>NC_000019.10:34115874-34740874 GCF_000001405.40 Homo sapiens | reverse complement strand
GAAAGGTGCTTCTAAATATATTGTATTTGTAAACACTGTCTGCAGTGGGGCTTTCTCTAGAGGTGAGAATTGCTGGTCTGAAATGGTCTACCTGACTTCCATGCTTCCCTTCCAACTTCTCTATATATTCCAAATTCTTCTTAGAATTTGAAAATTCATAACTTTGTTTTACAACTTTTTCTATTATTACTGTTTGGGGTGAATCTTCATCATAATTATCCTTCTTTGTTGATAATTCCTTGTTTTCCCATCTTGATTCCCAATCTGAAATACATCAAAAAAGCAAAGCACTGTTTTGTTTTTTTTTAACTATTTGAAAAGAAACTTCTAAATTGGAATTAGGAGAACTGGATTAGAAATGAAGCCCCCAGAAAACACATAGTTCTGACAACTGAAATATTTCAATGATTTCTGAACAGTGCTCAAATGGAGCAGAGAATACAGAGTTCACAGAAGTGGGAACACAGTGTGATAATGGAAATGGGAAAAATATATGTAATGGATGAAATAGTATGGAAAAAAAGGAAGTTATCAGAAATAAAATGTGGAAGGCATTCTGGATTCCAAGCCATCATTTTGTGCCTATATGCATGTATGAAAGATTGCATTTTGTCTCATAGCCTTTTTCTCCAACATTCAATTAATCTCAATTTGCTGCCAGATTAACATGCTTAAAATACAGAATTGATGTTATTAAACAGTTGCAGTAAAAACACAATAATCTAAATGCTCTTTATAGCTGACAAAGATTTAGGCTTTCTGAAGTTATGAAGAAACTGTGTGAATCATGTCATTTATTGGACATTAGAAAATATTCCTAGAAACATATTTATATATGTTCATTTTTTCCTCTAATATGTTCATATTTCATCTACAACGCTCAGCTTTAGAAAAGTGATTTCCCATCTAATTGACAGCTTTTCTTAGCCTAAAACTATCAGTATGTTTTTCTTTAAGTAGATTTAAGAAAGAATAATTTGCCTTACTGTTATGAATAGAGTAACAATTGAATTATTATGAAGGCAAAAACCTCTAACCTTGATTGGATGACATGAGTGATACAGATAATAATTTGGGATAGAGGAACAATTGTTTTGAAAATCTAAGCTAAATATCCCACAATTTTTCATTTCTATCTGAGATCTTTGAAAACAGTATACCTAAAATGCCTCCACACTCACTATAAACTCACTATAAAGAGTTTGGGACCCTTTTTAACAAAATCTTCCTTTGTCTCGTTCACCATGACTCACCTGGAATCATACCTTTTGACAGTTTTTTCTCCATCATCCAGGGCTCTTTTCCATCCTCCAATAACGTGATCACATATGGCTTAGTTACAGAAAGACCTGCTTACAGGAAGAATACAGAATTGTTTAAGCCGTGGTCCTCTATTATGAGAGGCCATCACAAGAGGGACCACAGGAAGGGATGAAGGGTATTCATCGAAATGGAAAGATAAGCTTCAGGCAGGGCACAACAGAGCTGCACATTTCCTTGGGAACATGCTACAGAAATTCAGCCATTTACTTAGGAGGGTCTCCAGCAATTCAGGGTGGCAAAAGAAAGGTGTCCCCTACTGGAGTGGAAGGGGTAATATCCTTACCTACAGAGACCAGGTTCTCATAATTCTGGACCATCACATCCTTGTATAAGTCCCTCTGAGCAGAACTGAGCCATCCCCACTCTTCATGAGTGAAGTCTATAGCCACATCATTAAATGTCACCTGAAATAGCAAACATATTTAGGCTCAGCCATAGCCCAGGCCTCTTCTGTCACTGAAGAAAGGGTAAAATTAGCCTGGTTGTGGGAGAAATGGAACAAGATTCAGGAGTTGTGGCAATGATTGGGAATGTGATCTCAGTTAAGTAATAATAGGACAGTTATGTAGTTGGAATTACTATACAATAAGGGGGACAGTTATGTGCTTAGAATTATTATACAATAAAGGTGAGAAACAAATATGAGAGCTTTGCTTCAGTAGAGTTAATTTTGCTAAAAGTTACAGAAATACATGAATTTTTAAAAATCAGCATTTGACATTTGACAGCACAGAGTCAAGTATTTAGTTATATCTTTTACAGCTTAACTGCTAGGTAAGTAATTAAAAAATGAGGGTAAAGTGATTGTCTCTCAAATGGGATACTCAGGATGATCCACTAAGGCTCACAAAAAATGGGCAGCTGGGTGTGGTGGCTCACACCTGTAATCCCAACTACTTGGGAGGCTGAGGCAGGAGAATGGCTTGAACCCAAGAGGCGGAGGTTGCGCCACTGCACTCCAGCCTGGGTAATAGAACAAGACTCTGTCTCAAAAAAAAAAACAAAAACAAAAAAAAAACCTTTATATTAAAGACTAATAGACATACACTGTTATGGTTTGATTGTGACCCCCAAAACGCGTGTATTGAACTTAATCGCCGCTGTAACAGTTTTGAGAGGTGAGACCTTAGGAGATGATTAGGCCTTGAGGGCTCTGCCCTCATGAATGGATTAATGTCATCATCATTAGGAGTGACTTCCTTATTTAAAAAATGAGTTTGGGCCCCTTTTTGGTTCTCTCTCTTCTCTTCGCCCTTCCACCATAAAAGGACACAGCAAGAAGGCCCTTGCTGGATGCCTGCCCCTTGATCTTGGACTTCCCAGGCTCCAAAACCATGAGAAGTCAATTTCTATTACTCAGTCTGTGGTATTCTGTTATAGCAGCACCAATGGACTAAAATATACACATAACTGATTCATAAACAAAAAAGAAAAATATATTTATGGTGTATACTTAAACTTTGTACTGATAGACAATTATTAAAATATGAGACCCCTGGGTGAAAAGACTGAAGGATGGTTTCATGCCATAGATCAGGGGTCCCTAATCCCCTGATGGTTAGGGGTACATAACCACTGGTACCAGTCTGTGGCCTGTTAGAAATCAGGCCACAGAGCAGGAGATGAGTGGCAGGCAAATGACTTTTATCACCTGAGCCCTGCCTCCTGTCAGATCAGCTATGGCATTAGACTCTCATAGGAGCGCAATCCCTACTGTGAAGTGCGCATGCAAGGGATTAAGGTTGCACGCCCCTTATGTGAATTGAACTAATGCCTGATGATCTGAGGTGAAACAGTTTCACCCCCAAACCACCACCTCCTGCTTCTGTGGAAAAACTGTCTTCCACAAAACCGATCCCTGGTGCCAAAAAGGTTGGGCACCACTGCCTTAGATAGTCCTTAAATAAGACCTGAAAGTAAAGGGAAAAAAATAAAGGGGTACGTTTCAAAGAAAATAAGGAAATGTTCACAGATGTGGCTTAGAAATTCCTTTCAATAGTACTCATTTCACAATATTACTTTTTAGTAAAACTTTGGAAGCTTAAATATTCAATAATAGTTTATTGGCTAGTCAAATTATAATATGTACAAAAAATACATCTATTTAATACAGCATTATTACTGTCTTTGATTTGTGAAACAGACTGCTTGCCTGTGGTAATTTTTTAGCTCTGAGAGTTAATTCAGCATTGTATTACATTATTTGGATATTTTGCATGCATGTTCACCAGTGATACTCGTCTTTGGTTTTAAAGGCAGAATTTATTTTTGCCAGGTGTTGGGAAAATAATTAAAATTCAAATCTCCTGCCAATGGCAGAAAATCCTCTCCACAAATGTAGAAAAAAAGAACACAGTTTTATTACTTAATAATCACTAAATCAACTGTGATGCACTTCACAGGCAATCCACTAATGAGATTAAAAGGACAGGAAGAAATCTCTTTTTTATAGCCAAGCAGATACAATCCAATACATACATTTTCCAAATAATCAAGTAAGACCTTACAGTTCAATTTGCTACACATAATTTATCCTAAATTCACCTGTTAATTGGAGTTGCCACTGTGTTAGTTAATTCCCTTTATCCCAAATCAAAAAAACATTTCTCATAGCTTTATGATGAACAGGTTATTACAAGTTAGAGCCAGGGATGCTTCCTTCTTCCCCTTCAGTTGTCTGGGCAGCCTGGGGTGTTCACTCATCTCTGTCCCCAAAAGAACATAGCCTATCTGTCCTGGCATTTATTTTAATTTCTTATGCTTTCTTACTTTTCTACCAGTGCTGCAATCCTCAATACAGTAGCCACTAGGCAATTTGGCTACATACATTTAAATTAATTAAAATGTAAAAATAAAATAAGTAAAGTTTAAAATTCAGTTTCTCAGTTGCTTAAGCCACAGTTCAAGTACTCAATAGTCATACAGGGCTGGTGGCTACTGTACTGACCAGTACACATGCAGAGCACTTCCACCACTGCAGAAAGTTCTCTTAGACAATACTGCACTAGATCATGAAGTCCTGTGTGTCAGTGTACACCAAAATCCATGTACAACTTTTCCTAACAGATACTTCCTAAGTGTTTAGAAGATGAACCAATGAATGATTTTGGCATTAGTTCACTTTAGCTGTTACTTTTTTCTTGCTCTGCCGCCAGGCTGGAGTGCAGTGACATAATCATAGCTCACTGCAGCCGCACACCACAGGGTTCAAGAAATTTTCTCAACTCATCACCCTCCCGAATAGCTGGAAAAACAGGCATGTACCACCACACCAGTTTTTCAATTCTAATTATCTAACTTCTCCAAGAAAACAGACTTCACCCAACATGTACATCTGCTACTCACATCCCCTCCTATGCAAGCTTCACCTTCCATGCCATGATTCTGCCCCACCAGTTCGTCATTACTCATCTTATTCACTCCACAATTACTTACTAAGCATCTATTTGGTGCCAGGTAACCCTCTGGGTACTGAAGCTATAACAGACAACAAAAAAGAAAAAAGATTCCTCCCACCAGGAACAGACAATGAGCATGTGCATATACTGAACATACAGTACATCAGCTAGTGAGTGACACACACTGTGGAAAACAACAAAGCAGTGATGGAGGAGTGGAAGTGCTAGGCGAGGGAAGGTGACTGCGATTGCAAATAGCCATTCAGGGAAGCTTTTCTGAGAAAGTAACCACGGAACAAACACACGAAGAAGATAAGGATGCAAGTTTGTGCGTATGTGGGGGAAGAATATTCCACGTCGATGGCACAGCAACTAGTGACAGTGGCTAGAGCTCACAGGAATGAGGAGGCAGAGAAGGAAGGTGGGATCAGAAAGGTAATGGCCTAATTGTACAAATAGGTCATTGCAGAAGTGACTCAGTTAGAGCCACTGAAAAATTATAGGTTGAGGAATGACAGGAATTTATGTAACAATAGGACCACGGTCACAGCTGTACTGAGAACAGACTGATGAGGGTTAAGGGCAGATGCAGGGAATCCAGCTAGGAGGCTACCGCAATAATCCAGGTGGCTTTATTGCTATCACTACCGGGGTGGTAGTGGTGGTGGTAGTGCTGGGGTAACTAATGGTCAGATTCTGTATACAGTGTATAGCTTAGCTCCAACTAGAGGATCTGAATATAGGTATAAGTCAAAGGGAAGAATCAAGGATGACTGCAAGCATCTCTTCACTTGAGACCACATGGTACAGTTTTGACAACCATAAACCGAATAACCTTACATTCCAAAGTTGCATTGTGAATTACAGTTTTAAAATGTTGGCAAGACTAGAAAGTCTTCTAGCAGAAAACTGTAGAAAAGAGGAACACTGGGTGAGGAGGATAATACCTTGGAGCTCTCCTGTGGGCTCCGTCCTTCCTATACTGAAAGGAACCATGGATCCAGTCCCTTAAATGGACTTGGTTAGGTGGGAACAGGCAGGAGAAGCAAAGCAAACACACAGTCCTGATAAAGTGTTTCAGGAAGATTTGCGGACACACCGACCTACCTGAGGCATTACTCTGCAATTTCCAACAGCCAACAGAGTCCTCTTTCCAGGCTCTTATCTTAGAGATGGGCAGTGTCCTGAGGGCACAGAAGGGCAGGAAAAAGCAGTCATGAAAAATCAGGCTTATCTTGCGGCACCTGTGACACACCATAATGGAAAGGCACACTGGTAATCACTCTCCAGGGCGCCAATCTCTCCCTGGGAACTAACAGGGTGTTTCTCCGCAAGGGCTAACCATTTACCAGGTGCCACCTGCGAGGAAAATCAATTACTCTGTAAATAAAATCCTCATAAAACAATGGTAAAAACTTTATCAGCTCGTTCAGTCTTCACCACTATGCACGGTGTGCGTTCACATTTTTCCAGATCTATTTTTTAAACGATGACAAAACTGAAATTCCAAGATACTGAACCCATTTGTTCAAGGTTACACAACTGTAGAGCGCCGGCTTCATGACGACATAACCCAAAGACAACTGTGGCTGGCGTCTAACCACGCGCCCACTTCACTCTCACAACAGCGCCAAGAGGTCGGCGCCGTCATCACCCCGCGTTTACATAGGAGGACATGAAGGCCAGGAAAACCAAGGCACCGGCCGGGGTCACACCGCGGGGCAGACCCAGGGCCTGAGCCCCGCCGCCGCCCCCGGGACTCATACTGGCCGGAGTCCTCAGCAGGGCCTCACCGTCCCCGCAGGCGCCCCGCGTCGCTGGTGAGCGGGCAACGGCCGCCGACCTCTGGGGACGACACTGCCCAG
The DNA here is from genome assembly GCF_000001405.40 of Homo sapiens. Lineage (NCBI taxonomy): Eukaryota > Metazoa > Chordata > Mammalia > Primates > Hominidae > Homo > Homo sapiens. Next base: position 34,734,288 of record NC_000019.10, on the reverse strand, counting down.
AATCGTCCCGGAGCCTGGGAGTCGCCGTCAGGCCTGAGGCTACAGCGGGGCGGACCCAGTGCGCCGCCCACAGCCGATCGACATTTCCCAGAATCATCCGCGCAGGGGACAAAATTCCAGGCGCAACGAACCGCAGGTACCGGAAGACCACACTTCCCAGGAGTCTCTGCGGCCGCGCGGACCTGGGGCGCCGCGGGCAAACAGATCTCGGTTTCCTAAAAAACTAAACCGCCTGGGGCTGTCGTCCCAGAGCCCGGCAGTTAGGACCATGCGGGAAGTGTCCTGGGGCATATAGTCATACTGATGAGGTGAAAGATACACCTCGGAACCAAGGGCCACCCTCTACTTTTAAGGACAATGGCGCCGGGACCAAGAAACTACACTTCCCAGAAAACCGTGCGGCCGTGGCAAACTCTTCTGGGTCTAGCGTGCGCTCACACTAATGTTTATCTCCCGGGACGTGGGCAGACCTTGTACCAGGCGAGCTCTCGCCTTTGCTAGCAAAAGAGCTCCTCTCTTCCCAAACCCTGCTACTACGCTGTCCACCCTGTATGGTCTTTGAGGTCTTTGAGGTTTTTTTGGAATTCACTTGCTGGAGACTACAGCTCACAGAACGCCCTGGGCTGGATTGTGCCAGCTGTAGTTCGCGAACCAAGGACATTTCCTGGAAATGCATGCGGCCACGTATCTGTGACAGAAATGGCAGTTCTCACGTGCGTTACGCCCCCTGGAAGGACTTGGAAATACGGAACTTGAGTGAGCACTGAGAGGACACAGACCCTCATCCTGGGAGGAGTCACTCCTCCCGCAGCCATCAGAGCCTGACAACCGCTTCTCACCAGAGGCGCTTCTTAGACCCTGACCTTGCCCGGCTCACCCAAAGGGGCAATGGCCTTCTTTGTATGCAAGCCAGACAGTCTACTGTTGTATATTTGAATTTTTTACTTTATTTTTAATATTTTAATTAAATTTTAATTTAATGCTGCCTCTACCTCTGAGAGAGACAGGGAGAGATGGGGGAGGCCTGGAGTGGGGGCCCTGCGGGGCAGGGACAGGGGACCCTTCCTCACTTTGCACAATCTGGGAACCCTCCCCAAGCGGAACAGCCAGCTGCAGTGGAAAAGCACTGGCTTAGTGGGCTTCGTCCTGGGGACGAAGGCTGGGAGACTGCAGCTGAAAGGTGTGGGCTCCAGGAGGGCCGCAGGGGGCCTAGCAGCAGCGTCAGGGAGCAGAAGTCCGCCCTCCCTCCATCTTCCTTCCTTCTCTGGCCGCCAGAGCGCTCTGTCTCCCTCCCACGCCCACAGCTACAGGTGGAGCCGGCTTGGGGCGGGGGGGGGGTCCTCCTAGGGCGAAGAGGGCCAGGAGCCTTCCTGAGGACCTGAGGCTCCTCTGGGCCTCCCAGGGCTGGGCCTGTGATCTGATCTGCTTTGCCCTGGGAGGGACGTGCTCAGTGGTGGGGTTTGTGTAGCTGTCACTCATTCACCTGCCTGTGCTCAGCCACTCACCTGCTACTCCCATTGGCACCCACCCAGTACACATGTGGGTCGTCAGCTGCCATCAGGAGTAGTTCCTGCCTGTGTCACACACACCCATCCCACCCACCACACTGCAGGTTACAGGATTGCCCCACAAGCGCCACCATGCCTGCCTGAGGTTACCTGGCACACAAGTATCCTCACCTGCATGACATGACCAGATCGTGCACTTTCTATGCCAGGACCAGGGCCAGGGCAAGCTTGCACCTTCAGCCTTGGGGACACTGGGGGTGGTGGTGGCTGGAGGCCAGGGAAGTCACCAGGCTGGAGACATCATCTACCTCCAGGAGAGGGTTGATATCAGACATCTCCCATGCACCACTTTGAGCTATCTCAGCGTCACCTGGGACTCTGGCTGGCACTGTGACCAGCAGTTCCATGAAGGTTTAGACCACCTCTAGGCTTAGGAAGGGCCTCCCTTGCCATCAGCGTGGTCCAGGCTGCACGCCTGGTGACCAAGGGCTCTGGGCAGCAGATGCAGCCAGCCAGAGTGTTGGGGTGAGGGGCCTGGGCACAGGAGGGACGTGAGGCCTTCCCTGCACCCCCATGACCACCATTTCAGAGGGAGGACAGCAATTGTTTGGGTTTGTCCTGTGAGCGGTGGCAGAGGGCAGGGCCCAGGGCAGGTCCAGGGCCAGACAGGCATCCCATGCTACAGCCTCGGGGCCACGAGGGCACATGATGGGGTCGGTGTGAGGGCATCCCCTGTGCCAAATACCTGGGCAGGAGGTGCCCTGGGGTTGGTGGGTGGGTCAGGGCATTTGCAGGATTTCTGGTTTCTGTTGGAGTTGTATGTCCTGGAGAATGGAGGGAAGAGAGAAAGGGTGAAGAGAAGGGGGAAACGACCCCTGCTGCTTCCTGGCCTCTAAGTAGGGGGTGATGGGTGGTTGGTGAGTGGCAGAGGGGTCAGCGGGAGCTTCAAGGCTGAGCCAGGGAAGCGGAGGCAGCAGGGATGCAGACCTTGCCTGAGGCTGGCTCGGGGCTGGGGCTTCTTAGAGGTCAGGGCCCTAGAGCTCCCGGACAGGGAGTCTGCAGGAACAGTGACACAGCACATGACACAGCACAACTCAACACAACACAACCTGGCACAGCAGAGCAGCGTGCTGTGCACTGGGCTGCAGGAGAACACGGAGTGGGGTCTGTAGGGTCCCAGGAGTCATGGAGCAAACTGACCTGAGCCGTGTCCCTCAGTCAAGGCACAGGCACCTGGCCTTCAGCCAGCTTCCTTGTGACAGCCCCATGCCCTGGTGTCCCTGGGGCTGAGACAGGGCTGGGGCTGCTGTCCAAGGTGAGGTCTGACTAATCCCCTGCCTCTAACCCCCAGTTGTTTTGGGAACTTGAGTATCTTCTAAGAGACCCAGTGGTGCTGATGGGATTTCTGGTCACCTCAACCAGGGCCCCTGCCCACCTGGCCACACTGGCTCCTACTCAAATCTGACCTTAGGGCTTGCGTGGCCTCTGCTTACTGAGCCCTGTGGTTCTCTGCCAGGCACCATTGGCCCTGCGGCCAGGCTGACACCTGGAGAATGGCCTGTCCCCAAAGCCTGCACTCCTCCCAGCTCACCCGCTTTGCTTTTCTCCCACACTGGGAGGTGGGAGCCAGGTTGACACTGGAGGAGGAGCTCCCTCAACTCTGGCTTCACTTTAGAGTTCTGGGCAGAGTTTTGGGAGATGAGATTTCCTGGAGAGGGGCTGGAGCTCGAGAGCCTGCTGAGCGGGGAGTGGTCCCATAGCAGAGAGACCCATGGTGGAGGGGCGGGGTGGGTGGGGAGGACAGCCTGGCTGTGGAGGAGCTGGGGCAGGCAGGTTACACGGGTGCAGCTCACACTCCCTCCTTTTCCCCGCTGTCCTCTCCTGTCTCTTCCTCCTTGCCCTATTCTTTCCTTCTTTTCTGGATACGCTTCATCCGGATTCAAAAGGATAGCTTTTGATATTTCACCATTAAATAGGAAGTTTAATTTAGGAATTTTTGGTAGATGCTTTGTTAGATTAAGGATATATTATTCTATTTCTATTTTATTTTTTTAATTTCTTTTTTTTTTTTTTTTGAGACAGAGTCTCTCTCTGTCTCCTAGGCTGGAGTGCAGTGGCACGATCTCAGCTCACTCCAACCTGTGCCTCCTGGGTTCAAGTGAGTCTCCTTTCTCAGCCTGTGGAGTAGCTGGGACTACCATCACACACCACCACGCCTGGCTAATTTTTGTATTTTCAGTAGAGGCGGGATTTCACCATGTTGGCCAGGCTGATCTCCAACTCCTGACCTCCAGTGATCCACCCACCTTGGCCTCCAAAAGTGCTGTGATTACAGGTGTGAGCCACCGCACCCGGCCTGAGAACATTTTTTAAACAAGGAAAGATGACGAATATTATAATACATCTTATTTACGTTTAATGAAATGTGCATATGTTTTTTTTTCTTAGTTCTGTTAATGTTTTAAAGTATATCAAATGATTTTTTAATATGAAACCTGGCTTGCTTTTCTGGTATAGATCTGCCTTAATCAGCATGTAGTATTATTTTATATATAATCTCATTGACTTTGCCAATATCTTGTGTGGAAAATTTTGTCTATGTCCCTGAGTGGTTGGATTTCACTGTCAGGATTATAGCAGCCTCATTAAATGAACTGAGGAGTATACTGGTGATTTCCATTTATTCTGCGAAATCTAGTCTACCCTTTCCGCAACCTGTTCCGTATACCAGAACATGGCCTTTTCTGGATTGCATCATTGGGCTACGTTGCCCTTTTTTGGGGGGGTGTTGACACATTGGAGATATGGCAGGACATATGGGAAGGAAGAAGAGAGTGAGATGAAGTGATTTGTTCCCAGCTGACTTCCCTTAGGGCTGCAGGTTGGCAGTGGCTGTTTCCCTCTACTGATGGCCAAAGGTCCCATGAGCTTGACCTCTCCTGCAGTTGCAGGTCTCACTGCATCCTTGGAACAGCTCTTTTTCTTTGTCTCCCTTTGGGTATTTTGCTTTTTCTAGACTTGGATTTTTTTTTTTTTGACAGAGTCTTCCTCTGTCGCCCAGGCTTGAGTGCAGTGGCATGATCTTGATTCACTGCAATCTCCGCCTCCCGGGTTCAAGCAATTCTCCCGTCTCAGCCTCCTGAGTAGCTGGGACTACAGGTGCCCACCAACATGCCCGGCTAATTTTTGTATTTTTAGGACAGGATTTCACCATATCTGACTAATATGGTCTCGAACTCCTGACCTCAGGTGATCTGCCCTCCTCGGCCTCCAAAAATGCTGGGATTACAGACGTGAGCCACCACAGCCGGCCAGGGGTTTTCTTATCGACTTCCCTTGACTTTGCTCACACCAGAGCCAAGAGCCATTCATTAAACTCTCCTCAGGTGTCCAGTGTGAGTTTGCCATTTCTTTCCTGCAGGAACACTGACCGATACAGACAAGGTACCATCATTATTTATTCTTTGGAAGAATGTGTATAAGATTGGAGTGGTTTCCTCCTTAAGTATTTGCTAGAACTTTCCAGAAAAAGTCATCTGCCTGGGATTTTCTTTGCAAAAGCTTTTAAAATTTTAATTTGGTTTCATAGACAATTAGAAGACTGCATGGCCACCAGCAACAGTTGCAAATTCTTATGGGCAATAAAACTCACCAACACAATAGGCATTCACTTGACTCTAAATTAACTTAGATTTATGAAAGGACAAAGAAAAAGCATGATCAGTATTTTCAGTGTTATTGGTGGGGTGAGAGATGTCCAGCAGCAGCAGTCTAGCATTTCACACCACCATTCAGTAGCATAGCTATATGGGAATTAAAGTTAATGTGCATGAGGTTCACCTTGAAATGTTCAGGTATCACTGTCTGATCCAGAACATCTTACAAATTGGAGGACACCTCCATGTCCATGTTAGTTTAGGAAAACCTTGCTTTCCTGACAGTCTCTTACATGATCCCAATCATGTCATCATTCAGTGTCCATACGCCACTCACTGCCTTCCCAGTTCAGGTGCAGTTCCCCAGGCAAAGCTTTCACAATAAACAATGCCTGAAATGCAGCATTTCTCATTGATCTAAGTCCATTCTAAGGAAACAGTGCAGGAGGAAAATAAAAGCAACATCATCTTCCTAGGATTGCATATAGGAGAGAGCCTAGGCCTCCTGTTCACAGTTCACCCATAAGGACTATTCAGGGTTTCTCTATCTTCTCATGTCAGTATTTGAATGTTTTTCTTGGAATTTAAAAGTCTCACCTAATTTTAAAAGTAAACATAAAGTTTCCATAGTATCCTATTTAAAATGTTTTATTACTTTATTTTTAACAGATAAACTCTCACTATATTGCCCAGGCTGGAGTGCAGGAGCTATTCACAGGTGTGATGATAACTCACTGCAGCCTCAAGTTCCTGGGCTCAAGCAATGCTCCCACCTCAGCCTCCTGAATATACTCTTATTTTAATGGCTGAAAGATCTTTAAGGTGGTATCCTTTTAATTTATTCATTATTTGTGTCTTTTCCATTTTTCTTTTTAATGTCTCCCTCCCCATAAGTTTTTCAGTTGGTAGTAGATTAAGTTAATGTTCCACAACATTTACTTTGTGCCGCTAAATTGCCACACAGTCTTCTACATGATCCTAATCATGTAGTCACTCAGTGTCCATACTCCACTCACTGCCCTCCCAGTTCAGGCGCAGTCCCCCAAGTCCCCTCACTCCATTGCTGTCCCTAGATTTGGACAATGGGATGTTAGCAGACAATAGGCAGTTAATTGCTTCAATAGGACCATGCAGTTAGTCTTTCCTTCCCACATTCCTGTGGTCACTAAGAGAAGACCTTTCCCCTAGAAGTGCTGGTTCTTAGGTGTTAGCCCCTGAATGAATAGATGTGGATCAGATTTGAGCCCAACCTACAGGAGGGGTCAAGTCCTATCAGGCCCACAGATTGAGTGTTCACTATCTAGCCAAGACCAGCTTATATCAGCTGAAACACCAGCTGTTGTAACCGAGTGAGTTGTAGAGAAACGCCACACTCTGAGACTAATTCAGGAGTCCTTTTATTGCTGGTGACCGAGAGATGGCTAGTGCTCAAAATTCTCTCAGCCCTAAAGAAGGGGCTAGATTTTCTTTTATACTTTGGTTTAGAAAGGGGAGGGGGAGCCTAGCTGAAGCAATTTTACAGAAGTAAAACAGGCAAAAAAGTTAAAAGGACAAATGGTTACAGGAAAGAAAAATAGTTCCAGATGCAAGGGCTTTAAATCTATCAAAGGGTGATAGACACAGGTGCTTTAGGTACCATCAACAGACACAGACACGGGGGCTTTGGGTACTATCAACCAGGTGAATTCCTGGGAACTGTGGATATAGCTTGCCACAGTATCTTATCAGTAATTGCATTCTTTGATGTGCTGGGAGTCAGCTTGCACAAGTTAAGTCCTTGAGGAAGGGGGGTGGGTAAGGGGCTGCAAGTGAAGGAGCCAAAATGGAGTCTGTCCCGCTCTCTCAGCTAAGGGAGAATCAATTTCAGGTTAAAACAAGGTAGGATATCACATTTCCCACTTGTGTTTTGGGGGAATCAAATCATTGATTACTCAGTTTTAACAAGGGGGTTATATTGGGCTTTAAGATACATAAGCTTGACAGAAGCTGTGCATTGCTTTACAAAGTTAAGAAACCAATTTAATATACAAGGCTCGAAGACTAAGCCTAACAATAGGAGGAGGAGGAGGGGTCCAGCTAACCCAGTGATTAGAGTAGTTAGCCATGGATTCCAGTTAAACATGCTTTGGTACCAGGGGGGTGTTATTTTCCCGCTCCTGCTGGTGTCTATCTAGATTCTCTTGAACTTTTTGGAGAGTATCTTTTATGACCCCAGACTGACTGGCACAGAAGCAACAACTCTCTCCCAGAGCTGTGCATAACCCTCCTTGAGAGACAAATAGCAGATATAAGCCTCAGCGGTTTTGAAGAGCTACTTTAGCTAGAGACTCTACTTGGGTATGGAGTATATCTATGGTTGATTGGAGATGGCTTAAATCAGCATCTACTTGTTGAGATAGGGACATTAGTCCAGTTTCTCCCTGAATGAAGGCAGCCATGCTGATGGCTACCAACCCAGCTGTGCTTAGGCCGGCCAGGAGGGGTACAAGGAGTAGGGCGGCTCGGCAAAACCTGGTATGCAATTCAGGGGGAGTGATGAGAAGTTGTCCTTCTGTCCCACTGTATACGTAGACCTGGGGGAGCACATGAACCAACACACACAAGAGAGGTCCTGGTTCAGTCCCATTGATGCAGCGAGTGAGACCTGAAGTGCAGGCTAACCAGGTATTGTTAGGTGCCTGGTAGGAGACTGAGGTGCTTAAGGAAGTAAGTAAAGACTGATAACAGGTAGCCTGAAAGGGAGAAGCAGATAAATTATATCCAGTGCTAATTAGACAAGAAGCATTCCCGGACACGTCTCCTAGTGTGAGGGCACAGGGGCATGTATGACAAGAAAGAGAGTCAATATTAAGCATGGCTTCTACTCCTAATCCAACATAATAAGGGGGTTTGGCCTTTAGGCACAACCAACAATCTCAGGCTAGTTTAGGCTGGGTGAGATTGAGGAGGTGATGTACCCTGCCCAGAATGGACATCAGGCTGGGTTGGAGGTGTTGTTGTTGCAGCTGAGGTTTAGGAACCAGGAAAGGCGGCGGGACAGTTAAGTTGACACTGTCTGGGTATTTTTGGAACACAGGGTCACCTAAATCAGTTAAAGGCCCGATTGGCTTAGGAGGGCTCCATGGGACCAGGATTTTTTTTTTTTTGGATGGTGAACATAGTTCCAACATCAAATCCTGGGATATAAAGCCTTAATCCCAAGACATGCCATAATTCCATTGAGCTAAATTAGGATTATGAACAGTTATAGTAAGGGGATTACAATTTCTCTTAGTCCACAGTTTAGGACAGGAAGCACAAGCTATGGAAAGGGTTGAAGATCGGGTTGATCCCCCAGAGTAGGTGGCCAAAGTTACACATGTCCAGTCAGGGCAGAAAAACTGGTAAGAATCTCAACAACTAGAGTTAGGGTGATTTCGAGGACAGAGGTAAAAGTCAACATTCTGGAGTCCTTTTTCTGCACCTTTGGAGCTCCCACATCCTGTCTGGCTTCCGGAGTGTCCAAACCCTGCAGCAAGGTCAACGTTCCCTGCTCCTATGATCGGCAGATTGTGTTGCTCTTCGAGAGTATGGGCAGGCTCTGGGAACAGAGCACATAAATCACTGCAAAAAAGACTTCCTCAGAGGTTCCTGCCTTCCAGGTGGTGTTTGCAAACACAGTCCTGTCGTGAAAGAAGTAAGGAGAAAAGAGTAGGAAGGAGCAGAGGGCATGACAGGTGGAAACAAAAGAGATAAAGAATTAATCTAATGGCTTCACTCAACTTAGGCGCAGTTTTAAGGGGCTTGTCCCAGGCTTGGGGACCCATGTTTCTTGCTGGGCTTTGTTGGTCTTCTTGATGCGAGAGTGATGAATCCAGCCGGAATGCTGTCTACTTTCAGAGCTGTTGGCGTGGTGAGGATGACAGTATGAGGTCCTTTCCAGGCAGGAGTGAGTCCTTCCTTCTGGAACTTTTTAACATACTCCAGGTCACCCAGCTGGAAAGAGTGGCAGAGCCCCATCTGGTCAGGAACTGCATTGGGATGTGCTCCTTGGACAAGCAGCTGGATGCTGTCTTGTACCTGTTGGAGAGACTGCAGCTACTGTAACAGTTAGCTTCTCTTCGGATACGTTCCCTCTCTCCAGAGGTGAAAGAGTTAAAAGGAGCCGTTAACAGTCATCCCAGGTGGGCCGGTGGGTCTGGAGCACGGACTCCATCAATGAGGTCAAGACCTGGGGTTTTTCAGAGAAGGGGGGATTATGAGCCTTCCAGTTGTACAGGTCAGAAGTAAAGAAAGGGACATAAACCAAGAATGGAGCTGAGCGCTCATCACCCGGAGGGATTTGTGCCTCTCTCAGCAGGAGGAGGGGGGCTACCTCCTCCTGCCGCAGCCGCAATCAGGAGGCAATAGGTGGAGAGCCCAAAGGAGATGTAGTCGAGGAGACTAGGGAAGATTCTGAGGGAGCAGGAAGGTTATAAGGCAGCAGAAATGCGTGAGAAAAACTTTCCTCTTCTTCAGAAGGAGGCAATACAGGAGGAGCCGAGGGGGCCAAGGGTTGGGATGACAGTGAGGCCTGGCTCAAAAGGACCTTGGAGGTAAGATTATGAATGGCACATGAGCGGAGCCAAGCGAGAGGGCTCCAGACCAAGCTCAGCCATTGATCAATGTAGGGAAACTGATCGGGGTGACTGGGAGTTCCAGCAACGACCCGCCACACAGCCTGAACAGCTGTGAGATTCAGTGACCCTTCTGGGGGCCACCCGGTTCCAAACTGTGGCCATTCTACTTCACAGAATGTCAGGAGTTTGCCTTTTTTAAGGTGGACCCCATAATCCTCTGAGAAGCCCAGGGAGAAATTTTGTAACATACATTAGAGAGGGCTCCAATCTTTATGAGGCCGGGAAGAAGAGTTTCCCATTCTGGAGGCAATTTAACAAGGTTTTAGCAGAAATATTAAACCCAGCATGGACAGAGAAATTCATGGCCTGGGGGGCTGTAATATCGGAAGAACAAAAGTATTCTAACCAGAAGAAGTAGGAAATCAATTACAGCCAACACTTCTTGCCACATAAGTTCTGTCTCTTTAATCTTTCAGATCTAGGGGGAGGACAAGAGGTGGCTCCGAGGCCAGTGGGACCTATGTGATCCCCCTCTCCTCTTTGACTTATAGCCCAAATATTTTTGGTGTCTCCACGATTCGAAGGCAAAAAGTTCAAACCTGGCCTTTTCTTTTAAGGGTTTTAGGAGGGAGAGCAGAGCCAACTCTTGGAGGCACTGGACTGGCTGTGACACAGAAAAACAAGATATGTGAGGTAAGGGATGGGGATGAGGAGGAAAGGGGCCACTCAGATCTTTCCTAAGGTAGGAGAGTAGCCACAGAGGAATAGAATAAGGGTGCAGACGGAGTAAAGCAGCACGGGCACAGGTTTCTCCGCACAGTGCCTTATCCAAGGGCACAGGAAAAGTTATGGGATGACAGAAAAGGTGAGCAAGGAGGTCTGCGGGGTGGCTATTTTGAATCCACCACTGGTCTAAGGAGGAGGTGGTCCAGTCATTGGGGCATGGGGTATGGCAATCCAAATGCCAGCAACCTTTATGGTGCCAGAAATCCCAAACGGGCGAATGTTTCTCACACCCCTCCCCATAACAACACCTGATTTGTTTCTGACAGAAAAGGCAGGACTGGGATGGGCAGCCAAAATGACTAATGAGAGATTTTTCCTCCCAGGATAGAAAATCTGTACCGAGGACTTTGAAGAAGTCCTTGTCCAATCGCCATGGGCAGTATCGGCGACCTGACATACGAAATTTAGACAGACCAAACAGAAAAATAGACACTGGGGTATATAAATTAGTATAGCAATTTTTATAGACAGACAAGGGGAGGGGGTCCCATGATGGGATCAGTCAGATGCCCGCCTGGCCGCTCCCCAGGAGAGGACTTAGGCTCCTTTTGGCATTGGCAGGCCGGTGTAAACCCCCAGCTCGGATCGAGCTATGCCTGATGCTGCCCTAAGCCTTATGAGGTCGCCATGGAACTGCAGGTGAGGGCCCACTCAAACTCCATAGCTTTCACCATGGAGCTACAAACTGGAAATTCAAGCGCAAGCCCTTGAACTCCACATTCACTCACTCACTCATACAGAGTTTATTACAATTCTTATTCCTGTTCTAAAACAGAGGTCTCCTAGAGACCTGAACAAGAGAAGGAGAAGAGATAAAAGAGAGAGAGAGAGAGAAAGAGAAGGGAGAGAGACAGAGGGAGAGAGAGGGGGAGAGAGAGGGAGAGAGAGAGACAGACAGACAGACAGACAGACTAGTCTTAACAGAGAAGACAGACAGAAACCAGGACTCTGTCCTCCAGCATCCTGGAACGTAGACAGAGTCTGAGGGAGGGCCCTCGTCACGGCTGTTTCCCTCCCAGAAAAACAAAGTCAGATCTGACTCACCTTCCTGGGACCAGAGACTGAGGACTCAGGAGTTGAATTTGGTGGGCATACACTGGCAGTCGATCCATTCCCCTCCAGAAGACAGTGGCCTACAGGGCGCTGGAACATCTTCAGGTTGCGCTTCCCCTATAAGCCCGCCATCTGTTGGGGGTAGCCCAGAACGAGTCCAGCACTCACCCAGTGGTGAAATCTCACTGGGGCCTCCAAATGTTGTAACCAGGCGAGTTGTAGAGAAACGCCACACTCTGAGACTAATTCAGGACTCCTTTTATTGCTGACGACCGAGAGACAGCTAGTGCTCAAAATTCTCTTGGCCCTGAAGAAGGGGCTAGATTTTCTTTTACACTTTGGTTTGGAAAGGGGAGGGGGAGCCTAGCTGAAGCAATTTTACAGAAGCAAAACAGGCAAAAAAGTTAAGAGGATAAATGGTTACAGGAAAAAAAAACAGTTCCAGGTGCAGGGGCTTTAAATCTATCATGAGGTGATAGACGCAGGGGCTTTGGGTACCATCAACCGGACACAGACGCGGGGGCTTTGGGTACTATCAACCGGGTGAATTCCTGGGAACTGCGGATATAGCTTGCCACAGTATCTTATCAGTAATTGCATTCTTTGATGTGCTGGGAGTCAGCTTGCACAAGTTAAGTCCTTGAAGAAAGGGGGCTAGGTAAGGGGCTGCAAGTGAAGGAGCCAAAATGGAGTCTGTCCGGCTCTCTCAGCTAAGGGAGAGTCAATTTCAGGTTAAAACAAGGTAGGATATCACACAGCCAACCCACAGCACATGAGGGATCAATGATTGTCATCATCATCAATGATTGTCATTTTAATCTATTGAATTTTCAGGTTATTTGTGACAGTAAAAGTGAGCCAATTGAATCATTAATTTCTATAAATATGAAGAGTTTGCAATCACTTTTTGTTATTGATTTCTATGAAAATTGCATTGAGATCAAATTATATCCTCTGGAAATTTTAAAATCCTTTGAAATTTGTTGAGAGCTACTTTATGTTCTAATAAGTGGTCATTTTTATTAATCATCCACATGCAATTAAAAATGCATATTCCTCCATTATTACATGCCTTATTCTATTAAGTTTTTCCTAATTGTATTTTTAAATCTTATATATGTTTATTTAATTTTTTTATTTTAACAGCTTTAATGAAGTATAAATGACATATAAGAAGCATGTATATCTAAAATGTACAATTTGTAACTTCTGACAGTTGTGAAAACCAGAAAAATCATCACCACAATCAAAATATGAACAGATTTATCCCTTGTGAAAGTTTTCTTGTGCCTCTTTAAGTGCCTCTCTCCTGCCTCTCCTTGTCCCCTTCCTTCTCTCTGGGCAACCACTGATTTGGTTTCTGTCAGTATAGATTAGCTTGCATTTTCCAGCACTTCATGTACATGGACTCATAGAGCATGCACTGTTTTTGATCTGATTCCTTCACAGAACTTATAATCTTTCAGGTTCATTGGTCTTATGAGTATGAATACTTCATACCTTTTTTTGAGTTTCAAATGTTAAAAAATTTACATACAGCAAACTCACTCTTTTTGATGTGCATTTCCGTGAGTTTTGAGAACTCTGTCTTATGTAGGTTTTGTACGGGTGTCTGGAGTCGTAGGCACTTCTACAACAGTAGAGATGTTTCCTAACTTCAGACGCTCCTTGTGCTGTGCTTTTGTAGTCAGGTGGTCTCCTTGCCCTTAATCCTGAGTGGCCACCAGCTTGTTCCTCATTCCAATGGCCTTGCTTTTTCCAGAACTGCTTATCAATGAAATCATGTACTATGTAGCTTTTTGAGTCTGGCTTCTTTCAATAATTTCCTCATTGACAAATTCTACCTATAATCTTAAAATACTAAAGGTATCAAGTATCTTTATTAATACTCATTTTTTCAGATGTTTTAATTGCTGGAAATAAGATTACCCAATTTATTTTTTAAAAATCAGGTTCTTCACATGGACACAGGAAGGGGAACATCACATACCGGGGACTGTTGTGGGGTAGGGGGAGGGGGGAGGGATAGCATTAGGAGATATACCTAATGCTAAATGACGAGTTAATGGGTGCAGCACACCAACATGGCGCATGTATACATATGTAACAAACCTACACGTTGTGCACATGTACCCTAAAACTTAAAGTATAATAATAATAAAAAAAAGAGATAAAAAAATAAAAAATAAAAAATAATCAGGTTTTTATGTGGCAATATATTTAATATATTTTTATATAGTAACTAGATAATAAGATTTCTTTTTTACCTCTGGCTTTATTGGTATAATTGACAAATAGGAATTGTGTATATTTAAAATGTATGGCTTTATAATTTGATATATATTTACAGGGTGAAGTGACCACCATACTCAAGGTAATTAATATATTCATCATAGATTTGATTATATTTAGAATTTTAAAACAAAAAGGTATTGAAGTCAGCCAGACTCAAAGGCTACATATTGCACGGTTTTTCTTATTAGCAATTCTGGAAAAAGTAAAGCTATAGGGATAAGAGCACACCAGTGGCCACTAATGATTAAGGGTGAGGAGATTATTTGAGTACAAAGGAACAGCAGAAGAAATTTTTTGAGGGGTAGAAAACAGGTTTTTTTTTTTTGTTTTTTTTTTTTTTTGCTGGTGAGGACACTTAAGATAACAATTTTTAGCAAATTTCAAGTATGATGGCTCCTCCCTTTTTCACAGTTTTGCTTTCTGCAGTTTCAGTTACTCATAGTCAACCAGAGTCCAAACATTGGTGAGGCAGTACAATAAGACATTTTCAGAGAGAGACACTGATCAGATTCATGTAAATTTTACTACAGTATATTGGTATAATTGTTCTATTTTATAATTAGTTCCTGTTAATTTCTTACTCAGTTGGATTTATAAACGAAACTCTATGATAGGTATGGACGCATAGGAAAAAAGCATAGTATATTGTATAGAAGGTTCAGTACTATGCATGGGTTCAGGCATTCACAGAGAGTTATAGAATGTATCCCCTGAGGATAAAGGGGATTCTTCTATACAATACAGTATTATTAATCATGGTCACCATGCTGCCCATTAGATCTCCAGAGCTCATGCATCTTGCATAGCTGAAACTTTGTACCCTTTGACTGACAACTTCTCACTCATCCCACCCACCACCACTTTGTGGCCCCAGGCAACTACAATTCTACTCTCTGATTCTATGAGTTTTATCATTTTAGATTTCACATAGAAGTGAGATCATGCAGGATTTGTCTTTCTGCGTCTAGCTTATTTCACTAATGTCCTCCAGGTTCATCCATGTTGTTGAAAGTAGCAGGATTTCCCTCTTTTTTAAAAGGCTGAATAGTATTCCATTGTATATTTTGTAAAACACAGATGATAGATACATAGATAGATAGATAGATAGATAGATAGATAGATAGATAGATAGATAGATAATAGACAGATAGATAGATAGCTTTTGTATATATCACATTTTCTTTATCCATTCATCCATTGACAGACATTTAGGTTCTTTCCCTATCTTGGTGACTGTGAATAATGCCACAATGAACCTTGGGGTGCCAATCACTGATCTTATTTTTTTTGGATATATACATAGAAGTGGGATTTCTGGATCATACAGTAGTTCTATTTTTAATTTTTTTTTTTTTTTTTTTTTGAGACAGAGTCTTGTTCTATCGCCCAGGCTGGAGTGCAATGGTGTGATCTTGGCTCACTGCAAACTTTGCCTCCCGGGTTCAAGTGATTCTTCTGTCTCAGCCTCCCGAGCAGCTGGGATTACAGACACACACCACCATGCCTGGCTAATTTTTGCATTTTTAGTAGAGACAGAGTTTCACCATGTTGGCCAGGCTGGTCTCAAACTCCTGATCTCAGCTGATCTGCCCACCTCGGCCTCCCAAAATGCTGGGATTACAGGTGTGAGCCAATGCACCCAGCCTATTTTTAATTTTTTGAGAAAGCTCCATTCTGTTTTTCATAAAGGCTGTACCATTTTATATTTCTACCAATAGTGCACAAGGGTTTCAATTTCTTTACATCTTTGCAAACACTTATAATTTCTTGTCTTTTCGGTAGAAGCCGTGCTAATGTGTGTGAGATGGCATCTTGTGGTTTTGATTGGCATTTCCCTGATGATTCGTGATGGTGAACATCTTTTCATGCAGCTATTGGCCATTTGTATGTATTTTTAGGAAAAATGCCTACACAGGTCTTTGCCCATTTTTAATTGGATTATTTTTTGCGTTGAGTTGTATCAGGTAATTATATAGTTTGGATATTAACCCCTTATCAAATATATGGTTTACAAATGTTTTCTCTCATTTTTTAGGTTGATACCTCCAGCTTCATCTTCTCACTCAGGATTGTTTTCACTTTTTGGGCTTCTTTGCGATTCTATAAACATTTTAAGATTATTTTCCTGTTTCTATAAAAAATGCCATTGGGATTCATAGAATCTGATATATGTCTTCTTTAATTTTCTTTACCAATGTCTTATAGTCTTCAGTGTGCAAGTATTTCACCTCTTTGGCTAAGTTTATTTTGAAGCATTTTATTCTTTTTGTTGTTACTGCAAATGTAATTGTTTTCTTATTTTCCTTTTTGGATAGTTCATTATCAGTGTATAGAAATGTCTCTGATTTTTGTATGTGTATTTCGTATCCTACAACATTACTAGAATTATCAGTACTTTAACAATACATTGTTAATTACACTCATCCTATAGTGCTATAGAACCCTAGAACTTATTCCTCCTATCTAGTTAGTTGCATTTTGTATCAGTAATCACTCTCCTTCTATGAGTTCAACTTTTTTAGCTTCCGTGTATGAATGAGAACATACAGCATTTATCTTTCTGTGCCTGGCTTATTTCACTTAACACAATGGCTCCAAATTCATCCATGTTGATGCAAATAACAGAACTTTGTGATTTTTTAATGGCTAAACAGTATTTCATTGCATATATATACTGTATTTTCTTCATCCTTTCACTTGTTGATGGACACTGAGATTGATTCCAAATCTTGGCTGTGAATAGTACTTCAATAAATATAAGAGTGCAGATATGTCTTTGATATACTAATTTTCTTTCTTTTTTTTGGATGTATACTCAGTAATTGTATTGCTCGACCATGTGGTAATTCTGTTTTTAGTTTTTTGAGAAATCTCCATATCATTCTCCATAATGGCTATCCTAATTTACATCCTCACCAACAGTACGCAAGGTTTCCCTTTTCCTTGCTTCCTCACTAGCATCTGTTATCTTTTGCAATTTTGATAATAGCCATTCCCACTGAGGTAAGATGAATCTCATTGTGGTTTTGATTTGCATTTCCCTGATGATTGGTGATGCTGACCACTGGAAAAATACCTGGACCATTTGTATGCCATCTTTTGAGAGATATTTCTTCAGCTAATTTGCCATTTGTACATCAGATTATTTGTGTGTTTTTCCATGTTGAGTTATTTGAGTTCCTTATATATTCTGGATATGAATCCCTTGTCAGATGAATAGTTTGCAAATATTTTTTTTTCCATCCTGCAAGTCATCTCTTCTCTCTATTGATTGTTTCCTTTGCTGTGCTGAAGCTTTTTAGTTTAATGTAATCCCATTTGTCTATTTTTGCTTTTGTTGTCTGTGCTTTTGGGTTTTCTCCATAAAATCTTTGCCAAGACCAATGTCCTGAAAATTTTTATGCATATTTTCTTCTAGTAGTTTTATAGTTTCAGCTCTTGCATATAAGTCTTTAAGCTATTTTGAGTTGATTTAAGGAAAAATATGATTAGAGATGGATGTCTGGTTTCATATTTTTGGCATATTAATATCCAGTTTTCCCAGCACCACTTATTGAAAAGACTCTCCAATCCCCAATAAATGTTCTTGGCACTTTTGTTGAAAATCTGTTGATGGTAAATATGTGAACTTATTTCTGTGCTATTTAGTTCCATTGACTATGTGTCTATTTTTATGACAGTATCATACTGTTTTTTTTTCTTTTGTTTTCCTTTTCGTGGCAAACAGGGTTTCACTATGTTGCCCAGGCAGGTCTCGAACTCCTGGGTTCAAGGTATCCTCCCGCCTCTGCCTCCCTAAGAGCTGGGATTACAGGCATGAGCCACCATGCCCAACTGTTTGTTGTTGTGTTGTTTTTGTTTTAACCATAGCTATATAATCTATTTTGACTTCAAGAAGTGTTATGCCTCCAACTTAGTTCATTTTTCTGAGGATTGCTTTGGTTATTCTGAGTCTTTTGTGGTTTCTTACCAATTTTAGGATTGTTTTTTCTACCTCTGTGAAGATATCATTGATATTTTGACAGGGATTGCATTGAATCTGCAGATCACTTTTGGTGATATGCTCATTTTCACAACATTAATTGTTCCAATCATGAACATGGGATGCCTTTTCACTTTTGATGTCCTCTTCACTTTCTTTCATCAGCGTTTTATAGCTTTTTGGGTAGAGGTCTTTCACCTCTTTCGTTAAATTTATTCTTATTTTGGTAGCTATTTTACATGAGTTTGCCTTCTCAATTTCTTCCTTTACTAATTTGTTGCTGATGTGTACGAATGCTACTGATTTTTATATGTTGATTTTGTATCCTGTGCCTTTACTGAATTTCTTTATCAGTTCTAAGAGTTTTTGTTGGTCCTTTTAGGTTTTTCTATATACAAGACCATGTCATCTGCAAGCAGAGACTGGGACATCCTCCTATCCAGTCTGGATGCACTTTATTTCTTTCTGTTGCCTAACTGCTCTGGCTAGGACTTCCAGTACTATGTTGAATAAAACTGGTGAAAGTGGCCACTTTTTTTTCTTGTTCCAGATTTTAGAGAATGACGTTTCAATATTTCCTTATTCACTATGATGTTGGCAGTGGGTTTGCCATATATTTCATTTATTATATTGGCATACGTTCTTTTTACACCCAGTTTGTTAAGAGTTTTTATAATGAAGCACAGTTGAATTTTATCAGATGCTTTTTCTGCATCTATTTACATGATTGTATGGTTCTTGTTCTTCCTTCTGTTGATGTGATGTGTCACATGTATTGATTTGTGTATTTTGAACCATCCTTGCATTCCTGGGAGAACTCCCACTTGATCATGGGGAATGATCATTTTGCTGTGCTGTTGGGGTTGGTTTGCTAGAATTTTGTTGAGGATGATGGATATTGGCCTATAGTTGTTGTTGTTGTTGTTGTTTTCTGTATGTGTGTGTGTCCTTGTCTGGTTTTGCCATCAGGGTATTGCTGGTTTTGTAGAATGAGTTTGGAAGAATTTCATTCCCTTCAATTTTCTGGAGGACTTTTTGAAGAATTGGTATTAGTTCTTAAATATTTTGTACAATTCTGGAAGAAAATGGAGCCTGGGTTTTTTCTTTGATGGAGACATTTTATTACAGGTTCAATCTCATTACTTGTAATTGCTCTATTCAGGAGTTCTATTTCTTCTTGGTTCAATCTTGGTAAATTTTATATGTCTAATAATTTACACATTTCTGGTACGTTTTCTAATTTGTTAGCTTATAGTTACTGGTAGCAATCTCTAATGATACTTCGTTTTTGCGTGGTATCAGTTGTGATGTCTACTATTTCATTTCTGGTTTTATTTACTTGGGTCTTTTTTCACAATCTAGTTAATGGTCTGATGATTTTTTTTCTTTTAACAAAACCAACTCTTCATTTGTTAATCTTCTATACTATTTTTTAGTCTCAATTTCATTTATTTCTGCTGTGATCTTTATTATATCTTTCCTCCTGCTAAATTTGGGTTTGGTTTGTATTTGCTCTTTTAGTTCCTTGAAATGCATTAAGTTTTACTTGAAATCTTTCTCTCTTTTTTTTGATGTAGGTAGTTACTACTAAACTACCTTGTTATTATTGCCTTTTCAGTACCCTATAGATTTTGTTATGTTGTGCAGGTTTTATTTGAACTTTTTCTACATTTTTGATGAAGATATTTATTATCAAAATTCTTGCTAATATTGTGTTTGCTGGATCACACAGGCTTTGGTATGTGGCATTTCTATTTTAACTTGCTTCAAAAATTTTTTTAATTTGCTTCTTAATTTGTTTATTTGCTCATTGTCTCATTTTTATATATTTGTTCATTTTAGAAAATTTATCTTGTTATTGATTTGATTTATAGTGTTACTTCATTGTGGTCAGAAATGATACTTGATGTGATATTTTCATGCAGGCAAACGATGTATAATAATCACATAAGAGTCAACGGGAGGCTGGGTGTGGTGGCTCACACTTGTAATCCCAGCACTTCAGGAGGCCAATGCAGGCAGATCACAAGGTTAGGAGTTCAAGACCAGCCTGGCCAACATAGTGAAACCCCGTCTCTACTAAAAATACAAAAATTTTTATTTTTTGTATTTTTAATCCCAGCTACTTGGGAGGCTGAGGCAGGAGATCATTTGAACCCAGGAGGCGGAGGTTGCAGTGAGCCGAGATTGCACCATTGCACTCCAGCCCAGGCAACAGTGCTAGACTCTGTCAAAAAAAAAAAAGAAAAAGAGTCAATGGGGTATCCGTCACCTGAAGGATTTATTCTTTGTGTTACAAATAATCTGATTATACTTTTTCAGTTATTTTAAAATATACAATTAAATGATTATTAACTATAGTCATCCTGTTTTCCTATCAAATACTCATTCTTTGTTAAATGTTCTTATGGAAAGAAATAATATTTTGCAGCTGTTGGATGAAATAGTCTATAAATATCTGCAAGAGCCATTTGATCAGAAGTGCAGCAATTGTGTCAAGAAATTTTGAATTTTTCCACATATATATAAACTTCCCTGTTTTCTTGCCAGTTTTGATTTCTGGTTTCATTCCACCGTGGCTAGAAAAGACACTGAATATGGTTCTGATCTTAAATTTGTTAAGACTTGTTTTCGAATTAACTTGTCTTCTATCCTGGAGACTGTAGTGTGTATTCTTGAGGAGAATGTCTTCCGCTGTTGGGAGGAAAGTTCTGTGTGTGTCTGGTAGATCCATTTGTTCTATGATTTTGTTTAAGTCTGTTATACGTTGTCTGTCTAGATGGTCTGTCTATTATTAAATGTGACATGTGGAAGTCTCCTACCATTTACTATTGCCATTTTGTTAACATTTTTGTTTGCCCTGTAGTTCTTTTGTCCCTCTGTTTCTACTCCCTAGGTGTCCTTTCACTGTGACCTAGGGTGGAGAGGAAGACAGTGGGAGCATCCCCCCAACAGTTTTCTCTCCTTGGTTCCTGTGTCCCAGCATTGTGTTAACTGTGCTGCCCATTGTTGTAGGCGTGGTCCTCCAAGTCATGGAACCTTATGAACTAAGTTATGGGATTAACCATGCTTTACCCACACTGCCTTAGCTTATCGATCTGTGTGATCTGCCTGGCTTCCTGAAGAAATGGATCTCTGGAGAGACTGTGTCCCCTTTGGGCAAGCCTTCTTTAACAGAGTCAGTGTGCTAAATTACCTGCTATTATGGCCTGTGCTAAAATATTTACCCATAGCAAAATGGTTCTGTTTAACCTCTGTACTTAAAATCACTTTACTAATTAAGTACTGCTCTCATTGGAGACAGAAATGAACGTAGGGACCTAATGGTGATTTTTCCTGCTGTTGGCACAGTATGGGCGCTAACATTTGGCTGTGAAGGACATTTTCCTCCTAATTGTTGAAGTTGGAGCTTTCCCATTCACAGAAAGACCTTAGAGGCTGATTTCTAGCGGTGCAAAAAGAAAGAATTGAGAAGCTGCAGTATTACTGTAAAACACCGGCGATTTGCCACATGAAGAGGATTTATATTTCCACTAGGTGGCGCTGTTGGCTTAGAAATAACATGTGCTCGCCAGAGGCAGGATAGAGATGCTTGTTGAGTTGCTGCACGTGGTGTTTGCTGATCTTTCCTAACAGAACTGTTTCCCTGAACTGTAAAATTTCCTGCACACTGCACACACAGAGGATAGGAGACATAGTGACAGCAGATAGAAAAGAAAGGAAAATTTTGTGACAGGATAGCTGGAGATCCATGATCAACACTTGGATGGGCTGTTGGAGGCTGGGTTCAGTCCCGAAGCCTTTGAATAATGCCAGGGTGTGCCCTGGACAGAAATTCTCAGTTGCCCTAGGACTTCTCCCAGCCTCATGTGATGGCTAGGAACTCTGTGGAAAAAAAAAAAAAAACTGGTTTGAAGACAGCCTTGAGATTAAAGGGCAGATTTGAGGCTCACTCCATACTCACCAGTCCGATGTTTCTATCTTCCATTCTGATCCTGATCCTGGATGAGAACCGCCAGATGAAACAGCTTGGTTGACTGGGGTATATACCCTGTTTCTTTGTCTCAGTCGAAAAAAATTCAGGACGCGAATACACATGAGGAGTGGGTTTAGGAGCAGAAAGTTTAATAGACAAAGAAGAAGAAGAGAGAGAAAAGGCTTCCTCATGCTGAGAAAGCAGGTCGCCCAAGAGAGGGTCTCCAGTTTGCAGCAGGATGCAATCGATTTTGTGCAGAGGCTTAGGGAGGTGGTGATTGATTTACATAGGGCCCAGGGGATTGGTTTGACTAGACGTTCCATTTGCATAGCCTGCAAAAAGACTGGCCTTCCCACCCTACTCTTTTATTATGCAAATGTGGTTCTACCTGGTGGGTCACCATGATTCCTACACACACGGTGACAAGGAAAAGGAGAGCAGGAACCACCATATTCAATGTACCTGGCTTCCAGGTACCGCTGCTGGCATTTACATATGAAAGCTCCTAGTTTTCATATATATCAGGCTGCTTTCTGTCGGAGAAGAAATGGTTTGGGGCTGCTTTTTATTAAAGGAAAATTCCACCGAGAACTTTTACCCTTTCTAGCTGCCTAAAAATAATTTCTTAATAAATCCTGTATTAGAAAGACCCAGGGCTCATGGTTTGGAGAGTCTCATGTGCTCGAGAGGCTGTAGGCCAGGAGGTCAGAGCCAAGGGTCTAAAATTGAGGTTGAGTGGTGCCATGGACACAGGAGGTCCTGGAGGTTCCCAGGCTAGCCTACAGAGCTGAACAGCCAGAGCCAGCCCACAAGCTCAAGGGCTAGCTGAATCCCCCTTCCTGGCCCTTCCCTGCGTCATTGGTGTCTGCTCCCTCCTCTCTACCTCCTCATTCACGAGGTTCCTTTTCCTCCCAGATTCCCAGGGAAAGGCCTTGGTGGGAGAGTACCTTGTCATGCTCTTATTTTAATGCTGAATTTAGAGAAAAACCATATAATACCCTTTTGAATTTAGTCAATATATTCATACATAGAATTTTTGCAAGATTTATTTTTACACTTTCTACCACTTGTTTGAACTTTTAACTTCATATTTTCTAATTTAAAACAATTCTTTAACCCTAGGCAAGAATTTATATTTTTATGCCTCTTATAACCTTTTATTAAAATACATTTTACTGTTGCTACACACCTCACATGTAAATCTATTTCCAGTAGTCTCAATTACATATCATAATGGTAAGTTGGTGGGAGGAGAATAAGCACTCCCACCCACTGCCCTAGAACCAGCAGACCCTCCACCCAGACTAAGGTGCAGGCACACACAGCTGCACTCACCAGCCCACTGAGCACATGCCTCTTGTCCTCGTCTGCCAATTTGCCATTGAAACAGTTCTTCAGCTTTCTAGCATTGGACAATATTAATGAGGATGTTCAGTATTGTGCCACATGATCAACATATTCATCAGGGGTTCCCACCAGGAAGAGATCAACATCCTTTGTCACAACTGGGCAGATGTCACAATCTGGAACACAATGACACGTGGACAGACCCTTGAGAGACACTCATCAGAGCCTACACATCCCTTTCCCTCCATGTATGCTCAAAACTGCCCTTGGATGCCATCAAAGCCCCAGCATCCACATCCCCAGGCATTCACAGCCTGGCACCTACTTGCCCTGGAGATCAGGAGCACGGCAGTGAAGAGCAGCCCGAAAGTAGGAGCCAGCTTCATGGTGCCAGTGGCAAGTTCGTCAGGCCCCATTTGAGGCCCTTTTATACCTGTGCCAGGTCTCACAGTGGGGCAGGAAAAGGCCTGTGTCTTTCCATTTGCTGATTATCTCCCCCTACCCATAGATGTATGAGGAGCTCCAATGTGCTGCTACATCCTCAGGGCTCAGACCAGGACCAACACAAAGTAGATGCTCTATAAATGTCTGTTAGATGAATTGAAGGGACATCCCCATTGCTCTGGAGTCTATAAACTACATATTTTTAAAACTTATTTTGGTTTCTTATTTTTTTAAGACAGAGTCTCCTGTTGCTCAGGCTGGATTGCAGTGGTGCAATCAGAGCTCACTGCAGCCTCAACCTCTCAGGCTCAAGCCATCCATCTTAGCCTCCCAAGTCGCAGGGACCACAGGTGTGCACAACCAAGCCTGGCTAACTTTTTTATTTTTAGTTTTTGTAGAGATGGGGTTTCCCCATCTTGCCCAGGCTCATCTCAAACTTCTGGACTCAAGCGATCCTCCCACCTCAGCCTCCCAAAGTGCTGGGAGAGACACTCATCAGGCATGAGTCACTGTGCCTGGCCTCTGGAGTCTATGAACAAGAACTTTTACAGATACTTACTGTATATTTGCTTATTAAATTGCTTTGTATTAGTTAAATAAAGTGAAAGTTTTCAGTACTTTGTCAGTTCAGAATAAGGCAGTTTTTGGCTAGAGGTTCTTGGCTGACCTTTTCTCTGAGTCAGTAGTGACAGAATAAGGTTTGCTGAAGCTGCAGAGTCAAAGGTAGAATGCAAGGTTTTTGGCCTTGATTAGAACCTTGTACAAAACAGGATTCATGTCTGGTAAGGGCTCTTGGTTGAGAGGTGCCAAGCAATGAGCTCCAGCTGTCAGCTGTTCATCATGTCTTCTGGTGTGTGACACTGTCTTAGTCCTGCCTTGCTTTTTTATGGCCTTGGTAGTGTTGAGGTGGTGGACATCGTCAAATGCCCACCAAGCTGAGTTTGGCATTTTTTCTCATAATATTTACATTGGGATTAGGATTTTAGGGAACACACCCTGGAAGTGCAGGACCCTGTGACATCAATGTCTAGGCACTGGTTATCACTTATCACTTGATTAGTGTCATCTGTGTTGGCTTTCTCTACTGTTTTTCCCTTTCCCTACTATTTTCTTGGGAAACATCCAGCACATACTCAAGGTGGGAGGGCAGTAAGCTTGATGGTGGCTAGATGTTTCTGAAGACAAGAGTAGGGTGGCCAGGTGTGGTGGCTCAAGTGTACAATACCAGCACTTTGGGAGGCAGAGGCAGGAGGATCCCTTGGGCCCAGGAGTTCAAGGCCAGCCTGGGCAACATAGTGAGACCCTGTCTCTTAAAAAATAACAAAATTAGCAGAGTGTGGTGGACTGTGGTCCCAGCTACTTGGGAGGCTGAGGCAGGAGGATTGCTTGAGAGCCTGGGAGGTTGAGACTGCAGTGAGCTATGATCACGCAATTGCATTCCAGCCTGGGTGACAGAGGAAGACCCTGTCTCTAAAAAAGAAAAAGAAAAAAGTAGGAAATGGGGAAAACAGTAGCAGGGAGGGGAGGATCTATATATATATAATTTGGAATTATTCTGTAAGGAATATCTGTCTTTTCTTTCTCATTTATTTATTTGTTCAATCATTTATTTGTATTTTTTTTCTTCCCTGTTTTTTTTGTTTCTTTTCTTATTTCAATAGGTTTTTGGGGAACATGTGGTGTTTGTTTACATGAATAAGTTCCTTAGTGGTGATTTCTGAGATTTTGGTGCACCCATCACCCAAGCATTGTACACTGCACCCAGTGTATAGTCTTTTATCCCTCACCTCCCTGCCACCCTTTCCCCTGAGTCTCCAGTATCCACTGTATCATTCTTATGCCTTTGCATCATCATAGCTTAGCTCCCACTTATGAGTGAGAACATAATCATTTATTTTTATCAGTATAGACTCACATGTAGTTGTCCCTTTGGATTTATGGGGAATTGGTTCCAGGACCTCCCATGGACACTAAAATCCACAGGTGTACAAGTTCCGTATATAGAATGGCATAGTATTTGCATGTAACCTGCACACATCCTCCAGTACACTTTTAAGTCATTCCTAGATTACTTATAATTCCTAATGCAATGCCCACATACAACTTCCTTCACATGGATTCAAGATAGCGCTCGGTATGGGATATATTCAAGTTTTGCTTTTTGAAATTGTGTGGAATTCCCTCCCCTACTCCCCAAGTATTTTCAATCTATGCTCAGTTGAATGAACAGATGTGGAGCCTACAGATGTGAAACCCACGCATACAAAGGGCCAACCGTATGTTATTTTATACTATTTTATACTCTGGGTTATAATCCCATACTATGTGATTTATTTCATTGCTCAGATTGTTCCACATTTGATCCTTCGGAGCTTTCTCAGGCCTCCTTCTGCTAGAATTTTCATAGACAATCTCATCTTGTTTGTGCCAAGAAACTGTTTTCCTAAAGAAGGTTCTCCATGGTATTTTGGCTACCTACAGTGGCATAAACCTGTCCTTGGACCTTCTGTGGTTTTTATCTCCTAATTTTGGGAGAGTGCTACTTTTGGAGCCAGGAAAGGTGGGGGAAGAATGTGGCCAGAAAGCAGAGGTGACAGTTGGGGGTGGGACAACAGAGCATTTGGGGCTGAATGGTGCCACTTAGAAAGGTCAGCTGCAGTTGCTCCTTGGCCAAGGTACAACTGCTTCTCTCCAAAGCCACCAGCAGCAGAATCAACAGCAGCTGGATCAACATCTTTAGCCCTTTGTTTCCACAGAGTGGGAGGGGCTTCCTGTGGGCACCACTTCTCAGGTGAGGAAAGCACATGTGCCAGGTCCCAGCCCACGGGCATTTGTTTATAAAGCAGCAGAAGCCCTGCCCTGAGCAGAACACTCCAGTAGACAACACGATGAAGGGGGCACTGCTTGTGCTGGCCTTGCTGGTGATCAGAGAGCTGTGCTTCCAGACAGGTGAGAGTGGGAAGGAGGAAACAGATGGCCCTCCTATCCTTGCCCCACTCTCTCCCATTCTGCCCCCTATGGTGATCTGTCAGCAGCTTCCAGGGACAGATTTAGGGGCCAGTATCACACTGAATGGGCAAAAACTGGAAGCATTACCTTTGAAAACCGGCACAAGACAAGGATGCCCTCTCTCACCACTCCTAGTCAACATAGTATTGGATGTTCTGGCCAGAGCAATCAGGCAAGAGAAAGAAATAAGTGGTATTCAAATGGGAAGAGAGGAAGTCAAATTGTCTCTATTTGCAGAAGACATGATTGTATATTTAGAAAAGCCTATCATCTTAGCCCCAAAACTCCTTAAGCTGATAAGCAACTTCAACTTGGCTGTGGGTTTGTCATAAATCGCTCTTATCATTTTGAGATATGTTCCATCAATACCTAGTTTATTGAGAGTTTTTAGCATGAATTTTGTCAAAGGCCTTTTCTGCATCTATTGAGATAATCATGTGGTTTTTGTCATTGGTTCTGTTTATGTAATGGATTACATTTATTGATTTGTGTATGTTGAACCAGCCTTGCATTCCAGGGATGAAGCCAACTTGATCATGGTGGATAAGCTTTTTGATGTGCTGCTGGATTCAGTTTGCCAGTATTTTATTGAGGATTTTCGTATCGATGTTCATCAGGGATACTGGCCTGAAATTTTCTTTTCTGGTGTGTCTCTGCCAGATTTTGGAATCAGGATGATGCTGGCCTCATAAAATGAGTTAGGGAGAAGTCCCTCTTTTTCTATTGTTTGGAATAGTTTCAGAAGGAATGGTACCAGCTCCTCTTTGTATCTCTGGTAGAGTTTGGCTGTGAATCCATCTAGTCCTGGGCTTTTTTTGTTGCTGTCGGTAGGCTGTTAATTACTGCCTCAATTTCAGAATTTATTATTGGTCTATTCAGGGATTCAAATTCTTCCTGGTTTAGTCTTGGGAGGGTGTATGCATCCAAAAATTTATCCATTTTTTCTAGAGTTTCTAGTTTATTTGCATAGAAGTGTTTATAGTATTCTCTGATGGTAGTTTGTATTTCTGTGGGATCAGTGGTGATGTCCCCTTTATCATTTTTTATTGTGTCTATTTGATTCTTCTCTCTTTTCTTCTTTATTAGTCTGGCTAGTGGTCTATCTATTTTGTTAATCTTTTAAAAAAAACCCAGCTCCATGGGTGGAGCCAAGATGGCCAAATAGCAACAGCCCCAGTCTACAGCTCCCAGCGTGAGTGATGCAGAAGATGGGTGATTTCTGCATTTCCCACTGAGGTACCAGGTTCATCTCACAGGGGAGTGCCAGACAGTGGGTGTGATGCACTGTGCGTGAGCCAAAGCAGGGCAAGGCATCACCGCACCCGGGAAGTGCAAGGGATCAGGGAATTCCCTTTCCCAGTCAAAGAAAGGGGTGACACACAGCATCTGGAAAATCGGGTCACTCCCACCCTAATACTGCACTTTTCCAATGGGCTTCACAAACGGCACACCAGGAGATTATATCCTGCATCTGGCTCAGAGGGTCCTACGCCCATGGAGCCTCGCTCATTGCTAGCACAGCAGTCTGAGATCAAACTGCAAGGCAGCAGCGAGGCTGGGGGAGGGGCGTCCACCATTGCTCAGGCTTGAGTAGGTAAACAAAGTGGGTGGGAACTTCGAACTGGGTGGAGCCCACAGCTCAAGGAGGCCTGCCTGCCTCTGTAGGCTCCACCTCTGGGGGCAGGGCACAGACAAACAAAAGACAGCAATAAACTCTGCAGACTTAAATGTCCCCATCTGAGAGCTTTGAAGAGAGTAGTGGTTCTCCCAGCATGCAGCTTGAGATCTGAGAATGGGCAGACTGCCTCCTCAAGTGGGTCCCTGACCCCTGAGTAGCCTAACTGGGAGGCACCCCCCAGTAGGGGTGGACTGACACCTCACACGGCCAGGTACTCCTCTGAGACAAAACTTCCAGAGGAACGATCAGGCAGCAGCATTTGCGGTTCACCAATATCCACTGTTCTGCAGCCACCACTGCTGACACCCAGGCAAACAGGGTCTGGAGTGGACCTCCAGTAAACTCCAATGACCTGCAGCTGAGGGTCCTGGCTGTTAGAAGGAAAACTAACAAAGAGAAAGGACATCCACACCAAAAACCCATCTGTACGTCACCATCATCAAAGACCACAAAGATGGGGAAAAAACAGAGCAGAAAAACTGGAAACTCTAAAAATCAGAGCACCTCTCCTCCTCCAAAGGAATGCAGCTCCACACCAGCAACAGAACAAAGCTGGACGGAGAATGACTTTGATGAGTTGAGAGAGGAAGGCTTCAGAAGATCAAACTACTCTGAGCTAAAGGAGGAAGTTCAAACCAAAGGCAAAGAAGTTAAAAACTTTGAAAACAAATTAGACGAATGGATAACTAGAATAATCAATGCAGAGAAGTGCTTAAAGGACCTGATGGAGCTGAAAACCACAGCACGAGAACTACGTGATGAATGCATAAGCCTCAGTAACTGATGTGATCAACTGGAAGAAAGGGTATCAGTGATGGAAAATGAAATGAATGAAATGAAGCATGAAAAGAAGTTTAGAGAAAAAAGAGTAAAAAGAAACGAACAAATCCTCCAAGAAATATGGGACTATGTGAAAAGACCAAATCTATGTCTAACTGGTGTACCTGAAAGTGATGAGGAGAATGGAACCAAGTTGGAAAACACTCTGCGGGATATTATCCAGGAGAACTTCCCCAATCTAGCAAGGCAGGCCAACATTCAGATTCAGGAAATACAGAGAACGCCACAAAGATACTCCTCCAGAAGAGCAACTCCAAGACACATAATTGTCAGATTCACCAAAGTCGAAATGATGGAAAAAATATTAAAGGCAGCCAGAGAGAAAGGTCGGGTTACCCACAAAGGGAAGCCCATCAGACTAACAGCAGATCTCTCGGCAGAAACTCTACAAGCCAGAAGAGAGTGGGGGCCAATATTCAACATTCTTAAAGAAAAGAATTTTCAACCCAGAATTTCATATCCAGCCAAACTAAGCTTCATAAGTGAAGGAGAAATAAAATACTTTACAGACAAGCAAATGCTGAGAGATTTTGTCACCACCAGGCCTGCCCTACAAGAGCTCCTGAAGGAAGCACTAAACATGGAAAGGGACAACTTGTACCAGCCACTGCAAAAACATGCCAAATTGTAAAGACCATCAAGGCTAGGAAGAAACTGCATCAACTAACGAGCAAAATAACCAGCTAACATCATAATGACAGGATCAAATTCACACATAACAATACTAACCTTAAATGTAAATGGGCTAAATGCTCCAATTAAAAGGCACAGACTGGCAAATTGGATAAAGAGTCAAGATCCATCAGTGTGCTGTATTCAGGAAACCCATCTCACATGCAGAGACACACATAGGCTCAAAATAAAGAGATGGAGGAAGATCTACCAAGCAAATGGAAAACAAAAAAAGGCAGGGGTTGCAATCCTAGTCTCAGATAAAACAGATTTTAAACCAACAAAGATCAAAAGAGACAAAGAAGGCCATTACATATGGTAAAGGGATCAACTCAACAAGAAGAACTAACTATCCTAAATATATATGCACTCAATACAGGAGCACCCAGATTCATAAAGCAAGTCCTTAGTGACCTACAAAGAGACTTAGACTCCCACACAATAACAATGGGAGACTTTCACACCCTACTGTCAACATTAGACAGATCAATGAGACAGAAAGTTAACAAGGATATCCAGGAATTGAACTCAGCTCTGCACCAAGCGGACCTAATAGACATCTACAGAACTCTCCACCCCAAATCAACAGAATATACGTTTTTTTCAGCACCACACCACACCTATTCCAAAATTGACCACATAGTTGGAAGTAAAGCACTCCTCAGCAAATTTAAAAGAACCGAAATTATAACATACTGTCTCTCAGACCACAGTGCAATCAAACTAGAACTCAGGATTAAGAAACTCACTCAAAACCTCTCAACTACATGGAAACTAAACAACCTGCTCCTGAATGACTACTGGGTACATAACAAAATAAAGGCAGAAATAAAGATGTTCTTTGAAACCAACGAGAACAAAGACACAACATACCAGAATCTCTGGGACACATTCAAAGCAGTGTGTAGAGGGAAATTTATAGCACTAAATGCCCACAAGAGAAAGCAGGAAAGATCCAAAATTTACACGCTAACATCACAGTTAAAAGAACTAGAAAAGCAAGAGCAAACACATTCAAAAGCTAGCAGAAGGCAAGAAATAACTAAAATCAGAGCAGAACTGAAGGAAATAGAGACACAAAAAACCCTTCAAAAAATTAATGAATCCAGGAGCTGGTTTTTTGAAATGATCAACAAAATTGATAGACTGCTAGGAAGACTAATAAAGAAAAAAAGAGAGAAGAATCAAATAGACACAATAAAAAATGATAAAGGGGATATCACCACCGATCCCACAGAAATACAAACTACCATCAGAGAATACTACAAACACCTCTATGCAAATAAACTAGAAAATCTAGAAGAAATGGATAAATTCCTCAACACATACACCCTCCCAAGACTAAACCAGGAAGAAGTTGAATCTCTAAATAGACCAATAACAGGCTCTGAAATTGTGGAAATAATCAATAGCTTACCAACCAAAAAGAGTCCGGGACCAGATGGATTCACAGCCGAATTCTACCAGAGGTAAAAGGAGGAACTGGTACCCTTCCTTCGGAAACTATTCCAATCAATAGAAAAAGAGGGAATCCTCCCTGACTCATTTTATGAGGCCAGCATCATCCTGATACCAAAGTCGTGCAGAGACACAACCAAAAAAGAGAATTTTAGACCAATATCCTTGATGAACATTGATGCAAAAATCCTCAATAAAATACTGGCAAAGCAAATCCAGCAGCACATCAAAAAGCTTATCCACCACGATCAAGTGGGCTTCATCCCTCAGATGCAAGGCTGGTTCGACATACGAAAATCAATAAACGTAATCCAGCACATAAACAGAACAAAAGACAAAAAACACATGATTATCTCAATAGATGCAGAAAAGGCCTTTCACAAAATTCAACAACTCTTCATGCTAAAAAAACTCTCAATAAATTAGGTATTGATGGGACGTATCTCAAAATAATAAGAGATATCTATGACAAACCCACAGCCAATATCCTACTGAATGGACAAAAACTGGAAGCATTCCCTTTGAAAACTGGCACAAGACAGGGATGTCCTCTCTCACCACTCCTATTCAACATAGTGTTGGAAGTTCTAGCCAGGGCAATCAGGCAGGAGAAGGGAATAAAGGGTATTCAATTAGGAACAGAGGAAGTCAAATTGTCCCTGTTTGCAGATGACATGATTGTATATGTAGAAAACCCCATCGTCTCAGCCCAAAATCTCCTTAAGCTGATAAGCAACTTCAGCAAAGTCTCAGGATACAAAATCAGTGTGCAAAAATCACAAGCATTCCTATACACCAATAACAGAAAAACAGAGAGCCAAATCATGAGTGAACTCCCATTCACAATTGCTTCAAAGAGAATAAAATACCTAGGAATCCAACTTACAAGGGACGTGAAGGGCCTCTTCAAGGAGAACTACAAAACACTGCTCAACGAAATAAAAGAGGATACAAACAAATGGAACAACATTCCATGCTCATGGGTAGGAAGAATCAATATCGTGAAAATGGCCATACTGCCCAAGGTAATTTATAGATTCAATGCCATCCCCATCAAGCTACCAATGACTTTCTTCACAGAATTGGAAAAAACTACTTTAAAGTTCATATGGAACCAAAAAAGAGCCCGCATTGCCAAGTCAATCCTAAGCCAAAAGAACAAAGCTGGAGGCATCACGCTACCTGACTTCAAACTAAACTACAAGGCTACAGTAACCAAAACAGCATGGTGCTGGTACCAAAACAGATATATAGACCAATGGAACAGAACAGAGCCTTCAGAAATAATGCTGCATATCTACAACTATCTGATCTTTGACAAACCTGACAAAAAGAAGCAGCAGAGAAAGGATTCCCTATTTAATAAATTGTGCTGGGAAAACTGGCTAGCCATATGTAGAAAGCTGAAACTGGATCCCTTCGTTACACCTTATACAAAAAGTAATTCAAGATGGATTAAAGACTTACATGTTAGACCTAAAGCCATAAAAACCCTAGAAGAAAACCTAGGCATTACCATTCAGGACATAGGCATGGGCAAGGACTTCATGTCTAAAACACCAAAAGCAATGGCAACAAAAGCCAAAATTGACAAATGGGATCTAATTAAACTAAAGAGCTTCTGCACAGCAAAAGAAACTACCATCAGAGTGAACAGGCAACCTACAAAATGGGAGAAAATTTTTGCAACCTACTCATCTGACAAAGGGCTAATATCCAGAATCTACAATGAACTCAAACAAATTTACAAGAAACAAACAACCCCATCAAAAAGTGGGCAAAGGATATGAACAGACACTTCTCAAAAGAAGACATTTATGCAGCCAAAAGACACATGAAAAAATGTTCATCATCACTGGCCATCAGAGAAATGCAAATCAAAACCACAATGAGATACCATCTCACACCAGTTAGAATGGCCATCATTAAAAAGTCAGGAAACAACAGGTACTGGAGAGGATGTGGAGAAATAGGAACACTTTTACACTGTTGGTGGGACTGTAAACTAGTTCAACTATTGTGGAAGTCGGTGTGGAGATTCCTCAGGGATCTAGAACTAGAAATACCATTTGACCCAGCCATCCCATTACTGGGTATATACCCAAAGGACTATAAATCATGCTGCTATAAGGACACATGCACACGTATGTTTATTGCGGCACTATTCACAATAGCAAAGACTTGGAACCAACCCAAATGTCCAACAATGATAGACTGGATTAAGAAAATGTGGCACATATACACCATGGAATACTATGCAGCCATAAAAAATGATGAGTTCATGTCCTTTGTAGGGACATGGATGAAGCTGGAAACCATCATTCTCAGCAAACTATCACAAGGACAAAAAACCAAACACCGCATGTTCTCACTCATAGGTGGGAATTGAACAATGAGAACACATGGACACAGGAAGGGGAATATCACATACTGGGGACTGTTGTGGGGTGGGGGAGAGGGGAGGGATAGCATTAGGAGATACACCTAATGCTAAATGACGAGTTAATGGGTGCAGCACAACAATATGGCACATGTATACATATGTAACAAACCTGCACGTTGTGCACATGTACCCTAAAACTTAAAGTATAATAATAAAAAAAAATGAATAAATGAAATACTGGAGAAGAATCTAAATGCATAAAATGGATGTAAAGTGTAAAGAGGTTTAAGACATTTCTCTTTAGTTAAGAAGAGGTACACTGAAATTTAAAAGAGTAGACCAACACAGAATATTTAATTTCCCATGATATTTGAAGTGCATCTTCATCCTATACCTGTAGTTAAATAAACATGATAAAAACTTAAAAAAAAAAAAACCCAGCTCCTGGATTCATTGATTTTTTGAAGGGTTTTTCATGTCTCTAGTTCCTTCAGTTCTGGTAGTATATTACTTATTTTTTGTCTTCTGCTAGCTTTTGAATTTGCTTTCTCTTGCTTCTCTAGTTATTTTAATTGTGATGTTAGGGTGTCGATTTTAGATCTTTCTTGCTTTCTGATGTGGGCATTTAGTGCTATAAATTTCCCCCTAAACACTGCGTTAGCTGTGTCCCAGAGATTCTGGTATGTTATTTCTTTTTCTCTCTCTCTTTCTTTCTCTCTTTCTTTCGTCTCTCTCTTTTTCTTTCTTTCTTTCTTTTTTGAGAATAGAGTCTCACTCTGTTGCCCAGGCTGGAGTGCAGTGGCAGTGATCTCGGCTCACTGCAAGCTCTGCCTCCCGGGTTCATGCCATTCTCCTGCCTCAGTCTCCCAGTAGCTGGGACTACAGGCACCCGCCACCACACCCGGCTAATTTTTTGTATTTTTAGTAGAGACAGGCTTTCACAGTGTTAGCCAGGATGGTCTCAATCTCCTGACCTCGTGATCTGCCTTGGCCTCCCAAAGTGCTGGGATTACAGGTGTGAGCCACTGTGCCCAGCCAGTTGTATCTTTCTTCTCATTGGTTTTAAAGAACTTCGTTATTTCTGCCTTAATTTCATTATGTACCCATTAGTCATTCAGGAGCAGGTTGTTCAGTTTCCATGTAGATGTGTGGTTTTGAGTGAGTTTCTTAATCCTGAGTTCTAATTTGATTGTACTGTGTCCTGAGAGGCTGTTTGTTATGACTTCTGTTCTTTTCCATTTGTTGAGGAGGAGTGTTTTACTTCCACTTATGTGGTCAACTTTAGAGTAAGTGCTGTGTGGTGCTGAGTAGAATGTATATGCTGTTGATTTGGGGTGGAGAGTTCTGTAGATATCTATTAGGTCTGCCTGGTCCAGAGCTGAGTTCAAGTCCTGAATATCCTTGTTAATTTTCTGTCTTGTTGATCTAATATTGACAGTGGGCTATTAAAGTCTCCCATTATTATTGTGTGGGAGTCTAAGTCTCTTTGTAGGTCTCTAAGAACTTGCTTTATGAATCTGGGTGCTCCTGTATTGGGTGCATATATATTTAGGATAGTTAGCTCTTCTTGTTGCATCGATCCCTTTACCATTATGTAATGCCCTTCTTTGTCTTTTTTTATCTTTGCTGGTTTAAAATCTGTATTATCAGAGACTAGGATTGCAACTCCTGCTTTTTTTTTTGAGTTCCATTTGCTTGGTAAATATTCCTCATTCCCTTTATTTTGAGTCTATATATGTCTTTGCATGTAAGATGAGTCTCCTGAATACACACTCCAATGGGTCTTGACTCTACCAACTTGCCAGTTTGTATCTTTTAATTGGAGCATTTAGCCCATTTACATTTAAGGTCAATATTGTTATGTGTGAATTTGATCCTGTCATCATGATGCTAGCTGGTTATTTTGCATGTTAGTTGATGCAGTTTCTTATAGTGTCACTTGTCTTTATATTTTGGTGTTTTTGCAGTGGCTGGTACCAGTTTTTCTTTTTCATATTTAGTGCTTCCTTCAGGAGCTCTTGTAAGGCAGGCCTGGTGGTGACAAAATTGCTCAGTATTTGCTTGTTTGCAAAGGATTTTATTTCTCCTTCACTTATGAAACTTAGCTTGGCTGGATATGAAATTCTGGATTAAAAATTCTTTAAGAATGTTGAATATTGGGCCCCACCCTCTTCTGGTTTGAAGGGTTTCTGCAGACAGATCTGCTGTTAGTCTGATGGGCTTCCCTTTGTAGGTAACCTAACCTTTCTCTCTGGCTGCCCTTAACATTTTTTTCTTCGTTTCAACCTTGGAGAATCTGACAATTATGTGTCTTGGGGTTGCACTTCTTAAGGAGTATCTTAGTGCTGTTCTCTGTATTTCCTGAATTTGAATGTTGGCCTGTCTTGCTAAGTTGGGGAATTTCTCCTGGATAATATCCTGAAGTGTGTTTTCCAACTTGGTTCCATTATCCCCATCACTTTCAGGGACCCCAGTCAATCGTTGGTTTGGTCTTTTCACATAGTCCCATGTTTCTTGGAGATTTTGTTCATTCCTTCTCATTCTTTTTTCTCTAATCTTGTCCTCATGCTTTATTTCATTAAGTTGATCTTCAATCTCTGATATCCTTTTTTCTGCTTGATTGATTCAGCTGTTGATACTTGTGTATGCTTAAGGAAGTTCTTGTGCTGTGTTTTTCAGCTCCAGCAGGTCATTTATGTTCTTCTCTAAACTTGTTATTCTAGTTAGAACATGCTCCTTTATCTCAGAGGAGTTTGTTATTACCCACTTTCTGAAGCCTACTTCTGTCAATTCGTCAAACACATTCTCTGTCCAGTTTTGTGCCCTTGCTGGAGAGGGGTTCCAATCATTTGGAGAAGAGGCATTCTGGTTTTTGGAATTTTCAGCATTTTTGGGCTGGTTTCTCCCCATCTTCATGGATTTATCTACCTTTGATCTTTGAGGTTGCTGACCTTTGGATGGGGTTTCTGTGTAGGGGGGTCCTTTTTGTTGATGTTGATGTTATTGTGTTCGTTTGTTAGTTTTTCTTTTAACAGGCCCCTCTTCTGCAGGTCTGCTGCAGTATGCTGGAGGTCCGCCCCAGACCCTATTTTCCTGGGTATCACCAGCAAAGGCTGCGGAACAGCAAAGATTGCTGCCTGCTCCTTCTTCTGGAAGCTTTGTCTCAGAGGGGCACCGGCCTGATGCTAGCCAGAGTTCTTCTGTATGGGGTATCTGTCAACCTCTGTTGGGAGGTTTCCCCCAGTCAGGAGGCATGGGGGTCAGGGACCCACTTGAGGAGGCAGTGTGTCCCTTAACAGAGCTCAAGCACTGTGTTGGGAGAACCTTCCTTGTCAGGATCCACTCCTCTTGTCAGAGCCAACAGGCAGGAACGTTTAAGTCCACTGAAGCTGTGTCCAAAGCTGCCCCTTCACCCAGGTGCTCTGTCCCAGGGAGATGGGAGTTTTTATTTATAAGCCAGCCTCTGACTGGAGCTGCTGCCTTTCTTTCAGAGATGCCCCACCTAGTGAAGAGGATCTAGCGAGGCAGTCTGACCACAGTCACTTTGCCTCACTGTGTTTAGTTCAGGCCAGTCCTTAGCAGGGTCAGGGGAAACCCACCTACTCAAGCCTCAGTAATGGCAGACACCCCTCCCCCCACCAAGCTGTATCATCCAAGGTCGACTTCAGACTTCCGTGTTGACAGTGAGAATTTCAAGCCAGTGGTTCTTAGCTTGCTGGGTTCTGTGGGAGTGGGACCCATCAAGTAAGACAACTTGGCTCCCTGGCTTCAGCCCCCTTTCCAGGGGAGTGTATGGTTCTGTCTCTCTGGGGTTCCAGGCACCACTGTGGTATGAAAACTCCTACAGCTAGCTCAGTGTCTGCCCAAACAGCCACCCAGTTTTGTGCTTGAAGCCCAGGGCCCTAGTGGTGTAGGCACGTGAGGGAATCTCCTGGTCTGCAGATTGCAAAAACTGTGGAAGAAGCATAGTATCTGGGCCAGATAGCACAGTCCCTCACAGCTTCCCCTGGCTGGGGGAGGGAGGTCCCTGGCCCCTTTCAGTTCTCAGGTAAGGTAACGCCCCACCCTGCTTCTGCTCACCTTCCATGGGCTGCACCTATTGCCTAACCAGTCCCAATGAGATGAACAAGGTACCTCAGTTGAGAATGCAGAAAGCACCCACTTTCTGCATTGGTCTCGCTGGGAGCTGCAGACCGGAGCTGTTCCTATTTGGCCATCTTGCCAGATCCCTCCAACTAATGACTATTTTTTTTTAACTCTAAAATCCTCATGAGGGACAAATATAAACAGAATTTAAATAAATGAAAATATTGAATGGGAATTTTCAATAGAATAAAGGTGCGTTTTCTGGTAAAAATAGAAGCCAGTTTAATGTAATAACAATGAAAATACCAATAAGATTTTTTTAAAATTGATACATAATATTGTAGATATTAATGGGGTATGCATAATATTGTTACATGCATAGAATGTTAATGATCAAGTAACAGTATATGTGGTATCTATCTATCTATCTATCTATCTATGTATTTTAAGAGATGAGGTCTTGCTTTGTCACCCAGACTGGAGTGCAGTGACACAATACTAGGTCACTGCAGCCTTGAGTTCCTAGGTTCAAGTGATCCTCCTGCCTCAGCCTCCTGAGTAGCTGGGACCACAGGTGAGAGCCACTGTGCCTGGCTAATTTTTTCAGTTTTCTTGTAGAGACAAGATCTCACTCAGTTGCCCAGGCTGGTCTTGAACTCTGGGCCTCAATCAATTCTCCTTCCTTGACCTCCCAAAGTGCTGGTATTACAGGTGTGAGCCACCACATCAGGCCTCTATCTCTATTTGCCCATTTTGCATTGCTTTAAAGAAAGACCTGACACAGGGTAATTTGTAAAGAGAAGAGGTTTATTTGGCTCACAGTTCTTCAGGCTGTACAAGCATGGCACCAGCATTTGCTCAGCTTCTGATGAGGCCTCAGGAAGCTCATATTCATGGCAGAAGGTGGAGCTATAACAGGCAAGTCACATGTGAGAGTGGGACCAAGAGCAGGGAGGTCCCCATCTCTTTTAATCAACCAGATCTCCTGTGAGCGCGTTACCACTGGGAATGGTCCCAAGCCATTCAAGAAGGATCCACCACCATGACTCCAACACCTTCACTAGGCCCCACTTCCAACACTGGGGATCACATTTCAACATGAGATTTGGAGGGGACACACATCCAAACTACATCACCATCATTTTGAGTATTTGTTATTTTCATGTGTTGAGACAATTCAAATCCTTTTTTCTGGATACTTTAAAATATACAGTACATTGTTGTTACCTATAGTCATTCTATTCTGCCATCAAAGAATGAGCTTATATATTTTATCTACCTGTATTAACCTAGCTCTCTTCATTCCCTCCCCTTCCCAGCCTCTGATATCTATCATTGTAATCTCTGCCTCCATGATCAACTTTTTTAGCTCCCACATGGAAGTGAGAATATGCAGTATGTCTTTCTGTGTCTGGCTTATTTCACTCAGCATAATGACCTCCATGTCATCAACGTTGCTGTGAATGATAAGATTTCATTCTTTTTTATGGCCATATACTATTCCATTGTGTATATACACCACATTTTCTTTATCCATTCATCTGTTGATGAATGCTTAGGTTGATTCCATATCTATGCTATTGTGAATAGTGCTGCAATAAATATGTGAGTGCAGGTATCTCTTTGATACACTGATTAATTTTCCTTTGCATAAATGTCCAGCAGGGGAATTGCTGGATCATGTGGTACTTCCATTTTTAGTTGTTTAGGTTTTTGAGAAATCACCATACTATTTTCCCTAGTGACCACACTAATTTACATTCCAGGCAACAGTGTATAAGTGTTATCTTTTCTAAACATCCATACTAGCATCTGTTATTTTTGTTGTCTGTTTAATAACAGCCATTCTAGCTGGGGTAAGATGATATCTCATTGCAGTTCTGATTTGCATTTCCCTGATAATTAGTGGTGTTCAGCATTTTCTTCATTCACCTGTTGGCCATTTGTGTGTCACATTTTGAGAAATGTTTGTTCATGTCCTTAGCCCAATTTTTAATGGGATTATTTGTCTCTTTGTTTTTTTTAGTGTGGAGTTGTTTGAGTTCTTCTAACGAGATTTATTTTAAAGAAAAAGATGTACTTTATCCTTATAAAATTAATCTTCCATTTATCATGACCCAACAATCCCTCTTCTAAGTATTCACCCAAGAGAATGAAGATTTATGTTCACATAAAAAACCTAATCAGCGGTCGGGCACTGGCTCACACCTGTAATCCCACTTTGGGAGGCCAAGGCGGGTGGATCACGAGGTCAGGAGTTCGAGACCAGCCTGTCCAATATGGTGGAACCCTGTCTCTACTAAAAATACAAAAATTAGCTGGGTGTGGTGGCACCCACCTGTAGTCTCAGCTACTCAGGAGGCTGAGGCACAAGAGTCGCTTGAACCCGGGTGGCAGAGGTTACAGTGAACCGAGATCACGCCACTGCACTCCAGTCTGGGCGACAGAGGGAGACTCCATCTCAAAAAACAACAACAACAACAACAACCCTGATCAGCAATATTTATAACAGTTTTACTCAGATTTCAGTTTATTGAAACTGGAAACAACTCAAATGTTGTTCAACTGGTGGATGGATACACAAAGTGTGTTACACTCATGCAGTTGAATTCCATGAAGCCACAAGAGGAACAAACTATTGACACATGCAACAACATAGAAGAGTCTCACGTGGATTAAGATGAATGAAAGAAACAAAACTCAAAATGCTACTATTGGATGGTTCATTTAAATGACATTCATAATATACTTAGAAAAATAAGTGAAAATGCTGAGAAAGAATTTTAAAATAGAGTATTAGGGACAAGAAGCCCTATGAAGTATTCTTTAAAACACACATATGCATGTGAGCATGCACCAATAAGTGAACTCTCAATGGAAAGACAGAAATACATCTAAATAATCAAAATTTTGTGAAAAAAGGTAACTTGCTAATCAAGGCGATCTGGATTTTTTGTAAATAAAGTGGTGTTGAATCTACTGATTAAACATCTGAGGGAATTAAACAGTTGGCTCTACTTCTCACAGCCTACTTCAAAATTAACTTCAGATCTCTGAAATATTTCTACATTGAAAGAGTAAGAAAAAAAATCCCATGAAACTCTTGGGAAAAAAATAAAGAAGAATATCTTTTAGAATCTCAGAAGAAAGAAGACCATTGCAAAGATTAAAAAACCCAAATTGATCAATTTGACTGCATAAAAAATGAAATATTATGCATGGCCAACTGCATCAAAAAAATTCAAAATGTTAGGAGAAAATTATGGTGAAGATATTTGCAAGTCATATTACAATTGGCTTATTTTCCTAGTATGTATGGAGTCCCTCCACAGCTCCTACAAATGATAAGAAAAAGACCAACATACTGGTGGGAAAAGGAGCAAATGTTCCTAGCAGAAAAGTTCAAAGAAAACAACCAAAAAAAGTGGCTTTGAAACATATGTTAGCATTCCAGGTTTTGTGCTAGGTGGTAGGTTCATGAATGACTACTACATTACTAATAATCCTTCAATGAAGAAGTTTATCGGAGGACATCATGAATCGAGGTTAATTCAATAAGTCTCTGCACCATTAAAACATTTATCCTGGGATGGCTTTTTGTCTCTTCTATTGGACTGGCAAGGACAAAATGTCTGACAAGCAATGTGTCAGAATGTGGAGAAACAAGTGCTCACACACTCTGCTGCTGGCACCATAAACTGGGCAAACCCTTCCCTAGAGGCGATGCCAATATAGAGCCTGGAAGGGGGGCACAGCCCACACAGAGAATGAAGGGGAGGAATGATGCAAAGCGAGGGGGTGGTGGACACAGAGGAAGAGTGGCAGGGAAGCTGAGCTTGGCAGGAGGTGACAAAGAACAACAAAGGAAGTGAGTAATAAAGACTGTCCTGGAGTGATAAGTAGAGTATAAAAATCAAAAAACTACAAGAGCTGGGCATGATGGCTCACACCTGTAATCCCAGCACTTTGAGAGATCAAGGCAGGAGCACTGCTTGAGCCCAGGACTTCAAGACCAGCCTGGGTAACATAGCAAGACTCCATGTCTACATTTTTTTTTTTAATTAGCCAGGTGTGGTGGTGCATGCCTGTGGTCCCAGTGACTCCAGAGACTGAGATGGGAGGATCGCTTGAGCTCAGGAGTTCCAGGCTGCAGTGAGTTATGACTGCATCACTGCACTCCAGCCTGGGTGACAGACTGAGACCCTGTCTCCGGAAAACAAACAAATGAACAAATATATATTACAAGGAATGGCAAGGAGAACTATGAAAAATGGTGGGAAATGAAAAGAGAGGAGAGGAATGGTGAAGATGCTAGGAAGTGACAAATCTTATATTCTGAAACTCTCTTCCCCTAGGGAAGTTTTGAGTTCAGTCTTCAATGAATGATTGATTATTAACAATGTAGTAGTCATTCATGAACCTACCACTTAGCACAAAACCTGGAATGCTAACATATGTTTCAAACGTGAAAACTCAATCCGAACCTTTCTTCAGGACACCACTCCAATGCCACATTATTAGTTTCTCTGGCTGTATCTCTTCTACCCACTTTCTGCCCTCCAATTGCCTCCCTCCTTTCCCTGCTTTCTCTGCTAACATGCTCATATTTGTTGGGCTATCTTTTTTGTTATTTCTCTGCCACTACCAAATGTAAGCTAGATAAGGGAAAAAATTTAGTCATTAAAGAAACATCCTCCACCTAGAAATTATCAATAAATATTTGCATATATTGCCCCCCCCCCCCCGCCAAAATCCACAGTTACTCCTGAAATCCTTAATTCCATTACGTTCTTTGCCTACTCTGGCATGATATTTATTATAAGAAATAACACTCTCCCCATGTTTGTAGTCAAATAGAATGTCATAAGACATCAAAACAAGACAAAAAGATTACTGTATCTGGCCACAATGGTGTAGCATGGGCCAGATTTACACTCCCACCTAGAACATCGAACACTCAACAAAAATGATAATTTTCAGAAATTGGATATCAGGCAGCACAGAAGAGTGATCTCTGGGAGAGGGAAACAAGGAACCAAGTAATTGCCTCAGATTCCCTTCAGAGAATTTCCAGACTGCAAAGCAGGAAGGGGGAATCCCAGGGAAAATCAGCAGTCTCTGAGCTCCTGAGACAGAGTTAGGACTCTACGGTGGCCAAGGTGGCTACATTTTCAGGACAGGAGACTACAGAGGAGAGAGCTGCACAGAGAGATCTTCACGGTTCTGCAGAAAGTCCCTGTTAAGTCCTCACTGAATACTGCTGTTTATGCATGTGAGAAAATAGCCCAAGACTAGGGAACAACCACCTGAAAGGAGCAGGGGGAAGCAATGTCTGGAATTTACACAGGGCTGGAAATACTTTGTATTCCTAAAGCCAGAGAGGAATACCCTGGTTATTCATGGGGAGACAAGTAGATAACTCAAGAAAGGTATTATATAAAATTCACTTTGCATATGGCTGCCTTTGTGCCACCTAACAAAACTTGCAAAAAGTTTCCAATGGATTAAACTATTTCCAAATAACTTAACTGAGTAACAGAACAAAACTCAAGAATATTTGTAGAAATGCAGAGTTATCCAGCACCTAAAAAATTAAATTTCACAATATTTTGCATTGAAAAAATAATTACCAGGCAGGCAAAGAAGCAGAAAAGTATAACCTATTATCAGAACAATCAACCAGTATAAACAGACCCAGAAATGACACACATGGTAGAATTGGGAAAGAAGTATATTAAAAGTTATTAAAATTGTATGAAATGTTCAAGAGAGTAAAGGAACACTTGACAAGACAGACGTATTTTTAAAAAGACCCAAAAACATGTTTAGAAAAAAATACATGTTTTGGGAGGAAGTAGGATAAAATAGTTGAAAAGAATCCTCTAGTGATCATCCCCTCCTCCCTACAGAAACACCAAATTGAACAACTATCCATGCAAGAAAGCCCGGTTCATACGAACTGATGTGAAGTACCACTCTCATGGAAGTCTTTTGATGCTTCTTCCTAGTGGTCCTCTGGATGCTACTTAGCTATTGCCTCAGATAAGGTGAAGAGCTACATTACCCAGAAGGATGTGCTTCATATGTCCAAATGACAGCCTGGGACAGGAGTGTTTCCTGCAGCCTGCATTATCATGGGCTGGACTTTTGGTACTGCAAGGGTGAACTTCCATTTGTCACATGACTTGTCTGCCCACACCACCCAGTGGATGCAGGAGGCTCTTTGGGACCAAGCTAGGAAGGCCACTAAGAAGGATAGGACCCATCTAGACACCTTTGCAGGGCCTGGGAGAGAGTTCAGCTGAGTCTGAAGTACTGATATAGTCGCTTCCCTCCTAGCACAGTTGTATTAACTATCCCCCAGTCTCACATACTTGGACTCTCAACCACATGGCTGTGGCACACTGACATGGAAGATCGTGGAATCCTGGGATTCTTCAGGCCTTCTCTTCCTGCTGATAGGGTCACTGTCTGTCCAGAGTCCTAGAGTTACATCAAGTATTACAAGAGAAAATTCCTCTTTCTAGAAATCAGTGGTATGTGGTGGGGAAGTATGAACTACAACTTCTTAGTACCCCCCACCATTCACGTACAGCAGCATGTGCAGATCCTCAGGAGAGGCATCGCCTGCAGAATCCAGAGACATGTTTGGATCGTGCTGTGCCCTATCTCAGGGCTGTGGCCTTGTGCAAGCTACCTTGCTACCTTTCACCTCCATTTTCCTAAGGAAGGCTTAAAGGGGAAATATTAACC
The DNA here is from genome assembly GCF_000001405.40 of Homo sapiens. Classification (NCBI taxonomy): domain Eukaryota; kingdom Metazoa; phylum Chordata; class Mammalia; order Primates; family Hominidae; genus Homo; species Homo sapiens. Next base: position 34,689,764 of record NC_000019.10, on the reverse strand, counting down.
ATCATTCATTCTAGGTGAGAGTACCAGAGATGGCTAATGTTTAATGTGTGTTCCCAGTGCCCAGCACCATTCAGGGACATTCTGGATGCTATTTCTAAAGAGAAACAGTCCTAGAAATGCATCCTCTACTCCATCTTCCTTTGCTCACTGCTCTCCTGCCAAGCTGTCCTGATCATTCCAAGCTCTTTCCGACTTCCCAGTCTTTCCCTCTGCCTGGGACACTGAGTCCAGATCTCTGCAGTGCCTCTCCCTCTCCTCTCCTCCTTTGCATCCTTCCCTGTTCTGCACCAATGTCACCTAGTAGGAGAGTCTTTTTTTTTTTTTTTCGGCCTTGCTGGTTCTAGGTTAAGTATTTCTCATCTTCTGGAATCTTTGTGCAGGGAATGTGGCACACGTACAAAAGTAGAGATCAGGACTTGGTTGGGTTTTCCAGGGTGGTGTGGGAGCAAAGAGGCTAAATAACAATAATAGCTACATTTATTGAGCTCTGAGGGTAACTCGTTATGTAGCACCATTATGTAGCACTTCATTTAATCCCAATTTTCTCAGAGTTAGTTTCTATTATTCCTGCTTTACAGAAAAGGAACCTGAGATTTGGAAAACTTAAGTTACCTTCTCAGGGTCACGCAACTCTTGGCAGAAACTCACACCCTGTACTTTGATCCCTTGCCTATGTTCTTTTGTCTTCACCACCATTCCTCCTCAGTGGGCTGGAGAAGCCTGCGGTGACACCTGACAAAGATTTTCTTTGACCAAACTCTATCCAGGCCCCTCTGAGCCTTCTTGAATATGCCTGTCAACTGTGGCCTATTGAGACTTGAACAACACTAACATTTTCTAATGACTCCTAAAGTGCCTTTCCAAAAAACTCAAGGCTGTCCAAAGAATTTCTTCCAGCCAGCACCTGAAGATAAGGCCCCTGTCTCCCAGCCTCTGTGGGAGGATATGAGCCTAACTCAAAAGTGCCAGTAGCAAACCCAGATAAGACTGCACATAGACCAGCCCCCTCCCTTCCTAATTTTTCACTTTTCTGACTCCACTGAACCGCTCCTCACCACCCCCTATTTCTTCACCCTCCCTTTAACATACTCATTTACCTTTGTACAAATCAAAGCTTAGTTGACTTCATGCCAAATTCCTTTCCCCATTGCAATAGTTATCAATTAGTCTGTTCTTACCACTGTCATTAATGTCCAGCTTTGTTCGTCTTTGACACACCTAGTGAGCTTTGCAAGGTAGGCAGGCCTCCCTTGGCAGGTAAGCGTGGTAATAAATGGGGTATGGGACACATTCTAGGCAGAAGGAGCGGCATGGCCAAAGGAAATGTTTTTTGTTCAGTGAGGCAAGAGAGCCTTATGGTTGCCAAGAGAAATCCCAGTCTTCTGAGATCTGTCCTAGAAGGGCAATATTGTGTGGTCTTTTACTAAATGTTCAAATGTAGCCTATATTCCTAAGATGTGTGACTCTGAGAGAGACTCACTCAGCTCACTAGCACAAAGATGATTATGGCATTTACCTTACAGTATGTGGGAAGATTATTGAAAGCAGGAAAAACACGGCAACAAACTTCCATGCAGAGGCACTTTGTTGCTTGCTTTATATATCTTTTAATTCTCACAACCACCTGATGAGAAATATTTTTGTTTTGATGGAGACATCGGGAAATGAAGTGACTTCCCCAAGTGTATAGAATAAGCAAGCGACAGTCCCAATAGGCTGAATTCACACCTAGCAATTTGTGTCCAGAGCTGACAGCATTTAATTGTCTGAATGCAGCACACAAAGCAAACACAAGGCGCAGTGGCTGCTGCTATTAACGGTATTGTATTATGATCATTATAGTTTTTCCCTATTTCTTTGATGCCAGAGTGCTTACCCTCAGCACCTCTCGGGCCATACGGGCCACACGGCCTTGTCATTGTCTTGTATCTTCCATTAATTACTTCTGCATATAAAGCTTTTTTCCTCTAACACAATTGCAATTTGTTTAAAAACTGACTCCCCCTCAGCAGCAAAGAATTAAGCTCCCAGGAAGTGCTCAGTGATATGTTCATTGGTTCTTTCTAGATGTTTACCAGCAACTGAGTTCTAATCACATTTGACTGGCCCAAGGCTAACAAGAAAACTCTGACTTTCCAGGCATCGGTGACCTTCAATGACAGGCTGTAACCTCCATTCAGGAAGAGTGAGGGCAGTGGCACCCAGCCCATGGGACTCTGTACTCAGAGATGATGCCAAAGACCTGTAGTCTTCTGGTCTCAGTGGGTAAACCCTCCCCTTTCCTCCATGTGGAAGCCTGATGCCTCCTTCACTCGGCCCATTTTCCAACTCTGTAGGGCATCCTTCTTCCTTCTCAGAGACCTGCTGAATTCTCATCTCATCTCCTATCTGGTCTCTTTGTTTCTCCTTAGGTTATTTTGGGCAAGAAACATTCCCTCAAAATGGCTCAGATACTAAAGGATTTGTTGGAAGGAAACGGGGGTGTTTTGTAAATGCTCTCCCCCAAAAATGTGAAACAGTAAACAGATAAGAGTGGCAAGTGATTAGATGTGACATCTGAGACCAGAATAATGAAGCAACCATGAGAAGACGATGATGATGAAATCAATAGCTATAGCTAATACTTACTGAATGCTATTGAGAGGCCAGGCATTGTTGTAAACATTGTGCATCAATTAACTCATTTAACTTTCATAATAATGCTGTGAAATAGGTTTATTACCATTTTACAGATGGAGAAACTGCAGCATGACCCAGTGAAACAGTTTGTCCAAGGTCACAAAGCCAGTATACATGTAACTTGGATTTAAACCCAGGTAACAAGACTCCAAAGCTTAATGCTCTTCACACACACACATCTCGAAGCTCTTAAGGAGTATGGAGTGTTTCTTAAGTCCACAGAAGATGCTCAAGAAATGGTTAATAGGTAAGATTGAGGAAACAATATGTTGTCAGTGACACCATAACATTATTATTATATTCTGGACAAACAGTGTTAGTGTCCCCTAAGAACGTGTGAAAAATGCAAATTCAAATCAACTCATACAGAAACTCTAGGACTGAGGCTTAGCAATCTGTGCTTTAACACGTCCTTCCAGTGATTTCGACACAGCACTAGAGCTCAGAACTACTAGATTCCTTTATCCCATCCCTGTGTAATACACATGAGTAATGCTCAGTAAATGTTCTTGAAATGTATTTAATTAAGCCTACTGGATATGGACTCAATAATCCTCACCAAAATACTGCTATTCTTAGTATAAAGAGCAGGCCATTCTTCTCGAAGTTTGCTAGTCTCCCGCTAAAGGCTATACTAAGGCTAATCTTAGTGAAATTTTTTTTTGTCGCAAACAGTCACAGAGAAAGAGTTCATGATATACAAAATGATTTTATTAGATGCCAAATTTTTATTAACACCATTTTATTTCTTTTGCAGCTTTAATTTTTAACATTATAACATTTACTGGCTCCTCTGGGTGACTAAATATCTTCACATGCCCACTAGCTAAAAAGAATTTCTAAGTAGAACTCAACTGAAACTGCAAGCTACTGCTCTAAGAAATGCATACTTATGTTTATTTGCTCTCCTATATAATCCTGTTTACAAATAGCATAACTGCAAAGATTTATATGTAATTTCTAAATCCTTCAGGTTGCTCTACCATTCATCTTCTTATGTCTGGCAAGATAAACACTCTTAGTGAACACTTTGCTGCATCTCTTAAATGAGATTTGTCTCCAGTTTATTTCCTATAGAATAAGGGATGCACTTGGAACTGAAAAATTCCTTCAATTTCTAAAGTTTCCACATTCATACAACTTTTCTCCTGTAGGAGTTTGCAGGAGATTCCTATTGCCTATAGTCTTTCCCACATTTGCTACATGTACACAGATTTTTCCTAGTGTGAGTATACTTAGGTCAATTAAGGGATTAATACTGACAAAGGCTTTCCCACATTTATTGACTTCATATGATTTCTCTACAGTATAAACTCTAATAAAAAAATCTGCATCATTGCTAAAAGTCTCCCATGTTCACCACCTTCATACAACTTTTCCCCAGTATACATTTTTCTGATGTTAAATAAGGGAGGATCTATGAATGAAGTTTACCGTGATAAACACTGCTTCTCTTCTGTAAGATTTCTCACATGTATAGGGATTCATATGATCTAAAGGCTTTTCCACACTTACCACACTATTGGGTTTCTCTCCATTATGTACTCTTTGATGGGCAGTAAGATTCGAGCCTTTGCTAAAAGCTTTCCCACACTCACTACATTTATATGGCTTTTCTCCAGTATGAATTCTCTGATGTACAGTAAGGTTTGAACTACAGCTGAAGGTCTTCCCACATTTAATACATTCGTAAGGTTTCTCTCCAGTATGAATACTGTGATGTTGAAGCAGGGACGACCTATGACTAAAGGCTTTCCCACATATACTGCATTCGTAGGGTTTCAATCTAATGTGATTTCTCAAATGCATATTCAGTGATTCAAGCTGGTTGAAGGATTTCCTGCATTTCTAAACTTCAAACGGTTTTTCTTCAGTATGAATACTCTGATGTTGAACAAGAAATGAGAAGCTACTAAAGACCTTGAGACATTTGTTGCATTCATATTTTTTCTTCATACTGTGAATTCTTTGATGTTGAGTAAGGTGTGAGCTACAGCAGAAAGCTTTCCCACATTCTCTACATTCATAAGGCTTCTCTCCAGTATGGCTTTTCTGATGGTGAATGAGAGACGAACTATGAATGAAGGCCTTTCCACATATACGACACTCATAGCGTTTTTCTTGCGTATGAATTCTTAGATGCTGAATGAGAAGGGACACACGACTAAAAGACTTTCCACAGTTCATACATTCATACGGTTTCTCTCCCGTGTGAGTGCTCTGATGGTTAGTAAGTGATGAGCCATGGCTAAAGGCCTTCCCACATTCAATGCATTTGTAAGGTTTCTCTCCACTATGGCTTATCTGATGTCGTGTAAGGGATGAACCATGGCTAAAAGTCTTCCCACATTCACGACATTCATAGGGCTTCTCTCCTGTATGAATTCTCCAGTGGCGACTGAGGATTGACTGTTTGCCAAAGGCTTTCCCACATTCACTGCATGTATAGATTTTCTCTCTATTACAAGTCTGGGGAAGGGTAAGAGATTTGCTCTGGTTGAAGGCTGCCCCACTTTTATTAGAATTTAAAAGTTTCTTTCCACCATTTATTCTCTCACTTTTTATAACTGACTTTTTTGATAAATTCTTCTTTAATATATCATATTTGTGTGAATTCCCTTCAGCAGAATTGTTTTGTGGTTCAGAAAGAGTAGACTTTGAATGAAAGGTGCTTCTAAATGTGTCGCATTCTGTATATTCCAAATTCTTATTAGAATTTGAAAATTCATAACTTTGTTTTACAACTTTTTCCATTGTTACTGGTTGGGGTGAATCTTCATCATAAATATCCTTCTTTGTTGATAATTCCTTGTTTTCCCATCTTGATTCCCAATCTGAAATATATCAAGAAAGCAAAGCACTGCCTTTTTTTTTTTTTTTTTTTTTTTTTTTTTTTTTTTTTTTTTTTTTTTTTACTTCTTGAAAAAAGCTTCTACAGTGGAATTAGGAGAATTGGATAAGAAATGAAGCACCCAGAAAACACATAGTTCTGACAACTCAAATATTTCAGTGACTTCTGAACAATGCTCAAATAGAGCAGAGAATCCAAAGTTCACAGAAGCAGGAACAGAGTGTGATAAAGGAAATGGGTAAGCTGTACGAAATGGATAAAATAGTATGGAAAAAAGGAAAGTATCAGAAATAAGATGTGGAAGGCATTCAGGATTACAAATCATCATTTTGTGCCTATATTCATGTGGGAAAGGTTGCATTTTGTTTCATAGCCTTTTTTTCCAACCTTCCATTAATCTCAATTTGCTGCTGGATTATCAAGCTTAAAATACAGAATTGATACTACTATATTAAACAACTGCAGTAAAAACAAAGTAAATGCTCTTTATAGCTGACAAAGATATAGGCTTTCTGAGGTTATGAAGAAACTGTGTGAATCATATTTTTCTTGAACATTAGAAAATATTATTCCTAGAAACATTTATATGTCCCTTACTTCCTCTAATATGTTCATATTTCATCTACAAAGCTCAGCTTTAGAAAAGTGATTTTCCATCTAACTGACAGCTTTTCTTAGCTTAAAACTATTAGTATATTTTTCTTAAGTAGAATTAAGAAAGAATAAATTGTCTTACTTTGTCATGAATATAGTAACAATTTGAATTATTATGATGGCAAAAACCTCTAACCTTGATTAGGTGACATGAGTGATACAGATAATAATTTGAGAGGGAGGAACAATTGTTTTGAAAATCTAAGCTAAATATCCCTCAATTTTTCATTTCTATCTGAGATCTTTGAAGACAGTATCCCTAAAATGCTTCCACACTCACTATAAACATCTTTAACAAAATCTTCCTTTGTCTCGTTCACCATGACTCATGTGGAATCATACCTTTTGACAGTTTTTTCTCCATCATCCAGGGCTCTTTTCCATCCTCCAATAACATGATCACATATGGCTTAGTTACGGAAAGACCTGCTTACAGGAAAAATATAGAATTGTTTAAGCTGTGGTCCTCTATTATGAGAGGCCATCACAAGAGGGACCACAGGAATGGATGAAGGGTGTTCACTGAAATGGAAAGATAAGCTTTAGGCAGGGCACAACAGAGCTGCACATTTCCTCGGGAGCATGGTACAGAAATTCAGCCATTTACTTAGGAGAATCTCCAGCAATTCAGGGTGGCAAAAGAAAGGTGTCCCCTATTGGAGTGGAAGGGGTGATATCCTTACCTACAGAGACCAGGTTCTCATAATTCTGGACCATCACATCCTTGTATAAGTCCCTCTGAGCAGAATCTAGGCATGCCCACTCTTCATGAGAGAAGTCTATAGCCACATCACTAAATGTCACCTGAAATAGCAAATATATTTAGGCTCAGCCATAGCCCAGGCCTCTTCTGTCACTGAAGAAGGGGTAAAATTAGCCTGCTTGTGGAAGAAATGGAACAAGATTCAGGAGCTGTGACAATGACTGGGAATGTGATGTCAGGTAAGTAATAATAGGACAGTTATGTAGTTGGAATTATACAATAAAGGGGACAGTTATGTGCTTAGAATTTTTATACAATAAGAATGAGAGACAAATATGAGAGCTTTGCTTCAGTAATTTTGTTAAAAGTTTAGAATTATATGAATTTTTAAAAATCAACATTTGACATTTGACAGCACAGAGTCAAGTATTTAGTTATATCTTTTATAGCTTACATGCTAGCTAAGTAATTAAAAATAAGGCTAAAGCAATTGTCTCTCAAATATGATACTCAGAAAGATTCACTAAATCTCACAAAAAATGGGTTCAGAAAAAAAAGACATCTTAATATTAAAGACTGATAGACATATGGTTTGATTATGTTCCCCAAAAAAGCATGTATTGAACTTAATCACCATTCTAATAGTATTGAGAGGTTAGATCTTTAGGAGACTATTGGGCCTTGAGGACTCTGCCCTCATGAATGGATTAATGTCATCATCAGGGAAGAGGGTTCCTTATTTAAAAAAATGAGTTCTGGCCCCCCTTTGCCTCTCTCTCGTCTCTTTGCCCATCCACCACAAAAGGACACAGCAAGAAGGCCCTTGCCAGATGCCTGCCTCTTGATCTTGGACTTCCCAGGCACCAAAACCATGAGAAGTCAATTTTCATTATTTATAAACTACTCAGTCTGGGGTATTTGTTACAGCAGCACAAATGGACTAAAACATACACATAACTGATTCATAAACAAAAAAGAAAAATATATTTGTGGTGTATACTTAAACTTCGTGCTGACAAACATTTAATAATTAAAATATGAGACTCCTGGGTGAAAAGACTGAAGGATGGTTTCATGTCATAGATCAGGGGTCTAACACCTGGGCCACGGACTGGTACTGGTCTGTGGCCTTTAGGAACCGGGCAACACAGCAGGAGGTGAGTGGCAGGAAAGAGCATTATCACCCGAGCTCCACCTGCTGTCAGATCAGCTATAGCATAGATTCTTACAGGAGCGCAATCCCTACTGTGAACTGCACATGCAAGGGATCGAAGTTGCACACTCCTTATGTCAATCTAATGCCTGATGATCTGAGGTAGAACGGTTTCATCCCCAAACCATCACCTCCACCACCTCCCACTTCCGTGGAAAAATTGTCTTCCACGAAACTGATCCCTGGTGTCAAAAAGGTTGAGGACTCCTGCCATAGACAGTCCTTAAATAGGACCTGGAAGGGGAAAAAAATAAGAGTAGATTTCAAAGAAAATATTCTAAGGAAATGCTCACAGATGTGCTTAGAAATTCTTCTCAATAGTACTCATTTCACAGTATTATTTAAAATAGTAAAACTTTAGAAGTTTAAATATTCAATAATAGCTTATTGGCTAGTCAAATTATAATATGTGCAAAAAGTACAGCCATTTAATACAGAGTTATTACTGTCTGTGATTTGTAAAACAGACTGCTCTACTGTGGTAATTTTTTAGCTCTGAGAGTTCATTCAGTATTGTATTACTTTATTTGGATATTTTGCATGCATGTTCACCAGTGACATGGATCTTTGGTTTTAAAGGCAGAATTTACTTTTCTCAGGTTTGGAGAAAATAATTAAAATTCGAATCGCCTTCCAATGGCAGAAAATCCTCTCCACAAATGTAGAAAAAAAAAGAAAGCAGTTTTATTACTGAATAAGCTAAATCAGACCTTGATGCACTTCACAAGCGATCCACTATTGAGATGAAAAGGACAGGAAGAAATCTCATCTTTTTATATAGGCAAGCAGATACAATCCAACACACATTTTCCAAATAAACAATAACTTATCCTCAAGTAAGATTTGACAGTTCAATTTGCTACACAAAATTTCTTCTAAATTCACCTGTTAATTGGAGTTGCCACTGTGTTAATTGCCTATATCCCAAATAAAAATAACATTTCTCATATCTTTGACAAACCAGTCATTACAACTTAGAGCCAGGGATGCTTCTTTCTTCCCCTTCAGTTGCCTGGGCAGCTTGAGATGTTCACTCATCTCAGTTCCCAAAAGAACATAGGATATCTATCCTAGCACTTATTTAAATTTCCCATGCTTTCTTACTTTTCTACCAGTGCCACAATCTTCAATACAGGAGCCACTAGCCAACTTGGCTACAACATTTAAATTAATTAAAATGTAAAAATAAAATAATTAAATAAAATTTAAAATTTATTTTCTCCATTGCTTAAGCCACAGTTCAAGTACTCAATAGTCAGATGGGGCTGTTGGCTACCGTACTGATCAGTACACATGCACAGCACTTCCACCACTGCAGAAAGTTCTCTTAGACAATACTGCACTAGATCATGAAGTCCTGTGTGTCAGTGTACACCAAAATCCATGTACAACTCTTCCTAACAGGTACTTCATAAGTGTTTAGAAGATGAACCAATGAATGGTTTTGGCATTAGTTCACTTTAGCCTTTACTTTGTTTTTTCTTTCAAGAGGCAGGTTCTTGCTCTGTCACCAAGCTGGAGTGCAGTGACATAATCATAGCTCACTACAGGCTTACACCAGAGGGCTCAAGAAATCTTCCTACCTCATCAGCCTCCCGAGTAACTGGGACAACAGGCATGCACTACCACACCAGTTTTTCAATTCTAATTATCTTAATTATTCCATGAAAACAGACTTCACCCAAGATGTACATCTGCTACTTACATCCCCTCCTGTGCAAGCTTCACCTTCCATGCCATGATTCTGCCCCACCAGTTCTTCATTACTCATCTTATTCACTCCACAATTACTTACTAAGCATCCATTTGGTGCCAGGTAACACTCTGGGTACTGACGCTATAACAGTCAACAAAGAAGAAAAAGCATTCCTCCCACCAGGAACAGACAATGAGCACGTGCATATACTGAACATACAGTACATCAGCTAGTGAGTGACACACACTGTGGAAAACAACAAAGCAGTGATGGAGGAGTGGAAGCGCTAGGGAAGGTGACTGCAATTGCAAATAGGCTTTCAGGGAAGCTGTTCTGAGAAAGTAACCACGGAACAAACACAGAAGGAGATAAGGATGCAAGCTTGTGCGTATGTGGGGGAAGAATATTCCACGTGGATGGCACAGCAACTGGTGACAGAGGCTGGAGCGCACAGGAATGAGGAGGCAGAGAAGGAAGGTGGGATCAGGGAGGTAATGGCCTAATTGTACAAATAGGTCATTGCAGAAGTGACTCAGTTAGAACCACTGAAAAATTTTAGGTTGCGGAATGACAGGAATTTATATAACAATAGGACCATGGTCACAGCTGTACTGAGAACAGACTGATGAGGGTTAAGGGCAGATGCTGGGAATCCAGCTAGGAGGCTACCGCAATAATCCAGGTGGCTCGGACTGGGGTGGTAGTGGTGGTGGTGGTGATGGGCTAACTAATGGTCAGATGCTGTATACGGTGTATCGTTTAGATCCAAACTAGAGGACCTGAATATGAGTTATAAGTCAAAAGGAAGAATCAAGGATGACTCCAAACATCTCTTCACTTGAGACCACATGGTACAGTTTTGACAACCATAAACCGAATAACCTTACATTCCAAAGTTGCATTGTGAATTACAGTTTTAAAATGTTGGCAATCTAGAAAGTCTTCTAGCAGAAAACTGTAGAAAAGAGGAACACTGGGTGATGAGGACAATACCTTGGAGCTCTCCTGTGGGCTCCATTCTTCCTATAGTGAAAGGAACCATAGATCTAGTCCCTTAAATGGACTTGATTAGGTGGGAACAGGCAGGAGAAGCAAAGCAAACACACAGAGGCCTAATAAAGTGTTTCAGGAAGATTTGGGGACACACCGACTTACCTGAGACATTATTCTGCAATTTCCAATGGCCAACAGAGTCCCCTTTCCAGGTTCTTATCTTAGAGATGGGCAGTGTCCTGAGGGCACAGAAAGGCAGGAAAAAGCAGTCATGAAAAATCGGGCTTATCTTGCGGCACCTGTCACACACCTTAATGGAAAAGCACACTGGTAATCACTCGCCGGAGCGTCAATCTCTCCCTGGGAAGGAACAGGGTGTTTCTCCGCAAGGGCTATTTACCAGGTGCCACCTGCGGGGAAAATCAATTATTCTGTATACAAAAGACTCATAAAACAACGGTAACAACTTTATCAGCTCGTTCAGTCTTCACCACTTTGCAAGGTGTGCATTCATATTATTCCAGATTTTTTTTTTTTTTTTTTTGAGACGGAGTCTCGTTCTGTCTCCAGGCTGGAGTGCAATGGAGCGACCTCGACTCACTGCAACCTCTGCCTCCCGGGTTGAAGCGATTCTCCTACCTCAACCTCTCGAATAGCTGGGATTATAGACACGTGCCACCACGCCCAGCTAATTTTTTTTTGTATTTTTAGTAGAGACGGCGTTTCGCCATGTTCGTTAGGCTGGTGCGGTGGCTTACGCCTTTAATCCCAGCACTTCGGAAGGCGGAGGCGGGCGGATCGCTTGAGGTCGAGTTCTAAACCAGATTTATTTTTTAAAATGAAGACAAAACTGAAATTCCGAGATACTGAACCCATTTGTTCAAGGTTGCACAACTGAAAGCGCCGGCTTCATGACGACATAACCCAAAAAAAACTGTAGCTGGCGTCTGCTCTCGCGCCCACTTCGCTCTCACAACAGTGCCAAGAGGTCGGCGCCGTCATCACCCCGCGTTTACACGGCTCAACAGGAAGGCCAGGAAATGCCCAAGGCCCCGGCCGTGGTCAAACCGCGCGCGGACCCAGGGCCTTAGCCCCGCCGTCGCCGCGACCCACACTTGCCGGAGTCCTCAGCAGGGCCTCACCGTCCCGCAGGCGCCCCGAGCCCGCGCCTCCGCGGACCTGACGCGCCGCGTAGCTGGTGAGCGGGTAACGGCGGCCGACCTCCGGGAACGACACTGCCCCAAACCGTTCCTTAGCTTGGAAGCCGCCGCCAGGCCTGAAGCTATCGCGGGACTGACCCAGTGCACCGCCCACGGCGAACCACATTTCCCAGAATCCTCCCCCTGCGGTACAAATGTCCCGGAAGCCGCGAACCGCCGGCACCCGAAGACCACACTTCCCAAGGGTCTCTGCGGCTGCGCGGACCTGGTGCGCCGCGGGCAAACCGGTCACGGCTTTGTAAGTAGCTTAACCGCCTGGGGCCGTCGACCTAGAGCCGGCCAGCTAGGACCATGCGCAAATTGTCCTGGGGCACACAGTCGTCCTCTGGTGAACGATACAACTCGAAACCAAGGGACACCCTCTACTTATAAGGGCCATGGCGCCCGGACCAAGAAATTACATTTCCCAGAAAACTGCAGCCGTGCCAAGGTCTTCCGGGTCATTCCTGCGCTCACACAAACGTTTCCCTCCGAGACATGGGCAGCCCTTGCTGGTACCGCGCAAGTGCTCGCCGTTGCTAGCAAAGGGGCTCCTCTCATCCCAAACCCTGCCGCTATGCTGTTCACCTTCAGGTCTTTTTTTTTTTTTTTTTTTGGCACTCATTTGCCCAAGACGATAACTCACAAAACGCCCTGTGGCCCGACTGTCACGACTGTAGTTCGCCAACCAAGGGCATTTCCTGGAAATGCAAGGGGACACGTATCTGTGACACTAATGGCCGTTCTGACGTGCGTTACGCCCCTGGAAGGACTTGGAAATACTGAACTTGAGTGAGCACTGGGAGGATGGAGACCCTCATCCTGGGAGGAGTCACTCCTCCCGCAGCCATCACAGCCTGACGCCCCCTCTCCCCAGAAGTGCTTCTTAGGCCCACCCAAAAGGGCAATGGACCTCTCTGTATGCAAGCCAGAGCAGTCTACTGTTTGTGTATATTTGGGTTGTTTACTTTCTTTTTAACACTTAAATGTTAATTGACTTCAATCATTTTTAAAATTATAAATAGTGTCGCTATAGACTTTTTTGTACTTATTAAGTACTGACCTGCATGATCTTCGTGAAGCAGTGCTTCTGTTACCAGAAAGGGGTCCGGATCCGACCCCAAGAGAGAGTTCTTAGAGCTCACGCAAGAAAAAATCCATGGGAGAGCACAGTGCAAAGCCAAAGCAAGTGTATTAAGAAAGTAAAGAAACAATGGGTACTCCATTGTTAGAGCAGCAGCTTGGGCTGCTGGACTAGGGATACTTGTATTTATTGCTTGATGATGTGCTAAACAAGGGTGGATTATTCATGAGTTTTCCAGGAAAGAGGTGGGCAATTTCAATTTCTCGGAGCTGAGGGCTTCCCAGCTTTTTGAACCATACAGGGTAACTTCTGAACCTTACCATGGCATTTGTAAATTGCCATGGCACTGATGAGCGTTTCTCTTAGCGTGCTAATGCATATAATTAGCATATAACCGAGAGGTGAAGCCAGCTGGGCTTCTGGATCAGGTGGGGCCTTGGAGAACTTTTCTGTATAGCTGAAGGATTGTAAATACACCAATCAGTGCTCTGTGTCTAGCTAAAGGTTTGTAAATGCACCAGTCAGCACTCTGTAAAAACGGACCAAACAGCACTCTGTAAAATAGACCAATCAGCGCTCTGTAAAATGGACAAATCAGCAGGATGTGGGCGGGGCCAAATAAGGGAATAAAAACGGGCCACCCGAACAACCAGCGGCAACCGCGCTGGGGTCTACTTCCCAGGTGTGGGATGTTTGTTCTTTTGCTCTTTGGGTCTGCACTACCTTTATGAGCTGCAACACTCACCCTGAAGGTCTGCAGCTTCACTCTTGAAGCCAGCGAGACCACAAACCCACTGGGAGGAACGAACAACTCCAGACACGCCGTCTTTAGGAGCTGTAACACTCACTGTGAAGGTCTGCAGCTTCACTCCTGAAGCCAGCGAAATCATGAACCCACCGGGAGGAACAAACAACTCCAGCACGACTCCAGACGCACCGCCTTTATGAGCTGTAACACACACCGCGAGGGTCTGCAGCTTCACTCCTGAAGCCAGCCAGACCAGGAACCCACCAGAAGGAACCAATTCCGGACACATAACAAGCAGCAGTGAGGACACCAAAGGTCAGTCTCCTCGCCATCTTGATTTTGGTGGGTTTTGGCTGGCTTCTTTACTGCAATTTGTTTAACCAGCAAGGCCTTTATGACCTGACCTGTAGCTTGTGCCGACTTCCAATGTTATCCTGTGACTTAGAATGCCTTAAGTGTCTGGGAAGTAGGTCTCAGCCTCATTTTACCCAGGCCCTATTCAAGATGGAGTCGCTCTGGTTTAAACACCTCTGACAGTTCTACCTTGGTGTATCCTGTGGGTGTGGTTGTGAATTCCTATAGCAGCCACAGTTTTAAAAAACACTGGCATCAGCTGGCTTCCTCTCAAGGCTTAGAGTATGTAATAAGGAAAGACTGGATTGTGCAAAGCATGTTTCCATCTATGATTTTACTATACAATCATGAATTGTTTTCCAAAGTTGTACCAATTTTCACTCCTACCAGAGTTTATGGTTATTTTGCTTGCCAACTCTTACTGCCAACACTCTCTTTGTGAAACTTTAAAAGTTTAATAATCTACTAGGTGTGAAATAGTAACTCACTGTGGCTTAAAGTTGCATTTTTTAATTGTTAATGAGATTGAGAATCTTTTTGAATGTCTATTGGTCTTAGTATTCCCTTCTCTGAGAATTGCAGGTCTTTTGGTCAAGTTCTTTTGGAATGATGACCTTTTTAATATTAAAATGCAAGAGACATAGGAAAAAATGAGGTTTAAGGAGATAGTGAGATAGTGCAGTGACTAGGTTATTAAGATCGTTTCCCACTTAGAATCCTGGGCTTTCAACTGAAATAGTAACTGAATGTGTTTTCTGGAGTTTGGCATAATGTTTCTGGTTATGAAATTCTTAAATTCTTTCCTGCTTGGGATTTGCTGAACAACTTGAATCTGTGATGTGTCATCTCTGGTAATCAGCAAACTCTTCCTCTCCCATATATTGCCTCTTCACCATTGTTTCTCTGCTTTGAGAACCCCAATTCGTTATGAGGCAGGTGTTACCCCTCTATCCTCCAGGTGTCTTAAATTCTCTGTGATTTTCATCCTTCAATCTCTGTGTTGCATTCTGGATAATTTATTCCGATCTATTGCCCATTCATAATTATCTCTCCAGGACATTTTAATTTCAATTTTCCAAACTTTTTTAACATGGTAGGTATAGTTGCTTCATAATATGTATCTGATAATAACAATAACTGAAGATTTTGTGGGCCCGTTTGGATGTTTATTTCCAAATTCTTCAATCAGTTTGCTTTGCTTCCTTTTTTGTTGGTTATCTTTGTCCTTGAAAAGAGATTTCATGTAGCTTTCCCATATCCTTAGATGAAAGTGCCTTTCTCTTCTAGAGATTATATAATTTCCTTTCAGACAAGACCAGGATCCCTGCCACTTTGGAACCACTTTAAACCACACTTAAGACATAAAGTCCCTGCTCAGTCCATCCAGAAAAGCTTACATAGGGATTTTTCATTGTTTCTGCTTTTCCTCATGATCTCACTGGAAGAATTATGGTGGTTTCCCATTATGAGTCCTCAGATATTTGGAATATGAGTTAAGTTCATGAGTGGAGAGAGGGCCAACATTAAAGGACTAGATGTGACTCAGGGCATAGGTGAGAAGAACTTTAAATGGAGGGCTAGTCCTTTTGTTTCAATAGCTATGTCTGGCCATCTCATAAAAAGCATTCCTGTGAAGTTAAACCCCTAACTTGTGAATGCCCCATCGTTAGGGAAGCAGGAGTATAAGAGAGCCAGAGGATGCCATTTTAAGTATAGTTCCATTTTGAGACTAGCAAAGCACATTCCTTGTCGGTCATGGCCCATAGTCATGGGGTGTTTATAGTTGAGGAAACAGCCTAAAGATACCTACAGGGACACTCCTACAACAGTGCAGAGTCCAGATGTCCCAATACCCGTAACAATATATGCTTTGAAGATAATAGCTATGTTTTGATGTACTTACACACTGGAATGTCCAGGTTAGTTTAAATGAATACTGTAATAATTTTTTTTATTCTGCCTGCTCACCCACACATAGACCCAGCTTAGCTTAGTTTTTTCATAGATAAGACCCCTATATAAGAAAAACTTAAAGCCAGTGCATTCCTCCTCTTGTTTTCTGAGGGCCTCCTGCTCACTAATGGTGTAGCTTCTAATAAACTTGCATCTTTCACTGCACTCTGCGACACATCTTAAATTCCTTCCTGAACAAGATCCAAGAACCCTCTTGGGGTCTGGATCGAGACCCCTTTTCCAGTGACACCCTGACTTGCATTGTTAGCAGAAAGGTTAGAGGCACTGGAATAGAGACTGAGGAACAGAAATCAGGGGTGTGAGGTAGAGAGAATCATAGGCATAAGCAAGTCTGATTTAAACAAATATGCCAGACACTTGAGAAAGAAAATGAAGCAGAGAGAGAGAGCAATAAGGAGAAACTAAAACACATTACATGCAATACTCAACCCACTCCCTTCCACTAGCTCTTAGCTGCCTTCTGTCCCTTTCCTATTTAAAATAATGCAGTGTTTACAATCAGTAATTTTTGCTGTTGGGATTTATCTGGTCAAGGGCACATTTTAGAATATGAACTTTGGAGAAGAAAAGCCAGTTTACTCTGATGCAGAAGCTGTTTAAGATTCAGGGTGTGCTATGATGTGAATGTCTGTCCCCCGCCCCCGCCACAGAATTCATATGCTGAAACCGAATCCCCAGTGTGACAATATTAAGAGGTGAGGCCTTTGAGGAAATGTTAAGTTATGAGGCTGGAGTTCTTATGAATGGATTGATGTCCTTATAAAAGAGGCCCAAGCTTGTTTGCTCCTTTTGCCATGTGAGGTTATGGAAGAAGGTGTCGTGTATGAAGGGAGACAAAGTTTCAGGTTTGTGTTTTGGTGGAAGTTTAGGTTCAAATGAGTCCCATATTGATGATTAGGTTTCAACATAGGAATTTTGGGGGGATACAAATATTCAGACCACAGCAAAAGCCATTGGTAGACACATCGGCCCTTGGGACTATGAGGAATTTTAGATTTTAATGAGCTCATTATAAATCCCACTAATTTATCTTGACCAAGGGATAAAGATGGATACCCAGGAATCTCCACAGATAAGACTAGAGCTACACTAGGCCACTATCTTATTACACGACAGCACAACATACAAAATAAATTGTAGATGCTGCTAAATTTGTAGATTAAATGCCTGTATCAAGAAAGAACTATCTCAAATCAATGACAGATTCAACCTTAAAAACTTGAAAAAAGACAATTGAAACTCAAAACAAGAAGGAAATAGTAAAGATCAGAGAGAAATTAATGATGTGGAAAACAGAATAGCAATAGAGAAAAACGAGTAAAACCAATACAGATTTTTTGAGATCAATAAAAGGGATATAACTCTGTGGATCTAGCAAAAAAAAAAAATGTGAGAAAAAACAAATTACCGATAAGTTACAGATGAGATGACATCACTAGATACTACATAGTTTATTTATTTATTTATTCATTTATTCATTTAATTATTTATTTTTACACCCCACCTGGAGTGCATTGGCCCCATCATGGCTCACTGAAGTCTTGAACTCCTGGGCTCAAGCAGTTCACTCGCTTCAGCCTCCAAGGTAGTTTGGAATATGGGAGTGCACCACCACAACCAGCTTTTACAGATTCTAAAACAGTAATAAGGAATTTTATGAATAATCTTCCAATACATTTCACAGTTGCCAGTTTGAAAATAAACACATAAAATTGAACAAATAAGTTAGACAACATAAATATTAATGGAGAAAATCCCATAGAATCTGTGAAAAAAATCTGGAATAAATGAATTTATAAAATTTACAGGGTAAATAATAATTTTTTAAAAAAATTATACTTCTGTATACAATGATCAATTTGAAACTGAAATTTAAAAGCACTTTTTACAAGAGCATACAACATATACTTGAGACACATAAGATGTGCAAGATATGTACATTGAAAACTACAAAAGATTGCTGAGGAAAATTAAAGATCTAAATAAAAGGAGAGATACACAATGTTTATGGATTAGAACACTCAATATTGTTAATGTGCTAATTCTTCTCAAATTGATAAACATATATTCAATGCAATCCAATCAAAATCCCACGATGCTTTTATTAGAAAATAACAAGTGAATTCTAAAATTGATATGAAAATACAAAGCACTTAGAATAGCAAAAAAAAAAGAAAAAGATGCATAAAGTTAAACGATTACATTGCCTGATTTAAAGACATATTATAAAGTTAATTAAGACTTTAAAATGTTAGCAAAAATATAGATTAAGAAAGTCCAGAAATAGACCAACACTTAGAAGATCAAATGATGTTTTAGAAAGGTGCAAAGGCAATTCACTGAAGATCGTGTTTTCAACAAGTGTTGTTGGAACAACTGGACATCCATATTAAAACAAAAACCAGGCCAGCTGCAGTAGCTCAGCCCTTAATCCCAGCACTTTGGGAGGCCAAGGTGGGTGTATCATGAGGTCAGGAGTTCAAGACCAGCCTGGCCAAAATGTTAAAACCCCATCTCTACTAAAAATACAAAACTTAGCCAGGGGTGGTGCCTGTAATCCCAGCTACTTGGGAGGCTGAGGCAGAGAACTGCTTGAACCCGGGAGGCGGAGGTTGAAGTGAGCCAAGATTGCACCACTGCACTCCAGCCTGGGTGACAGAGAAAGACTCCATCTCAAAACAAACAAACCAGCCACAAAGTTCTGATCCCAAACCTCACACGGTATACAATATTCAAGAACTAACTCAGCATGGATTATAAACCTGAATATATGAAACCTTCATTAAGTAACATGAGAGAATTTTTAAAATCTTGGCAAATACTTCTGAAATATACACCAAAAACATGTTCAATCAAAGAAAAAAATAACACATTCAACTTTGTCAACAGTAAACATTTCTGCTATGCGACATGCTCTTTTAAGATGAAGGAAGAAAAGAGCCATAGGCTAGAAGACTATACTGGCAAACCACATATCTGAAGAAGGACTTGTATTCATTATTTATTAAGAACTCTCAAAACTCAATAATAAAGAAAAAAGTTTAAATGGGCAAAAGATTTGAATAGACACCTAACCAAAGAAGATAGAGGGATGGCAGTAGTACACATAAAAATTGTAAACATTAGTTATTAGGGAGATACAAAGTAAAATCGCAGAGAAATACCACTGCACACCAAACGGGAATAGTGAAAATTAAAGACTGACCATACCAAGTGTTGGTGAGGATATGGAGTACCTGAAATCCTCATAACACTGTGGTAAGAATGTAGTAGTATAACCACTTTGGAACACAGTTAGTCAGTTTGTGAAAAGGTAAACATCCACTTACTCTGCGACTTGGTGTAATTATGCTTTTTATTTTCTGTATTTTATGATGACATCTTTTAAAGTTTGCTGGCTCTGGAGACTGTCCTCCCAGGATTAGTCTTTTCTTAGAGATGGCAAAACGCTCGACCTGGAGCACCTGTCTCATATACAACCAACTGGCACTGAATCTATAGCCCCGATTACCTCTTTATCCAACTCTCACACCCCACGCCAATATCTCCCCTGCACTGAAGCACCCCATGACCAGGTACCAGGTAACCAGAGACCAACACTATAGGCCAAAGCCTGCCGGGATTATTCAAACTAGCTAATCATAAGCTGTTTACTCTGCCCTGCCTGGCTTTTCCCATGGGAACCCCAATAAAGGCTGTGGCCTATGGGTTCCCCTTGCTCCTGCCTCCTGACCAGCACTGGTGCTCTCCATGTGGCCCTGTGTGGCATGGTGTGCCCCGGGAAATGTAAATAATAATGTTTTCCATCGCATTGGCCTCTCTGTGTGGTCACTCAGTCACTGCCATAAATTAGAATCCCACAGGTGGAAATGAGACACACCTCTTCGTGTGTGTGTGTGTGTAAGTGGGGGCAGGGCAGGTCTGCAGAGAGACCCACGGCCCTGGGCCATGCCTTTGGGGTGACAGTGTATCAGGAACTAAGCTCAGCATGCAGTGGGATGGGTTGGGTGTTGCTGTGACATCCTGTGTCCTCCCTGGAGCACCGTGGGATTGGGAGCAGGCTGAGCACTATGGTGCCAGCCTGCAGGTCCATGTGTGCATGTGCACCCAGGAGGCCCTGAGGCATAACGGTGTGTCTTGGCAAACATGTGTCTGCACTTGGCACGCCCTAGCACAGAATCTGCCACCGAGTGCCGGTTCAACAAACATTTGATAAATGAGTTTGTTTGTCTGAATGGGTAGCAGATTAGGTGCAGCTTTCGTGAAAATTAGTAAATTGTAATTTAGATTCAAGGAACATTACCTGGAATAAAACACAGAACCTAAAGGAAGTGAGATATAGAAAGTGCATTAGGAACACATGTTACACAGTGAAGAGATGCTACTGTGTCTGGAATTGGTGGGTTCTTGGTCTCACTGACTTCAAGAATGAAGTCGCGGACCCTCGCAGTGAGTGTTACAGTTCTTAAGGCGGCGCGTCTGGAGTTGTTAGTTCCTCCTGGTGGGTTCGTGGTCTCGCTGGCTTCAGGAGTGAAGCTGCAGACTTTCATGGTGAGTGTTACAGCTCATAAAGGCAGTGTGGACCCAAAGAGTGAGCAGTAGCAAGATTTATTGTAAAGAGCAAAAGAACAAAGCTTCCACAGTGTGGAAGGGGACCCCAGCTGGTTGCCACTGCTGGCTGGGGCAGCCTGCTTTTACTCTCTTATCTGGCCCCACCCACATCCTGGTGATTGGTCCATTTTACAGAGAGCCGAGCCGTCTGTTTCCACAGGGTGCTGATTGGTGCGTTTACAATCCCTGAGCTAGACACAAAGGTTCTCCACGTCCCCACTAGATTAGCTAGATACAGAGTGTGGACACAAAGGTTCTCCAAGTCCCCACCAGAGTAGCTAGATACAGAGTGTCGATTGGTGCATTCACAAACCCTGAGCTAGACACAGGGTGCTGACTGGTGTATTTACAATCCGTTAGCTAGACATAAAGGTTCTCCAAGTCCCCACCAGACTCAGGAGCCCAGGTGGCTTCACCCAGTGGATCCCGCACCGGGGCCACAGGTGGAGCTGCCTGCCAGTCCCGCGCCGTGCACCAGCACTCCTCAGCCCTTGGGTGGTCGATGGGACTGGGCGCTATGGAGCAGGGGGCGGCGCTCGTCTCGGAGGCTGCACAGGAGCCCACAGAGGAGGGGGAGAGGCTCAGGCCTGGCAGGCTGCAGGTACCGAGCCCTGCCCCGCCGGAAGGCAGCTAAGGCCCGGCGAGAAATTGAGCACAGCAGTTGCTGGCCCAGGTGCTAAGCCCCTCACTGCCCGGGCAGGCAGGGCCGGCCGGCAGCTCGGAGTGCGGGGCCCGCCAAGCCCACGCCCACCGGGAACTCCAGCTGGCTCGCAAGCGCCACGCTCAGCCCCGGTTCCCGCTCGCGCCTCTCCCTCCAGACCTCCCTGCAAGCTGAGGGAGCCGGCTCCCGCCTTGGCCAGCCCAGAAAGGGGCTCCCACAGTGCAGCGCTGGGCTGAAGGGCCCCTTAAGTGCCGCCAAAGTGGGAGCCCAGGCAGAGGAGGCGCCGAGAGAGAGCGAGGGCTGCGAGGGCCGCCAGCATGCTGTCACCTCTCACTACATATGTGGGTGTTGAAGCCACTTGCCTGTGACTTCTGTCACCTGACTGGACCCTGATTGGTAAGGGTGACCAGGGGCAAAATCAGCAGAGGGGCGCAGCTGGGGGAGCTTGCTGGCCTGGCCACTCACCGAGCTGTGAGCAGCAGGGGAAGCTCCACCCAGGGCCCTAGTGAGTATGGGTGTGGGGGGAGGGGCACGTGGGTGGCCCGGGTCAGTGTCAGGGTGGGCTCCCCCCATCCCACCTTCCCGTTACAGGAGGAGGGTCTCCAGGTTCTTGCTGTTTTGAACAAAGAATTGGGGAAAACGCACAAACAAAGCAAAGAAAGAATTAAGCAACAAAAGCAGAGACTTAACTGAAAGTGAAAGTACACTCCAAACCGGGAGCAGGCCCAAGCATAAGGGCTCAAGAGCCCATTTAGAATTTCCTGGGGTCTAAATACCCTCTAGAGGCTTCCCATTGGTTACTTGGTGTACACCCTATGTAAATAAAGTAGTGGCCCGCAATCAGCCCCAATTAGCACAGCAGGAGTGGGAGGAGGGGCAGCAGCAGGGCAGGAGCTGGGGAGGGTGGGGCCCCGGGCCCAGGTTCTCCTGGGCCGGACAGGCTGCCTGGGCAGAGATTCGAGGTGCCTGTGGATGGTGTCACTTCAGTACCGTGTAGGCACCCTGGTTGTTGATTTCTTCCTGTGGGGAGGGGTGGGAGGCTGAAGGGAGGGGTCTTCTGGGAAGGAGGGATAGGATGGGGTTGACAGCAGAGGTTGAGTATCAGAGGGCGGAGACCCAGCGCCCTGAGGTCTTTTCCCTGGGCAGCTGCCCGTCTGCAGGGACATTGCTTGGTGAGAGGTGGGGAAGTGTTTGGGTGGAGAGAGAGGCTCTCAGGGAACAGAGTCCCTGATCTCAAAGGAGGTCAAGGGCTGTGAGGAGGCGCTGGTGGCCGGGCCTGCTGCATGACGGCCTGTCCCTCCTCGGGGGTCGTGGTGTTGGTCACCATGTCCTTGAGTTTGGAGGGTGTGTTTCTTTCCAGCTCCGTGGGATGATATCTGTTGACAGAATCCATGTAGGTGTCCTTGTCCTCGGTCAGAAACTGGTTCATGACGGTCACGAGCTGCGGGCATAGTTTCTTGGGATCTGCAGGGAGAGTAGGAGCACGTGAGCAGGGAGGGGTGGGTACCCCAGGGCTGCAGCGCAGCCCAGGGTCTCCTGGCAGGGCCTACCCACGAGCAACAGCAGCAGCAGGAGGCCCAGCAACGCCAGGGCTCAGGTGGGCGCCATGCAGTGCGGGGTCAGGGCCGACTAGGGTGTGGGTTACACTTGGGGTGGTGCGGAATCCTCTCCCTCTGGCATTTGGGGAGATGGGGTCTTTAAACTCAGGGTCCTGGGGGCAGGCCCGGTGGGCGTGGCTTGGCTGGGACCTGGAGAGTCGGGGAGAGGTGGAGTTTCTGGTGGCCCAGTGGGCGCAGCAGGTGGCATCTGCCAGGTACCCGCCCCCTTCCTGTCCGGTGGTGCAGGATCTAGGTGGCTGTGCACTGCAGGCATCCATGTGCACTGGGACCCGCAGGTGGCCCAGTGGCCTGTCACATTGTATGTGGGGCGAGAGGCTTGGGTGCACATGTGTGAGAATGGGATTGTGTGTGTGTGAGTAGAATGCGCTGTCGGGAGTGTGTGGGGTGTTTGGTACCTGAGGTTGGGGTGTGTGACTGTGTGGGACAAGCGTCTGTGATTATCTGAATATGCGGGTGTGATTGTGGCTGGGACCGGCCTTGTGGCTGCCTCTGCCCTCCTTGTCTGAGAGAGACAGGGAGACATTGAGAAAGCCTGGTGTGGGGACCCTGTGGGACAGGGACAGGGGACCCCTCTGCACTTTGTACAATCTGGGGACCCTCCCCAAGGGGAAAAGCCAGCTACAGTGGAAAAGCACTGGCTGAGTGGGCTTCGTCCTGGGGAGAGAGGCTGGGAGACTGCAGCTGAAAGGTGTGGGCTCCAGGAGGGCCGCAGGGGGCTGAGCATCAGGGTCAGGGAACAGAGGACCTGGGAGCAGAGGGCCGCCCTCCCTCCATCTTCCTTCCTTCTCTGGACCCCAGAGCACTGTGTCCCCTTCCCACTTGCACAGCTACAGGTGGAGCCAGCTGGGGGGCTTTCTAGAGGGAGTGGGGTCCTCTGAGGGCCAAGAGGGCCAGGTCCCTGAGGACCTGAGGCCCCTCTGGGCCTCCCAGGGCTGGGCCTGTGGCTCTGACCTGCTTTGTCCTGGGAGGGACATGCTCAGTGGTGGGGTTTGTGTAGCTGTCACTCACTCACCTGCCTGTGCCCAGCCACTCACCTCTCACTCCCATCAGCCCCACCCAATACACACGTGGGCCCTCAACTGCCATGAGGGGTAGTTCCTGCCTGTGTCACACACATCCATCCCACCCACCACACTGCAGGTTACAGGACTGCCCCACAAGTGCCACCATGCCCGCATGAGGTCACCTGCATGACATGACCAGATCGTGCACTTTCTGTGCCAGGGCCAGGGCAAGCTTGCACTTTCAGCCTTGGGGACATGGGGGATGGTGGTGGCTGGTGGCCAGGGAGTCACCAGGCTGGAGACATCATCTACCTCCAGGAGAGGGTTGATATCAGACATCTCCCGTGCACCACTTTGAGCCACCTCAGCCTCACTTGGGACTCTGGCTGGCACTGGGACCAGCAGTTCCATGAAGGTTTAGACCATCTCTAGGCTTAGGAAGGGCCTCCCTTGTCATCACTGTGGTCCAGGCTGCACGCCTTGTGACCAAGGGCTCTGGACAACAGATGCAGCCAGCCAGAGTGTGTGGGTGAGGGGCCTGGGCACAGGAGGGACGCAAGGCCTGCACTCTCATGGCCACCATTTCAGAGGGAGGACAGCAATTGTTTGGGTTTGTCCTGTGAGCGGTGGCAGAGAGCAGGGCCCAGGGCAGGTCCAGGGTCAGAAAGGCATCCCGTGCTGCAGCCTTGGGGCCACCAGGTACATGATGGGGCCGGTGTGGGGGCGTCCCCTGTGCCAAACACCTGGGCAGGAGGTGCCCTGGGGTCAGTGGATGGGTCAGGGCATTTGCAGGATTTCTGGTTTCTGTTAGAAATGCATGTCCTGGAGGATGAAGAAAGAGGGGAGGGGGTGGTTGGGAGGGAGATACAGCTCCCGCTGCTTCCTGGCCTCTAAGTGGGGGTGATGGGTGGGTGAGTGGCAGAGGGGTCAGCGGGAGCTGCAAGGCTGAGCCAGGGAAAGGGAGGCAGCAGGGATGCAGGCCTTGCCTGAGGCTGACTCAGGGCTAGGGCTTCTCAGTGGCCGGGGCCCTAGAGCTTCCGGACAAGGAGTTTGCTGGAACAGTGACACAGCACACAACACAGCACAACTGGACACAACACAACCTGGCACAGCAGAGCACCATGCAGTGCACTGGGCTGCAGTAGAGCGTGGAGTGGGGTCTGTGGGACCCAGGGAGTCATGGAGCAAACTGACCTGAGCCACGTCCCTCAGCCAAGGCACAGGCACCTGGCCTTGAGCCACCTACTTGCTTGTGACACCCTCATGCCCTGGTGTCCCTGGGCAGGGCTGGGGCTGCTGTCCAAGGTGAGGTCTGACTAATCCCCTGCCTCTAACCCCCAGTTTTGGGAACTTGAGCATCTTCTAAGGGACCCAGTGGTGCTGTTGGGATTTCTGGGCACCTGGCCACACTGGCTCCCACTGTAGTCTGGCCTTGGGGCCTGCATGGCCTCTGCTTATTGAGCCCTGTCGTTCTCTGCCAGGGACCGTTGGCCCTGTGGCCAGGCTGGCTCCTGGAGAATGGCCTGTCCCCAAAGCCTCCCAGCTCAACTGCTTTGCTTTTCTCCCGCACTGGGAGGTGGGAGCCAGGTTGACACTAGGGGAGGAGCTCCCTCAACTGTGGGTTCACCTTAGGGTTGTGGGCAGGGTTTTGGGAGATGAGACTTTCTGGATAGGGGCTGGAGGTCAACAGCGTGCTGAGTGGGGAGTAGTCCCTTAGCAGAGGTGTCCCATGGGGGAGGGGTGGGGTGGGCGGGGAGGACAACCCGGCTGTGGAGGAGCTGGGGCAGGCAGGTTACACGGGTGCAGCTCACACTCCCTCCTTCTCCCCATTGTCTCTTCCCCCCAGTCCTCTCCTGTCTCTTCCTCCCTGCCCTGTTCTTTCTCTCTTTCCCCTCTGCATCTCCATCTTCTTGTCTCTTTTTCTTTATTCATTTATCCTCCCCTTCACTTTCCCTTTCTCCCTTTCCCTCCTCCCATGGCCTCTCATCTTTCTATTGTGACATATGACACAAATACAGACTAGGACACACCATATAAACTGTATCTTAAGTGATGTCTGTGATGCAAACCTCACAATACCCCTGCAGTTGAAGAAAGGTCATGGTGAGCTCCTCCCGGCACCAGCCTCACTGCCTAGAGTTGACCCCTGTCCTGACTTTGTGGTTTTCTGTTATTTTAGTGGATGGTTTTGCTACCTGAACATCTGCACATACAGTAAACATTAATTTTGGCTTTTTATAATTTTTATGGCCGTAGTCATCGTGTGTGTTCTCCTGTATCTTACTTTTTTGTTCAACATTGCTGTTGCTATCAATCCACATTGCTGTCTTTATGGTTTAAAAAATCTGCCATTGTGTACTGATTCTATTATCATGAACAACACTATAGGGAGCTTTTATGTGTGGATGTCCTGGCACACATTTACATTCACATTTGTTAGGGTTTGTGCCCATGTGTGGAATTTTAGGTGATAAGATATTCATATTCTTGACTGTTCTAGGAAACAGGAAACCTTTGAAGCAGTTGTACAATGCACACCCCCAGCCACACTGTAGTATTTCCTACTGCTCTAGATCGCCACAAGGTGGCATTGTCAGTGTCGTGTGAACCATCTGGTAGGCAGGTGTCAGGGGCGTCGGCATCTCATTGGGTTTCCATTTGCATTTTGTGGTGTAATGAGGTTGAGGCCTCTTCATATGTTTATCAGTCATTTAGTGAAATGTGAGTAGAAGGCTTTTTCCGCACTTTTATTGTTTTTTTTTGTTTGTTTGTTTGTTTGTTTGTTTTTTTGGAGACAGGGTCTCTCTCAGCCGCCCAGGCTAAAGTACAGTGGCATGATCTCGGTTCACTGCAGCCTCAACCTCCTGAGCTCAAGCGATCCTCCTGTTTCAGCCTCCTGAGTAGCTGGAACTACAGGCACATACCACTGTGCCTGGCTAATTTTTGTATTTTCAGTAGAGACGGATTTCACCATGTTGCCCAGGCTGGTCTTGAACTCCTGTGCCTTGGCCTCCCAATGTGCTAAAGGAGTTCTTTATATTTTCTTGATAAGAGCCCTTGTTTGGTTATTTGTGGGAAATGTGTTCCCCAACACTGTGGATCAGCTTTGTATTTTCCTTATGGTTTTTAATGAGCAGAAGTTTAAAGTTTAATATAATTAAATTTATCAATGTTATACTTTATGCTTCATGTTGTGTGTGTGTGTGTGTGTGTGTGTTGTTTAAAAAACATTTTTATCTCTTTATTGTTATTTTTAATATGGTTTTATTCCTTTGGAAAAAAGATTCTCATGTCATGGTCATAAAGATATTCTTCTACATAAAGATTTGTAAAGTCTTTATTGTTTTGGATTGCCCATTGAGGTCTCTAAAGTACATGGAATGGACTTTTACGTGAAGTGTGGGTAAGAACTCCCTTTCTTTTTAATTATATAGATTCCCTGCTGTCCCAGTTTAGGACAGGGTTGTGTAATCTTTTGGCTTCCACGGGCCACACTGAAAGAAGAAGAATTGTTTTGGGTCACACATAAAATACACTAACATGGCCCGGCGCGGTGGCTCACACCTGTAATCCCAGCACTTTGGGAGGCCAAGGCAGGTGGATTACGAGATCAAGAGATTAAGACCATTCTGGCCAACATGGTGAAAGCTCCTCTCCACTAAAAATACAAAAAAATTAGCTTGGAGTGGTGGCACACACATGTAGTCCTAGCTACTTGGGAGGCTGAGGCAGGAGAATTGCTTGAACCTGGGAGGCAGAGGTTACGATGAGCCGAGATCAGGCCACTGCACTCCAGCCTGGTGACAGAGCAAGACTCCATCTCAAAAAAATTAAATTAAATTAAAAAAAAATACACTAACACTAACAATAGCTAATGAGCTAAAAAAAAAAATCACAGAAAAACTCATAATGTTTTTAAAAAGTTTACAAATTTGTGTTGGGCCACATTCAAAGCTGTCCTGGGCTGCATGGGGCCTGCAGGCCGCAGGTTGGACAAGCTTGGTTTAAGAGAAGATGGCCCTTATTCCATTATTCTCAGTGTCCCTTTTGTCAACAACCAAGTGCCCCATAGAGGGACATAGTTTGCTTCTGGGTTCCCTATTTCATGTCGCTGGTCTCTTTGTCTGTCTCTATGCCAGTGTGGCACTGCGTTGAGTACACACTAAAGCTTTACTTAGTTCTTGACTCTGGCAGAGGGAGTCCTTCTACTTTGGCCTTGTTCCTAGAATGTCTTTGCTGGTTTTGGCCCTCTACAGTGCCAGATGTTTAGAAACAGCTTTTTGAATTCAATTTGGAGAGAACTGAAATTTTGATAATATTGAATATTCCTCTCCATAACACTGGTACATGTTGCCATTTATTTTGGTCTCCCTTATTTTATCACAATAATTTTTTACATATGTATTTCTTTTTTTTAATGTCATTGCACGTTTATTTATTTATTTTTTTATTATACTTTGAGTTCTAGGGTACATGTGCATAACATGCAGGTTTGTTACATAGGTATACATGTGCCATGTTGGTTTACTGCACCCATCAACTCATCGCCTACATTAAGTATTTCTCCTAATGGTATCCCTACCCCAGCCCCCCACCCCCGACAGGCCCCGACATGTGATATTCCCTGCCCTGTGTCCATGTGTTCTCATTGTTCAACTCCCACCTATGAGTGAGAATATGTGGTGTTTGGCTTTCTGTCCTTGTGATAATTTGCTGAGAATGATGGTTTCCAGCTTCATCCATGTCCCTGCAAAGGACATGCACTCATCCATTCTTATGGCTGCATAGTATTCCATGGTGTATATGTGCCACATTTTCTTAATCCATTCTATCATTGATGGACATTTGGGTTGGTTCCAAGTCTTTGCTATTGTGAATAGTGCTGCAATAAACATATGTGTACATGTGTCTTTATAGTAGAGTGATTTATAATTCTTTGGGTATATACCCAGTAAAGGGATCGCTGGGTCAAATGGTATTTCTAGTTCTAGATCCTTGAGGAATCGCCACACTGTCTTCCACAATGGTTGAACTAATTTACTCTTCAACCAACAATGTAAAAGCATTCCTATTTCTCCACATCCTCTCCAACATCTGTTGTTTCCTGATTTTTAATGATCGCCATTCTAACTGGTATCTCACTGTGGTTTTGATTTGCATTTCTCTGATGACCAGTGATGATGAGCATTTTTTCATATATCTGTTGGCTGCATAAATGTCTTCTTTTGAGAAGTGTCTGGTCATATCCTTTGCCCACTTTTTGATGGGGTTGTTTGCTTTTTTCTTGTAAATTTGTTTAAGTTCTTTGTAGATTCTGGATATTAGCCCTTTGTCAGATGGGTAGATTACGAAAATTTTCTCCAATTCTGTAGGTTGCTTGTTCACTCTGATGATAGTTTCTTTTGCTGTGCAGAAGCTCTTTAGTTCAATTAGATCCCATTTGTCTATTTTGGCTTTTGTTGCCATTGCTTTTGGTGTTTCAGTCATAAAGTCTTTGCCCATGCCTAGGTCCTGAATGGTATTGCCTAGGTTTTCTTCTAGGGTTTTTATGGTGTTAGGTCTTACATTTAAGTCTTTAATCCATCTTGAGTTAATTTTTGTATAAGGTGTAAGGAAGGGATCCAGTTTGAGCTTTCTACATATGGCTAGCCAGTTTTCCCAGCACCATTTATTAAATAGGGAATCCTTTCCCTGTTGCTTGTTTTTGTCAGGTTTGTCAAAGATCAGATGGTTGTAGACATGTGGTGTTATTTCTGAGGGCTCTGTTCTGTTCCATTGGTCTATATATCTGTTTTGCTACCAGTACCATGCTATTTTGGTTACTGTAGCATTGTAGTATAAAGTCAGGTAGCATGATGCCTCCATCTTTGTTCTTTTTATTTAGGATTTTCCTGGCTATGCAGGCTCTTTTTTTGTTCCATATGAACTTTAAAGTAGTTTTTTCCAATTCTGTGAAGAAAGTCATTGGTAGTTTGATGGGGATAGCATTGAATCTATAAATTACCTTGGGCAGTATGGCCATTTTCACGATATTGATTCTTCCTACCCATGAGCATGGAATGTTCTTCCATTTGTTTGTGTCCTCTTTTATTTCACTGAGCAGTGCTTTGTAGTTCTCCTTGAAGACATCCTTCACATCCCTTGTAAGTTGGATTCCTAGGTATTTTATTCTCTTTGTAGTAATTGTGAATGGGAGCTCACTCATGATTTGGCTCTCCGTTTGTCTATTATTGGTGTATAGGAATGCTTGTGATTTTTGCACACTGATTTTGTATCCTGAGACTTTGCTGAAGTTGCTTATCAGCTTAAGGAGATTTTGGCTGAAACGATGAGGTTTTCTAAATATAAAATCATGTCATCTGCAAACAGGGACAATTTGACTCCTCTTTTCCTAATTGAATACCCTTTCTTTCTTTCTCTTGCCTTATTGCCCTGGCCAGAACTTCCAACACTGTGTTGAATAGGAGTGGTGAGAGAGGGCATCCTTCTCTTGTGCTGGTTTTCAAAGGGAATGCTTCCAGTTTTTGCCCATTCAGTATGATACTGGCTGTGGGTTTATCATAAGTAGCTCTTATCATTTTGAGATACGTCCCATCAATACCTAGTTTATTGAGAGTTTTTAGGATGAAAGGCTGATGAATTTCATCGAAGGCCTTTTCTGCATCCATTGAGATAATCATGTGGTTTTTGTCATTGGTTCTGTTTATGTGATGGATTACGTTTATTGATTTGTGTATGTTGAACCAGCCTTGCATCCCAGGGATGAAGCCAACTTGATCATGGTGGATAAGCTTTTTTGATGTGCTGCTGGATTCGGTTTGCCAGTATTTTATTGAGGATTTTCGCATGGATGTTCATCAGGGATATTGGCCTAAAATTCTCTCTCTTTTTTTTTTTTTTTTTTTTTTGTTGTTGTTGTTGTTGTTGTTGTGTCTCTGCCAGGCTTTGGTATCAGGATGATGCTGGCCTCATAAACTGAGTTAGGGAGGATTCCCTCTTTTTCTGTTGATTGGAATAGTTTCAGAAGGAATGGTACCAGCTCCTCTTTGTACCTCTGGTAGAATTCGGCTGTGAATCCATCTGATCCTGGACTTTTTTTGGTTGGCAGACTATTAATTATTGCCTCAATTTCAGAACCTGTTATTGGTCTATTCAGAGATTCAACTTCTTCCTGGTTTAGTCTTGGGAGAGCGTATGTGTCCAGGAATTTATCCATTTCTTCTAGATTTACTAGTTTATTTGTGTAGAGGTGTTTATAGTGTTCTCTGATGGTAGTTTATATTTCTGTGGGATCAGTGGTGATATCCCCTTTATCATTTTTTTATTGCATCTATTTGATTCTTCTCTCTTTTCTTGTTTATTAGTCTTGCTAGCAGTCTATCTATTTTGTTGATCTTGTCAAAAAACCAGCTCCTGGATTCATTGATTTTTTTTGAAGGGTTTTTTTGTATCTCTATCTCCTTCAGTTCTGCTCTGATCTTAGTTATTTCTTGCATTCTGCTAGTCTTTGAATTTGTTTGCTCTTGAATCTCTCGTTCTTTTAATTGTGATGTTAGGGTGTCGATTTTAGATCTCTCCTCCTTTCTCTTGTGGGCATTTAGTGCTATAAATTTCCCTCTACACACTGCTTTAAATGTGTCCCAGAGATTCTGGTATGTTGTCTCTTTGTTCTCATTGGTTTCAAAGAAGATCTTTATTTTTGCCTTAATTTTGTTATTTACCCAGTAGTCATTCAGTAGCAGGTTGTTCAGTTTCCATGTATTTGTGCAGTTTTGAGTGAGTTTCTTAATCCTGAGTTCTAATTTGATTGCACTTTGGTCTGAGAGACAGTTTGTTGTGATTTCTGTTCTTTTACCTTTGCTGAGGAGTGTTTTGCTTCCAATTATGTGGTCAATTTTAGAATAAGTGCGATGTGGTGCTGAGAAGAATGTATATTCTGTTGATTTGGAGTGTAGATTTCTGTAGATGTCTATTAGGTCCGCTTGGTGCAGAGCTGAGTTCAAGTCCTGGATATCCTTGTTAATCTTCTCTCCATTGATCTAATACTGACAGTGGGGTGTTAAAGTCTCCCATTATTATGGTGTGGGAGTCTAAGTCTCTTTGTAGGTCTCTAAGGACTTGCTTTATGAGTCTGGGTGCTCCTGCATTGGGTGCATATATATTTAGGATAGTTAGCTCTTCTTGTTGAATTGATCCCTTTACCATTATGTAGTGGCCTTCTTTGTCTCTTTTGATCTTTGTTGGTTTAAAGTGTGTTTTATCAGAGACTAGGATTGCAACCCCTGCTTTTTTTTGCTTTCCATTTGCTTGGTAGATCTTCCTCCATCCCTTTATTTTGAGCCTATGTGCATCTTTTCACATGAGATGGGTCTCCTGAATACAGCACACTGATGGGTCTTGACTCTTTATCCAATTTGCCAGTCTATGTTTTAATTGGAGCATTTAGCCCATTTACATTTAAGGTTAATGTTGGTAATACATATGTATTTCTATGGTGCTCTTATACATGTATTAATTGATTTATTCCAAGGTATCTGTTCTTTTTAATGCCACTGTAAATATTGCATTCTCTTAAAGTGTCAGTTTATAAATGTTCGTGCTGCCATATAGAAAAGTATAATTATTCTATATTGTTTCGTATTCAGCATTCAAAAACTCTTTAATATATTCTCTGTAGATGCTCTAAGATTATTTATATAAATATATCTAATGCATATTTGCTTTTTCCTCCTCAATCTTCATATATTTTACTTGTCTTGCTTTATTCCACTTGTAGAATCTCTAGTACAATGTTAGATAGCAATGGTGAAAGTAGGCATTTTTGTTTAGTATCTGAACTCAAGATGAATTTCTTTTTTGCTTGTTTCTTTCTTTTGCTCTTGATAGCATTTTATCTTACATAAATTGTTAAATTTCACATAATTTTAGGCTTATAAGAAAGTTATACAACATTTTAAAAGTATTTCTGGTTACCCTTCGTTCAGATTCTAAAGGATAGCTTTTGATATTTCACCATTACATAAGAAGTTTAACATCAGATTTTTTTCGTAGGTGGTCTTCATTAGATTAAGATATATTATGCTACTTCTATTTTCTAAGAGAATTTTTAAATTTTCTTTGAGACAAGGTTGTGCTTTGTTACCTGGGCTGAAGTGCAGTGGTGCAGTCATGGCTCACTGCAGCCTCATCCTCCTGGGCTTAAGCGATCCTCCCACCTCAGCCTCCCGAGTAGCTGGGATTTTAGGTGGGTGCCACCACATCTGGCTAATTTTTGTAATTTTTGTAGAGACAACATTTTGCCATATTGCCCAACATGGTCTTGAACTCCTGGCTCAAGTGATCTGCCCACCTCGGCCTCCCAGCGTGCTGGAACTATAGGCATGAGCCACTGCACCCTCTGTAAAGGAATTTTTTAAATCAAGAAAAGATGAATTTTATAACATATCTCACTTGCATTTAATGAAATATGCATACAGTTTTTTCCCTTAGGCTCTGAATGTGTTAAATTACATCAAATAATTTTGTAATTTGAAACCTACCGTGCGTTGCTGGTGTAAATCCTCCTTAATCAGCATATAGTTTTCTTTATATGTAATTTCATTCACTTTGCCAATATCTTGCATAGAACATTTTGTCTATGTCCTTGAGTGGTTGGATTTTGGTGTCAACATGATACCAGCTCATTATGAATTGGGGGATGTAGAGGTGATGTATATTTATTCCAACAGGGTTAGTCTTCATTCCATAGCCTGCTTTGTACCCCAGGACCTGATCTTTTCTGGATTGCATTGTTGGGCAATGTTGCCCTTTGGTTTTTTTCAGGGCTACAGTTTGGCAGTGGCTGCATTCCTCCTGTGACCTTGGCCTCTCCTGCAGTTACATGTCTTACTGGATTGTAGAAATGGCTCCTTTTCCTTGCCTCTCGTTAGATATGTTGCTCTTGCTTGCCTTGGGTTTCTCACTTTTCTTATTGGTTTCCCTTAACTTTGCTCACAGCACAGCCATAAGCCTGTGAACCAGAAGGTATCTGAGAGAGGTCTCAATCAACTTAGAAAATATTTTTCGAAGGCTAAGGATCTGCCCATGACATAGATTCAGGAGGTCCTGATGACATGTGCCCAAGGTGGTCAGAGTACAGCTTGCTCTTACACACTTTAGGGAGACATAATACATCAATCAGTGCGTGTAAGATTTACATTGGTTCCATCTGGAAGGGCAAGAGGACAACTTGAAGTGGGGTTGGGGGGGCATCCAGGTCTTAGGTAGTTTTAAAATTTTTCTGATTGGCAATTGGTTCAAAGAGTTATTGTCAATAAAAAGGAATGCCTGGGTTGTGGTAAGGGTTTGTGGAGACCAAGGTTTTATCCTGCAGATTAAGCCTCCAGGTAGCAGGCTTCAGAACGAATAGATTTGTAAATGTTTCTTATCAGACTTAAGGTCTGTGTTGATGTTAAACCTTGGTCAGCTTTTCCTGAATTCCAAAAGGGAATTGGGTATAATGAGGCAGGTCTGACTCCTCCTTCCATCTTCACCTGAACTAGTTTTTCAGGTTAACTTTGGAATGCCATTGGCCAAGAGGAGGGGTCCATTCAGATGGTTGGGGGCCTTAGAATTTTATTTTTTGTTTACAGCCATTCATTAAACTCTTGTCCTATGTCCTGCATGAGTGTGCCATTTCCTTCCTGCAGGGACACTGATTGGTACAGAGAATGTACCCTCATTGTTTATTCTTTGGAAGAATTTACATAAGATTGGAGTGGTGTAAGTGCCCGAAGGATTCTTCCTGCCTGCTGCACAAACAAATCAATTCAGGGAGACCGTGGCATTGCAGAGGGTTTAATTGATGGGAGGCTGGCCATGCCATGGGGGAAACAGAGTTAACATCAAAGTGATCTCATTGAAGGCCCAGAGGCTAGGGGTTTTTCAAAGACTCTTGGTGGGCTGGGGGCTAGGGTATGTGGAGTGCTGATTTCTTGGATTGGAGATGAATTCATAGAGAGTTGAAGCTGTCTTTTTGCATGCAGTTCCTTCTGGGTGGGGCCACAGGAACAGCTGGTGAATCTAGGTGGAGCCATTGGTGTTAGACATACAAAAAAACCTGAAAAGACTTCTCAAAAGGCCAATCTCAGGTTCTAAAATAGTGATGGTATCTGCAGAAGTAACTGGAGAAGTTGCATATCTGTGTGACTGCCAGAATAATTGCTGGCAATTATTTAATATGTTTGTTAAATTTAATTTTTTGTTTTAATAGCTTTATTAACATATAATTGACCTGTAACAAGTATGTTTATCTAAAGTGTATAATTTGTAACTTTTGTTTGTACTTTGGCCAAATTAAGGCTCCTCTATCCTAGCCTGATGGTCTCTCATTAGCTTTACATAAACAGTTGAGTTTTGGGGAAGTTGAGCTTTAAATAGTATCATTTAAAGTATTAACTAAATGTTTCTTTTTGATGTTTCTCTCTTCATTAACCTATTAAGTTGATTCTAATTTTATTTTAAAATCTTGTATATGTTTATTAAATTAATTTTTTTGTTTTAATAGCTTTATTGAAATATATTTTACATATAACAAGTATGTTTGTCTAAAGTATATAATTTGTAACTTTTGACACTTGTAAAAATCAGAACAACTACCATAATAATCAAAATAATGAACACATCTCACAACCAACATCATGTGATCTTCTAAGAGATAAAGTTTTACTTCTTTTTTTTCTGATTTAGATGGCTTTTTTTTTCTTGCCTCGTTGCTCTGGGTGGGACTTCCAGTACCATGTTAAATACGAGTGGTACGAGTAGGCATCCTCATCTTGTTCCTGATCTTAGAGGAAATGATTTCAATTTCTCTTTATTGATTATGATGTTAGCAGTGGGTTTTTATATATTACCATATTTGTGTTGAGGTAAGTTCCTTCAGTATCTATTTTGGTGATGGTTTCAGTATGAATGGATATTGAATATTATCAAGTGCTTTCTCTGCATCTTTTAAGGTGATCCTGTGGTTTTTATTCTTTATTTTGTTAATGTGGAATGTCATATTGATTCATTGGCATGTGTTGAACTATTCTTTTATTTCAGGGATAAAGTCTACTTGGTCATATTGTATAATTCTGTTAATGTGTGTTGAACTTGGTTTTCTACTATGTTATTGAAGATTTAATTGTGGATATTAGACTGTAGCTTTTTTTCTTTTCTTCTTTTGCTTTTATTATTATTTTAAATGGATGCAGTAATAATTGTATATATTTATGGGTTACAGTGGTATTTCAATACATGCATACAATGTGTAATGACCAAAGCAGGGTGATTAGCATATACACCTCCTCAAACATTGATCATTACTTCGTATTGGGAACATGCAGTATCTGCTCTTCTAGGTATTTGAAAATATACAATAAATTGTATATTACACTCACCCTACAATCCTATAGAACACTAGAAGTTAGTCTTCCTATCTAGCTGCACTTTTGTATCCATCCATCAACTTTTGGCTATAGTCCCACCTCCCCCAACTACTTCCTGCCTCAAGTAACCATTATTCTACACTCTTCTTCTATGAGAGCAGCTTTTTTACTTCCACATGTGAGTGAGAACACATAGGATTCATCCTTCTGTACCTGGCTTCTTTTGCTTAAAACAATGACTCCAAGCTCATCCATGTTGCTGCAAATGACAGCATTTTATTCTTTTTCATAGCTAAATCCTATTTCATTGTGTATGTATACCACATTTTTTTTCATCTGTTCACGTGTTCATGGACACTTAAGTCGATTCCATGTTTTGTCCATTGTGAACAGTGCTGCAATAAACATGAGAGTGCAGATATCTCTTTGATATACTGATTTCCTTTTGCCTGGATGTGTACCCAGTAATGGGATTCTTGATCATATGGTAAATCTATTTTTAGTTTTTGAGGAACCCTCATACTGTTTTTCATAATAACTGTTCTAATTTACATTCCCACCAACAGCACACCAGAGTTCCCTCTTCTTTGCTTCCTCACCAGCGTTTGGTATCTTTTGTCTTTTTCATAGTAGCCATTCTAACTGGGGTGAGGTGATATCTGAATGTGGTTTTGATTGGCATTTTCCTGATGATGAGTGATGTTGAGCATTTTAAAAATACCTGTTGGTGTCTATGGCCATACCACCCTGAACGTGCCAGATCTCATCTAAAAATACCTGTTGGCCATATGTATGTGTCATCTTATGAGAGATGTTTATTCAGCTAATTTATCCATTTTTACATCAGATTACTTGTAGTTTTTCTTCTTGACATTGAATTGTTTGAGTTTCTTGTGTATTCTGGATCTTAATCCCTTGTTGAATGAATAGTTTACAATTTTTTTGGCCATTCTGCAAGTTGTCTCTTCTCTGCAAGTTGTCTCTTCTCTCTGTTGATTGTTTCATTTGCTGTGCAATAGCTTTTTAGTTTAATATAATCCAGTTATCCTATTTTTGCTTTTGTTGCCTGTGCTTTTGGGTTCTTCACTATACACTCTTTGCCCAGATCAGTATTGTAGTATTTCCCCTATGTTTTCTTCAAGCAGTTTCATAGTTTCAGCTTTTAAGTCTGTAAACTATTTCGAGTTGATTTTATCAATATAATGAGAGATAGGGGTCTAGTTTCATTTTTTTTGGCATACGGATATCCAGTTTTTCAGGCACCATTGACTGAAGAGACTGTCCATTCACCAGTAAATGTTCTTGGTGCCTTTGTTGAAAATCACTTGGTTGTAAACAGCTGGATGTGTTTCTGAGTTATCTATTTAGTTTCACTGGTCTATGTGTCTGTTTTTATGCAAGTACCATGCTGTTTTGTTTACTATAGCTTTGTAGTCTATTTTGAAGTCAAGTTATGCCATGCTTTCAGCTTTGTTTTGTTTGCTCAGGATTGCTTTGGCCACTCAGAGTCTTTTGTAGTTTCATATAAATTTTAGGATTATTTTTTCTATTTCTGTGAAGATATCATTGATATTTTGATAGGAATTTCATTGAATCTGCAGATCACTTTTGGTAACATGGTCATTTTCACAATAGTGATCCTTCTAATTATGAACATGGGATATGTTTTCATTTTTTGGTGTCTTCTTCAATTGATTTCCTCAGTATTTTATAGTTGTTTTGGTAGAGGTCTTCTACCTTCTTTGTTAAATTTATTCTGAAGCATTTCTTTTTTTAATAGCTATTTCATATAAGATTGCTTTCTCGATTTCTTTTCTAATTTGTTGTTGATGTCCAGGAATGGTACTGCTTTTAATACGTTGATTTTGTATCCTTCATCTTTAATGAATTCGTTGATCAGTTCTAAGAGTTTTTTTGGTGGTGCTTTAGGGGTTTTCTTTCTAAGAGATTTTTGGTGGTGCTTTAGGGGTTTTCTGTACATAAGATCGTGTCCTCTGCAAGCAGAGACAATTTGACATCCTTCTTTCCAGTCTGGATGCCCTTTATTTCTTCTTGCCTAATCACTCTGGCTAGGACTTCCAGTACTATATTGAATAAAAGTGGTGAAAGTGGACATTCTTGCCTTGTTCCAGATCTCAGAGGAAGAGCTTTGTACTTCTCCCTATTCACTATGATGTTGGCTGTGGGTTTGCCATACATTGATTTACTGTGTTGGGCTACATTCCTTCTATACACAGTTTGTTAAGAGTTTTTACCATTAAGGACTATTGAATTTTATCATGCTTTTTCCACACCTAATGAGATGATCATATGCTTCTTGTACTCATTCTGTTGGTGTAGTGTGTTGCTTTTATTGATTTGTGTATCTGGAAACATTCTTGCATCCCTGGGTTGAATCCCACTTGGTCATGGGGAATGATTACTTTAATGTACTGCTGAATTTGGTTGGCTAGTATTTTGTGGAGAATGTTTGCATCTGTGTTTATCATGGATATTGGCCTATAGTTTTCTGTTGTTGTGTGTGCTTCTCTGGTTTTGGTATCAGGATAATGTTGGTCTTGTAAAATGAATTTGGAAGAATTCCGTACTCTTCAATTTTCAGGAAGAGTTTAGGAAGAATTGCTGTTATTTCTTCCTAAACGTTTGGTTGAGTTCTGCAATGAAGCCATTGGAATCTAGACTTTTCTGTGATAGGAGATATTTTATTACAGATTTAATTTCTGACTTGTAATTGGTCTGTTCAGGAGTTTGATTTCTTTTCGGCTCAATCCCGGTAGGTTATATTTTTCCAGGAATTTATACATTTTTGCTAGGTGTTCTAATTTGTTGTCATATTGTTCATAACAGCCTCTACTGTTATGAGGAAAAATCTAACCATGGAAAATCAACCCTGGATGAAGCCCAATTCCGCAGTGATGTGGCTGCCACCCACACCACAGGTCCACATACTGGTATGAGTCAGGCTCAGCCAGGTGAGCAGGAGGTTTGGCCAAGGGGCACCAGGAAATCCTCATCTTTGCCGTTGGCTCGGCTGGAAGATCCCCAATCTCCATAGGTTTCTTGGGATTAAAGCAGAAAGGTAAATGTCAGGCCTGGTGAGTTTCCAGGTCTCCGGTATGCTCAGCCCCAGCAGCTGAACCACCCCACAAGGGTCAGACGCTCCACCTCTTGCTCCAGTCCCTCTCTCGCTAGATTTTCTGTCCTCTGACCTCAACCAGTGTGACTCAGTGTCTAGTGAAGTCATGCAGAGCCCATGCTGGAGACACATAGGGCATTTACGCCCCGGTTATTGCCCTCAGGACACTTAGGGGATGACTTAGGAGTGGAGGAAGAGGAAATGGTGGGGCTGAGGGTTCACCCTTGACTTGAAGAAGAAGAACAGATGGTCAGGCATTGGAATCACCCTAGCAGAGATCAGAGACAAAAAGAAACTTGACAGATTGGGGCACAACAGAGTGGAAAGCTGGGGTGCACAGGAAGAGGGCAGTGGGATCAGGTCCCAAGGGCATCAGGCTGGGTCTGCCTGTTCAGCTCCTAGGTTCAAGTGATTCTCCTGCTTCAGCCTCCCGAGTAGCGGAGGTTACAAGCACCTGCCACCACACCCAGCTAAAATTTTTTTGGTATTTTTAGTGGAGACGGGGTTTCACCATGTTGGTCAGGCTGGTCTCGAACTCCTGACCTCAAATGATTCACCCATCTCTGCCTCCCAAAGTGCTGGGATTACAAGCATAAGCAACCACACCTGGCCGGTTTATTGATTTTTAAACTCCAAATAGTTATTGCAAAAAGTTTTTTTTTCTTTTAAGTAAATTCACACAAAAAAAGAGAAATCGAAAGTGATGGTGGTGACCAGCAAGAGGAATAATAATTACACATTACACTCATCTTTATGTGTGTGTGTCAGTTCTGTTCAGGTTAACACTGAAACTCCAAACCCAGAACCCAGAGCCTCAAATCTGTGAGTGGAATGTCTTGAGATGGGCACGTGGAAGTCAAAGGATTTCTCTCTTTTTTCCTTCCCTTTTTGAAGTTATACATAAAAACTGTTTACCTTCTGTACTGTTCCGGAACTTTTACATACAGTGTCAGTCCTAGTTGTGAAAGATCCAGGCTGGGCACAGTGGCTCACGTCTGTAATCCCAGCACTTTGGGAGGCCGAGGTGGGCGGATCACGAGGTCAGGAGTTCAAGACCAGCCTGGCCAACATGGTGAAACCCTGTCTCTACTAAAGAAAGATACAAAAAATCAGCTGGGTGTGGTGGCACATGCCTGTAATCCCAGCTACTTGGGAGGCTGAGGCAGGAGAATCGCTTGAACCCGGGAGCCGGAGGTTGCAGTGAGTTGAGATCGCACCACTGCACTCCAGCCTGGGCGACAAAGCAAGACTCCGTCTCAAAATAAATAAATAAATAAATAAAATAAATCATAAAATAAAAAAGAACAATCCAAAGAGAAACTGAATTTGCAGTCCAACACAAAGAGGGGAATTTCTAAAATAAATAATGCAACATGTTCTTTTTGCATTTAAAAAATTCATTTTAATAACCAAAAAAGTATGAAGTTTAAAAATATTAAAGAGTAATATATTAAAACTGTGGAAAAAAGGAAAAAGACACATCACAAAATTTTAACGTTAATACAAAGATCATAATTTAACATAATATATTCTGTGGATTTGCCATCTAGATAAATATGAACAAAATTAATTTAAAAAGCATAGCTTGGCAATAAATATGTTTTGATTAAAGGACATTGTAATTTTAAGAAATTATTCAATTTCATGACAACTTACAGATTATGGGTAGACTCATGGTAACCAGACAAATATTCTCTAACATTTTCCTTATTCTTTCAAACACATGTGAAATGCTTTTGCATCCTCAGAGAACTTACATCAACAGCTTCTTTGTCCAAAATTTCTCAGGACATTTTTAACTGTTTTCATTAACTTATAGTTGAAACTCGTGGCCTTTGATCGTTAAAAGCTGAATGTTATGTGTGTCTGAATTAAATAACATGAGATTTATTCTTGTCTTTATCTCCATGGATTTAAATTCCACCTACATGTTGAAAGCATATATTTTTGTCTCCAGGCCTGAGTCTCCCATGAGCTCCAAACTAGCGTGTCTCACAGTTTCTGTGTCTCATCCTCCTGGATGGCTAATGGATATCTTGATTGGAAACTTATCCAGGCCAGTGTGGGATTCCGGATCTTTGCCCTAAACCTGCTTCTCCCCAGGCTTCACCTCTCAGGAGTGGCATCGCATCCACCCAGCTGCTCCAGCCCAACGTGACCCCCTTCCCCACTGCCCCTTGTTCCAGGTACACTGGCCATTTCTCCGACACACTAAACCCTTTCTCATCATGCTGCATTCTCTGCCCCAGACCTTCACCTGGTGGCTGCCTCAGGTTATTCAGGACTCGGGAGATGTCTCCTCACGTGCCTTCTGGGACCACCTGACCCAATGTGGCACCCCAAGCCAGTCCCACCCGATCACATTTCCCTGTTGGGTGGTCCTTGTGGTTCTCATCACTATTACAATTTTCTTCAGCTTTACAACCCCCTCTTCACCTTGGATGTGAACTTCAGGGAAGCAGCGCCCTCATCTGCCTTGTTCTTCATGGGGTGTCCGGCTCTGGGAAAAGGCCTGACCTGTGGCAGGAGACACTCCTTCCCTGGCTGAGTGCATGGGTGATGACTGGGGCAGACAGTGTGTTAAGTGAAGGCAATTCTGGGGACAAAGGCGAGAAGACGTGGCCTGAGATGGGGGCCAGAAATGTCTGACCCGGGAGGAAATGACAGCTGAGAGGTAACAAAAAGAATGAGTGGAGAGGAGAAAGGATATTTGGGGCAGTGAGAGTCTGGGAGGGAGACAGAGGAGTTTAGGGCAGTGTGGGCTGATGGGCACAGGTGGCCATTGCCCAGGAGATCCAAGGAGCCTGCAGAAAGGGCCTGAGGTTTGGGGAGGGACCTTCCCCAGAGGGAGTTGGTGGAGCCTTGTCAATGCATTGAAGGCCAC
Organism: Homo sapiens; assembly: GCF_000001405.40. Classification (NCBI taxonomy): domain Eukaryota; kingdom Metazoa; phylum Chordata; class Mammalia; order Primates; family Hominidae; genus Homo; species Homo sapiens. The sequence continues at coordinate 34,647,294 of NC_000019.10, read as the reverse complement.
TGAGACCTCCAGCGAGGACGAAATCAACTGAAGGGTGAGGTGGGACAGAGGCACCATGCCTGAGAGTGGTGCTCGTTCCCTGTGACCTCAGTGTCCCCTGTCATGGTCACATGGCCACAGAGACCCCCATGGCTTCATGCAGATTGCCTGGTCCCAACAGCCCGAGGAGCAGAGCTGAGCTGCAGGTATTTATGGGGACGCTGAGGCCTGTGACTCAGCCAGGAGGGCAAGGTTTCCCAGCCTCCAGCATCTGGAGTCCTGGGGGGTTGGGTCAAGGCGGGGTGGGGTTGTGCTGGGGGTAGAGAGAAGGAGGACTTGGGTAGGAGGAGATGGAGGATTGTGTTAGGGTTGATTTCCTGGGCTCAGAAAACACACATGTGTACACATTCCTGTTGAGTTCTTCCTCAGTCACGTAATTTCGCAGGCAGACCCTGGTCACACACTGCATATGTGGTCACAGCCAACCCCACAGAGACGCCAGAATACAGAGCTGAGCTGCAGGTGTTTACTGGGGATTGTTTGTTGATGGATAGAGTCAGGCCAGGAGTGTGGGGAGCCCTGAGGAAGGGAGGGCCAGGTGGGTTGCAGGGGTCCTCAGATCAGAAGGAAGTATCTACACATCTTTGCAGTCATCGCTGACAACGATCCTAGACTGTTGGGAAAGAAATAAAGTGGGGACCTGGGAGCCTCTGTGAAAGCATCCCCAGACCCATCATTAACACCCAGTCCCAGAGGTCAGAGGAGCTCCTTAAGGTCTGTCCATTTCTTGGGGATCCCAGGCTCTGGACAAACACAGTGAGTGTGGGTTGTGACTCCTGCTTGAGTGTGACTCTGCATGTGTTGGTGTAACACACGTGTATGCATGTGCCTGTGCAGGCATGGAGTGTGTGTGTTGCTGTTAACAGCATCCTGTGTGAGTGTGTGTTGCTGTGTGCTCATCATCAGTGCATTGATGTAGTGATTGTGGTTCCCTGTGTCCCTGGGCCTCTCCCGGGCACCAGGGGCAGAGGTTCTCCCCTTGCAGGGTTGCAGTGTCTGGGTTCAGGGCTGAAAAAGGTGAGGCAGGAGGCCCTGTTGAGGCCTGTGGGCACCTTCATCTGATCATGAGCATCCTGGGATGTGGCTTCCTGCTCAGGATATGGCAAGCAGGAAGGGAAGGTAAGTGCAGGGCATAAGGCCTGGGACTTGTGGCTGTGCAGCATGTGCAGGTTCCCCAGGGCACACTTACCATATTCCAACAACAGCAAGGCTTTCTGGGAATGAAACAGAGGCAAAGCATTGCTAGAACTTGAGGAAGGACTCCTCTGTCAGGGGGCTGGGGTTGTATTGAGCAAGCTCCCGCTTCAGGTCCTCTGGGTATGCAAAAGCAACTCTCCCAAACAACTTATAGAAATCCAGGCAGGCATCCCCTGTGGTGGATGAGGCAAGATAAGAAAGCAGCAGAGGTCAGAATTCACTGAAACCTCCCCTGGCAAATGTCTGCAATAGTGACAGCTGAGACCCTGGGATGGCAATGACGGTGAAGGAGCAGGGCCACCTGTTTCCTCTCAGCCCTGCCCGCTTCTTTCTCACCCAGCTGGACGCTGCAGATTAGAGCCAGCAGAAGAGCACAGGCGGTGGGTGTCATCCTCATGACAGTGGAGTCTGGTCCCAGCAGGCAGAGGCAGGGACTTGGCCATGGATGAGCTTTATGTGTATCTGGACAACTGACACACACCTTCGTGTGTGTGTGTGTGTGTGTGTGTGTGTGTGTCTGTGTCTGTGTGTGTCTGTGTGTGTCTGTGTGTCTGTGTATGCACATAAGTGGGGTCAGGGCAGGTCTGCAGAGAGACCCAGGGCCCTTGGCTATGCTGTTGGGCTGGCAGCATATCAGGAACTCAGCTCAGCCTGCAGTGGGAGGGGTTGGGTGTTGGCGTGACAGTCTCTGTCCTCCCTGGAGTGTCCTGGGATTGGGAACGGGCTGAGCACTGTGGTGTGAGCGCGCAGGTCTGTGTGTGCATGTGTGCCCAGGAGCCCCTGGGGCATGACCCTGTGTCTTGGCAAATGTATCTGCACCTGGCATCCCCTAGATCAGAATCTGCCACCGAGTCCAGGCTCAACAAACATTTGCTAAGTGAGTTTGTCTGAATGTTTGCCTGTGCGTTTATTGTCCCTTCACGAAGATATTTCTGGGTAGACATCTGGGTTCGTGTGTGTGTTTCTCCCTGTGTCTGTGTTCATGAGCGACACCTGGGCGTGCAGTGGAAGGAGCACAGGCTCTGGACTGCACACTTGGGTGAGGCACTTTCAGCTCTGAAGACACAGAAACTCAGCTTGCTCATCTGTGAAACTGACAGCAATTCCCACCTCCCAAGCTCGTTGTGCTTCAGTTTATATAAAGCCCCTCACACAGGTTCTGCAAAGTGGGCACTCAGTTAATAGTACTTATTACATATGAGCCTTTCATAAAATATTGTGTTAATTATAAATGTTTCTACTTGCATCAAATTATGTGAGTCCATGGAAATGTCCTAAGTGTCCGTCAGCACATAAATGAATACATGTGATATATTAATATAATTTGGCGAAAAAGATGAACTTTTTCTATATGTGTGACATGGCTGACACTTAAGAAATAAAACGAAGTGAAATAAGCCAGACGCAAAAGGACAAATGTGGTATGGTTTCACTTATATGAGTTACCCAGAATAAGCAACTAACTCTATAAAACAAAAGTAGAAGAGAGGTTACAAGGGGGCAGGGCAGAGCCTGGGGAGTTATTTCTTGATGGGTACAGAATTTTTGTTTGAAATGATGAAAAAGTTTTGGACATCGATAGTGGTGATGGTGGCACAACATTGAGAATTTACTTAATGCCACTGAACTTTACACTTAAAGTTAAAATGATTTAACTTCATGCTATGTATATTTTACCAGAGTAAAAAAAAAAAAACAAAAAAAAAAACAAAAAAACAAGGCTGGGGCTGGGCAAGGTGGCACTCACCAGTAATCCCAGTGCTTTGGGAGGCTGAGGCAGGAGGATCTCTTGAGGCCAAAAGTTTGAGACCATCTTGGGCAACATAGTGAGACCCTGCCTCTACAAACAAAATTTTTATTTTAGGCACTATCTGTTGACTTTCCAATATTGCAGATGAAGTGGAAGATTTAGTTATCTGTCTGCTCGTATGCCACGTTACCCATCATCCCAATAGAGTTCTGCAAAACTTTGGTTGTTGATATAATCACAAATCATAAATCACAAATCACAAATCTTCTGTTGTTGATATACTCATAAAGGTATAAATGTTATTCACAGATGGGATATATAGTACACTGTAATTACCTTTCCTACCTTCTTGTACAGCCTTTTTTCTTTTTCTGTAGAAAGTAATTGTCTTCTTTTTTTTTTCTGCTTAACTTTCTGACTTCTTGTGGATATTTAGACCTCACATTGTCCATCTTTATCTTCATCAGGTGTTCTACCAATTTTTCTCCTTAAATTAATATTTTTTTGAAACTTTTACTCAAATTTGGACTATCCTCATTGAACAGAAATTGTCTAATGTTCTCCTTTTACCATCATTCTAGGAATAGTTTTTTTTAATTGATACATAATATTTTCCATGTTTATGGAGTACATGAGGTATTTTGTTACAGGCATAGAATGTGTAATGATAAGGTCAGGGTATTTGAAGGGTCCATCGCTTGGAGTATTTATCATTTCTATGCATTGGGAACAATTCAAGTCCTCCCTTCCAGCTACTTTGAAATACACAATGTTTGGTTGTTAGTTATGGTCACTCTATTCTGCTATCGAATGATGGAACTTATGCCTTTTATCTAACTGTAGGCTTTCATGCGTTAACCTCCCTCTCTTCATCTCCCCCCACCCACACCCTTCCCAGCCTGTAGTGTCTATCCTTCTACTCTCTACCTTTATGAGGTCAACTTTTCTAGCTCCCACACATGATTGAGTGCATGTGGTATTTGTCTTTCTATGCCTGGGTTATTTCAAATAACATAATTTTCTCCAGTTCCATTCATGTTGCTGCAAAAGACATGATTTCACTCTTTTTTATAGTAATAATATAGGGATAGTATTCCATTGTGTATATGTACCACATTTTCTTTATCCATTCACCCACTGATGGACACTTAGGTTGAATGAGTATCTTGGCTATTGTGAACAGTGCTGTGATAAACATACAAGTGCAGGAATCCCTTTGATAGACTGACTTCCTCCTTTTCGGATAGATAACCGGTACTGGGATTGCTGGATTGTATGATAGTTTTAGTTTTAGTTTTCTGAGAAATGTCCATACTGTTTTCCATAGTGACTGTGCTAATTTACATTCCCACCAATAGTATCTAAGAGTTCATTTTTCTCCATATCCTCACTAGCGTCTGTTGGTTTTTGTCCTTTTAATAACAGCCATTCTAACTTGGGTGAAGTGATATTGCATTGTTTTTTATTTGTATTTCTCTGATAATTTGTGATTCTGAGCATTTTTTCATATACGTGTTGGTCATTTGTATGTCATCTTTAGAGAGATGTTGGTTCATGTCCTTTGCCCACTTTTTTTTTTTTTTTTTTTTTTTTTGAGACGGAGTCTTGCTCTGTCGCCCAGGCTGGAGTGCAGTGGCACGATCTCGACTCACTGCAACCTCCACCTCCTGGGTTCAAGCAATTCCCTGCCTCAGCCTCTCAAGTAGCTGGGATTACAAGGACCCGCCACCATGCCCGGCTAATTTTTTTGTATTTTTAGTAGAGACAGGGTTTCACCATGTTGGCCAGGCTAGTCTTGAACTCCTGACCTCGTGAGTCACCTGCCTTGGCCTCCCAAAGTGCTGGGCTTACAGGTGTGAGCCACCAGGCCCGGCCCCTTTGCCCACATTTAATGGGATTGTTTTTGGTGGTGTTTCAGTTCCTGCAACACAATCTGTTTTGAAGAAAACCTCACATATGTGCCATGGTACAATCTTTCAGCAGCTCCCTATGTTAGTTTTAGGGCCCACAAGGGTGGAGGGGCTCTCCTGTGGGTAGCATTGCAGGAGTCCCCAGTGATACTGAGGACACTGAGGATCTCCCACTAGCCCTTTGCCTTTATAGAAAAGAAAAACAAAATCCTTTGAGACAGAACTGATCTTTTATCGTCTGCTCAACTAAATTGCACAGAAAGAGAGGCTGGAAGCCTGTCGGGTAAGAAGTTTTTACCCTTTTTGCCAGCTTGTCAGCTTCCTGGGTTCCCTTCACTGCAGCTTCCAAAACAGCAGAGTGGCATTGGAGACCCTGCTTGCTGCACCAAAACTGTGGGGACAAGGCTCTTAGCCCCTGAAAGGTTTACTGTAAATCACTGACATGAGGAAGATTGATTTTTAGAAGAAATGGCATTCAAATTTATTTAATGTGTACATATGGGAGCCTTCAGAATGAAGACCTTTAGCTAATCTTTCCTAGATCTAGACTAGGAAAGATCTAGCAGGGTCCCTTCAAAATATGTCAAAGAAATATATTTTTGGGGTAAAATGATTTCTCTTAACTGGTCCTTGTTTCTAGTGCTGGAACTTGACTTTCTGCAGCTGCAGGAGTTTTAGTCGACATAAGAGGGGCCAAGAGTTGGTCAAACCTAACAGAAGATCAACCAAAACTAGAAATAGAAAAGGTGATCACCCAATTTACATACTGTCAAGATCTTTGAGCATAAAGAGAAGTTATAGCCATCTGGCAAACGACCTTGACCTTCCGCTACCAAATTCCAAAACGAAACTCCAAACCAGCTCCACGAGGACTCAAGATATGGAGACAGCCTCAGGCCAAATTTAGTTCAATTTGCCAATTCCCCACTTTGGGTCAGCCATTGGATTTTGACATAGTGACCAAAACCCTGGGCATTGACACTGTCTGTCACCATTGTATTAGACTTACTTGGCCTCAGCACGGAATTCACAAGTCATGATGTCAGATCAGTTAAATAATTGTATTCTTGCTGATCTAGCCAAAGGGAGACCATTCAGTGCACAATGGATGTCTGCATACACACATTTAAGATTTGACAGGATACAGTGCACCAGGGGGACTATTACGATGACTACCAGAAAATAATACCAAGAGACCAAAGTGTACTCCTTCACAGGAGGCCCTATGAACAAAACCAGTCAAAACCAAACAAGTCAAAGTCCAGGCATATAAGCAGCTCAATAGTATTTGAGTCCAATTGGTCATAATCTTTGTTTGGGGTGTGATGGTGATTAAGTATTCACCATCACACCCCGAATATATTCAATAATAAGTCAGGTTGCTGGGCTAGGGCATTAATAGTACCTATAAAGAAGGAAAAATTGAGAAGGGGAGACCTCAAATTAGTTTCCTTAGGAGATATAACCAAGTGGTGATAACTTCACTTTCCCAACCTTTTTAAAGTTGTATGAGCTCTAAGTCCCTGCATTTATAATTTCACATCTGGAAAAAAATAATAATAAAGAGGTATCAGTTTATGTCATTAGCCTGGTACTGTAAGTCATAGTAACCTGGAGACCCACCAGAAAAAAACATAAAGATTCAAAAACCCTGGAAAAGCTAAGCTTGCCATTCATGAAAAGTTTTGGACATCGATAGTGGTGATGGTGGCACAACATCGTGAATGTACTTAATGCCACTGAACTATACACTTAACATAGTTAAAATGATTAACTTCATGCTATGTATATTTTACCAGAGTTAAAAAAAATTTTTTTTCTTCATCTATTGAAATTTTCTTCATGTATTTGATAAAAGTATCTAAAGAAATAGCCACCTTTTAAATTAAGCTTTCCATAGTAGCAAAATCAGGGGAAGTGTAGATACAGCACTCAGTTTGATTCAGCACAAGTCCCCAACATGATCAAAATGATGTAAAGCTGCATGAGGCTGGGTGCAGGGGCTCACACCTGTAATCCCAGTACTTTGGGAGGCCAAGATGAGAGGATCACTTGAGCCCAGGAGTTTGAGACCAGCCTGGGCAACATAGGGAGACCCTGTCTCTATTTAAAAAAAAAAAGAGAAATTAAAAATTAGCCAGGTCTGGTGCACACCTGTGATCCCAGATACTCAGGAGGCTGAGGTGGGGGGATCCCTTGAGTCCAGGAGGTCGAGGCTGCAGTGAGCCCCACTGTATTCCCACCTGGGTGACACAGCAAGACCTTATCTCAAATAAATTAAGCTGCATGATATTCTATTAAGTGTTTTGTTAGATGCATAGGTTATCATCTACCTTTTGGAGGGTGGCTTCTACTGAACCACTGGAAGGTTTGGTTGGCCATAAAGTCCAAGATTTTCCCCAATTTATGGATCTGTTCTGAATTCCACACTACCAGCACCCTACTACCACCAAGAGCAAGCCCTCAGGAACCCCACTGGAACCTTTCCTCAGTAGAAACTAGCTTATCTTAGTCTCTTTCAAGGCCGATGATCATTTTGTTTACTGTTTTGGCCTCTGATTATGGAAGGTATTATGGGAACTGTCAGAGGAAGCTATTCAAAAGGCAGGAGTGAGACCCATCAAAGAGCAAGATCTAAACCAGTGAAGAGGAAGAAAGGGTAAGCAAATTCTCTGCGGACCCAAGATAGGTCCTCAAGCATTGGAAAAGAGCGCCTCCTGGTGGTGTTTGAGCAGAAGTAAGTTAAATTTGACCTGTAAGCCTGATGGCTCCTGAACAAAGTTCAGTGGGAAAATTCTTTGTGGTCCCTTTACAGCATGCTGTTAAGGTGTATAACCACATGAAGAAGGACCCTACTGGATTTGTTCTGGTGACATTATATAGCAATTACTTATGATACTATGCACGAATAGCCTGCATACATAGTCCCCAGATCTTGAGTATGTGATGCCTGGAAGCATAATACATCTTTTGCAGGCATCACTCGAATGTGTTTTCTATATTTGGTAGTGATTAGGTTACTAATTGGAAAGGTTAGGATATTGTTTCCAGCAAGTGTAGGAAAACAAGTGGTAGTGATGTCTAGAATATCAAGATAGCTTTCTGTTCTTCCTTTGGAGCGTCAGGGTGAATTGGGAACACAGGGAGGCATTGGCATTTGTGAAATTGCTTCTTGAGTTTTTGGCATTAACCCACAAGCCCAAGGATTACTCAAGTTTTTTGCTACAGAATAAGCCTTAGGTAAAGCTATCCACAGATTATGGTCCCATGGATTTTCCTGTAAGGAAAAGGAAATAATTGGGGCAGAAGAAAATTAGGGGAAAAAAAGTAAAAGGATACGGCTTTCAGGATGGAGGTAAGTCTTGGCCCATGGTCTTAGGAGAGCTGTACATATGTAAGATGCTGTCTGCTTCTGGAGAAAAACTTCAAGAGTCTGCAGAGGTCCCTTTGAATTGTGTGATGTAGATCTAAGGTTTGCAACCCTGAAGTTTTACTGCAATTTGGGTGGGAAGAAGAACTTGATATGGTCCCTTTTATTGGGGTTTAAGGGCAATCTTCCTCTGATATCATTTCCAGAAGACCCAATCTCCAGATTCCAAATCATGCAGGGCTTGATTGTTCTCATTGGTGGATCATGAAAAGCTTCCTTTACCTGGTGATAATATATTTTGGCATTAAACCTTTGAAGTATTTAGTCATATCAGAGTTTAAGAGAGTGAAATTCTATTATTAGGGGCATAAACTTTCCAGTGACTATTTTATCAGGGGCCAATTTATGCTTTCTGGTGGGGATGAATCTGATTGCTATCAAGGCCAATGGTAATACAGTTGGCCGTGGAAATATAATCAATTCAATGAGCTTTGCCGATTTCAGTTTTGTTTTTGTTTTTGTTTTTGTTGTTGTCATTGTTTGTTTTTTTGGGGGGGGATGGGTGTTCCTTTTTTTTTTTGTTTTGGAGACAGGATCTTCCTCTGTCATCCAGGCTGGAGTGCAGTGACGCAATCTTGGCTCACTGCAACCTTCACCTCCTGGATTCAAGCAATTCTCCTGCTTCAGCCTCCAGAGTAGCTGGGATTACAGGCATGCACCACAGGCTAATTTTTTGTATTTTTAGTAGAGATGGGGTTTTGCCATGTTGGCCAGGCTGGTCTCGAACTCCTGACCTCAAGTGATCTGCCCACCTCAGCTTCCAAAAGTGCTGGGATTGCAGGCGTGAGCCACTGCACCCAGCCCAATTTCAGTTTCAAAATGCCATTTGTCCTTTTGACCTTTCCAGAAGACTGAGGGTGATAAGGACAGTGTTAATGCCACTGTGTCCATGACATCTTATGTTATATAACTACTTTATAACTTGTCAAGTAAAATGGTCTCCCTTTATCACTGGGGATTTCTCCAGGGATGCCCCAGCAAGGAAACACATTTTCTAATAACTTTCTAATGACTTTTTAAACTACTGTCACAGCCTCAGCTTACCTACCTCTACCCAACCAGAAAACATTCAAACTCTTAAGAGAACATACTGATATGCCATTGAAGTTGGCAATTGAGAGAAATCCATCTGTCAATTTTTAAATAGCCCATCGGGTGGTGTATTCCCACCTGAAATTTTAATTGCCTTTCCAGAATTACGGGTTTGACAAACCAAACATTCATTATTTTCCTCTCTAGAGAGAGTTTTTGCCTTATAGATCTGATCAGGAAAAAATAAAAACCATATAAATAAATAACACAAAATATTTATTATCAACCATTTTAGCAATTTTAGAAAAATCACCCAGCCATTTTTTTTTTATGATTTTGCCTGTCTCATGATGAGTTGTGGAGTGTAGCACTTTTAAGAATTGAAGCTCGAGGGACTCACGATGGACCCGGTGTCTGTCTGCGATGTGATGCTGGAGAACTTTGCACTTGTGGCCTCGCTGGGTAAGTCCCTCATACCTCAGCATCCCAGGCTGGGCTCTTTGCTTCCGCTTTTTTCCAGGAGCTGCTGTTTCCTTCCCACAGCCAGGCTGTGGACATTGCTCCCTTCCTAGCTTTTCTTGCATAGATGCTGTGGGTGCCAGGGCTGGACTGAGTGCATTCTCTGTCCCCTCCCCAGGCAGCCCCACTACCTGGTGCCCTAAGGCCTTGCAGGGAAGGAGATGGGGGCCAGGAGTCTTGCAGTGAACCCAATAGATCCCACCAGGCTTGGCCTCGCCCTGGCAGAGTGACTATGCAGAATCATTGTACCTCTCTGCCCCCAATTCTGCCCCCTTCCCTCCTGGTGGCATTTCCTCATGCCTCACTGTGCTGGGAATTGCAGGACCAATGTGGTTACTATTTTCAGGGACCACTGGGCTGTTCCTATGGGATCTTCTTCTGAGGCTCTTTTTGTAATACTAGTTTTCTTTCCTGGGGTCTGTCATGGGGTGGGTTACTCTGCGCTCCTGCTGTCCACTCACCTGTCGTGTCTTTCCCTTAGGCCTTGCATCTTCCCAGACTCAGGTAGTTGTCCACTTGGGGCTGGAGGAAGAGACATGGATGCCTGACAAAGCTATGGGAGGAGGGACTCTGGCGGGGACTGGCTCTGGTAAGTGGGAAGTGAGGGATGGCTTAACGTCAGGGCTGAGTTCTCATGATTCCAGCAACCTTGCCAGTGTCCATCATTGTTTTTATACCAAGGGCAGGGGCCATAACTCTTTTCTATGTTTTGCATTCTTGACATTTTGCCCATTTCTCTTTCCTACACTGAATCTGGCCAGGGCCGACTCCCACCTCTCTGATTTCCAGGTCTCACCCCTTCCTTTCCACTGTTCCCTCTGCAGTGTTCTCTAACCCTGAGCTACACATAATGTTTTGTGAGATGTTCACATAGCCTAAGTAGTTCTTGAACAGCTACTCAGTTGCAGTTGGTTTTCCTGAGTCTGGACACACCCTTTTGTTCAGTGCTCCTGTGTCACCAGCAGACAAGCTCCTGCTAAAAGCCATTGCAGAGAAGTGAGAGGGAGATGCAGCCTCTCCTTCCTGGGCTGCATCCCATCGCTGTGCCCTTGCTCCTCCCTAGACCTCCCCATTGTATCATGATGCCAGGCTTAGCACAGTAGACTCTTTGTCACCTGTAACCCCCGTAGCCCCCCAAGAGTCCTGTGTACTTGTTCCTGCATTTGTAAGACACACACTGTGATAGGGCTGCCTCTCCCACGAAAGTCAGTCCTAGACCAGGAGTCTTGCAATGAACCCAGTAGATCCCACCAGGCTGTATGTATACTTCAATATTTCTTTGCTTTCAGGTTGTTGGTTTCTAATGGAGGATGAGGAGCCATCTTCTCAAGGAGTGTCACAGGTCAGGGCTCCTAAGGCAGGTCCAGCTGCCCAGAAAGCCTCCCCTTGTGGGATTTGTGGTCCAATCATGAAAGACATTTTGCTCTTGGCTGAGCATCAGGGAATACACCCCGGGCACAAACTGCACACACGGGGGGCATGTGGGAGACAATTCTGGGTCAGTACAGACACCCCCTAGCACCAGAGGCAGCACAGTGGAGAGAAATGCCTCAGCAGAGATAAGGATAGGGCTTTGTTAAGAACTGCAGAGTCTACATGTCAGTGAATCCCTTCACATGTGGGTACTGTGAGAAGGACCTCCTGCCCAGGTCAGGCCTTCTCCAGTACCAGACCCAGAATTCACCCAGAAATACTGAGTGCAAGGAGGCCTTTCACATTGGAGAAGGGTATCACAGGTGCAGTGAATGTGGGAAAGCCTTTAGCCACAGAAATAGGCTTTGTGAGCACCAGAGAGTCCACAGCAGAGAAAGACCTTACAAATGCAGTGAATGTGGGAAATTCTTCAGTCATAACTCTAGCCTTACTGTACACCAGAGAGTTCACATGGGTTTAAAGCCTTACGGGTGCAGCGAATGTGGGAAAGCCTACAGAAAAAGCTCCCATCTTGTTCAACACAAGAAAGTTCACGCTGGAGAGAGGCCTTATGGGTGCAGTGAATGTGGAAAAGCCTACAGCAGAAGCACCCACCTTGTTAGGCATAAAAACCTTCACACTGGAGAAAGGGCTTACAGATGCAGTGAATGTGGGAAAGCCTATAGCAGCAAACACACACTCATTCAGCACCAGAGAGTCCACACTGGAGAAAGTCCACACTGGAGTGCAGCAAATGTGCGAAATTATTTAGCCAGAATTCCAGCATGATTATACACCCGAGAGTTCCCAGTGGAGCCAGGCCTTATGAATGCAGTGAATGTGGGAAATCCTTTAGACAAAGCTATGGCCTTATTGAACACCAGAGAATTCACACTGGGGCAAAGCCTTATAAGTGTAGTGAATGTGGGAAATGCTTCAGCTGCAAAATCACACTTGCTCGGCATTGGAGAATCCACACTGGAGAAAGGCCTTATAAGTGCACTGAATGTGGGAAGGTTTTTAGCCAAATCTCTGGCCTTACTGCACATCAGAGAGTTCACACTGGTGAAAGGCTGTGAGTGCACAGAATGTGGGAAATCTTTTAGCCAAAGATCCAGCCTCATTTTACACCAGAGAGTTCACACTGGTGAAAGGCCCTATGTGTGCAGCGAATGTGGGAAAGCCTTCAGCGTTAAATCTATACTTGTTCAACACCTGAGAGTCCATACTAGAAAAAGACCTTATGAGTGTAGTGAATGTAGGAAATTATTTAGCCACAAGTCCAACCTCATTAAATATAAAAAAAAAATCACACTGGAGAAAAGGCTTAAACCAACAGCCTATGTGGTGCCAGAAAGTTCACCCTGGAGGAAGGCCTTGGAACGCAGGGAGGATGCTGTCTGCTTGGTCCACATAGTGGGTGACACCGGACAGAAGCTCTGAAAGTAGCTTTGTGTAGTAGCTATCAATCAGCCAAAAGTTAATCTCACATCTGGACATCCATGCTGGAGAGATTCCGTGTGAGTGCCAGGTAGGTGGGAAGCTTTCAGGAGTTGCATTGCACTTTCTAACCTGCCCAAGGCTCTTACCTGAGTTCTGTCACTGCCAGTACCTGTGGGAGAAGCCATTTCACCTCTACCAGCTGGCAAGTGTACCTTAGGTTACCCAGGGTGCTCAGTGAAGGCAGACCTCTGTACTCCCTCCGCTTCCCTGGAGGAAATCATGAGTGGGCTGAGGCCATTGCAGACCACCATAATTACATTCACATACTGCATGTGATTCATAGAGCTCAGGGCAACAAAATAGAGGGTATGTGCCCCATCTAAACATGCTTCCAGAGTGTGCTATAGCTGTGAGGCATGAGGGTACACAGATATTTTCAGGACTTCCAGATTTAGTCTCCTGTGCACAAGGTCAATGGCAGAGCAAATAATCTGAATGTGTTCTGGATTGCTGAGGCTGTTGTGGCTGTTCACCTCTAGGCCATTGCTACACAAGCAAGAAACGGGACAGAGAGGAGAGATCAGAGTCTAGGCATGTGACTTCTGTGACTCACAAACAAGCTTTATTGCTCGCTAGTCTTTGCTCCCATTGAAGCAGGGCTGTCCCTTCCAAAGAATGAGAATAGTTATGGAGTCCCTTATATATGTACTAAATTTTCTGGTTTTTCAAGAGAAGCAGGAGACCCAGATTTTTTATGTGGAGCCATTTTTTAAAGCTCTATTGAGATATTGTTGCGCAGTAAACTGTGCATATTTAAAATGTAAATGTATTAAGTGTTATCTAATGTGTACACCCAGGAAACCATCTCCATAATCATGATAATGAGCAGATTCATCACCTGCAAAGTCATCTCAGCCCCCTTTAAAATCCCTCTTTCCCTCCCTCCCTGGCACCCCATTGCCACAAACATTGATTTACTGTCTTTTGCTGTAGACTTATTTTCTTTTTCTAAAACTTTACATAAATGGAATAACAAAATGCTGTTTTTTGCTTTTTTCTCACTCAGCATAATTATTTTGAGATTCCTCCATGTTGCATGTGTCAACACTTCATTGTTTTATTACAGACTCGTGTATAGCTTTATATAGATACTCCACAATTTTGCTGCTCATTTGTTAAAGGACATTTGGATTGCTTCTAGTTTGGGGCTATTACAAATAAAGCTGCTATCAACATTCATGTACTAGTCTTTCTTATATGTTAATACCTAGGAGTAACAGGACTGAGTGTTTCATTTCTACCTGTGGGATGTTAATTTATACAGGTGACTAAGTGACAACACAGAGAAGCCAGTGCCATTGAAATAATTCACCATTCACATTTTCCAAGAGAAGGAAAGGCATCGTGCCACAGAGGGCCACATGGAAAGCACCAGTGTTGGTCAGGAGGCAGGAGCAAGGGGAAAACATAGGCCACAGCCTTTATTGGGGTTTCCATGGAAAAGACCAGGCAGGGCAGAGTAAGCAGCTTGTGATTAGCTAGTTTGCATAATTTCAGCAGGCTTTGGCCTACAGGGTTGGTCTCTGGTTACCTGGTACTTGGTCCTGGGGTGCTTTAGTGCAGGAGAGATATTGGCGTGGGGTGTGAGAGTTGGATAAAGAGGTAATTGGGGCTGTAGACTCTAGACTGGTTGGCTGTATATGAGAGAGGTGCTCTGGGTCAAGGCTTTTGCCATCTCTAAGAAAGGGCTAGCCCTGGGAGGGGCAGTCTCTCCAGAGCCAGCAAACTTTTAAAGATGTCACCATAAAATACAGAAAATAAGCATAAGCACACCAACTTACAGGGTAAGTGGATGTTTACCTTTTTCAAACTGACAAATTGTGTTCCAAAGTGGTTATACTATTTTATATTCTCTCCACAGTGTTACGAGGATTTCAGGAACTCCATGTCCTCACCAACACTTGGTATGGTCAGTGTTTAATTTTCACCATTCTCATTTGGTGTGTAGTGGTATTTCTCTGTGATTTTACTTTGTATCCCCCTAATGACTAATGTTTACAATTTTTATGTGTACTACTGCCATCCCTCTGTCTTCTTTGGACTTTTAAGTGTTCAAATCTTTTGCCCATTTAAACTCTTTTCTTTATTATTGAGTTTTGAGGGTTCTTAATAAGTATTGAATACAAGTCCTCCTTCAGATATGTGATTTGCCAGTATAGTCTTCTAGCCTATGGATCTTTTTTACCTTCATCTTAACAGTCTGTCCTATAGCAGAAAATTTTACTGTTGACAAAGTTGAATGTGTTATTTTTCCTTTGATTGAACATATTTTTGGTACATATCTCAGAAGTATTTGCCAAGATTTAAGAAATTATCTCATGTTACTTAATTAAAGTTTTGTACTTTTAGGTTTATAATCCATTTTGAGGTAGTTCTTGAATATTGTATACCATGTGAGGTTTGGGGTCACAGCTTTACAGTGTTGTTTTTTGGTTTTTGTTTTAATACAGATGTCCAGTTCATTCAACAACATTTCTTTAAAACACGATCTTCAGTGAGTTGCCTTTGCACCTTTCTTTAAAATTATTTGATCTTATATTTGTTGGTCTATTTCTGCACTTCCTTAATCTGTATTTTTGCTAATATTTTAAAGTCTTATTTAACATAATTTTACACTATGTCTTTAAATCAGGCAATGTATTCCTTTAACTTTGTACTTCTTTTCAAATTTTTTCTGTTTTTATTTTGTTTTGTTTTTGGCTTTTCTAAGTTCTTCGCATTTCCATATGAATTTTAGAATTTAGTTGTCATTTTCTAATAAAAGTATTGTGGATTTTGATTGGGATTGCATTGAATATATGTATATCAATTTGAAGAGAATTTTAACGTTAACAATATTGAGTGTTGTAACCCATAAACGTGGCATATCTCTCCCTTTATTTAGATCTTTAATTTTTCTCCGCAATCTTTTATAGTTTCAGTGTATATATCCTGCAAATCTTATATGTCTCAAGTATATGTTGTATGCTCTTGTAAAAAGTACTCTTAAATTTCAATTTTAAATTAGTCATTGTTAGTACATAGAAATACAATTTTTATAGAAATATTCATTATCTACCCTGTAAACCAGAGGTGTCCAATCTTTTGGCTTCCCTGGCCCACAGTGGAAGAAGAATAGTCTTGGGCCACAGATAAAATATACTAAGACTAACGATAGAATGATGAGCTAAAAAAAAAAAATTGTAAAAAAAAAAAACTCATAATGTTCTAAGAAAGTTTACAAATTTCTCTTTTTTTATTACACTTTAAGTTTTAGGGTACATGTGCACAACGTGCAGGTTTGTTACATATGTATACATGTGCCATGTTGGTGTGCTGCACCCGTTAACTCGTCATTTAACATTAGGTATATCTACTAATGCCATCCCTCCCCCCTCCCCCCACCCCACAACAGGCCCCGGTGTGTGATGTTCCCCTTCCTGTGTCCACGTGTTCTCATTGTTCAATTCCCACCTATGAGTGAGAACATACAGTGTTTGGTTTTTTGTCCTTGTGATAGTTTGCTGAGAATGATGGTTTCCAGCTTCATCCATGTCCCTACAAAGGACATGAACTCATCATTTTTTATGGCTGCATAGTATTCCATGGTGTATATGTGCCACATTTTCTTAATCCAGTCTATCATTATTGGACATTTGGGTTGGTTCCAAGTCTTTGCTATTGTGAATAGTGCCGCAATAAACATACGTGTGCATGTGTCTTTATAGCAGCATGATTTATAATCCTTTGGGTATATACCCAGTAATGCGATGGCTGGGTCAAATGGTAATACTAGTTCTAGATCCCTGAGGAATCGCCACACCGACTTCCACAATGGTTGAACTAGTTTACAGTCCCACCAACAGTGTAAAAGTGTTCCTATTTCTCCACATCCTCTCCAGCACCTGTTATTTCCTGGCTTTTTAATGATCGCCATTCTAACTGGCGTGAGATGGTATCTCATTGTTGTTTTGATTTGCATTTCTCTGATGGCCAGTGATGGTGAGCATTTTTTCATGTGTCTTTAGGCTGCATAAGTGTCTTTTTTTGAGAAGTGTCTGTTCATATCCTTCGCCCACTTGTTGATGGGGTTGTTTGTTTTTTTGTTGTAAATTTGTTTGGGTTCATTGTAAATTCTGGATATTAGCCCTTTGTCAGATGAGTAGATTGCAAAAATTTTCTCCCATTTTGTAGGTTGCCTGTTCACTCTGATGGTAGTTTCTTTTGCTGTGCAGAAGCTCTTTAGTTTAATTAGATCCCATTTGTCAATTTTGGCATTTGTTGCCATTGCTTTTGGTATTTTAGACATGAAGTCCTTGCCCATGCCTATGTCCTGAATGGTACTGCCTAGGTTTTCTTCTAGGGTTTTTATGGTTTTAGGTCTAAGGTTTAAGTCTTTAATCCATCTTGAATTAATTTTTGTTTAAGGTGTAAGGAAGGGATCCAGTTTCAGCTTTCTACATATGGCTAGCCAGTTTTCCCAGTACCATTTATTAAATAGGGAATCCTTTCCCCATTTCTTCTTTTTGTCAGGTTTGTCAAAGATCAGATAGTTGTAGATATGCAGCATTATTTCTGAGGGTTCTGTTATGTTCCATTGGTCTATATCTCTGTTTTGGTACCAGTACCTTGCTGTTTTGGTTATGTAGCCTTGTAGTATAGTTTGAAGTCAGGTAGCGTGATGCCTCCAGCTTTGTTCTTTTGGCTTAGGATTGACTTGGCAATGTGGGCTTTTCTTTGCTTCCACATGAACTTTAGTTTTTTCCAATTCTGTGAAGAAAGTCATTGGTAGCTTGATGGAGATGGCATTGAATCTATAAATTACCTTGGGCAATATGCCCATTTTCACGATATTGATTCTTCCTACCCATGAGCATGGAATGTTCTTCCATTTGTTTGTATCCTCTTTTATTTCATTGAGCAGTGGTTTGTAGTTCTCCTTGAAGAGGTCCTTCACATCCCTTGTAAGTTGGATTCCTAGGTATTTTATTTTCTTTGAAGCAATTGTGAATGGGAGTTCACTCACGATTTGGTTCTCTGTTTATCTGTTATTGGTGTATAGGAATGCTTGATTTTTGCACATTGATTTTGTATCCTGAGACTTTGCTGAAGTTGCTTATCAGCTTAAGGAGATTTTGGGCTGAGACGATGGGGTTTTCTAAATGTACAATCATGTCATCTGCAAACAGGGGCAATTTGACTTCCTCTTTTCCTAATTGAATACCCTTTATTTCTTTCTTCTGCCTGATTGCCCTGGCCAGAACTTCCAACACTATGTTGAATAGGGGTGGTGAGAGAGGGCATCCCTACCTTGTGCCAGTTTTCAAAGGGAATGCTTCCAGTTTTTGCCCATTCAGTATGATATTGGCTGTGGGTTTGTCATAAATAGCTCTTATTATTTTGAGATACATCCCATCAATACCTAGTTTATTGAGAGTTTTTAGCATGAAGAGCTGTTGAATTTTGTTGAAGGCCTTTTCTGCATCTATTGAGATAATCATGTGGTTTTTGTCTTTGGTTCTGTTTATATGATAGATTACGTTTATTGATTTGCATATGTTGAACCAGCCTTGCATCCCAGGGATGAAGCCAACTTGATTGTGGTGGATAAGCTTTTTGATGTGCTGCTGGATTCGGTTTGCCAGTATTTTATTGAGAACTTTTGCATCGATGTTCATCAACGATATTGGTCTAAAATTCTTTTTTTTGTTGTTGTGTCTCTGCCAGCCTTTGGTATCAGGATGATGCTGCCCTCATAAAATGAGTTAGAGAGGATTCCCTCTTTTTCTATTGATTGCAATAGTTTCAGAAGGAATGGTACTAGCTCCTCTTTGTACCTCTGGTAGAAATCAGCTGTGAATCTGTCTGGTCCTGGACTTTTTTTGGTTGGTAGGCTATTAGTGATTGCCTCAATTTCAGAGCCTGTTATTGGTCTATTCAGGGATTCAACTTCTTCCCGGTTTAGTCTTGGGAGGGTGTATGTGTCCAGGAATTTATCCATTTCTTCTAGATTTGCTAGTTTATTGTGTAGAGGTGTTTATAGTATTCTCTGATGGTAGTTTGTATTTCTGTGGGATCGGTGGTGATGTCTCCTTTATCATTTTTTGTTGCATCTATTTGATTCTTCTCTCTTTTCTTATTAGTCTTGCTAGCAGTCTATCAATTTTGTTGATCTTGTCAAAAAAACAGTTCCTGGATTCATTGATTTTTTGAAGAGTTTTTTTTTGTCTCTATCTTCTTCAGTTCTGCTCTGATCTTATTTATTCCTTGCCTTCTGCTACTTTTTGAATGTGTTTGCTCTTGCTTCTCCAGTTCTTTTAATTGTGATGTTAGGGTGTCAATTTTGATCTTTCCTGCTTTCTCTTGTGGGCATTTAGTGCTATAAATTTCCCTCTACACACTGCATTGAATGTGTCCCAGAGATTCTGGTATGTTGTGTCTTTGTTCTCGTTGGTTTCAAAGAACATCTTTATTTCTGCCTTCATTTTGTTATGTACCCAGTAGTCATTCAGGAGGAAGTTGTTCAGTTTCCATGTAGTTGAGCGGTTTTAAGTGAGGATCTTGATCCTGAGTTCTAGTTTGATTGCACTGTGGTCTGAGAGACAGTTTGTTATAATTTCTGTTCTTTTACATTTGCAGAGGAGTGCTTTACTTCCAATTATGTGGTCAATTTTGGAAGAAGTGCGATGTGGTGCTGAGAAGAATGTATATTCTGTTGATTTGGGGTGGAGAGTTCTGTAGATGTCTATTAGGTCCACTTGGTGCAGAGCGGAGTTGAATTCCTGGATATCCTTGTTAACTTTCTGTCTCGTTGATCTGTCTAATGTTGACAGTGGGATGTTTGTTAAAGTCTCCCATTATTATTGTATGGGAGTCCAAGTCTCTTTGTAGGTGTCTAAGGACTTGCTTTATGAATCTGGGTGCTCCTGTATTAGGTGCATATATATTTAGGATAGTTAGCTCTTCTTGTTGAATTGATCCCTTTACCATTATGTAATGGCCTTCTTTGTCTCTTTTGATCTTTGTTGGTTTAAAGTCTGTTTTATCCGAGACTAGGATTGCAACCCCTGCTTTTTTGTTTTGTTTTGTTTTCCATTTGCTTGGCGGATCTTCCTCCATCCCTTTATTTTGAGACTATGTGTGTCTCTGCACATGAGATGGGTCTCCTGAATACAGCACAATGATGGGTCTTGACTCTTTATCCAATTTGCCAGTCTGTGTCTTTTAACTGGAGCATTTAGCCCATTTACATTTAAGGTTAATATTGTTATGTGTGAATTTGACCCTGTCATTATGATGTTAGCTGGTTATTTTGATCATTAGTTGATGCAGTTTCTTCCTATCATTGATGGTCTTTACAATTTGGCGTGTTTTTGCAGTGGCTGGTACCAGTTGTTCCTTTCCATGTTTAGTGCTTCCTTCAGGAGCTCTTGTAGGGCAGGCCTGGTGGTGACAAAATCTCTCAGCATTTGCTTGTCTGTAAAGGATTTTATTTCTCCTTCACGTATGAAGGTTAGTTTGGCTGGATGTAAAATTCTGGGTTGAAAATTCTTTTCTTTAGGAATGTTGAATATTGGCCCCCACTCTCTTTTGGCATGTAGAGTTTCTGCGGAGAGATTAGCTGTTAGTCTGATGGGCTTCCCCTTGTGGGTAACCCGACCTTTCTCTCTGGCTACCCTTAACATTTTTTCCTTCATTTCAACTTTGGTGAATCTGACAATTATGTGTCTTGGAGTTGCTCTTCTCGAGGAGTATCTTTGTGGTATTCTCTGTGTTTCCTGAGTTTGAATGTTGGCCTGCCTTGCTAGATTGGGGAAGTTCTCCTGGATAATATCCTGCAGATTGTTTTCCAACTTGGTTCCATTCTCCCCATCACTTTCAGGTACACCAATCAGACATAGATTTGGTCTTTTCACATGGTCCCATATTTCTTGGAGGCTTTGTTCGTTTCTTTTTATTCTTTTTTCTCTAAACTTCTCTTCTCATTTCATTTCATTTATTTGATCTTCTGTCACTGATACCCTTTCTTCCAGTTGATCGAATCGGCTACTGAGGCTTGTGCTTTCATCATGTAGTTCTCATGCCGTGGTTTTCAGCTCCATCAGGTCCTTTAAGGACTTCTCTGCATTGATTATTCTAGTTAGCCACTCGTCTAATTTTTTTTCAAGGTTTTTAACTACTTTGCCATGGGTTCGAACTTCCTCCTTTAGTTCAGAGTAGTTTGATCGTCTGAAGCCTTCTTCTCTCAACTCGTCAAAGTCACTCTCCGTCCATCTTTGTTCCGTTGCTGGAGAGGAGCTTCATTCCTTTGGAGGAGGAGAGGCACTCTGATTTTTAGAGTTTCCAGTTTTTCTGCTCTGTTTTTTCCCCATCTTTGTGGTTTTATCTACCTTTGGTCTTTGATGATGGTGACGTACAGATGGGGTTTTGGTGTGGATGTCTTTGTTTTCCTTCTAACAGTCAGGACCCTCAGCTGCAGGTCTGTTGGAGTTTGCTGGAGGTCCACTCCAGACCCTGTTTGCCTGGGTATCAGCAGCGGAGGCTGCAGAACAGCGGATATGGGTGAAAAGCAAATGTTGCTGCCTGATCGTTCCTCTGAAAGTTTTGTCTCAGAGGAGTACCCGGCTGTGTGAGGTGTCAGACTGCCCCTACTGGTGGGTGCCTCCCATTTAGGCTACTCGGGGGTCAGGGACCCACTTGAGGAGGCAGTCTGTCCGTTCTCAGATCTCAAGCTGTGTGCTGGGAGAACCACTACTCTCTTCAAAGCTGTCAGACAGGGACATTTAAGTCTGCAGAGGTTTCTGCTGCCTTTTGTTTGGATATGCCCTGCCCCTAGAGGTGGAGTCTACATAGGCAAGCAGGCCTCCTTGAGCTGTGTTGGGCTCCACCCAGTTCGAGCTTCCTGGCTGCTTTGTTTACCTACTCAAGCCTTGGCAATGGCAGGCGCCCCTCCCCCAGCCTCATTGCTGCCTTGCAGTTTGATCTCAGACTGCTGTGCTAGCAATGAGCGAGGCTCCGTGGTTGTAGGACCCTCCGAGCCATGCATGGGATATAATCTCCTGGTGTGCAGTTTGCTAAGACCATTGGAAAAGTGCAGTATTAGGGTGGGAGTGACCCGATTTTCCATGTGCCGTCTGTCACCCCTTTCTTTGACTAGGAAAGGGAATTCCCTGACCCCTTGTGCTTCCCGGATGAGATGATGCCTCGCCCTGCTTCGTCTCACACTCGGTGCGCTGCACCCACTGTCCTGCACCCACTATCCAACACTCCACAGTGAGATGAACCCGGTACCTCAGTTGGAAATGCAGAAATCAGCCGTCTTCTGCATCACTCACGCTGGGAGCTGTAGACTGTAACTGTTCTTATTCGGCCATCTTGGCTCCACCTCACTTCTTTTATAATATTAAGGGTTTTGCTGCAAACTGCAGAAATGTTACTCAGTAGAATAAGCAGATAATACTCTGAGTAATACCTCAGATAACAAGAATGCAACACTGGTGCATTGGCCAGGAAAGGAAACATCAGAAAGATGAGTAGGAGAGGACCTCCAACACTGTACTTTCATTTCCAAGGCTCCTTATCCTCTGTTTTTTTCTTGTAAGATCAAACAAAACACTGGGCCCCTGTCAGCCTATTAAAAGCTTCTAGAGTGGCTGCCAGCCTTACAAGATTCAGGGGACAGGCTTGATGGAGAGGACTTTATCAATCCCCCATCACTCTTGGGTGTTGGGAATGTTGGCTCTGTTCCAACCTAGCTCCCTTTCACAGAAGATCTAGCCATCATGTGGGGCTGGAAGAAGGTCCTGGGGCAACTGAAGGCATCTGGCGGAGGCTGCACCTTGGTGTTACCTGAAGACTCCTGGACTAACTCCAGTCCCCAACAGCCCACCAGGACTTCCAGACTTTCCTATCACATTTTCTTCCTTTCTTTTCTTTTTTGCAGCTCTCATGTCTCCTATCCCTTCTTTGTATGCTATGTTGAGGGAGTTTTTACAGCCTGGGGAGATAACCTTGTTGGGTAAAGTTAGCAAGTGCCTTAGTAACCAGGAATGTAACTCTAAGAATTGCTGCTTCTGTGATTTCCTTGAGATGGGGGGATTTCAAGATTTCAACTAAACTTTCAACTAAACTAAACTAAACTGAACTAAACTTTCACCTAGTAAGGGCTTTTTTGTTCCCCAATGATAGTCATTCATGGCACTCTATAGGAGGATATTTCAACCTGAGTGAATACCCTCCTCTCCATTTGGGTTGTTTTATTCCTCCACATAAAAGCTCAGCACTGCCAGTGAATTTAAACAGTTCCTCCATGAGACAAATTGTATTTTTGCTGGGAGGCATATTGTGGGGACAGCCCACCAAGCCCCACACCTCTCTGCCTAGAAAGAATTTGGAGTCACAGTTTTTACCTAACATTTCAGTTATTGCCACAACACCTAGCAAAATAGGATTTTTCTGTGTTGGGGGGCCATATTGACCCTTTTCCCAAAACCTCTAGTTCCCCAACTCTTTTTCCTCCTGCATCCCTCTATAAGTGATCAGACCTCATGCCCTATTTGTAGGCAGGAAAACTCCACTTTCAATAGTCAGGAGGAAGCTGCCCTTGAGAGACAAATTCTAGGCTCAGTACTGTCCTCATCGAAGGTAGGACAGCCATTTAATCCTTATATTTTTTGAGGCACCTGTCCTAAACACAACTACATTGGCATTTAAACAAAAGAGGATTTTATGCTTAGAAGTCAATTGGTCCCATTCTCTGGGAAATCAGGGCTTTGCTAGGGCCACAGTAAGAGAAGCCAGGGACAGAGTCAAGACACTCCTTCCATTAAATGGTCTTACTCAAATCCAACTACTGCACAATCCCTCCTGGGCCCCTGGGGTACCATGGGAGCCTTTTAGGTCGAGTAGGTCTGGGATACCCAGAGATAGGTAGAGAGCTAGGGAATCTCACAGGTAAACATGACTACTCCTGCTGACTAGCTCCTCTGGATCCATGGGTGGTAATGCTTGCATCCATGGGCAGCACAATTGATGGCCACCAGGACCCAGAGGAGATGGGAGGAAAGAGGAGAAGGAGGACGCCCTTTCTACCTTTCTCTGTACCCTGGGTCACTCCAAAAGGAGGAAGTGGACTAAGGTATGCCTTTTCTCCCCTCTCTTTCCAGATACTTAACAACCCATCTTCAAGCCTGCACTTTCCTCGAGTGCAGCCTGGATCTCTTTTAATCGTCAGACCCTGAAGTTTGCTTTAGGAAAGTCCCAACTTCACTCACATATAGAGTATTTAAACTCTGCTGGAAGGATGTTAGGTTACTCTTAAATCAAACCCTAACTGCTGCTGAGAAACAGTTGGCCCTGTAGGCAGCAAAGAAATTTGGAGATGAACTTTGTGTCTCATACAGTGCCAGGGAAGGGGAAGAGCCTTATCCAATTGGGAGAGTAATAGTGCCCTTAAAGGACCCTAAATGTGACCATAATAATAGCATTGGTGAGTGGAGAAGAAAACTCTTTCAAATGCGTATATTGGAGAAGCCACAAAGGACTATAGCCAAACCTATTAACTACTACAAGCTTTCCATAATAGATAATAAAAAAAAAAAAAAACCTAGATGAAAACCCCTCAGCCTTTTTGGAAAGGCTGAGAGAAGCTTTAGTGAAACACACCTTTCTATCTCTCATTTCAATTGAAGGACAGCTAATCTTAAAGGACAAGTTTATTACTCAGGCAGCCCCTAATATCTGAAGGAAGTTGCAAAAACAGGCCGTGTCCAAAGATCTCTCTGATTTTTCTCACCCTCAGGTTGAAGCTTTGCAGTATGTAGATGACATTCTCCTCTGTGCCCCAACTGAGAAAGTCTCAGGAAGACACTGAGGCTCTCCTCAATTTTTTAGCTGAAAGGGGATATAGGGTTTCAAAATTTAAGGCTCAGCTCTTTCAAACTTCAGTAAAGTACCTATATCTAGTCCTGTCAGAAGGAACAAGAGCACTAGGTAAGGAAATGATTAAGCCCATTTCCTCTTTGCCCTTCCCAAAATGCTTAAACATCTGAAGGGATTCTTAGGCATTATTGAATTTTGCAAACTAGGAATACCCAGGTACAGTGAGATAACTCGCCCTTTATACCACCTCATAAAAGAAATGCAAGCAGCTAAAACTCAGTCCCTGACTTGGGAACCTGGGGCTCAAAAAGGCTTTAACCAGTTAAAACAAGCCTTGCTTAAAGCACCAGCCCTTAGTCTTCCCATAGGAAAGACATTCAGTCTCTATGTAGCAAAAAGGAAGAGAATGGCCCTGGGAGTTTTAACTCAGGCTCAAGGTCCAGCTCAACAGCCAGTAGGTTACCTAAGCAAGGAGCTTGAGTTGATGGCTAAAGTACGGCCAGCTTGCCTCTGAGCAGTTACAGCAGTGGCTTTACTGGTGTCAGTGGCCACCAAGTTAACCATGAGGAATGACTTAACTGTATATAACCCACATAATGCGGCAGAACTGCTGTCTTCTAAGAGAAGTCCCTGGCCAACAGATAATCACCTCCTCAAAGATCAGGCTCTGCTGTTAGAGGAATCTACAGTCCAGTTAAAAAAACCTGTCCTTGCCTGAACCCAGACACTTTCCTCCCAGAGGAAACTGAAGAACCTGAATATGGCTTTGAACAGTCATGCAAACCTATGCAGCCAAGGAGGACCTCAAAGAAACTCCCCTAGAAAACCCAGAAGCCAGACATGCTGGTAAAAGGATAAAAGTTTTTTTACAGTCAGACTTTTGGCCTCTCTGTCCCTGTGCAAACCAGTGAAAGGAATGATAAGAATCATTGTTTATATTCCCTGTAAAGTTTTAATTAATGAAAAAGGATATTCTTAAAGAATGCTCAGCTTAATTAAAAGAGGATATCCAAGTTATAGATATATTTAAAAGATTTTTATGTTTTTCTCTCCTTGGATCTTGTTTTTCTGAAAAGGTTTTTTTTTTTCTCAGTTGACTAAATTACTTTTCTCCACTTTGTCTTGCCAGTCAGTGCATGTATGAAAGGCCCTAGATAGCTTCTGATGGCCTGGGACTCCTTGGGGAAAAAAAAAAAATGCCAAGGATTCCATTTTGTGAGACATCTCTCTTTTCCTCATGAAACCCCAAGAATTAGAGGTGAATATAACCCACTCAAAATCTCTTTTTGCCTTTCAGGTATGCCTGTTTATTAGGCCCTAGAAACTGTATGCTTTCCTAGCCCTGTTCTTAAAGAGCTCCACCCTGAGGCCAATAATCCAATTAGAAAATTGACGAACAAAAAAACCTTACAACTGCTGGGTTTTCTTCTGTCTGTGTAGTCATATATATGTTATGTGTGTAATGGTTATACAAAAAAAGTTATAATTAACTGGCTTTAAAAATAAGCACTTAGATAAAATATTTTTTGAAGGAAAAATAAAAGCTGTAATGCCTTTTACTTCATGCGACTTTAATCTTTCAGGAATAGGAACACTATTTAAGGATTATAAATAAGGAATAGGAACATTCTCTTTTTTTTGCATATAGCTTGAATTTATTTTGAAAGTTTTCCCAGTATACATTCTCATAAACATAATTACTGATTTCAAGTATTGGAACATTCTCTTTTTTTGCATATAGATTGAATTTATTTTGAAAGTTTTCCCAGTATACATTCTCATAATTACTGATTTCAAGTATTTTTGTAACTTTTGACATTATTGCCAAATGGTGTGATGTTAATACTATAAGATTTGCCCCATCTCCATCGCTGCTGGAACATCTCATGGCCCCAATTTCACTGCCAACTCATTGGAACTATGAATTATAATTTAAATGCTTTTTCCTAGGCAGAAAATTCATCTGACTTTTTAAAATATATACTTTAAGTTCTAGGGTACATGTGCACAACGTGCAGGTTTGTTACATATGTATACATGTTCCATGTTGGTGTGCTGCACCCATTAACTTGTCATTTACATTAGGTATATCTCCTAATGCAATCCCTCCCCCCTCCCCCCACCCTGGTGTGTGATGTACCCCACCCTATGTCCAAGTGTTCTCATTGTTCAATTCCCACCTATGAGTGAGAACATGCAGTGTTTGGTTTTCTGTCCTTGCAATAGTTTGCTCAGAATGATGGTTTCCAGCTTCATCCATGTCCCTACAAAGGACATGAACTCATCCTTTTTTATGGCTGCATAATATTCCATGGTGTATATGTGCCACATTTTCTTAATCTAGTCTATCATTGATGGACATTTGGGTTGGTTCCAAGTCTTTGCTATTGTGAATAGTGCCACAATAAACATATGTGTACATGTGTCTTTATAGTAAAGTGATTTATAATTCTTTGGGTATATACCTGGGTCATTTCCAATTAAGAAAAGATTATTATATTGAGAACACGTTCCAAAATTGTAGAATGGTGCTCATCTATAAAATGCTAGTATCTGATAGGCAATTTAGGATTTCTTGCTTCCTGGGTTTACATAAAATGTGCCAAGGAAAATGTGTTCTATTTTTTTTTAAAAAAGAATAATTTTATCTAATTCAAAAGTTATCTAAAAGTTAATTCCAGTTGTGCACTTGAAAAGGTTATTCATCCAAGTAACTTTCTGTATTGCCTTTAAAGCCCTGTGCAGTTGAGTTACAAAGCTTTGATTCTTGGGTCTAAAAAAGGGACATTATTATGTTAATTCTCACCTTAATTCTCTTGAATAGTTAAAATCCTTTGCAACTTCAAAAATAACTGCTCAAGATTCCTTTCAGGAAAAGCAATTTCAGTCACCTTGTGCTCAGTAGTTAAGGTTTTTGTCTTTTCATGCTGGTGGCCTGGGTTCAATTCCTGGCTTAGGGAATCAGTCTTTTCTGATTTTATGTGTGTTTGACTTTTTGCCATTTATTGCTTCCTTTCCTCTTTGTGGACAGCTTCTGATTTCGTGTCTTGAAATTTTCTTTTTCCTGAACTACCTTTGGGGAGATTCTACATCTCATAAAAATTGCTTGCCGTCTCTTTGCCCATCGCTTGCCATCTCTTTGGAGACACTTCATGCATCCAAGGTTACCATCCTCTTAGTTAAGACTTACTGATTTCATGTAGAAGGTTGCCTTTAGTAAAAAAAATTCAAAAGCCAGAAATATTGGCCCTTTGTCTTGGCTAAAAGCTGGTAATAAAAGATTTTTAAAGAATCTTAAGATCTCTATACTTAAAAGTTGACTTAATTAAAGCTGATATTTGGCCTATATATGCGTGAATATTGTTTTAAAGCCCCCACTCTCCCTCTAAAGATTTCTTTATTGATGAAATTCTGTCTTGGATCTCCGTTTTTGTCTGTGTATTATGTGTGTTACGTGTGTGGTGTAAAAGAGCTGTAATTAATTGTCCTAAATATAAGCACTTAAACATATTGTCAGAAAAAAATAGAAACTTTAATGGATTTAGGTCATGGGACTCTAATTTCTTTAAAAAAGACAATGTAAAAGATTATTGGTAAAATAAAATAAATATATTCAAAATTTAGACATTTGGTCTAAAGTAGGCAGGCTGAACCTGTTTGCCATGTGTTTTAAGGCCATAAACTGCTTCTATGACTTTAAATAATTGTTTGACTTGTCTGTTTTATAGCCATTAGATTTTAGGTAAGGCTTAGGCCAGGTCCCCTGGCTAAGTTTGGGAGAGTTGGACACTATCTGCAGCTCTATCCTCATCCTGAGATCTGCAATCTGATACATGGTTAAAATTGCTTGTTTACCATCTTTTCCACCAAAAATAAGAGTTGCTAAAAGTTAATATTATAACATGTGCTTGAAACTACTGAAGAAAGAGTTTCACATGCAGGGTGTGTAAGGAAGGTAAAGTGTGATTTTGGTAAAAGGTGATAAAAGGTATGGGAGTATGACTTTTGTTAAAAAGATGTAATTTTGTCTAGTTCAGCAGTTTTTAAGGATTGTCCTAACCTAAAAGAGTAATGGGGGAAAAAAACTAAAGGTTCAAGCAAGTTGTGAAGAATTTGTGAAGCATTAATCTTGTGAAGGAAAGTCTGCGGGTATGAGAAAGTTGGCTAAGATTTGAAGGGCATTATTTAATTTCTCTGTAGGTTAAACAATAAAATAAAAGCACACTGATACAGGGCCAGAATCTGGGCCCATGTATTTGAGTAACAGGTTTTTCTTATAGAATTAATCTGCTGTTCAACAGAAAATTGTAAAGGGTTGTAAAAGGTTTATAAAAAGTTTGCATTATGGTCAAACTAGTTAAGATTGGATAGATTTCTTTATAAGCTTTTATTAAGAATTGGATTTAACCATTCAAACCCAGCAATCCCATTACTGGGTATAAATCCAAAGGGCTATAAATCATTCTACCATAAAGACACATGCGGGGGAGGAGCCAAGATGGCCGAGTAGGAACAGCTCCGGTCTACAGCTCCCAGCGTGAGTGATGCAGAAGACGAGTGATTTCTGCATTTCCATCTGAGGTACCGGGTTCATCTCACTAGGGAGTGCCAGACAGTGGGCACAGGTCAGTGGGTGCACGCACCGTGCACGAGCCGAAGCAGGGCGAGGCATTGCCTCACTCGGGAAGCGCAAGGGGTCAGGGAGTTCCCTTTCCTAGTCAAAGAAAGGGGTGACAGACGGCACCTGGAAAATCGGGTCACTCCCACCCGAATACTGCGCTTTTCCAACGATTTCAAAATAATAAGAGCTATCTATGACAAACCCACAGCCAATATCATACTGAATGGGCAAAAACTGGAAGCATTCCCTTTGAAAACTGGCACAAGACAGGGATGTCCTCTCTCACCACTCCTATTCAACATAGTGTTGGAAGTTCTAGCCAGGGCAATGAGGCAGAAGAACGAAATAAAGGGTATTCAGTTAGGAAAAGAGGAAGTCAAATTGTCCCTGTTTGCAGATGACATGATTGTATATCTTGAAAACCCCATTGTCTCAGCCCAAAATCTCCTTAAGCTGATAAGCAACTTCAGCAAAGTCTCAGGATACAAAATCAATGTACAAAAATCACAAGCATTCTTATACACCAACAACAGACAAACAGAGAGCCAAATCATGAGTGAACTCCCATTCACAATTGCTTCAAAGAGAATAAAATACCTAGGAATCCAACTTACAAGGGATGTGAAGGACCTCTTTAAGGAGAACTACAAACCACTGCTCAATGAAATAAAAGAGGATACAAACAAATGGAAGAACATTCCATGCTCATGGGTAGGAAGAATCAATGTCGTGAAAATGGCCATACTGCCCAAGGTAATTTACAGATTCAATGCCATCCTCATCAAGCTACCAATGACTTTCTTCAAAGAATTGGAAAAAACTACTTTAAAGTTCATATGGAAGCAAAAAAGAGCCCACATCGCCAAGTCAATCCTAAGCCAAAAGAACAAAGCTGGAGGCATCACACTACCTGACTTCAAACTATACTGCAAGGCTACATAACCAAAACAGCATGGTACTGGTACCAAAACAGAGATATAGATCAATGGAACAGAACAGAGCCCTCAGAAATAATGCCGCATATCTACAACTATCTGATCTTTGACAAAACTAAGAAAAACAAGCAATGGGGAAAGGATTCCCTGTTTAATAAATGGTGCTGGGAAAACTGGCTAGCCATATGTAGAAAGCTGAAACTGGATCCCTTCCTTACACCTTATACAAAAATTAATTCAAGATGGATTAAAGACTTAAACCTTAGACCTAAAACCATAAAAACCCTAGAAGAAAACCTAGGCAATACCATTCAGGACATAGGCATGGGCAAGGACTTCATGTCTAAAACACCAAAAGCAATGGCAACAAAAGCCAAAATTGACAAATGGGATCTAATTAAACTAAAGAGCTTCTGCACAGCAAAAGAAACTACCATCACAGTGAACAGGCAACCTACAAAATGGGAGAAAATTTTCGCAACCTACTCATCTGACAAAGGGCTAATATCCAGAATCTACAATGAACTCAAACAAATTTACAAGAAAAAAACAACCCCATCAAAAAGTGGGCGAAGGACATGAACAGACACTTCTCAAAAGAAGACATTTATGCAGCCAAAAAACACATGAAAAAATGCTCACCATCACTGGCCATCAGAGAAATGCAAATCAAAACCACAATGAGATACCATCTCACACCAGTTAGAATGGCGATCATTAAAAAGTCAGGAAACAACAGGTGCTGGAGAGGATGTGGAGAAATAGGAACACTTTTACCCTGTCGGTGGGACTGTAAACTAGTTCAACCATTGTGTAAGTCAGTGTGGCCATTCCTCAGGGATCTAGAACTAGAAATACCATTTGACCCAGTGATCCCTTTACTGGGTATATACCCAAAGGACTATAAATTATGCTGCTATAAAGACACATGCACACGTATGTTTATTGCAGCACTATTCACAATAGCAAAGACTTGGAACCAACCCAAATGTCCAACAATGATAGACTGGATTAAGAAAATGTGGCACATATACACCATGGAATACTATGCAGCCATAAAAAATGATGAGTTCATGTCCTTTATAGGGACATGGATGAAATTGGAAATCATCATTCTCAGTAAACTATTGCAAGAACAAAAAACCAAACACCACGTATTCTCACTCATAGGTGGGAATTGAACAATGAGAACACATGGACACAGGAAGGGGAACATCACACTCTGGGGACTGTTGTGGGGTGGGGGGAGGGATAGCATTGGGAGATATACCTAATGCTAGATGACGAGTTAGTGGGTGCAGCACACCAGCATGGCACATGTATACATATGTAACCAATCTATTTTAAACTCTTCCAAAAATAGAAGTAGAGAGAATACTTTCAAACACATTTTATGAAGCCACCATTACCATGATTGATACCAAATCCACACAAAAGACACTACAAGAAAATAAAATTACAGGAGTAACATCAGCAACATGGCAGACTAGAAGCTCTTATTGCTTCTAACCCCCAAAGACAGTATGAATATGAATAAACAACTACATACTTGAAGGAGAGTACAGGAATGCATCAGAAAAGTCACAGAAACTCTAATGAGCACAGAAACTCAGGATGCCTACATTGAGAATGAAAAAAAAAAAAAAATGCTGGACCTCCACTGTCCCATCCCCTACACATGATCAGCTGAGAATTAGAAGGAACTTCTCCTAATTCAGTGAGAAGGTAAACCAGAGGATCCCAATAACCCCCATCAACATATTGGACACCCACAGACCTCACCACTGGAGTATTTTAGACACTAAGCCTGACTGAGGAAGCTGCCTAGAGTCCATATATATATATGGCTGTGTTCCTTCCAGAGAAGAAGCCCACCCTGTGTCCTGCTCCCTGTGGCCCATACAGCTATTGCACTGTGCCATCTCACATTTAGAACTATGACTGGAGTGCATCTTGTTCTGGGGGCTAATAGCCACAGATCCCCTTCATGCCAGAGGTTAAGCCACTGTTGAAGCACTCCAGCCCAGTGGCCTAACATCCCCAAGCTGAGCTTTGAGCAGCTGTTACACCCTTCCCCTGTGGTGCTGAGCAGAAAAATAAGAATTGGAAGGCCCCCAAAGCCTTGACCAATGATGCTAACAACCTAAGCAACCACTGTCACAAACATCTGCAGTCTAGGCCATGGGGTCACTCATAGTTATTGATAACATTCAACACAGATAAGGAAACTACATGTAGACCATACCACTATACTAATTTGGAAACAGTCACCAATTTCTTGCCAACTGGCACAAGAATATCCAACTGGAGGGGAAAGTCTTACTTTATGAAAGCAACTCTAAAAAGTTTGAAAGAAGCAATTGTTCCACCAGATGTACAGATAACACTGAAGTGCCAAAAGAAACATTTAAAAGCAAGGAAATATGACATTACCAAAAGAACATAATAACTTGCTGGTAAAAGACATCAATGAAAAGGAAATAAATGACCTATGGAAAAGGAATTCAAACTACTAATCTTAAGGAAACTCGACAAGATAAAAGAAAATACAGACACAATTCAATAAAATCAGATAAACTTTATGATATGAATCAGAAATTCAATAGCGATAGGAATAATAATTAAAAAACAGAAATCCTGCAACTGAAGAATTCAATGAATGAAATTTAAAAAATAAAATGGACAGTGTCAATAGCAGACTTGATCGAGCAGAAGAAAGAATCTCTGAACTTAAATATAGGTCACTTAAAATTACCCAATTACAGAAAAATTAAGATATAAGAGTGAAAAACAGTGAAAAAAAAAGTTATAAAACTTATGCAACACCACTAGGTGAATAAATGTTGGAACTCAGAAGTCCCAGAAGGAAAAGAGAAGAGAAAAGGCATAGAAAACTGACTTAATGAAATAATTGCAAAAAAATCTCAAGTCTGGAGAGAGAATGGACATCTAGATCCAAGGCCCCAAAAAAGATTCAGCTGAAAGTTCCTCCCAGTGGCACATTACAGTCAAATTATCAAAAGTCAAAGAAGGAGGGAGAATTCTAAAAACAGCAAAAGCGTCAAGTCACATATAAAGAAATTGCCAGTAGACCAATAGCAATTTTCTTCACAGAAACTTTACAGGCCAGGAGAGTATGGGATAATATATTCAAAGTGCTGACAGAAAAAACTTGTCCAGCAAGAATACTATACAGAGCAAAGCTATGCTTCAGAAATGAGAGAGTAATAACATTTTTTCCACAAAAGAAACTCTAAGGACATTAAACACCATCAGACAGGCTTAAAAAGAAATACTCAAAGAAGTACTACATCTGGAGGCAAAAAGATAATAATCACTATCATGAAAACACACAAAAGTGTAAAACTTATGGGTGGGGCAGATACATAAAGGAGAAAAAGAAAGGAATCAAAGGTTATCACTACAGAAATCCACCAAAGTGCAATGACAAACAATGACAGAGGAAGAAAACAACAAAGGATATACACAACACTCAGAAAACAGTTAACAAAATCACAAGAATATGTCCTCACTTATCAATAACTCTGAGTGAAAACAGACTAAATTCCCCACTTAAAAGATAGAAACTGTCTGAATTGATATTTTTTAAATGACTCAAAAATATGCTGCTTACAAGAAACTCACTTCACCTATAAAGATATATACCAATTGAAAATGAAGAGATGATGGCCAGGCCCAATGGCTCACACCTGTAATCCCAGCACTTTGGGAGGCCAAGGGGGACAGATCACTTGAGGTCAGGAGTTTTGAGACCAGCTGGGCCAACATGGTGAAACCCATCTCTACTGAATATACAAAAATTAGCTGGGCATGGTGGCATGTGCCTGTTGTCCCAGCTGCTCAGGAGGCTAAGGCAGGAGAATCACTTGAACCCAGGAGGTGGAGGTTGCAGTGAGCCAAGAATGCACCGCTGCACTCCACCCTGGGCAACAAAGTGAAACTCCATCTCAAAAAAAAAAAAAAGAAAAGAAAATGAAGAGATGGAAAAAATATTCCACACAAATGAAAATCAAAAGCAATCAGGAGTCAGTATGCTTATATCTGATAATGTAGATTTTAACATAAAACTATAAGAGACAAAGAAGGTCATTCATAATGATAAAAGGATAAATGACTCCATGACAAAGGATCATTAATAAGGGCTCAAGTGATACGGGATCAAATGGTAAAAGATCAATCAATATACCAAGAGGGTATGACAATTCTAAATACATATGCACCCAACACTGGAACACAAAGAAATATAAAACCAATATTATTAGATTTAAGGAGAGAGATAGACTCCAATACAATTACAGTTGGGGAGCTTCAACACCCCACTCTCAGCAGTGAACAGGTCATCTACACAGAAAATTGACAAAGAAACGTTGGATTTATGCTGCACGTTAGATCAAACAAATCTAACAGACATTTACAGACTATTTCATCCAACAACTGTAAAATATAAATTCCTTTCATAAGACCATTTAAAAAAGAATGAATAAGGTTTAGTATTTGATAGCACAACAGAGTGACAGTAGTGAATAATAATTTAATTCTACATTTTTAAATGATGAAAAGAATATGATTGGGTTATTTGTAACACAAAGGATAAATGCTTCAGGTGATAGATATTCCATTTACCCTAATGTGATTATTACATATTGAATGCATGCATCCAATATCATATCAAGTATCTATTCTGTGTACAATAAAATAACACTACAAATCAATAACAAGATAAATTTTCAGCCAGGCACAGTGGCTCATGCCTGTAATCCCAGCACTTTGAGAGGCCAAGGTGGGCGGATCACGATGTCAGGAGATCAAGACCATCCTGGCCAACATAGTGAAACCCGGTCTCTACTGAAATACAAAAAATTAGCCAGGTGTGGTGGTGCATGCCTGTAGGCCCAGCTACTTGGGAGGCTGAGGCAGGGGAAATCACTTGAATCCAGGAGGCGGATATTGCAGTGAGCTAAGATCATGCTACTGCACTCCAGCCTGGCAACAGAGTGAGACTATCCTAAAAAAAAAAAAAAAAAAAAAAAAAAAAAAAAAAAAGAATTTTCTAAAACACAAATATATGAAAATTCAACAATGAGTTAATAAAGAAATTAAGAAGTAAATTTTGGGCCAGGCACATTGGCTCATGCCTGTAATCCCAGCACTTTGGGAGGCCAAGGCAGGTGGATCACGAGGTCAGGAGTTCAAGACCAGCCTAGCCCAATATAGTGAAACCCAGTCTCTACTAAAAATACAAAAAAAAATTAGCCAGGTGTGGTAGCAGGCACCTGTAATCCCAGCTACTAGGGAAGCTGAGGCAGGAGAATCCTTTGAACCCAGGAGGCGGAGGTTGCAGTGAGCCAAGATCGTGCCACTGCACTCCAGCCTGGGCAACACTGCGAGACTTCATCCCAAAAAAAAAAAAAATAGTAAATTTTAAAATTTATTGAAACAAATTAAAATAGAAATGCAACATACAAAAGCCTGGGGGATGCAGCAGAAGCTATATAAACAAGAAATTTTGATGATAAATACCTACATTTAAAAAGTAGAAAGAGTTCAGATGAAACCAACACAACATATCAACATCTATAGGACACAGCAAAATCAGTAACTGGGAAGTTTAATAGTAAGTACTCACATCAAAAAAACAGAAAGATTTCAAGTAAAACTTAACAATGAATTTCAAGGAACTAGAAGAACAAATACAAATCAAACCCAAAATTAGTAGGAGGAAAACTATAATAAGGATCACAGCAGAAGTAAATAAAATTGAGACTAAAAAACAGGAGATCAAAAAATGAAAAGCTGGTTATGTTTAAAAGATAAAAATAATCAACAGACCATTAACCAGACTAACTATGAAACAAGAAAAAAGGCACAAGTAAATAAAACCAAAAATGAAATAGTAGACATCACAACTGATATCACACAAACACAAAATATCATTAGAGACTGCTACAAATAACTATAAGCTAACAAATTAGAAAACCAACCAGAAAATATGTAAATTATTGGACACATAAAATTTACCAAGATTGAACCCAAAAGAAACAGAACTCCTGAATTGAGCAATTGCAAGTAATGAGATTGAATCTCTAATAAAATATCTCCCATCAAAGAAAAAACCCAGACTCCACTGACTTCCTTCCAGAATTCTACAAAATATTTAAGTAGAACTGATACCAGTTCTTCTCAGAGTCTTCCAAGAAATTGAAAAGAATGGAATTCTTTCAAACTCACTCTGCAAAACCAGTATATCCTGATAGAAAAACCAGACAAGGACACACGCATACAGAAAAAAAAAAAAAACTATAGGCCAATATCCATAATAAACATAGATACAAACATCCTCAACAAAATACTAGCAAACCAACCTCAACAGCTTAGCAAAATGCTAATTCACCATGATCAAGTGGGATTTCTCCCAGGAATACAAGGATTGTGAATGAAAATATACAAATCAATACTTGTGACACATCACATCAACAGAAGGAAGAACAAGAACTGTAAGATCATATAAATAGACACAGAAAATGCATTTGATAAAAGTCAACAATGCTTCATTATAGAAACTCTTAACAAACCGGGTATAGAAAGAATGTACCCCAACATAATAAAATAAATATATGGCAAACCCATCGCCAAAATCATACTGAATAAAGAAAAGTTGAAATGTCATCCTCTAAAATCTGGAGCAAGACAAGAATGGCCACTTTCATCACTTTTATTCAAAATAGTACTGGAAGTCCTAGCCAGAGCAATTAGGCAAGAGAATGAAATAAAGAGCATACAGCCTGGATAGGAGGATGCCAAATGGTCTCTGCTTGCAGATGACATGATCTTGTATATAGAAAACCCTAAAAGGACCAAGAAAAAACTCTTATAACTGATAAAGGAATTCAGTAAAGGCACATGATACAAAATCGACATACAAAAATCAGTAGCATTCCTACACATCAGCAACAAATTAGTAAAGGAAGAAATCGAGAAGTCAATCACATGTAAAATAGCCACCAAAAAAAAGAATAAATTTAACCAAAGAGGTGAAAGATCTCTACCAAAAAAGCTATAAAACATTGATGACAGAAAGTGAAGAAGACATCAAAAGTGAAAAGATGTCTCATGTTCATGATTGGAAGAATTAATGTTGTAAAAATGAGCGTATTACCAAAAGCAATCTGCAGAGTCAATGCAATCTCTATAAAAATACCAACGACATCTTCACAGAGGTAGAAAAAGCAGTCCTAAAATTGGTATGAAACCACAAAAGACTCCAAATAACCAAAGCAACCCTGAGAAAAATGAAAAAAGTTGGAGGCATAACACTTTTTGAAGTCAAAATAGACTATAAAGCTATAGTTTTTTAAAAAATAGTATTGTACTGGCATAAAAACAGACACATAGACCAATGGAACTAAATAGACAACACAGAAATAAATCCACATATTTACCATCAACATAATTTCAACAAAGGTGCCAAGAACATTTACTGAGGATTGGACAGTCTCTTCAATAAATGGTGCTGGGAAAATTGGATATTAATATGCCAAAAATATGAAACCAGACATCCATCTCTAATCATATTTTTCCTTAAATCAACTTAAAATAGCTTAAAGACTTAGAGCAGAAACTATGAAACTACTAGAAGAAAATATGAAGAAAAATTTTCAGGACATTGGTCTTGGCAAAGATTTTATAGAGAAAACCTCAAAAGCACAAACAAAAAAAGAAAAAATAAACAGGACTATAACAAACTAAAAAGCTTCGGCACAGCAAAGGAAATGATCAATAGAGAGAAGAGATGACTTGCAGAATGGGAAAGAATATTAGCAAACTATTCATCTGACAAAGGATTCATATCCAGAATATACAAGGAACTCAAACAGCTCAACATGGAAAAAACACACAAATAATCTGATGTATAAATGGGCATATTAGCTGAATAAAAATCTCTCAAAAGATGACATACAAATGGTCAACAGGTATTTTTCAAATGGTCAACATCGCCAGTCATCAGGGAAATGCAAATCAAAACCACAGTGAGCTATCATCTCACCTCAGTAGGGATGGGTATTATCAAAATTACAAAAGATAACAAATGCTAGTGAGGAAGCAAGGAAATGGGAACTCTTGCTGGTTGATAGGAATGTAAATTAGGATAGGCATTATGATATGGAGGTTTCTCAAAAAAACAAAAATAGAATTACCATATGATCGAGCAATATCATTACTGGGTATACATCCAAGAAAAAAAGAAAGAAAATTAGTATATCGAAGACATATCTGCACACTCATTTATTGCAGCACTCTCATTTATTGCAGCACTATTCACAGCCAAGATTTGACTCAACCTCAGTGTCCATCAACAAGTGAAAAGATGAAGAAAATACGGTATATATATATATATATATATATATGCAATGAGACACTAGCCATAAAAAATTATAAAATTCTGTCATTTGCATCAACATGGATTAACTTGGAGCCATTGTGTTATGTGAAGTAAGCCAGGCACAGGAAGATAAATGCTGCATGTTCTCACTCATCTGCCGAAGCTAAAAAAGTTCATCTCATAGAAGGAGAGTGTACAATAATGGTCACTAGAGGCAAGGAAAAGTTTGGGAGAGGGGTTTATAGCCAAAGGTTGATTAATGGTACAAAGTGCAACTAGATAGGAGGAATAAGTTCTAGTTTTCTATAGCACTGTAGGGTGAGCATAATTAACAATTTATTGTTAAATTACTGATAAGTCTAGTAATGTTGCAGGATACAAAATATACATACAAAAGTTGGAGACATTTATATACATTGATAATGAACTATCCAAAAAAGAAAATAAGAAGGCAATTACATTTCCAGTAACAACAAAAAGAATAAAATGCTTGAAAATAAACTTAGCCAAAGAGGTGTAATACTTGCACACTGAAAACTATAAAACACGATGAGGAAAATTAAGACACAACTGAATAAAATGACTTCATACTTTCATGGATTTAAAGAATGAATATTGAAATATTCATAATACCCAAAGTGATCTACAGATTCAAGCCAATCCCTATCAGATTCCATGAATCCCAATGGCATTTTTTATAGAAAAAGGAAAAAAATCCCAAAATATTTATGGAATCACAAAAAAGCTCAAAAAGCCAAAAGAATTCTGAGTGAGAAGATGAAGCTGGAGGTATTAACCTAAAAAATGAGAGAAAATATTTGTAAACCATATATTTGATAAGGGATTAATATCCAAAATATGTAATTAATTCATAGAACTCATTGCAAAAAACAATCCAATTAAAAATGGGCAAAGGCCCTGCATAGGCATTTTTCCTAAAAAGATATACAAATGACCAACAGATGCATGAAAAGATGTTCACCATCACGAATCATCAGGGAAATGGCAATCAAAACCACAACATACCACCTTACACACATTAGCATGGTTTCTATCCAAAAGACAAGAAATCGTAAGTGTTTGCAAAGATGTGAAGAAATTGGAACCCTTGTGCACTATTGGTAAAAATATAAAATGGTACAGCCTTTATGAAAAACAAAATGGAGGTTTCTCAAAAACTTAAAAATAGAGCTACCGTATGATCCAGAAATCCCACTTCTGGGTATATATCTAAAGGAAATAACATCAATAGATAGGCACCCCTAGGTTCATTGAAGCATTATTCATGGTCACCAAGATAGGGAAACAACCTAAATGCCTGTCAATGGATGAATGGATAAAGAAAATGTGATATATATACACACACACAAAAGCTATCTATCTGTCTGTCTATCCATCCATCTATCTTTCTATGTTTTATAAAATATACAATGGAATACTATTCAGCCTTTTAAAAAAGAGAGAAATCCTGCTCCTTTCAACAATACGGATGAACCTGTAGGACATTATGCCTAGTGAAATAGGCTAGACACAGAAACACAAATCCTGCATGACCTCACTTCTATGTAGAATCTAAAATGACTGAACTCACAGAATTAGAGAGTAGAATGGTGGTTGCCTGGGGCAAAGTGTAGCCGGGGGATGAATGAGTGAGAAGTTGTTGGTCAAAGGGTACAGAGTTTCAGCTATGCAAGGTAAGTGAGCTCTGAAGATCTAATGGACAGCGTGGTGGCCACGATTAATAATACTCTATTGTAGAGAGGAGTCCGCCTTTATCTGCAGGGGATACATTCCACAATCCCCCGTGAAAGCCTGAACCTATGCATAGTACTGAACCTTGTGTACAATATACTATGCTTTTTTTTTTTTACAATGCATCCATACCTATCATAAAGTTTAATTTATAAATTAACTGAGTGAGAGATTAACAGGTACTAATTATAAAATAGGACAATTATACCAATATACTGTAATAAAAGTTATATAAATCTGGTCATTGTCTGTCTCTGAAAATTCTTATTGTACTGCCTCACCAATTTTTGGACCCTAGTTGACCACGAGTAACTGAAACTGCAGAAAGCAAAACTGAAAAAGGGAGAAGCTGTTGTACTTGAAATTTGATAAAAATTTATATCTTAAGTAAGTGTCCTCACCAGCAAAAAAAAAAAGAAAAAGAAAAGAAAAACCTGTTTCCTACCCCTCAAAAAGTTTCTTCTGCTCTCCCTTTTTACTCAAATAATCTCCCCACCCTTAATCATTAGTAGGCACTGGTGTGCTCTTCATCCCTATAGCTTTGCCTTTTCCAGAATTGCTAATAAATGAAATCATGCAAGATGTAGCCTTTGAGTCTGGCTGACTTCAATACCTTTTTATAAATTCTAAATATGATCTTAAATCTATGATGGATATGTCAGGTACCTTGAGTATGGTGGTCACTTCACACTGTAAATATATATGTTAAAGCTGTACATTTTAAATATACACAATTCCTATTTGTCAATTATGCCAATAAAGCTGGCATAATTAAAAACAAATTTTTAGTAACTATGTAAAATTTTTTAAAAAGTTGGTAAAATTTTAAAAAACTACATAAAATTTTTTTAAAAAATTTTAAAAACTACGTAAAATAAAAAAAAAATTTTAGTAACTACGTAAAAATACATTAAATATATTGACACAGAAGAACCAGATTTCTAAAAAAACAAATTGGGTAATCTTATTTCCAGTAATTAAAACATCTGAAAAAATGAATATTAATAAAGATACATTGATACCTTTAAAATTTTAAGATTAGCCGGGTGCAGTGGCTCACGCCTGTAATCCCAGCAGTTTCGGAGGCTGAGGTGGGTGGATCACCTGAGGACAGGAGTTCGAGACCAGCCTGACCAACATGGAGGAACCCCGTGTCTACTAAAAAAATACAAAAAAAAATTAGCCAGACATGGTGGTGCATGCCTGTATTCCCAGCTACTCAGGAGGCTGAGGCAGGAGAATTGCTTGAACCTGGAAGGTGGAGGTTGCGGTGAGCCAAGATCACACCATTGCACTCCAGCCTGGCAGCCTGGGCAACAAGAGCAAAACTCCGTCTCAAAAAATAAATGAATAAATAAAATTTTAAGATCGTAGGTAGAATTTGTCAATGAGAAAATTATTGAAAGAAGCCAGACTCAAAAAGTTACATCTTACATGATTTCATTGATAAGCAGTTCTGGAAAAGGCAAAGCCACCGGAATGAAGAACAAGCTGGTGGCCACTCAGGATTAAGGGCAAGGAGACCATCTGACTACAAAAGCACAGCACAAGGAGTATCTGAAGTTAGGAAGCAACATCTCTACTGTAGTGGAAGTGCCTATGACTCCAGCCATCCATACAAAACCTACATAAGACAGAGTTCTCAAAACTCATGGAAATCCACATCAAAAAGATTGAGTTTGCTGCATGTAAATTTTTTAACATTTAAGACTCAAAAAGCTATGAAGTATTGATACACACAAGACCAATGAAGCCAAAAGATTATAAGATCTGTGAAGGAACTCAGACCAAAAATAGTGCATGTTGTATGATTCCATGTACATGAAGTGCTAGAAAATGCAAACTAATCTATACTGACAGAAAGCACATCAGTGGTTGCCTAGAAAGAAGGAAGGGGACAAAGAGGCAGGAGACAGGCACTTAAAGAGGTACAAGGAAACTTTCATAAGAGATGAATCTGTTCATATTTTGATTGTGGTGGTAATTTTCTGGTTTTTCACAACTGTCAAAAGTTACAAGTTGTACATTTTAGATATACATGCTTCTTATATGTCATTTATACTTCATTAAAGCTGTTATAATAAAAATAAAAATATACAAGATATAAAAATACAATTAGGAACAACTTAATAGAATAAGGCATGTAATAATGGAGGAATATGCACTTTTTAACTGCATGGGGATCATTTAAAAAATTGACCATGTATTAGAGTATAAAGTAGATCTCAACAAATTTCAAAGGATTTTAAAATAGAGGATATAATTTGATCTCAATGCAATTTTCATAAAAATCAATAAAAGATTACAAACTCTTCATATCTATAGAAAGTAAGGATTCAATTGGCCCACTTTTACTGTGTCACAAACAACCTGAAAATTCAATAGATTAAAATGACAATCATTGATGATCACTCATGTGCTGTAGTTTGGCTGGTGTTTCAGCTGATATAAGCTGGGCTCGGCTAGATGGTGAGCACTCAAGCTGTGGGCCTGGTAGGACTTGGCCACTCCTGTAGGTTGGGCTCAAATCTGATCAACATCTATTCATTCAGGGGCTCACCCTAAAGAACCATCACTTACTAAGGAAAAGGTAATCTCATAGTGACCACAGGGATGTGGGAAGGAAAGACTAACTGCATGGTCCTATTGAAGCAATTAACTCCCTATTGTCTGCTAACATCCCATTGTCCAAATCTAGGGACATCCTGAGCCTGATATCAATGGAGTGAGGGGAAATGGGGAACTGCACCTGAACTGGGAGGGCAGTGAGTGATGTATGGACACTGAATGATGACATGATTAGGATCATGTAAAAGACTGTCTGGCAATATAGCAGCACAAAGTAAATATTCTTGAACATTAAATTAATCTGCTAACAACTGACAAACTTACCTAAAGGGAGACATTAAAAAGAAAAATGGGAAAGACACAAATAATGAATAAATTATTTAAAAGGAGATCTCCCTAAGACCCTTCAGCCATATAAAATAAGAGTATATTCAGTAGATTGAGGTGGGAGCATTGCTTGAGCCCAGGAGTTTGAGGCTACAGTGAGCTATCATCTCACCTGTGAATAGCCCCTGCACTCCAGCCTGGGCAATATAGTGAGACGTTATCTGTTAAAAAAAAAAAAAAAAAGTAATAAAACATTAAAAAATAAGATATTATGGAAACTTTGTCTGTATTTTAAATTAGGTGAAGTGTTTAAATTCCAAGAAAAATATTCAAATACTGACATGAGAAGAAAGAGAAATCCTGCATAGTCCTTATGGGCAAACTGTGAACAGCAGGCCTAGGCTCTCTCCCTATAATTAATCCTGGAACAATGACATTGCTCTCATTTTCCTCCAGCACTGCCTCCTTAGAATGGACTTAGATCAATGAGAAATGCTGCATTTCAGGCATTGTTTATTGTGAAAGCTTTGCTTGGGGGATTGCACCTGAATTGGGAGGGCAGTGAGTGGTGTATGGACATTGAATGAAGACATGATTAGGACCATGTAAAAGACTGTCAGGAAAGCAAGGCAATGACTTTCCTGAATTAACATGGACATGGAGCTGTCCTCCAGTGTTGTAAGATATTCTGGATCAGACAGTGATACATGAACATGCCAAGGTGAGCCTCATGCACATTAATTTCAATTCCCAAATAACTATCCTCCTGAATGGTGGTGTGAAATGTTAGACTGCTGCTGCTGGACATCTCTCACCCCACCAATAACACTGAAAATGCTGAACATGCTTTTTCTTTGTCCTTTCATAAATCTAAGTTAATTTAGAGTCAGGTGAACATCTATTGTGCCTGTGAGTTTTATTACCCAGAAGAATCTGCAACTGTTGCTGGTGGCCATGCAGTCCTCTAATTATCTGTAAAATTAAATTAAAATTTTTAAAGATTTTGCAAAGAAAATCCCATGCAGATAGCTTTTCTGGAAAGTTCTGGCAAATACTTAATGAGGAAACCACTCTAACCTTACACAAATTCTTCCAAACAATAAAAAATGATGGTTCATTCTCTGTATCCATCAGTGTCCCTGCAGGAAAGAAATGGCAAACTCACATGGGACACCTGAGGAGAGTTTAATGAATGGCTCTTGGCTGTGGGGTGAGCAAAGTTAAAAGAAGCCAATAAGAAAACACCCAAGGCTAGCAAAAGCGAAATATCTAAAGGGAGATAAGGAAAAGGAGCTATTACTACAATGAACTGAGACCAGTAACTGCAGGAAAGGTCAAGCACACGGGACCTTTGACCATCAGTAGAGGGGTGCAGCTACTGTCAACCTGTAGCCCTAAGGGAAGTCAGCTGGGAG
The DNA here is from genome assembly GCF_000001405.40 of Homo sapiens. NCBI lineage: Eukaryota > Metazoa > Chordata > Mammalia > Primates > Hominidae > Homo > Homo sapiens. Next base: position 34,602,623 of record NC_000019.10, on the reverse strand, counting down.
TGAATTACTTCATCTCACCCTCCTCTTCCTTTTCATTTCCCGCCTTATCTCCAATATATCAACCCACAAAAAAACAAAGGGCAACGTAGCCGAATGATGCAATCCAGAAAAGGCCATGTTCTGGGGTATGGAGCAGGTTGGGGAAAGGGTAGACTAGATCTCTTAGAATAAGTGGAAACCGCCACTGCATCCCCTGATTCATTTAATGAGGCTGGTATAATCCTGACACCAAAATCCAACCACTCAAGGACATAGACAAAATGTTCCACACAATATATTAGCAAAGTCAATGAGATTATATATAAAAAGAATAATGATACCAATTAAGGCAGATTTATCCCAGAAATGCAAGCCAGGTTTCACATTGAAAAATCATCTGATATACTTGGACACATTAACAGAACTAAGAAAAAACTATATGCACATTTTATTAAATGTAAATAAGATGTGTTCTAAAATTCATCATCTTTCCTTTTTTAAAAAAATGCTCTTAGAAGACAGAAATAAAATAATATATCCTTAATCTAACAAAGAGTGTCTACCAAAAGTATCCTACAGTAAACTTCCTATGTAATGGTGAAATATCAAAAGCTATCCTTTTGAATCTGGATGAAGGGTATCCAGAAATACTTTTTAAAATTTTTGTAGCTTTTCATAAGCCTGAAACTGTGCCAAAATTTAAAAATTATTATAAAATAAAAAGCTGTCAAGAACAAAACACAAACAAACAAGAAACCCTTCCCCTTGGGTTCAGATACTAAACAAAAAAGCCTACTTTCACCATTGTTACCCAACACTGTGTTAGAGATTCTACAATGCAATAAAGCAAGACAAGTAAAAATCTGAGGATTGAAGAGGAATAAACAAATAGGCATTAGATAGAGTTATATATAGTCTTAGAGCATCTACAGATAAAATATTAAAAGTTTTTTTAAATGCTGAATACAAAACAATATAGAATAATTAAAATTTCCTATACAACAGCACTTACATGTATAAATGTACACTTTAAGAGAAGATAACATCTACAATGGCATTAAAATAGCAGGTGCCCTGGAATAAATAAATTAATACATTCATATGAGTGGTACAGAGATACATAGGTAAAAATTATTGAGAGAAAATAGGGAAGACCAAAATAAATGGCAACATGTACCAGCTTTATGGAGAGGAATACTCAATATTATCAAAATTTCAGTTCTCTCCAAATTGAATTCAACAAGCTGTTTCTAAACTTATATGGGAATGCAGAGGGCCAAAACCAGCAAAGACACTCTAGGAACAAGGCCAAAGTGGAAGGACTCCCTCTACCAGAGTCAAGAACTAAAGCTTTAGTGTGTAGTCAACACAGTGCCACATTGGCATAGAGACAGACAAACAGACTAGTGAGACAAAATAGAGAACTCAGAAGCAAACTACGGCCCTCTATGGTGCACTTGATTTTTGACAAAGAGGACACAGAGCAGTAGAATAAAGATTATCTTCTCCTAAATGGTACTGGGACAACAGGATATCTAAATAATTAAAAAGGTATTGGACTCTTACCCACACCTTACACAAAGTCCATTCCATGTGGATTATAGACCTCAATGGACAAAGCAAAATAATAAAGACTTTACAACTCTTTATGTAAAAGAATATCTTTATGACCATGAGATAAGAATGTTTACATAAACAAAATGCACACACACACACACACACACACCACACCCCGAGCAGAAATATAGCATTGATAAATTTAATTATAGTAAACTTTAAACTTCTTTTTATTAAAATCATTAAAACATACAAAGCTAATCCACAGTGGTGTTGGGGAAGACATTTTCAACAACTAACCAAACAAGGGCTCTTACCAAGAATATAGAAAGAACGCCTACAAATCAGTCAGAGGTGGAAAAAATAGAAAAGAACATGCAATATATAAATGGGAAGAAAGATTCCATTCACATTTCACTAAATGACGAATAAACACATGAAGAGGCCTCAACCTCATTACACCAGAAAATGCAAATGGAAACCACAGTGAGATGCCCCTGACACCTACCTACCAGATGGTTCACACAACACTGACGATACCAGATTGTGGCAATCTAGAGCAGCAGGAAATACTACAGTGTGGCTGGGGAAGTGCATTGTACAACTGCTTTCAAGGTTTCCTGTTTCCTAGGATAGTCAAGAATATGAATGCCTTATCACCTAAAATTCCACACATGGGCACAAACCCCAACAAATGTGAATATAAACGTGTACAAGACATCAACATATGAAAGCTCCCTACAGTGTTGTTCATGATAATAGAATCAGTGTACCAGGGTAGACTTAAACAATGGAGATAACAACATGGATGAATATCAACAACAATGGGGAACAAAAAAGTAAGATACGGGAGAACAGACACATTACGATCCCAGCCATATAAATTGTAAAAGAGCAAAATTAACGTTTACTGTATATGAAGATGTTTAGGTAGAAAAACCATCCACTGAAACAACAAGTTAATGGGTGCAGCACACCAACATGGCACATATGTAACAAACCTGCACGTTGTGTACATGTACCCTAAAACAAAGTATAATAAAAAAAAACCATAAAATCAGGACAGTGGTCTACTCTAGGAGGTGAGGCTGGTGCCTTGAGGGGCTCACAATGATCTTTCTTGAACTGGAGGGCGCATTGTGAGGTTTGCATTACAGTAATCACTTAAGATACACTTTACATGGTGTGTACGTCTCCATACTTGTGTTCTATGTCACAATAAAAAGATGATTAGAGGTCAGGGGAGGAGGGAAAGGGAGAAATGGGAAGTGAAGAAGGGGAGAAATGGAGAAGGAAGAAGAGAGGCAGGAAGACTGAGGAACAGGGGGAAGAGGGAGAGAACAGGGCGGGGAGGAAAAGACAGGAGAGGACAGGGAGGGAAGAGAGGATGGTGATATGGTTTGGCTCCGTGTCCCCACCCAAATCTCATCTTGAATTGTATGCCTATAATTCCCACATGTGTGGGAGGCACCTAGTGAGAGATCATTGATTCATGAGGGATTTTCCCCACACTGTTCTCATGGTAGTGAATAAGTCTCACGAGATCTGATGGTTTGATAAGGGGAAACCTGTCTTGCTTGGCTCTCATTCTGTCTCTTGCTGCCGCCATGTGAGATATGCCTTTCACCTTCCACCGTGATTGTGAGGCCTCCCCAGCCACGTGGAACTTTAAGTCCAATAAACCTCTTTCTTTTGTAAACTGCAGAGTCTCAAGTATGTCTTTATTGGCAGCATGAAAAGAGACTAATACAGATGGGGAGAAGGAGAAAGGGCGAGCTGCACCCATGTGACCTGCCTGCCCCAACTCCTCCACAGCTGGGTCGTCCTCCCCACCCATCCCACTCCTCCACCATAGATCCCTCTGCTGTGGGACTACTCCCTGCTCAGCAGGCTCACCAGCTCCAGGCCCTTCTAGAAAGCCTCATCTCTCAAAAACCTGTCCCAGAACTCTAAGGTGAACCTACAGTTGAGGGAGCTCCTCTCCCAGTATCAACCTAGCTCCCAATTCCCAGTGCAGGAGAAAAGCAAAGCAGGTGAGCTGGGAGGAGTGCAGGATTTGGGGGCAGGCCATTCTCCAGGTGCCAGCCTGGCCGCAGGGCCAATGGTGCCTGGCAGAGAACCACAGGACTTGGTAAGCAGAGGCCAAGCAGGCCCCAAGGCCAGATTTGAGTGGGAGCCAATGTGGCCACGTGGGCAAGAGGCCTGACTAAACAGCCCAGGAGTCCCATCTACACCACTGGGTCCCTGGAAGATGCTCAAGTTCCCCAAACAACTGGGGATCAGAAGCAGGGGATTAGAGTCACACTTCATCTTAGACACCAGCCCCAGCCCTGTCTCAGCCACAGAGAGGCCAGGGCACGGACCTGTCACAAGGAAGTGATTCCTGCATCACAGCACAGGCTGGAAGCAAGGCAGGAAATGGGGACTGGCAGATGCCACATGCTGTGCCTACAGGGCCACACCCAGCTGCACTCTTGCCCCTACCCTCCCTATCCCAGCAAAGCCATGCCCCATGGTTTTCCCCCTGGGTCCAGACCCCACCACCCCAAAAGCCTGGCTGAGGTGTCCAAAAATCCTCTGCAGGATGCCCAAGTTCCTCAAACAACTGGGGATTAGAGTCCCCTCTAGTGACCTCACCTTGGACAGCAGCCCCAGCCCTATCCTCAGCCCCAAGGACGCCAGGGCATGAGGCTGTCACAAGGAAGTGGGTGGCTCAAGGCCAGTGCCTGTGCCTTGGCTGAGGGACACGGCTCAGGTCGGTTTGCTCCATAATTCCCTAGACCCTACAGACCCCATTCCACGCTCTGCTGCAGCCCAGTGTGCCGCACACTGCTCTGCTGTGCCATGTTGTGTTGTGTCAAGTTGTGCCGTGGCATGTGCTGCGTCACTGTTCCTGCAAACTCCCTGTCCGGGAGCTCTAGGGCCCTGACCTCTGAGAATTCCTAGCCCCGAGTCAGCCTCAGGCAAGGCCTGCATTCTTGCTGCCTCCACTTCCCTGGCTCAGTCTTGCAGCCCCCGCTGACCCCTCTGCCACTCACCTACCACCCATCACCCCCACTTAGAAGCCAGAAAGCAGTGGGAGCAGTCTCCCCGACCCCTCCATTCTCTGCCCCCTCTGCCCCCTCACTCCATTCTCCAGGACTCTCTATCCTAACATGGCTCTTGAAAACGCCCTGACCCACCCACCAGCCCCAGGGCACCTCCTGCCCAGTTGTTTGGCACAAGAGACGCCCCCACACCGGCCCCATCATGTGCCCTGCAGGCCTCGAGGCTGCAGCATGGGATGCCTGTCTGGCCCTGGACCTGCCCTGGGCCCCGCTCTCTGCTGCTGCTCACAGGGCAAAACCAAATAATTGTTGTCTTCCCTCTGAAACGGTGGCCATGAGGGTGCAGGGAAGGCCTCGCGTCCCTCCTGTGCCCAGGCCCCTCACCCACACCCTCTGGCTGGCTGCATCTGCTGCCCAGAGCCCTTGGTCACAAGGCGCATAGCCCAGACCACAGTGATGACAAGGGAGGCACTTCCTAAGCCTAGAGATGGTCTAAACCTTCATGGAACTGCTGGTCCCAGTGCCAGCCAGAGTCCCAGGTGAGGCTGAGATGGCTGAAAGTGGTGCACGGGAGATGTCTGATATCAAACCCTCTAGGGAGGTAGATGATGTCTCCAGCCTGGTGACTTCCCTGGCCTCCAGCCACCACCACCCCCAATGTCCCCAGGGCTAAAAGTGCAAGCTTGCCCTGGCCCTGGCATAGAAAGTGCACGATCTGGTCATGTCATGCAGGTGAGGATACCTGTGTGCCAGGTAACCTCAGGTGGGCATGGTGGCTCTTGTGGGGCAGTCCTGTAACCTGCAGTGTGGTGGGTGGGATGGATGCATGTGACACAGGCAGGAACTTCCTCTCATGGCACTTGAGGACCCACATGTGGTGGGGCTGATGGGAGTCACAGGTGAGTGGCTGGGCACAGGCAGGTGATTGAGTGACAGCTGCACAAACCCCATCACTGAGCATGTCCCTCCCAGGGCAATGCAGATCAGCCACTGGGAGGGACATGCTCCAAGCCCTGGGAGGCCCAGAGGGGCCTCAGGTCCTCAGGAAGCCTCCTGGCCCTCTCTACCCTCAGAGGACCCCCCTCCCTCTAGAGACCCCTCCAGCTGGCTCCACTTGCAGCTGTGGGGGTTGAGACGGGACACAGTGCTCTGGGGTCCAGAGAGGGAAGGAAGATGGAGGGAGGGCGGCCCTCTGCTCCCAGGTCCTCTATTCCCTGACTCTGCTGCTCAGCCCCACTGCGGCCCTCTTGGAGCCCACACCTTTCAGCTGCAGTCTCCCAGCCTCTGTCCCCAGGACGAAGCCCACTCAGACAGTGCTTCTCCACTGTACCTGGCTTTTCCCCCTGGGGAGGGTCCCCAAATGGTGTAAAGTGAGGAAACATCCCCTGTCCCTGCCCTGCTGGGTCCCCACACCAGGCCTCCCCCATCTCTCCCTTTCTTTCTCAGACACAGACCCAGATGCAGAGGCAGAGGCAGCCACACAGCCCCTCCCAGCCACAATCACAACCTCATATTCATATAATCACAGACCCTCCACCCCACATAGTGGGTGGAATCCTGCCAGCGCATTCCACTCACACACACACAAAATCCCATTCTCACACACGTGCACCCAAGCCTCGTCCCGCACACACAACATGACAGGCCACAGAGCCGGCTGAGAGTCTCAGCACGCATGGACGCCTGCACTGCGCAGGTTGCAGCCCAGGCTGCAGGACCACAGGTGGCAGGGACGACACAGCAGGTGGCCGGCCAGGGAGTGGCAGTGGCCTCCATCCTCCCTGCTCAGCCACAGCCCCTGCTTCAGCGTCTGCCAGTCCAACTGTCAACTCATCCACTCAACTTTACAACTGGAATGTGGGGGCGTTCAGGGCCCTGCCACTGGTGACGGCCACTCTAAGTCCTACCCAATGCTGGGTAGGTCCTTTAAGAGGCCCAAGTCCTGGGCGCTACTATGAGGTTCTGTACGTGCACAGTGATGGCTCATGCCTGGCCGAGGTGAGCCCACTCAGTCTGGGTGGCACAGCCTAATCTAGGAACTGCTCTGCGGTTCTACATGGCTCTCAGCAGCCCAGTGAGTGTCCTCTGCACCGGGCGTGTCCCTCAGGTGCTCCTAGCCAGACCCTCCCTTGACACAGTAGGGCACAAACCGCTATTGGAGCGGCACTGGCACCCGAGTGTACAAGCGTCAGCATCCCTGCTGCCTTCCCCACCCCCAGCTGTCCCCACCTGCTGATTCTGCCCCTGGGGTCACACTTACAATTTAGGGTCCTGTCAGGAGACAAAAATCACGTGAGTGACATCAGCTCCCTCATATGTAGGTGCTGGGAAAAGGGCTTGTGGGGTGCCTGTATAAACTGGCCATAAAAATACGGGAATAAGTTGTGGAAAGCCACAAAAGGCCTCTGAGGAGGAAAGCCTCCTAATTGCCATCATGTTCCCATGCTCAGAGCAAGACCCGCTGTCTTCTCTGTAAACACTGTGCTCAGGGAGAAAGACACTTCTTTGAAACACTGGAATGTGGACAGACGTGCAGGCTCCCAGTCAAGGCCGCTCCTACTAGCTACTCTCCAACAAGTTAAAGTTATGCTGTTTGAGCACAAAGGAGACTCATTTAAACTGCTATTGCTATAGATTATGCCTGTGATGCACTGCCACCCTTTCACTGTTTCTCCCTGAACATCTGCTTCTTAGATCGAAGGGACTGTACTCAATAAATAGTGTGGAGACCAGAGCTCGGCACCTTTTGCAGCCTCCACATTTTGCACTGGCCCCCTGGCTCCCCACCTTTCACTCTTAACTTGTCTTTTCTCAATCCTTTGTCACCACCAGACTTCGGGTACCCTACGGGTAGTGTTGAGGCTGGTCCCCAACATGTAGGATCCCTTCACTGTGTCACATGTGTCCCTAACACACTTGCTACATCTCATGTCCTTTAGGTTCTGTGTTTTACTCCAGATAATGTTCTTTGAATCTAAATTACAGTTTACTGATTTCTCAAAAGCTGCACCTAATGTGCTATCCATTCAGACAGACATACTCACTTAGCAAATGTTTGTTGAGCCAGCACTCAGTGGCAGATTCTGTGCTAGGGCGTGCCAAGTGCAGACACACGTTTGCCAAGACACAGGGTCACATGTGCATGCACACTCAGACTTGCAGGCTTACACCAGTGTTCAGCCTGCTCCCAATCCCAGGGAGCTCCAGGGAGGACAGAGAGAATGTCACAACACCCAACCCCTCCCACTGCATGCTGAGTCCAGTTCCCGATACGCTGCCACCCCAACAGCATGGCCCAGGGCCGAGGGTCTCTCTGCAGACCTGCCCTGACCACATTCACACACACACACACACACACACACACACACACACACACACACACACACACGAAGAGGCATGTGCCTTGTTCAGATATACATAAAGCTCACCCATCGCCAAATTCCCTGCCTGTGCCTGCTGGGACCAGACTCCGCTGTCATGAGGGTGACATCCGCCACCTGTGCTCTTCTGCTGGCTCTGATCTGCAGCGTCCAGCTGGGTAAGAAAGAGGCGAGCAGGGCTGGGAGGAAGCGGTGGCCCTGCTCCTTCACTCTCATCACCATCCCAAGGTCTCATTGGCCATGGGAGGTTTCGCTGAATTCTGACCTCCTCTGTTTTCTTATCTCACCTCATCCTCCACAGGGGATGCCTGCCTGGATATCGATAAACTGCTTGCGAATGTTGTGTTTGATGTGTCCCAAGACCTCCTGAAGGAGGAGCTTGCTCGTTACAACCCCAGTCCCCTGACAGAGGAGTCCTTCCTCAATGTCCAGCAATGCTTTGCCAATGTCTCCGTGACAGAAAGATTTGCTCATTCAGTTGTTATTGTGAGTGTGCCCGGGGGGACCTGCACACACTACATGGCCACACGTCCCAGGCTTGCACTTCCCTGCACTTGCCTTCCATCCTGCTTTCCACGTTTTAAGCAGGAAGCCACATCCCAGGATGCGCAAAATCAGATGAAGTTCCCCACCTGCCCCAACAGGGCCCTCCTGCCTCACCTCTCCAAGTCCTCGACCCAGACGCTGCAACTCTGCAAGGGGAGAACCTCTGCCCCTGGTGCCCGGGAGAGGCCTAGGCATGCAGGGAACCACAATCACTGCACCAAAGCACTGATGATGAGTACACAGCAACACACACTCACACAGGACGCTGTTAACAGCAACACACACACCCCATGCCTGCCCACACACATGCATACACGTGTTACACCAACACATGCAGAGTCACACTCAAGCAGGAGACACAACCCACATCCACCATCTTTGTCCAGAGCCTGGGATCCCCAACAAGCAGACACACTCAAGGAGCTCCTCTGAGCTCGGGGACCGGGCAATAACGATGAGTCTGGGGAGCCTTTCACAGAGGCCACCGGCTCCTCTCTTTCTTCTTTTTCCAACAGAAGAAGATCCTTCAGAGCAACGATTGCATAGAAGCAGCCTTCTGATCTGAGGACCCCTGCAGATCAGATATTGGCCCTCCTGCCTTCCTTGGGGCTCCCCGCGTTCCTGGCCTGGCTCTGTTCATCACTACAGAGACCCCAATGAACACCTGCAGCTCAGTTCTGTGTTCTGGCATCTGTGTGGGGTTGGCTGTGACCGCATATGCAGAGTGTGACCAGGGTCCCAGTGTGAAAATATGCGACTGAGGAAAAACTCTACAGGTGTAGCATAGACATGCCTGTTTTCTTTTTGGCGGGGAGGAGGGTGGCTGGAGTGCATTGGCGCGATCTTGGCTCACTGCAGCCTCCACCTTCTGGGTTCAAGCGATTCTCCTGCCTCTGCCTCCTGAGTAGCAGAATACAGCCACACACCACCACGCTTGGCTAATTTTTGTATTTTTAGTGGAGACAGGGTTTTGCCATGTTGGCCAGGCTGGTCTCAAACTCCTGACCGCAAATGATCCACCTACCTCAACCTCCAACGTGCTAGGGTTAGAGGCATGAGCCACTGTGTCCAGTCGATATGCCTGTTTTCGGAACCCAGGAAATCAACCTTAACACACTTCTCCATCCCTACCTACCCAAGCTGTCCTTTTTTCTCCCCCTACCTCTACCCCACAACCCCTCAATGCAGAACCTCCAGGGCTCCCCAGGACTCGGGATGCTGGAGGCTGGGAAATCACACCCTCCTGGCTAAGTCACAAGCCTCAGCGTCCCCATAAATACCTGCAGCTCAGCTCTGCTCCTGGGGCTGGTGGGACCAGGCAATCTGCATGAGGCCATGGGTCTGTGTGGCCATGTCACCATGACAGGGGACATTGACATTGAGGTCACAGGGAACGAGTGCCACCCTCAAACACGGCCCCTCTCTCCCACCTCACCCCTCAGTTGATTTCATCCTCGATGGAGGTCTCAGTGGCCTTCAATACACTGATGAGGCTCCATCAACTCCTTCTGGGGGAGGTCCCTCCCCAAACCTCAAGCCCTTTCCGCAGGCTCCTTGGACCTCCCAGGCGGTGGTCGCCTACCCCTATCAGCTCACACCGCCCTAGACTCCTCCCTCTCCCTCCCACCCAGGTGTCTCTCAGATGACACCCTCCAAACCCTGTCCCTCCCTCCTGCTCAGGTCAGCGAGACCTCCATCCCTCTGAGTCTCCCTGCCTCCAGCCTCACTCCCCTTCCATGGGAATACCAGCCTGGATCTTCTTTCTCCCTGGATCTTTGAGAGCTCATTTCCCTACAAGTGCAGACCCACCTTCAGCAGGGCACACACGGCTGGCCAGGACAAGGCTCCACTGCTGACCACCCTATCTTTGCACTCCCAGATTTCCTTTCAACATTCTTCTCCTCCCTCACTCCCACTGCCCAAAATGCCCTTTCTCCCTTCCACCCATTCTCCTTGTCATCCCTCAGCCGTCATCTCCTCCAGGTCACACGTTTCAGTCCCCCATCTCAGGACACATCATCTCCCCTCTGTCCCCAGAATTGGCCTCATTTAATGCACTTTCCATCCCAGTCATCACCCATCCACTCAGCCAGGGAAGAAGTGTCCCCTGCCACACATCAGGCCCTTTCCCAGAGCCGGGCACCCAGTGGAAAACAAGGCAGGTGACGGCCCTGCTTCCCTGAAGTTCACATCCAAGGTGAAGAGGGGGTTGCAAAGCTCAAGAAAATTGTAATAGTGATGAGAACCACAAGGACCACCCAACAGGGAAATGTGATCAGGCGGGACTGGCTTGAGGTGCCACATTGGTCAGGTGGTCCCAGAAGGCATCTGAGGAGACAACATCTCCCCTGAGTCCTGAAGAACCTGAGGCAGCCACCAGGTGAAGGTCTGGGGCAGGGAATGCGGCATGATGAGAAAGGATTTGTTGTGTTGGAGAAATGGCCAGTGCAGCTGGAACAAGGGGCAGCAGGGAAGGAGGTCACGTCAGAAAACGAGGCAAGTGCCAGGTCACGCAGGACCTTGCAGAAAGGTGGATCCTTTCCATGTGCAGTGAAAAATCCTGGGAGGGGATGAGCAGGACTTACGAGGTCACACTTTCCCTGTTGGAATAGAGCAACGGGGGCGGCAGTAGAGGCAGGAAGACCAACTGGGAGTCCCTGTGGCCGTCCAGGTAGACACCGTGGCCTTGTCACAGTGCAGCCCTGGAGAGACACGAGGGAGACAGAGGCTGGGGCAGCACTGACAGCACCTGCTGTTGAATTGAATATGGGGAGAGGATGTGGAGAGAAGGGGAATCAAAATGATCTCATCACATTTGGGCTGGAGCAGCTGGCTGGATGTGATGCCACTGCTGAGAAGGTGAAGCCTGGGGAGGAGCAGGTTTAGGGCAAAGATCCAGAGTCCCATGCTGGCCTGGATAAGTTTCCCACATCCAAGACATCCATTAGCTATCCAGGAGGACGGGACACAGGGGGTGTGAGACGCTCTAGTTTGGAGCTCATGGAATAGTTGGGCCTGGAGACAAAAACATGTAAATTTCAGCATTTCAATGGAATTTAAATCTGTGGAGCTAAAGAAAATAATGCAGATCATGCTACTTATTCAGTCTCAATTAAAACTCAGCTTGTAGCAATCAAAGATGGAGAGTTTCAACCAGAAGTAAATGAAAAGAATTAGAAATGCCCTGAGAAATTTGGACAAACATGTTATTGATATAAATACTTTGAGATGCAAAAGCATTTCACATGTGTTTGAAAGAATAAGGAAAATGTTAGAAAATAATTGTCACTGAAGATGAGTCTACCCATGATCTGTCAGTTGTCCTGAAATTGAGTAATTTCTTAAAATGACAATGTCCTGTGAGTTTACTTTAACTAAAATGCTTACGACTCTGTTATTCTTAATGATATGTGATGATCTCTGTATTGTTGGTATAAGGAATTATATTCCCTACTTGTATGTTTCATAGAATATTGAATTTCAGCCATAACTTAGTAATATTAACCTAGCACTATATGGAGCTTCTCCGGCACCCACAGAAATGCCTCATCCACATCCTCTTCAACAAGAGTCTTGCTGCCCAAATGTAGGAAGTGCTGTCTCTGAAACAGATAAAAGAATGGAAGGATAGATGGATAGCTGGACAGATGGATTGTTGGATGGATAGGTGGATAGATGCATCTATGGATAGATGATGGATGGATGGATGAATGGATGAATGGATGGATGGATGAACGGATGGATGGATGGATGGATGGATGATGAGTGCATGGATGGATGGAAAATAGAATCATAGCTGAGATCCATGTTCCATTTGAGAGAGGTCAGGTCACGACATGAGGACACCTGGGACCTCCTCCAGGCCCTGTGTCCTTGGGCTGTGCAGGACCTTGGAGGTGGAAACCATACCCCTTCTGTCTTCAGTCCTCTCCTGTGTAATGTGAGAAAAGTGGGCCAGGTAACATCCTCAGGTGTGGTCTAGGGACAATAGGCTTCAAAGCCATTCTCAAGGTTGAAATGGGGTCATACCCACATTCCTGGTTTCCCAGGCCTTGGATCCAAGGACATACTCAGAGAACTTGTGATGAAGAAATGAGTAAACAATGAGCAGGTGGTTTTATGTCCTTGTTGACTCTGACCTGGATTATGGCAGCTGCCTCCTTCCTCTAGGACCAACTCCCTGGGCTCCAGGCCATCCCCACAGCTGCCAGAGTGACCTTCCCTGCACTCCATGGCAGCACCTGCGGCTCCAGGAAAAGCCCTCGGGGGCTCCTGATCCTCCTTCCTCAGGATAAAATGCAGGCCCTGTGCAGGTCATTGGAGGCCCACATCTTCTGTCCCCACACCTGCCTTGAACTCACCCTCCTCCTCCATCATCCACACTGCCCTGGGATCTGGTCCATGACTGTAGGTCTCACCCCCTAGGCTGCAGCACAAAGGGTCACCATGATGACAAGCCCTTCTCCACTGAGCCTGTGTGGGGAACCCTGGCCCATCCTGCCAGCTCCCCCTCCACTCCTCCCTGCAGCCTCCAACTCTGTTCATCTCCCCTCACCCATGACAGCCAGAGCCCCTGGAGGCCTAAGTCCACCTTGCTGCTGGGTTCCTTGACCTACTAATAGGATACAAAAGGCACAGGGACATTTTAATGCCTTAAGTGCAAGTGAGACCCCTCAGACCTGTCACTCAGGTCCAGGGGCCTCCCAGGACTCCTGAGCAAAACCTCTGCCAGGCTCCCACCAACTCAGAGCTGGCCTCCTGCCCTGGCTCTGAGCCACTCCCTGGTAGAAGACAGGCCGTTGAGCCATCCTCTCTGCCCTGACCAGTGCTCCCCACACCTCCCTTTAGCTCAGTCCCATTTACCTCTCCTGCCTGAAGTCAGCCTCCCACACCCTTCAGAGCCACCTCACAAGGTCACTCCAGTCTTAGGTGGGCAGTACGTCTAAGTGTTGACCTTCCCATAGCCTCCCTCCAACCCCTAAGTCATTGCCCAGAATGCAGAGGTGACCTCTTACAGTCCAGGTCTCATCACGTCACCACACACCCCAGACACCTACCCATATCTCTCAGCACAGAGTCCATACCCAGTGCCAGAACACACAATAGGCAGGACCCAGCCTGCTGACCTTGAGACCTGATCCTCCACCCTCCCTCTGTACACCCCAGCTTTCCACTTTGCTGGGCCCCATCTCTCAGGTTTCTTTTTGTCTCTGACCTCTGCCAGGGTGGTTCCAACACTTGACCTTCTCCAGGTCTCCTTCTCCAAGTCAAGAGTGAACTCTTAGCACCCCCATTTCCTTCTCCTCCATCCATCGGTCACCCCATATGTGCCCTGAGGAGTGTGACCAAGTCACCAATGCCCTGTGTGTCTCCTGCATGGGCTCTGCGTGACTTCACTAGACACTGGGTCATGTTGGTTGAGTGCACAGGACATCAGCAGAAAGTCTAGTGAGAGAGGGACTGGAGCGGGAGATGGAGCATCCGACCCCTGTGGGGTGGCAAGCCCTGGGGCTGAGCATGCCAGAGGTCTGGAAACTCACCAGGCCTGACATTTACCTTTCTGTTTTAATTCCAAAAACCTATGCAGGTTAGGGATCTTCAAGCCGAGTCAATAGCAATAAGAAGCATTTCCTGGTGCCACTCGGCCAAGCCTCCCGCCCACCTGGCCCGGCCTGACTCACACTGGTATGCGGACCTGTGGCCTGGGTGACGGCCACATCACTGAGGAAGGAAGTGGGCCTCAGCTAGGGGTGAATTTTCATGATTAGATTTTCTCTCATTAGAGGCTGTCATGAACAACAATACAACCACCAATTTGAAAACCTAGCAGAAATGTATAAATTCCTGGAAAAATACAACCTTCCAAGATTGAACTGAAAAGAAATCAAACTTTTGAACAGACCAATTACAAGTGACAAATTGAATCTGTAATAAAATGTCTCCTATCAAAGAAAATTCCAGACTCCAATGGCTTCACTGCAGAATTCCGCCAAATATTTAGGAGGAATTAATAGCAATTCTTCTCAAACTCTTCCAGAAAATTGAAGAGTATAGAATTCTTCCAAATTCAGTTTACAAGGCCACCATTATCCGGATATCAAACTCAGGGAAGGACACAACAACAAAGAAAACTATAGGCCAATATCACTGATAAACGTGGATGCAAACATCCTCCCCAAAATACTGGCCAAACAAATGAAGCAGCACATCAAAGTGATCATTCCTATGCCAAGTGGAATTCAACCCAGGGATGCAAGGATGGTTCCTGACACACAGATCCACAAATAAGACACATCACATCAACAGAATGAGTACAAGAACCATATGAACATCTCGATAGGTGCAGAAAAAGCACGATAAAATTCAACAGTCCTTCATGGTAAAAACTCTTAACAAACTGAGTATAGAAGGAATGTAGCCCAACACAATAAATCGATGTATGGCAAGCCCACAGCCTATTCACATCATAGTGAATAGGGAAAAGTACAAAGCTGTTCCTCCAAGATCTGGAACAAGGCAAGAATGTCCATTTTTGCCACTTTTATTCAATGTAGTAATGAAAGTCCTAGCCAGAGCAATTAGGCAAGAAAAAGAAACAAAGGGCATCCAGACTGGAAAGGAGGATGTCAAATTGTCTCTGCTTGCAGAGGACATGATCTTATGAACAGAAAACCCCAAAAGCACCACCAAAAAACTCTCAGAACTGATCAATAAATTCATTAAAGGTGCAGGATATAAAATCAACATACTAAAATCAGTACCATTCCTGAACATCAACAATAAACTAGAAAAGAAAGAAATCAAGAAAGTGTAATGACACTTGATACCTTTAAAAATGTAAGATCATAATTAGAATTTGTAAATGATCAAATTATTAAAAGATGCGAGACTCAAAAAAACTACATATTGCCGGGTGTGGTGGCTCACACCTGTAATCCCAACACTTTGGGAGGCCGAGGCAGGTGGATCATCTGAGGTCACGAGTTCCAGACCAGCCTGACCAACATGGAGAACCCCATCTCGACTAAAAATACAAAAAATTAGCCAGACATGGTAGCACATGCCTGTAATCCCAGCTACTCGGGAGGCTGAGACAGGAGAATCGCTTGAACCTGGGAGGCAGAGATTGCGGTGAGCCGAGAGCACGTCATTGCACTCCAGGCTGGGCAACAAGAGTGAAACTCCGTCTCAAAGAACAACAACAACAACAACAACAAAGCTACATATTGCGTGACTTCATGATAAGCAGTTCTAGAAAACGCAATGGTATCAGAATAAAGAATGAACCAGTGGCTGCTCAGAATTGAGGACAAGGAGAATATTTCACTACAAAAGCACAGCACAAGGAATATTTGAAAGTAAGAAAATGGCATCTCTATTGTGGTGGTAGTGCTTGAGATTCCAGACATCAATACAAAACCTGCAGAAGGCACAGCTGTCAAAACTCATGGAAATAAACGTACATCAAAAATAGTGAGTATCACCGTATGTAGTTTTTTAAATTTAACATTCAAAAAAGGTATAAACTATTCATACACATGACACAGATGAACCAGAAGGACAACACTCTCTGAAGAAATAATAACATTCCATACTGTATGATTGAATTTACATGAAGCAAATTAATCTATACTGACATAAAGCTGATCAGCGGTTGCCTAGAGAGGAGGAAGGGATTAAGGAGATGCAGGAGAGGGTGTTACACAGAGGAACAAGGAGGCATTTGGAAGTGAGGGATGTGTTCATTATTTTGATCATTATGGTGGTTCTGATTTTTGCAACTGTCAAAAGTCACAAATTATGTACTTCAGATATACATATTTGTTATATGTCAATTATACTTTATTAAAAGATATTAAAACAAAATAATTTAATTTAATAAACATACAAGATTTTAAAGTACAATTAGAATCAACTTAATAGATTAATGAAGAGAAGAACATTAAAAAGAGACATTTACTTTATAATTAAAATGATAATAGCCCTTCCCCAAAACTCAACTGTGTTTATAAAGCTAATGAGAGACCATCAAGCTAGGAGGATAGTGCCTGATGGTCCCTCTTAATTTGGCCAAGGTATAGACATAAACAAAAATTATAAACTATACACTTTAGGTATATGTAATTGTTATATGTCAACTATACTTCAATAAAGCTATTAAAACAAAATAACAACTTTAATAAACATATGAAATAATTGCCACCAATTATTCTGGATTTCACAGATATGCAACTTCCCCAGTTACTTCTGCAGATACCATCACTATGGTAGAACCTGAGATTGGCTTTTGGAGATGTCTTTTCAGGTTTTCTTTGTGTGTCTAACACTGATGGCTCCACCTGGATCCATTAGCCACTCCTGTGGCCCCATCCAGAAGTGACTCCATGCAAAAAGACAGCTTTGACTCCCTATTCTTTCGTCTTCAACCCAAGCCCTCACCACTCCATATAACCAAGTCCCCTGCCCACCAAGCATCTTTGAAAATCCCATAGCTTCTGAGCCTTCAATGAGATCATTTTGATGATAACTCTGTCTCCTACATGGCATGGCCAGCCTCCCATCAATTAAACTCTTTCTTTACTGCAATGTTATGGTCTCTGTGAATTGATTTTGTTTGTGGAGCAGGCGGGAAGAACCCGTCGGGCGCTTACACCACTCCAATCTTATACAAATTCTTCCAAAGCATAAATAATGAGGGTGCATTCCCTGTACCACTCAATGTCCCTGCAGGAAGGAAATGGCACACTCACACAGGATACATGACAAGAGTTTAATGAATGACTATAAACAAAAAATAAAATTCTAAGGCCCGCAACTATCTGAATGGAACCCTTCTCTTGACCAAGGGCATTCAAAGTTAACCTAAAAAACTAGTTCAGGTCATAATGGAAGGAGGGGTCAGATATGCCTCATTATACCTATCTCTCTTTTGGAATTCAGGAAAAGCTGACCAGGATTTAACATCAACACAGACCTTAAGTCTGATAAGAAATATTTACAATCTATTCTCTCTGAAGCCTGCTACCTGGAGGCTTCATCTGCATGATAAAAACCTTGGTCTCCACAATCCCTTATCACAACCCAGACATTCTTTTCTATTGGTTCACTCTTTGAACCAACTGCCAATCAGAAAATTTTTAAATCTACCTACTACCTGGAAGCCCCCCCATCCCCACTTCAAGTTGTTCTGCTCTTCCAGATCGAAGCAATGTAAATCTTACATGCATTGATTGATGTATTATGTCTCCCTAAAATGTATGGAAGCAAGCTGTATCCTGACCACCTTGGGCACATGTCCTCAGGACCTCCTGAAGCTGTGTCATAGACACATCCCTAGCCTTGGCAAAATAAACTTTCAAATTGATTGAGACCTGTCTCAGACACCCCTGGGTTCACAGGCTTATGGCTCTGCTGTGAGCAAAGTAAAGGGAAACCAATAACAAAATGCCCAAGGCAAGCAAGAGCAAAATATCTAATGGGAGGCAAGGAAAAGAAGCTTTGCTACAATCCAGTGAGACCTGTAACTGTAGGAGAGAGCGAGCTCCCAGGACCTTCGGCCACCAGGATAGGAACGCAGCCATGGCCAACCTGTAGTCCTGAAGGAGGGCAACTGGGAGTGAGTCCCCTCATCTCACTCTCCTCTTTCCTTCAGTGCCCTGCTATATCTCCAATGTGTTGACCCACAAAAACCAAAGGGCAATGTAGCCCAATGATGCAGTCCACAAAAGGCCATGTTCTGGGGTACAAAGCAGACTGGGGAAAGAAGAAGACTAGATCTGTTGGAATAAATAGAAATTACCACTACATCCCCAATTCATAATGAGCTGGTATCATCCTGACACCAAAATTTAACCACTCAAGGACATAGACAAAATGTACCATGCAAGGTATTGGCAAAGTGGAATAAATTACATTTAAGAATAGTGTATGCTGATAAAGGAGGATTTACACCAGAAATGCAAGGTAGCTTTCAAATTAGAAAATTATTTGATGTAACACTTTCACAGAACTAAGGGGAAAAAAACTGTACACACAGTTCATTAAATGCAAGTGAGATGTGCTATAACATTCATCTTTTCTCGATTTAAAAAATTATCTGACGCAGGATGCAGTGGCTCATACCTGTCATTGCAGCATGTTAGGAGGCCAAGGTGGGCAGATCACTTGAGCCAGTAGTTTGAGACCACATTGGGCAACAGGGTAAAACTCTGTCTCTAAAAAAATTACAAAAATTAGCCAGGTGTGGTGGCACCCACCTGTAGTCCCAGCTACTTGGGAGGCTGAGGTGGGAGGAGTCCAGGAAGTTGAGGCTGCAGTGAGCCAAGACCACACCACTGCACTCCAACCCAGGTGACAAAGCAAGACCCTGTCTCAAAAAAGATTTAAAAATCCCCTTAAAAAATAGAAATAGAATGATATATCTTTAATCTAGCAAAGAACATCTACCAAAAATATCTTACGTTAAACTTCCTATTTAATGATAAAATATCAAAAGCTATCCTCTTGAATCTGGATGAAGGGTATCCAGAAATATTTATATATAATGTTGTGTAACTTTCTTATAAGCCTAAAATTACGTGAAATTTAACAATTTATATAAAATACAATGCTGTCAAGAGCAAAACAAACAAAAAAGTTCCTCTTGAGTTTAGATACTAAACAAAAAGCCTGTTTTCACCATTGCTATCCAACATTGCACTAGAGATTCTACAAATGCAATAAAGCAAGACAAGTAAAATATATGAATATTGAAGAGGAAGAAACAAATACACGTTGATATATTTATATAAATAATCTTAAAGAATCTACAGAGAAAATACTAAAGAGTCTTCGAATCCTAAATACAAAATAATATAGAATAATTAAAATTTTCTATATAGCAACACAAACATTTATAAACCTACACTTTAAAAGAATGTAACATTTACAATGGCATTAAAAAGAACAGATGCCTTGGAATCAATCAATTAATACATGTATAAGAGCACCATAGAAATATATATGTAAAAAATTATTGAGAGAAAATAGGGAGAATCAAAATAAACGGCAACATATCCCAGCATTATGGAGAGGAATACTCGATGTCATCAAAACTTCAGTTCTCTCCCACATTGAATTCAAATAGCTGTTTCTAAACGTCTGGCACCGCAGAGGGTCAAAAACAGCAAAGACACTCCAGGAACAAGGCCAAAGCGGAAGGACCCCCTCTGCCAGAGTCAAGAACTAAAGCTTTAGTGTGTACTCAACATAGTGCCACATTGGCATACAGACAAACAGACCAGCGACATGAAATAGAGAACTCAGAAGCAAACTATGTCCCTCTATGGGGCACTTGCTTTTTGACAAAGGGACATTGAGAATAATGGAATAAGGGCCATCTTCTCCAAAACCAAATTTGTCCAATCTGCAGCCCGCAGGATGCTTGCGGCCCAGGGTGGCTTTCAATGCGGCCCAACACAAATTTGTAAACTTTCTTAAAACATTATGAGATTTTTGCGATTTTAAGTTTTTTTAGTTCATTAGGTATTGTTAGTGTTAGTGTATTTTATGTGTGACCCAAAACAATCCTTCTTCCAGTGTGGCCCAGGGAAGCCAAAACATTACACACTCCTGTCCTAAACAGTACTGGGACAGCAGGGAATCTATATAATTTAAAAGTAAGAGGACTGTTACCCACATTTCACACAAAAGTCAATTCCATGTACCTTAGAGACCTCAATGGACAAGGCAAAAGAATAAAGACTTCACAAGTATTTATGTAGAAGAATATCTTTATGACCATGAGATGAGAATCTTTTTTCCAAAGCAATAAAACCACATTAAGAAATAAAAATAAAAAGATAAGACTATTTATTAAGCAAAACACACACACACAACATCAAGCAGAAAGGAAGCGTTGATAAATTTCATTACAGTAAGCCTTATACTTCTGTTCAATAAAAACCGTCAAGGGAATACAAAGCTAATAATCCCCAGTGTTGCAGAAGGCATTTTAAATAAATAACCAAACAAGGGCTCTTATCAAGAAAATACTGGCCGGGAGTGGTGGCTCACGCCTGTAATCCCAGCACTTTGGAAGGCTGAGGCGCGTGGATCACCTGAGGTTAGGAGTTCAACACCACCCTGGCCAACATGGTGAAACCCTACCTCTACTAAAAATACAAAATTTAGCTGGGCCTGGTGGTGGGTGCTTGTAATCCCAGCGACTCGGGAAGCTGAGGCAGGAGAATAGCTTGAACCCAGGAGGCAGAAGTTGCAGTGAGCCGAGATCACGCCATTCCACTCCGGCCTGGGCAACAAGAGTGAAATTCCATCTCAAAAACAAAAAAAGAAGATAGCAAGAACTCCTCACATTGGGAGGTCGAGGCGGGTGAATCACCTGAGCTCAGGAGTTCGAGACCAGCCTGGACAACATGGCGAAACCCCATTTCTACTAAAAATGCAAAAATAAGCCACGTGTGGTGGCATGCGCCTGTAGTACCAGATACTCAGGAGGCTGAGGCAGAAAGATCACTTGAGCTCAGGAGGTTGAGGCTGCAGTGAACTGAGATCATGCCAGTGCTCTCCAGCCTGGGCAGCAGAGAGAAACCCTGTCTCCAAAAAAAAAATATATATATATATACAAAAAACTCCTACAAATGACCAGAGATGGAAAAAAGAAATGAACATGCAATATATAAACGGGAAAAAAGCCCTCTACTCACACTTCACTAAATGACCAATAAACACATAAAGAGGCCTCAACCTCCTTACACCAGAAAATGCAAATGGGAACCCAATGAGATGCCCCTGACACCTGCCTACCAGATGGTTCACTCGACACTGACGATACCAGCCTATGGCGATCTAGAGTGGCAGGAAATACTACAGTGTGGCTGAGCGTGTGCATTGTATAACTGCTTTCAAGGTTTCCTGTTACCTAAGACAGTCAAGAATATGAATGCCTTATCATCTAAAATTCCACACATGGGCACAAACCCATACAAATGTGAATGTAAATGTGTGCCAGGACATCCACACATAAAAGCTCCCTGTAGTGCTGTTCACGATAATAGAATCAGTACACAATGGTCGATGCTTTTAAACCATAAAGAGAGCAATGTGGATTGATACCAACAAAAATCTTGAACAAAAAAGTAAGATATGGGAGAACACACACATGGTGACCACGGTTATAAAAACTGTAAAAGAGTAAAATTAACACTTATTATATGTGAAGATGTTTAGGTAGCAAAACCGTCCACTAAAACAACAAGAAACCACAAACTCAGGACAGGGGTCAACTCTAGGCAGTGAGGCTGGTGCCGGGAGGGGCTCACCATGACCTTTCTTGAACTGCAGGGGTATTGTGAGGTTTGCGTCACAGTCATCACCTAAGATACGTTTATATGGTGTGTCCTAGTCTGTATTTGTGTCATATGTCATAATAGAAAGATGAGAGGTGAGGGGAGGAGGGAAAGGGAGAAATGGAAAGTGAAGAGGAGGACAAATGAATAAGGAAAAAGGGACAGGAAGATGGAGACACAGAGGGGAAAGAGGGACAGAACAGGGCAGGGAGGAAGAGACAGGAGAGGACGCGGGGGGTGTGGGAGAGGATGGGGAGAAGGAGGGAGTGTGAACTGCATCCGTGTAACCTGCCTGCCCCAGCTCCTCCACAGCCGGGTCGTCCTCCCTGCCCACCCCACCCCTCCACCGTGGGTCTCTCTGCTATGAGACCACTCCCCACTCAGAAGGCTGTTGACCTCCAGCCCCTATCCAGAAAGTCTCACTGCCCAAAACCCTGCCCAGAACCCTAAGGTGAAGCCACAGTTGAGGGAGCTCCTCCTCCAGTGTCAACCTGGCTCCCACCTCCCAGTGCGGGAGAAAAGCAAAGCAGGTGAGCTGGGAAGAGTGCAGGATTTGGGGACAGGCCATTCTCCAGGTGCCAGCCTGGCCGGAGGGCCAACGGTGCCTGGCAGGGAACCACAGGGCTCAGTAAGCAGAGGCCACACAGGCCCCAAAGCCAGATTGCAGTGGGAACCAGTGTGGCGAGGTGGGCAGGGGACCTGGCTGAGGTGCCCAGAAATCCCATCAGCACCACTGGGTCCCCTGGAAGACGCCCAAGTTCCCCAAACGACTGGGGATTAGAGACAGGGGATTAGAGTCAGACCTCACCTTGGACAGCAGCCCCAGCCCCATCCTCAGCCCCAGGGACACTAGGGCATCCAGCTGTCCCAAGGAAGTGGGTGGCTCAAGGCTGGGGGCCTGTGCCTTGGCTGAGGGATGCGGCTCAGGTCAGTTTGCTCCATGATTCCCTGGAGCCTACATGACTCCCTGGACCCTGGGCCATGCTCTGCTGCAGCCCAGTGCACCGCACGCTGCTCTGCTGTGGCAGATTGTGTTGTGTCGAGTTGTGCTGTGTTGTATGCTGCATCACTGTTCCTGCAAACTCCCTGTCCAGGAGCTCTAGGGCCCTGGCCTCTAAGAAGCCCCAGTCCCGAGTCAGCCTCAGGCAAGGTCTGCATCTCTGCTGCCTCCACTTCCCTGGCTCAGCCTTGCAGCTCCCACTGCACTCACCTACCACCCATCACCCCCACTTAGAGGCCAGGAAGCGGCAGGAGCCGTCTCCCCCATCCATCCATTCTCTGACCCCTCTGCCCCCTCCCTCCATCCTTCAGGACTGTCTATCTTAACATGGCTCTTGCAAACGCCCGGACCCACCCACTGACCCCAGAGCACCCCCTACCCATGTGTTTGGCCAGGGGACATCCCCACACCGGCCCCATCACGTGCCTGGTGGCCCCGAGGCTGCAGCAGAGGGTGCCTGTCTGGCCCTAGACCTGCCCTGGGGCCTTCTCTCTGCCACCGCTCACAGGACAAACCCAAATAATTGCTGTCCTCCCTCTGAAATGGTGGCCATGGGGGTGCAGGGAAGGCCTCCCATCCCTCCTGTGCCCAGGCCCCTCACCCCCACACTCTGGCTGGCTGCATCTGCTGTCCAGAGCCCTTGGTCACAAGGCATGCAGCCCGGACCACAGTGATGACAAGGGAGGCCCTTCCTAAGCCTAGAGATGCTCTAAACCTTCATGGAACTGCTAGTCCCAGTGCCAGCCAGAGTCCCAGGTGAGGCTGAGGTGGCTCAAAGTGGTGCACGGGAGATGTCTGACATCAACCCTCTCCAGCCTGGTGACTTCCCTGGCCTCCAGCCACCACCCGCCCCACAGTGTCCCCAAAGCTGAAGATACAAGCTTGCCCTGGCACTGGCCCTGGCATAGAAAGTGCATGATCTGATCATGTCATGCAGGTGAGGATACCTGTGTGCCAGGTAACGTCAGGCTGGCATGGTGGCGCTTGTGGGGCAGTCCTGTAACCTGCAGTGTGGTGGGTGGGATGGATGCATGTGACACAGGCAGGAACTTCCCCTCACGGCACTTGAAGACCCACATGTGTATTGGGTGGGGCCCATGGGAGTCACAGGTGTGTGGCTGGGCACAGGCAGGTGACTGAGTGACAGCTACACAAACCCCACCACTGAGCACGTCTCTCCCAGGGCAAAGCAGATCAGACCACAGGCCCAGCCCTGGGAGGCCCAGAGGGGCCTCAGGTCCTCAGGGAGCCTCCTGGCCCTCTCTGCCCTCAGAGGACCCCCTTCCTTCTAAAGACCCCTCCAGCTGGCTCCACCTGCAGCTGTAGGGGTGGGAGGGGGACACAGTGCTCTGGGGTCCAGAGAAGGAAGGAAGATGGAGGGAGGGCGGCCCTCTGCTCCCTGACGCTGCTGCTCAGCCCCCTGCAGCCCTCCCGGAACCCACACCTTTCAGCTGCAGTCTCCCAGCCTCTGTCTCCAGGATGAAGCCTGCTACTTAGCTGGCTTTTCACCTCCAGATGGCATAAAGTGAAGAAGGGTCCCCTGTCCCTGCCCCGCAGGGCCCCCACACAAGACTCTCCCATCACTTCTTGTCTCTCTCAGATGCAGAGGCAGAGGCAGCCACATGCCCTGTCCCAGCCGCAATCACACCCTCATATTCATATAATCACAGACCCCCACCCCACACAGTCAACACCCCAACCTCAGGTGCCACACACACACACCCCACACGCTCCCACCAGCGCATTCCACTCACACACACATATCCCATTCTCAAACGCGTGCACCCAAGCCTCGTGACGCACACACGACGGGGCAGGCCACAGAGCCAGCGGAGTCTCAGCGCGCATGGAAGCCTGAACCGCGCAGGGACGCGCCCAGGACCGCGCCCAGCCAGGGGTCCCCGCCTGCACATCAGCTGCCTGGATCCAGCACCATGGGAGGGGCTGGGGGCGGGGCAGGGGCGGGGACCCGCAGATGCAACCTGCTACGCTGGAGTGCCACAAACCCCACTACCGCCCCTACCCTCCCTGTCCAGCCAAGCCACGCCACCCGGGCCCGCCCCCAGGACACGGAGTTTAAGGACCGCGTCTCCCGAGATGCCAGAGGGACCTGCGTCCGCACTGCCCCAGTGTGACCCGCATACCTACCGGCCCCGACCCCGAACCGCGTGGCGTCCGCCCGAGCCCTGGCGCTGCTGGGTCTCCTGCTGCTGCCGCTGCTCGCAGGTAGGCCCCGCCAGGGAAGCCCGGGCCGCGCTGCAGCCCCGGGGCACCCACCCCTCCCTGATCACACGCTCCTACTCTCCCCGCAGAGCCCAGGAAACTCTGCCCGCAGCTTATGACGGTCATTAACCAGTTTCTGACCAAGGACAAGGACACCTACATGGACACTGTCAACAGATACCACCTCACGGAGCCGGAAAGAAACACATCCTCTAAACTCAAGGACTGCGTGACCGACACAATGACCCCCGAGGAGACAGAGGCCGTCGTGCAGCAACTGGTGAGTGCAGCAGGGCCCGGCCACCAGCGCCACCCCACAGCCCTTGACCTCCTTTGAGAGCAGGGACTCTGTTCCCTGAGAGCCTCTCTCTCCACCCAAATACCTCCCCACCTCTCACCAAGCAACCACCTCTCACACGGGCAGCTGCCCAGGGACAAGACCTCAGGGCGCTGGACCTCCGCGCTCTGATGCTCAGCCTCCGCAATCAACCCCATCCTATCCCTCCTTCCCCAGAAGACCCCTCCCTTCGGCCTCCCACCCCTCCCCACAGGAAGAAATCAACAACCAGTGTGCCGACACGATACTGAAGTAACACCATCCATAGGCACCTCGGGTTCCTGTCCAGGCTGCCTGTCCCAACCATGAGAATCTGGGCCCAGGGCCCCACCCTCCCTAGCTCCCGCCCTGCTGCTGCCTCTACTCTCTCTCCTGCTGTGCTGATTGGGGCAAGCCTGGGAACGGCTGCCCCCCACCTCCCCACCCAGGCCTGTCCCCTGCGGGACAATGCTGCCTAATAAACTCACCTGCATCCATCCAGCTTCTGTGTGTGTTCTTCAGCCAAGGGGGAAGTGGGAGGGACTGACCCCAGAAGGGCGGGTGGAAGGGCAGGCATCTCTCAGAGAGGCATGGGACAACCTGATGGGGTATCCCCACCCCACTGCCCCTTCCCTGCCTCAACCGTCACCCTCCACCTTCAACACTGCCCCTGCCATCTGCAGCTCCACCCCCGACTCCACCCCCACCCCAACTCCAATGTCAACTGCCACACCCACCTGGCCAGAGGGTTCCCTGCTCAAGTCCTCTGGGTTCCCTGCAATCTGCGACCACACCTCCTTCTCCTCAACCTGGAATTCAGCTTCCCCAGCTCTGACCTCAACCTTCCCGTGCTTCCCCCACCAGAATCTCCCTTGCTCCCCATCCCCAGTCATCTGTTCACACCCATTCAGCATTGACCATGCCCCCTCCTCAATCCCATATCAGGGCATCAAAAGCCCCAAGCATCCCTGATCTAGATCCCACATCCAGCTCTACCCCCCAACTCTCCCATCCAGGGCCTACACCACCCAGGAGCCTTTCAAGGGGGGGGTCCTCATCCATTTGTACGCAGCCCCCAGTGGGATGCAGAGACGTGAGGACTCATCCTGGGGCCTCCTTCCCCATCCATCCCCAAACTAGGTAGCTGCAGGAACAAGAGAAATCAGGGAAGACTGGGAAGGGTCAGGTTCTCACCACAGCCCAGTCATCCCTGGCCTTGGCCCCAGACATTCACACACATACACACACACACACACACACACACACACACACACACACACACAGCAGGCCTAGAGCTGAAGGACACTTGTGAGTTTGCTGGAATCTGTTTAAGAAATAAGCTTGGTCCACGGTCCAAGAAAACTACATCCTTTTAAAGAAAATGAAAATATCATCAAGGGAAAAACATAATTTAAGTCAAATCGTGTCCTTTTGTCGTGGAGCCCCGTGCCCTGCTCAGACAAGGGCTTTCCTGCAGCGCAACCTGGGTGTCCCCTCGCGGCCGCTCCTGAGCGAGCCCCGCGGCTGGAGCTGTGCGGGGTTTTTCGCGGTGCTAGCAAGGGGGCTCCAGAAGAGGAAAAGAGGCAGGAACTGGCTGTCAACATCCATCAGATTCCCCAAGGCCAAATCCCACAGTAACCACGTGGCCACAGACAGTGCCCTTTGCAGGCCCCCTCTCCAAGGGTGTCATTCGTCACCCCCGCCTTGGACCCCACCCAAGCCAGTCACCGTCCCACCCACAGTGGGCACAGCGTTAGGAGATGCAGAACACGCGTGTCCCCGCCAGTCCAGCCTTCCAGTCTGCACCCTGCCCTGAAGGCATGCTTGGGGGACATGTCGGGGGACGGGGACGCGGTCCCGGGCCCCTGAACAAGGGACAGCCGCTCCCACGAGGACCTGCCAGGAAGACAGCCGGGTCACCTTGCACCGCTGAGTGTGGCCGCGGCTCTCTCCAGCCTGGTGGCCCAAGGCCTGCCTGGAGACTACAGGCTGCAGGGGTTCCCTGAGCGGAAAGCCATTGAGAAGGCCAGTGGGAGGCAGGGCTGCGCAGAGCAGTGGCTTGAGCAGCCCCAGACAGTGAATACATAGAATCTTCCCTGAGGGCATCAGGCCCCTGCAGGGAGCAGCTTGGTAGGAATGAGGCAGGAGAACAGGGTCTGGAGGCACGGAACCTAAGGCCGATTCACTCTGACTTCCTAGAACTAAATCAAACAGAAAACAATTTTTCAAACCTAAGTAAGAAAAGGACCAGAGACTACTCCCTTTGCAAGCCTACTTCCCCTTTTTCTGTGTGGCAGATGGAAAATTGAAAGTATCTGATTGGTTGCAGAAAACAACCAATTGCTTGCCACAACCAATCAGATGCTTGCATAGGGTGTAACTTTTGTAATTTCACCTCAGCCTCTGTTTGCTTTCTGCAACCGATCAGACTGATTGTGGGCCACTGCATCATTTACATAGGATGGACACCAAGTAACCAATGGGAAACCTCTAGAGGGTATTCAAACCCCAGAAAATTCTGTAACCTGGGGGCCCCTATACTCGGGCCTGCTCCCAGCAGCCTGCTTCCATCATGTGGAGTGTTTTGTTTTGTTTTGTTTTGTTTTGTTTTGTTTTGTTTTGTTTTGTTTTGTTTTGTTTTTGAGACGGAGTCCTCACTCTGTCGCCCAGGCTGGAGTGCAGACTGGGTTCAAGCGATTCTCGTGCCTCAGTCTCCCAAGTAGCTGGGATTACAGGCGTGTGCCACCACGCCCGGCTAGTTTTTGTACTTTTAGTAGACATGGGGTTTCACCATGTTGGCCAGGCTGGTCTCTAACTCCTGATCTCAAGTGATCTGCCCTCCTCAACCTCCCAATGTACTGGGATTACAGGCGTGAGCCACCGTGCCCGACCATGTAGTGTGTATTTTTGTTTTCAATAAATCTTTGCTTTTGTTGCTTCATTCTTTCTCTCATCACGTGGAGTATACTTTCATTTTCAGTAAATCTCTGCTTTTGTTGCTTCATTCTTTCCTTGCTCTGTTTGTGCGGTTTTTTTTTTTTTTTCCAATTCTTGCTTCAAAACGGCAAGAAACTGGACACCCTCCACAGGTAACAGGAAGGTGGGATGGGGGGAGCTCACCCTGACACTGATCAGGGCCACCCACGTGCCCCTCCCCCCACACCCATACTCACTAGGGCCCTGGGTGGAGCTTCCCCTGCTGCTCACAGCTCGGTGAGTGGCCAGGCCAGCAAGCACCCCCAGCTGCGCCCCTCTGCTGATTTTGCCCCTGGTCACCCAGGGTCAATCAGGGTCCAGTCAGGTGACAGAAGTCACAGGCAAGTGGCTTCAACACCCACATATGTAGGACCTTTTCACTGTGTAACATGTGATCCTAACGCACTTTCTATACCTCACATCCTTTAGGTTCTGCGTTTTATTCCAGGTAATGTTCCTTGAATCTAAACTACAATTTACTAATTTTCTCGAAAGCTGCACCTAATCTGCTACCCATTCAGACAAACAAACTCACTTATCAAATGTTTGTTGAACCGGCACTCGGTGGCAGATTCTGTGCTAGGGCGAGCCAAGTGCAGACACATGTTTGCCAAGACACACGGTCATGCCTCAGGGCCTCCTGGGTGCACATGCACACATGGACCTGCGGGCTGGCGCCACAGTGCTCAGCCTGCTCCCAATCCCACGGTGCTCCAGGGAGGACAGAGGATGTCACAGCAACACCCAACCCATCCCACTGCATGCTGAGCTTAGTTTCTGATACACTGTCACCCAAAGGCATGGCCCAGGGCCGTGGGTCTCTCTGCAGACGTGCCCTGCCCCCACTTACACACACACATACACACACACACACACACACACGGACACACGAAGAAATGTGTCTCATTTCTACCTGTGGGATTTTAACTTAAGGTGGTGACTGAGTGACCACAAAGAGAGGCCAATGCAATGGAAAGCAATTATTACTTACATTTCCTAGGGGCACACCATGCCACACAGGGCCACATGGAGAGCACCAGTGTTGATCAGGAGGCAGGAGCAAGGGGAAGGCATAGGCAACAGCCTTTATTGGAGTTTTCATGGGACAGGCCAGGCAGGGCAGAGTAAACAGCTTATGGTTAGCTAATTTGAATAACTCCGGCAGGCTTTGGCCTATAGTGTTGGTCTCTGGTTACCTGGTACCTGGTCGTGGGGTGCTTCAGTGCAGGGGAGATATTGGCATGGGGGTGTGAGAGTTGGATAAAGAGGTAATTGGGGCTGTAGACTCAGGATCAGTTGGTTGTATATGAGAGAGGTGCTCTGGGTCAAGCGCTTTGCCATCTCTAAGAAAAGACTAATCCTGGGAGGGCAGTCTCTCCAGAGCCAGTAAACTTTAAAAGATGTCATCATAAAACGCAGAAAATAAAAAGCATAAGCACACCAAGTCACAGGGTAAGTGGATGTTTACCTTTTTACAAACTGACAAATTGTGTTTCAAAGTGGTTATACTACATTACATGCCCTCCACAGTGTTATGAGGATTTCAGGTACTCCATATCTTCACCAACACTTGGTATAGAGAGTCTTCAATTTTCACCATTCCCACTTGGTGTGTAGTGGTATTTCTCTGTGATTTTACTTTGTATCTCCCTAATGACTAATGTTTACAATTTTTATTTGTACTACTGCCATCCCTCTATCTTCTTTGGTTAACTGTCTGTTCAAATCTTTTGCCCATTTAAACTTTTTTGTTTTATTATTGAGTTTTGAGAGTTTTTAGTAAATATTGGATGCAAGTCTTTCTGTAGATATGTGATTTGCCAGTATAGTCTTCTAGCCTAAGGTTCATTTTCTCCTTCATCTTAACAGAGTCTGTTCTAGAGCAGAAATTTTTACTGATGACAAAGTTGAACATGTCATTTTTCCTTAGATTGAACATGTTTTTGGTGCATATTTCAGAAGTATTTGCCAAGATTTAAAAAATTCTCTCATGTTACTTAATGAAGGTTTCATACTTTCAGGTTTATAATCCATTTTGAGTTAGTTCTTGAATATTATATACCATGTGAGGTTTGGGGTCACAGCTTGTGGTTTTGTTTCTTGGGTTTTGTTTTAATATGGATGTCCAGTTGTTCCAACAACACTTGTTGAAAACACAATCTTCACTGAATTGCCTTTGCACCTTTCTAAAATATCATTTGATCTTAGATGTGTTGGTCTATTCCTGGACTTTCTTAATCTATATTTTTGCTAATATTTTAAAGTCTACTTAACATAATTAAATAATACGTCTACAAATCAGGCAATATAATTCTTTAACTTTATGCATCTTTTTCAATTTTTTTGCTATTCTAAGTCCTTACTTTATGCATTACCATATAAATTTTAGAATTCACTTGTTATTTTCTAATATAAGCATCATGGGATTTTGATTGAGATTGCATTGAATATATATATATATTTTTTCTTTTCTTTTTTTTTTTGAGACACAGTCTCGCTCTTTCACCCAGGCTGGAGTGCAGTGGCATGATCTCGGCTCACTGCAAGCTCCACCTCCTGGGTTCATGCCACTCTCCTGCCTCAGCCTCCAGAGTAGCTGGAACTACCGACGCCCACCACCACACCCGGCTAATTTTTTGTATTTTTTAATAGAGACGGGGTTTCACCATGTTAGCCAGGATGGTCTCAATCTCCTGACCTTGTGACCCACCCGCCTCTGCCTCCCAAAGTGCTGGGATTACAGGCATGAGCCACCGTGCCCGGCTGCATTGAATAAATAAATATATATATATATATATACACACACACACCAATTTGAAAAGAATTAAAACATTAATGGGTTTAAAACATTGTCAGTTTACCCACAAAGGGAAGCCTTTGTGCTCTAATCCATAAATGTGGTATATCTCTCCCTTTATTTAGATCTTTAATTTTCTTCCACAATATTTTGTAGTTTATAGTGTACATCTTATATGTATTTCAGTTGCACATCTTATATATATGTCTCAAGTATATATCGTATGCTCTCGTAAAAAGCCAGCACTTTGGGAAGCTGAGGTGGGCGGATCACCAAGGTCAGGAGTTCGAGACCAGGCTGGCTAACATGGATAAACCCCATTTCTACTAAAAATACAAAAAATTACCCAAGCATGGTGGCGTGAGCCTGTAATCCCAGCTACTCGGGAGGCTGAGGCAGGAGAATCACTTGAACTGGGAGGTGGAGGTTGCAGTGAGCCGAGATCATGCCATTGCACTCCAGCTTAGGCAACAAGAGTGAAATTCCTTCTCAAAAAAAAAGTACTCTTTTAAATTTCAGTTTCAAACTGTACATAGAAGTATAATTTTTATAAAAATCATTGTCTACCCTGGAAACTATAATTTCATTTATTCTACATTTTTGTTCACAGATTCCATGAGATTTTCTCCATTAATATTTATATTGTATCAGGGGAACCTGCCCCCAATATTTCAACATAGGTTCTTTCTATTTTCCCTAAGTGTTGGCCGGTCTGAGAAATAAAGAGAGAGAGTACAAAGAGAGGAATTTTACAGCTGGGCCTCCAGGAGTGACATCACATAATGGTAGGACCGTGATGACCACCTGAGCCACAAAACCAGCAGGTTTTTATTAAGGACTTCGAAAGGGGAAGGGGTGTATGAACAGGGAGTAGGTCACAAAGATCACATGCTTCTGAGGTCAATAAAGATCCAAGGCAAAGGGCAAAGCAAAGATCACAAGGCAAAGGGCAAAATTAGAATTACTGATGAAGGTCTATGTTCAGCTGTGCACGTATTGTTTTAATAAACATCTTAAACAACAGAAAACAGGGTTCGAGGGCAGAGAGCCCGTCTAACCTCAAATTCACCAGGGTGGGGTTTTTCCCCCCCTAGTGAGCCTGAGCATACTGCAGGAGACAGGGCGTATTTCAGTCCTTATCTGAACCGCATAAGACAGACACTCCCAGAGCGGCCATTTATAGACCACCCCCCAGGAATGCAATTCTTTTCCCAGGGTCTTAATTATTAATATTCCTTGCTAGGAAAAGAATTCAGTGATATCTTCCCTACTTGCATGTCTGTTTGTAGGCTCTCTGCAAGAAGAAAAATATGGCTCTTTTTGCCAGACCCCGCAGGCACTCATACCTTATGGTTGTCCTCCCTTGTTCCCTAAAATCACTGTTATTCTGTTCTTTTTCAAGATGCACTGATTTCATATTGTTCAAACACACATGTTTTACAATCAATTTGTACAATAGTGGTCCTGAGGTGACATACATTCTCAGCTTACAAAGATAACAGGATTAAGAGATTAAAGTAAAGACAGGCATAAGAAATTATAAGAGTATTATTTGGGAACTGATAAATGTCCATGAAATCTTCACAATTTATGTTCCAAGATTGCAGTAAAGACAGGCATAAGAAATTATAAAAGTATTATTTGGGATCTGATTTATATCCATATTAAAATGAAATCTTCACAATTTATGGTCCTCTGCTGTGGCTCCAGCCAGTCCCTCTGTTCAGGATCCCTGACTTCCTGCAACAATGTTGTCAAAAATAAGTTCAATTTTATTTGTTTGTTTTCAAACTGGCCACTGTGAAATTTATTGGAATAAGATTATTCATATTATTCCTTATTACCCTTTTAGAATCTATAAAAACTGGGTGTGGTGGCCCACTCCTGTAGGCCCAACTACTCTGGAGGCTGAAGCCAGTGGATTGATTTAGCCCAGGAGTTCCAGGATGCAGTGAGCCATGGTCGTGCCACTGCACTCCAGGTGGGGTGTAAAAATAAATGAATAAATAAAATCTATAGTATCTAGTGATGTCACCTCACCTGTACCTAACATTGATAATTTGTGTTTTCTCACATTATTTCATGCTAGATCCACAAAGGTGGATCTCTTTTATTGATCTTTTCAAAAAATCAGTTATTGATTTCACTGGTTTTTCTCCATTGTTATTTTGCTTTCCATATCATTAATTTCTTGCTGATCTTTATTATTTCCTTCTTATTTTGAGTTTCAGTTGTCCTTTTTGAAGTTTTTTAGGTTGAATCTGTCATTGATTTGACACATTTCTTTCCTGAGATAGGAATTTTAATCTACAAATTTAGCAGCATCCACAATTCTTTTTTGGTTTGGATGGAGTCTTGCCCAGGCTGGAATGCAATGGTAGGATCTTGGCTCACTGCAACCTCCACCTCCTGGGTCCAAGCAATTCTGATGTCTCAGCCTCCCAAGTAGCTGGGATTAGAGGCACACGCCACCACCCCTGGCTAATTTTTGTATTTTTAGTAGAGACAGGGTTTCTCCATGTTGGCCAGGCTGGTCTCAAACTCCTGACCTCAGGTGATCTGCCTGCCTCAGCCTCCCAAAGTGCTGGGATTACAGGCATGAGCCACTGCACCTGGCCCCACAATTCTTTTTGTATGCTGTGCTGTTGTGTAATATGATACTGGCCCAGCACCGCTCTAGTCTTATCTCTGGAGATTCCTGGGTATCCATCTTTAATGTTTGGTAAAATAAACTAGTGAGATTCATGAAGAGCTCTTTAAAATCTAAAATCCTGAAGGGTGGCTGGCAAAATGATGGAATAGGAAGAGCTCCGGTCTGCAGCTCCCAGTGAGATCAACACAGAAGGCAGGTGATTTCTGCATTTCCAACTGAGGTACCTGGCTCATTTCATTGGGACTGGTTAGACAGTGGCTGCAGCCCATGGAGGGTGAGCAGAAGCAGGATGGGGTGTTGCCTCAACAGGGAAGCACAAGGGATTGAGGAACTCTCTCCCCTAGCCAAGAGAATCCATGAGGGACTGTGCTATGAGGAATGGTGCATTCCAGCCCAGATACTATGCTTTTCCCACAGTCATCACAACCCACAGATCAGGAGATTCCCTCTGGTGCCTACACCACCAGGGCCCTGGGTTTCAAGCACAAAACTGGGCAGCCATTTGGGCAGACACCGAGCTAGCTGCAGGAGTTTCTTTTCATACCCCAGTGGCACCTGGAATGCCAGCAAGACAGAACTGTTCACTCCCCTGGAAAGGGGACTGAAGCCA
This sequence comes from Homo sapiens, assembly GCF_000001405.40. Lineage (NCBI taxonomy): Eukaryota > Metazoa > Chordata > Mammalia > Primates > Hominidae > Homo > Homo sapiens. The sequence continues at coordinate 34,568,193 of NC_000019.10, read as the reverse complement.
GGGAGCCAAGTGGTCTAGTTCAGTGGATCCCATCTGCATGGAGCCCAGTGAGCTAAGATTCACTGGCTTGAAATTCTCGCTGCCAGCACAGCAGTCTGAAGTCAACCTGGGACACTAAAGCTTGGTGCAGGAAGGGGTGTCCACCATTACTGAGGCTTGAGTAGGCAGTTTTCCCCTCACAACATAAACAAAGCCACTGGGAAGTTCAAACTGGGCAGAGCCCACCACAGCTCTGCAAACCCGCTGTAGCCAGACTGCCTCTCTAGATGCCTCCTCTCTGGGCAGGGCATCTCTGAAAGAAAGGCAGCAGCCCCAGTCAGGGGCTTATAGATAAAACTCCCATCTCCCTGGGACAGAGCATCTGGGCGAAGGGGCAGCTTTGGGCACAGCTTCAGCAGACTTAAACATTCCTGCCTGCCAGATCTGAAGAGAGTAGCAGATCTCCCAGCACAGCACTCGAACTCTGCTAAGCGAGAGACTGCCTCCTCAAGTCGGTCCCTGACCCCCATGCCTTCTGACTGGGAGACAACTCCCAGAAGGGGCCAACAGACACCTCATACAGGAGAGCTCCAGCTGGCATCTGGTGGGTACCCATCTGGGATGACGCTTCATGAGGAATGAACAGGCAGCAATCTGTGCTGTTCTGCAGCCTCTGCTGGTGATACCCAGGTAAACAGGGTCTGAAGTGGACCTCCAGCAAACTCCAGCAGACCTGCAGCAGAGGTGCCCATTAGAAGGAAAACTAACAAACAGAAAGGAATTGTATCAACATGAACAAAAAGGAAGTCCACACCAAAACCCCATCTGAATGTTAACAACATCAAAGGCCAAAGGTAGATAAATCCACGAAGATGGGGAGAAACCAGCACAAAAAGGCTGAAAATTCCAAACACCAGAACACCTCTTCTCCTCCAAAGGATCACAACTCCTCACCAGCAAAGAAACAAAACTGGACAGAGAATTAGTTTGATGAATTGACAGAGGTAGGCTTCAGAAAGTGGGTAATAACAAACTCCTCTGAGCTAAAGGAGCATGTTCTAACCCAATGCAAGGAAGATAAGAACCTTGAAAAAAAGCTTAGATGAATTGCTAACTAGAATAACCAGTTTAGAGAAGAACATAAATAACCTGATGGAGCTGAAAAACACAGCACAAGTATTTCATGAAGTATACACAAGTATCAATAGCCAAATTGATCAAGCAGAAGAAAGGATATCAGAGACTGAAGATCAACTTAATGAAATAAAGCATGAAGACAAGATTAGAGAAAAAAGAATGAAAAGGAATGAACAAAGCCTCCAAGAAATATGGGACTACGTAAAAAGACCAAACCTACGTTTGTTTGGTGTACCTGAAAGTGACGAGGAGAATGGAACCAACTTGGAAAACACTCTTCAGGATATTATCCAGGAGAACTTCCCCAACCTAGCAAGACAGGCCAACATTCAAATTAAGGAAATACATAGAACACCACAAAGATACTCCTTGAGAAGAGCAACCCCAAGACACATAATCATCAGATTCACCAAGGTTGAAATGAAGGAAAAAAATGTTAGGGGCAGCCAGAGAGAAAAGTCAGGTTACCCACAAAGGGAAACCCATCAGACTAACAGTGGATCTCTCTGCAGAAACCCTACAAGCCAGAAGAGAGTGGGGGCCAATATTCAACATTCTTAAAGAAAAGAATTTTCAACCCAGGATTTCATAGCCAGCCAAACTAAGCTTCATAGCAAAGGAGAAATAAAATCCTTAACAGAAAAGAAAATGCGGAGAGGTTTTTCACCACCAGACCTGCCTTACAAGATCTCCTGAAGGAAGCACTAAATGGGGAAAGGAACAATTGGTACCAGCAACTGCAAAAACATGCCAAATTGTAAAGACCATTGTTACTATGAAGAAACTGCATCAACTAATGTGCAAAATAACCAGCTAGCATCATAATGACAGGATCAAATTCCCACATAACAATATTAACCTTAAATGTAAATGGGTTAAATGCCCCAATTAAAAGACACAGACTGGCAAATTGGATAAAGAGTCAAAACCCATTGGTGTGCTGTACTCAGGAGACTCAACTCACATGTAAAGACACATATAGGCTCAAAATAAAGGGATGGAGGAATACTTACCAAGAAAATGGAAAGCAAAATAATAATAATAATAATAATAATAATAACGCAGGTGCTGCAATCCTAGTCTCTGACAAAATAGACTTTAAGCCAACAAAGATCAAAAGAGACAAAGAAGGGCATTACATAATGGTAAAGGGATCAATTCAACAAGAAGAGAAAACTATCCTAAATATATATGCACCCAATACAGGAGCACCCAGATTCATAAAGCAAGTTTTTAGAGACCTACAGAGACTTAGACTCCCACACAATAATAGTGGGACACTTTAACACCCCACTGTCAATATTAGACAAATCAACAAGACAAAAAATTAAAAAGAATATACAGGACTTGAACTCAGCTCTGGATCAAGCAGACCTAATAGACATCTACAGAACTCTCCACCCCAAATCAACAGAATATACATTCTTCTTAGCACCACATTGCACTTATTCTAAAACTGACCACATAATTGGAAGTAAAACACTCCTCAGCAAATGCAAAGGAATGGAAATCATAACAAACCGTCTCTCAGACCACAGTGCAATCAAATTAGAACTTAGGATTAAGAAACTCATTCAAAACTGCACCACTACATGGAAACTGAACAACCTGCTCCTGAATGACTGACTACTGGGTAAATAATGAAATGAAGGCAGAAATAAATAAGTTATTTGAAACCAATGAGAACAAAGACACAATGTACCAGAATCTCTGGGACACATTTAAAGCAGTGTTTAGTGGGAAATTTATGGCACTAAATGCCCACAAGAGAAAGCAGGAAAGATCTAAAATCATCACCCTAACATCACAATTAAAAGAACTAGAGAAACAAGAGCAGACAAGTTCAAAAGCTAGCAGAAGACAAGAAATAACTAAGATCAGAGCAGAACTGAAGGAGATAGAGACATGAACAACCCTTCAAACAAAATCAATGAATCCAGCAGCTGGTTTTTTTGAAAAGATCAACAAAATAGATAGACCACTAGCCAGAATAATAAAGAAGAAAAGAGAAAAGAATCAAATAGACACAATAAAAAATAATAAAGGGGATATCACCACTGATCCCACAGAAATACAAACTACCATCAGAGAATACTACGAACACCTCTATGCAAATAAACTAGAAAATCTAGAAGAAATGGATAAATTCCTGGACACATACACCCTCCCGAGTCTGAACCAGGAAGAAGTTGAATCCCTGAATAGATCAATAACAAGTTCTGAAATTGAGGCAGTAATAGCCTACCAACAGAAAAAAGTCCAGGACCAGGTGGATTCACAGCCCAATTCTACCAGAGGTACAAAGAGGAGCTGGTACAATTCCTTCTGAAACCATTCCAAACAATAGAAAAAGAGGGAATCCTCTCTAACTGATTTTACGAGACCAGCATCATCCTGACACCAAAACCTGGCAGACGGAAAACAAAAAAAGAAAATTTCAGGCCGATAGCCCTGATGAACATCAAAGTGAAAATCCTCCATAAAATACTGGCAAACCGAATCCAGCAGCACATCAAAAAGCTTATCCACCATGATCAAGTCAGCTTCATCCCTGGGATGCAAGGCTGATTCAACATACATAAATCAATAAATGGAATCCATCACATAAACAGAATCAATGACAAAAACCACATGATTATCTCAATAGATGCAGAAAAGGCCTTTGACAAAATTCAACACCTCTTCATGCTAAAAACTCTCAATAAACTAGGTATTGATGGAAAGTATCTCAAAATAACAAGAGCTATTTATGACAAACCCACAGCCAATATCATACTGAATGGGCAAAAACTGGAAGCATTTCCTTTGAAAACTGGCACCAGACAAGAATGCCCTCTCTCACCACTCCTATTCAACATAGTATTGGAAGTTCTGGCCAGGGCAATCAGGCAAGAGAAAGAAATAAATGGTATTCAATTAGGGAAAGAGGAAGTCAAATTGTCTCTATTTGCAGATGACGTGATTGTATGTTTAGAAAACCCATCATCTTAGCCCCAAATCTCCTTAAGCTGATAAGCAACTTCAGCAAAGTCTCAGGATACAAAATCAATGTGCAAAAATCACAAGCATTTTATATACCAATAATAGACAGCCAAATCACGAGTGAACTCCCATTCACAATTGCTACAAAGAGATTCAAATACCTAGGAATACAACTTACAAGGGATGTGAAGGACCCCTTCGAGGAGAACTACAAACCACTGCTCAAGGAAATAAGACTGGATACAAACAAATGGAAAAACATTCCATGCTCATGGATAGGAAGCATCAATATCATGAAAATGGCCATACTGCCCAAAGTTATTTATAGATTCAATGCTATCCCCATCAAGCTACCATTGAATTTCATCACAGAATTAGAAAAAACTACTTTAAATTTCATATGGAACCAAAACAGACCCCGCATAGCCAAGACAATCCTAAGCAAAAAGAACAAAGCTGGAGGCATCATGCTACCTGACTTCAAACTATACTACAAGTCTACAGTAACCAAAACAGCATGGTGCTGGTACCAAAACAGATATGTAGACCAATGAAACAGAATAGAGACCTCAGAAATAATGCCACACATCTACAACCATCTGATCTTTGACAAACCTGACAAAAACAAGCAGCAGAGAAAGGATTCCCTATTTAATAAATGGTGTTGAGAAAACTGACTAGCCATATGCAGAAAACTGAAACTGGACCCCTTCCTTATACCTTATACAAAAATTAACTCAAGATGGATTCAAGACTTAAATGTAAGACCTAAAACCATGAAAACCCTAGAAGAAACCCTAGGCAATACCATTCAAGACATAGGCATGTGCAAAGACTTCATGACTAAAACACCCATATCAATGGCAACAAAAGCCAAAATAGACAAATGGGTTCTAATTAAACTAAAGAGCTCCTGCACAGCAAAATAAACTATCATCAGAGTGAACAGGCAACCTACAGAATGGTAGGAAATTTTTGCAATCTATCCATCTGACAAAGGGCTAATATCCAGAATCTACAAAGAACTTAAACAAATTTACAAGAAAAAAACAAAAACCCCATCAAAGTGGGTGAAGGATATGAACAGACACTTCTCAAAAGAAGATATTTATGCAGCCAACAAACATATGAAAAAAAGCTCATCATCACTGGTCATTAGAGAAATGCAAATCAAAACCACAATGAGATACTGCTTCATGCCAATTAGAATGATGATCATTAAAAAGTCAGGAAACAATAGATGCTGGAGAGGATGTGGAGAAATAGGAACACTTTTACACTGTTGGTGGGAGTGTAAATTAGTTCAACCATTGTGGAAGACAGTGTGGCAATTCCTCAAGGATCTAGAACCAGAAATACCATTTGACCCAGCAATCCCATTACTGGGTATATACCCAATGGATTATATATCATGCTACTATAAAGACACATGCACACGTATGTTTATTGTGGCACTGTTCACAATAGCAAAGACTTGGAACCAACCCAAATGCCCATCAATGATAGACTGGACAAAGAAAATGTGGCACATAATACAGCATGGAATACTATGCAGCCATAAAAAAGGATGAGTTCCTATCCTTTGTTGGGACGTGGATGAAGCTGGAAACCATCATTCTCAGCAAACTAACACAAGAACAGAAAACCAAACACCGCATGTTCTCACTCATAAGTGGGAGTTGAAGTTGAACAATGAGAACACATGGACACAGGAAGGGGAACATCACACACTGGGGCCTGTTGGGGGGTGGGGGGCTATGGGAGGGATAGCATAAGAGAAATACCTAATGTGTAGATGGTGGGTTGATGAGTGCAGCAAACCCCCATGGCACATGTATAGCTATGTAACAAACCTGCACGTTCTGCACATGTATCCCAGAACTTAAAAGTATAATAAAAAAAAAATTTTAATCTAAAATCCCTCATGGCCCCAAGGGCCATTGTGTCTACCAATGGCTTTTGCTGTGGTCTAAATGTTTGTATCCCCCCAAAATTCCTGTGTTGAAATCTAATCATCAATATGATGGTTTTGAAAGGTGTGGGGCCTTTGAGAGATGATTAAGTCACCAAGTTGGAAGTCCCATGAATGCGATGAGTGCCCTTATAAAAGAGGCCCCAGACAGCTGTCTTGACCCTTCAGCCACATGAGGACACAGCTAGAAGACACCCTCTAGGAACCAGAAAGCAGCCCTCACCAGACTCTGAATGTTCTGGCATCTGGATCTTAGACTTCCCAGCCTTCAGAACTACGAGGAATAAAACTCTGTTGTTCATAAGCAACTCAGTTTATGGTTTTTGTTACAACAGCCTGAACAGACTAAGACACCTTTACCTGGCATGAGTGTCTAGACAACTGGTTCTGGTCATTTAGCCAGAGAAACATAAAAGACCTTGCTTGGAACTTTTGCTCTGAGCTCTTCCAAAGCCAAGATTGATTGAACAGATCTTGTTGGCTCAATCAAGAAATGAAGCATGTCGTGTGTGAATATGAATTTTTGGGGTATCCTTCCTGGAGAACTTGAGAATATAAGTAAATATTAATAGAATTGATTATAAGCCATTTAATAAATTAAGAATGAGCCTGATTTCTGCCTCAGACCATGATCTAATGAAATGACCAGAATTTTTTCTTGCTTTCAACAAGAAGAAAACCAGATGCAATATATGAAAACAGTAACACAATTTTCAAGCATTGGACAAGAGGCAATGAAGGACTGGGATCTCAAGGAAGAAGATACAAAGTATGTGTGTGATAGCTAACCTTGTTTTAACCTGAATTGACTCTCCCTTAGCTGAGAGAGCCAGACAGACCCCATCTTGGCTCCTACACTTACAGCCCCTTACCCACCCCTTCCTCAAGGACTTAACTTATGCAAGCTGACTCCCAGCACGTCCAAGGATGCAATTAGCTGATAAAATACTGTGGCAAGCTATATCCACAGTTCCTAGGAATTCATCTGGTTGATAACACCCAAAGCCCCGCGTCTATCACCTTGTGAAAGATTTAAAGCCCTGCACCTGAAACTGTTTGCTTTCCTATAACCATTTATTCTTTTAACTTTTTTGCCTGCTTTACTTCTGTAAGGTTGTTTTCACTAGACTGCCTCCCTCCCCTTTCTAAACCAAAGTATAAAAGAAAATCTGGCCCCTTCTTCGGGGCTGAGAGAATTTTGAGCACTAGCCGTCTCTCGGTCACCAGCTAATAAAGGACTCCTGAATTCGTCTCAGAGTGTGGCATTTCTCTGTACCTAGCTCAGTTACAACATTTGGAGGCCCCAGCAAGATTTTTTTGTCACCGGGTGAGAGCCAGACTCATTCCAGGCTCCCCTGGACAGACAGCAGACTTATAGGGGAGGCACCACCAGAAGACGTTCCAGGGCCCCATAAGACCCTATCTTCCAGACGGGAATGGATCGACCACTGGTGTGTGCCCACAAAAATTCAACTCCTGAGTCCTCAGTTTCTGGTCCTGGGAAAGTAAGTCAGATCTGACTCTGTTTCTCTGGGAGGGAAACGGCTCTGACAAGGCCCTCCCTTTTTGACTCTGCCCACATTCCAGGACGCTGGAGGACAGAGTCCTGGTTTTCTGTTAGGCACCTCTGTGTCTCTCTGGGAGGGAAGCAGCCCTGACGATGGCCCTCCCTTGACTCTGCCCATGTTCCAGGACACTGGAGGACAGAGTCCTGGTTTTCTGTTAGGCCTCTCTGTTAAGACTAGTCTCTATCTCTCTCTCTCTTTCTCTCTCTCTCTCTCCCTCCCTCCCTCTTTCTCTATCTCTTCTCCTTCTCTCGTTCAGGTCTCCCGGAGACCTCTGTTTTGGAAAGGGAATAAGAAAACTGTTATAAACTCTGTGTGAATGAGTGCGTGAATGTGGAGTTCAAGGGCTTGCACTTGAATTTCCAGTATGTAGCTCCACGGTGAAAGCTACGGAGTTTGAATGGGCCCTCACCTGCAGTTCCGTGGTGACCTCTTAAGGCTTAAGGCAGCATCAGGCATAGCTCGATCCAAGCCAGGGGTTTATACCAGCCTGCCAATGCTAAGAGGAGCCTAAGTCCCCTCAGGGAGAGTGGCCAGATGGGCATCTGACTGATCCCATCACGGGCCCCCCTTCCTTTGTCTGTCTATTAAAAAATTGTCATAATTGTTTGTATGCCCCAGGGTCTATTGTCTTGTTTGGTAAAATTTCATATGTCAGGTCATCAATACTGCCCTAGACAACTGGGTAAGAACTTCTTCAAGGTCCTCAGTACTGATTTTCTATCACAGGAGGTCAAATTTCTCATCAATCATTTGGGTTGGCCATCCCAGTCCTGCCTTTTCTGTCAGAAACAAATCAGGTGTTGTTATGGGAAAGAGTGTGGGATTTCTGGCACCTTAAAGGTTGCTGGCATTTAGATTGCCATACCCCATGCCCAATTGACTGGACCACCTCCACATTAGACCGGTGGTGGATTCAAAATAGCCACCCCACAGACCTCCTTGCTCATCTTTTCTGTCATCCCATAACTTTTCCCGTGCCCATGGATAAGGCACTGTGCAGAGAAACCTACGCCCATACTGCTGTACTCTGTCCAGAGGTCTCAGGCGTGTCTCTTTGGGCTGTCAGGCCCAGGGGCGAGGCACGCCTCCACCAGTTTACAAAAGAAACAGCCTCCTTCCCCCATGGCAGGGGCTCCCTGACCTGTGGGCAAGGACTGGAGGGTGACGACGCCGGATCCCCTCCCCCGGCACCCCCTCCCCCGGGACCCCCTCAGGTGCCCGGCTCCTTTGCCTTCAGTTGTCAAAGCCCCTGACTTCCCAGAGCACCAGCGCATCCGCACCCAGCTCAGAATGCAAGGGCCCAGCCTGCTGCAGTGAACTTGGTCCCAGGCCAGGCTTCTGAGCTGGGCTTGCAGCGTCTGACAGGGCCTGGAGGCAGGGCGGGGGACCGCAGAGTGGCCCTGGTGACCCAGAGCTGCCCGGCATGGCTCCTCCTAGCCTGGAAAAATCCAAGTGGCCCCTTTTCCTCCTCATTCCCATCCTTTACCCTGCACATCTCATTTTCCTGTGTTGCAGCAAATCCAGTGTCTCCAAGACTTGGTTCTGTCCTCCCTTTTTCAACCCTTAAAAGAAAAGGCCAAGTTTGAACTTTTTGCCTTCAAGTCATGGAGACACCAAAGATATTTAGGCTATAGGACAAAAAGGAGGGGATCACGTAGGTCCCACTGGCCTCAGACCTGCCTCTTGTCCTCCCCCTAGATCTCAAAGCTTAAACAGACCGTCCTTATGTGGCAAGAAGTGTTGACTATGGTTGTTTTCCTTCTTCTTCTGGTTATAATACTTCTGTTCTTCTGATACTGCAGCCCCCCAGGTCTTGAATTTCTCTGTCTGTGCTGGGTTTAATATTTCTGCTGAAACCTTTTTAAATTGCCTCCAGAATGGGAAACTCTTCTTCCCAGCCTCATAAAGATTGGAGCCCTCTCCAATGTATGTTACAAAATTTCTCCCTAGGCTTCTCAGAGAATTATGGGGTCCACCTTAAAAAAGGCAAACTCCAGATACTCTGTGAAGTAGAATGACCACAGTTTGGAACCGTGTGGCCCCCAGAAGGGTCACTGAATCTCACAGCTCTTCAGGCTGTGTGGCGGGTCGTTGCTGGAACTCCCGGTCACCCCGATCCGTTTCCCTACATTGATCAATGGCTGAGATTGGTCCGGAGCCCTCCCCCTTGGCTCCGCTCATGTGCCATTCATAATCTTACCTCCAAGGTCATTTTAAGCGAGACCACACACTTTTGTCCGGATCCTCAGCTCCCTTGGCTCCTCCTGTATTGCCTCCCTCTGAAGAAGAGGAAAGTTTTCCTCACACAGTTCTGCCACCTTATAACCCTCCTGCTCCCCCAGAATCTCCCCTTGCCTCCTCAACTACATCTCCTGTGGCGTCCCCATCTATTGCCTCCTGATTGTGGCCATGGCAGGAGGAGGTAGCCCCCCTCCTCCCACTGAGAGAGGCACAAATCCCTCCGGGTGATGAGCGCTCAGCTCCATTCTTAGTTTACGTCCCTTTCTCTACTTCTGACCTGTACAACTGGAAGGCTCATAATCCCCCCTTCTTTGAAAAACCCCAGGTTCTGACCTCACTGATGGAGTCCATGCTCCAGACTCACCGGCCCACCTGGGATGATTGTCAGCAACGCCTTTTAACCCTCTTCATCTCTGAAGAGAGGAATTGTATCCGAAGAGAAGCCAGAAAGTATTTCCTTACATCAGCTGATAGACCAGAGGGGGAAGCCCAAAACCTCGTTAAGGAGGTTTTTCCCTCTACCCGGCCTAATTGGGATCCTAACTCCTCGGGTGGGAGGAGGGCTTTAGATGATTTTCACCGGTATCTCCTTGTGGGCCTCAAGGGAGCCGCTCAAAAACCCATAAATCTGTCTGAGACAACTGAAGTTGTCCAGGGGCCTGATGAACCTGGAACACTTTTAGAAAGTCTCCAGGAGGCCTATCAAACTTACACCCCTTTTGACCCGGCAGCTCCCAAGAATAGCCGTGCTATTAATTTGGTGTTTGTGGCTCAGGCAGCTACTGATAGTAAAAGAAAATTACAAAAGCCGGAGGGATTTGCTGGAATGAACAATAGCCAGCTTTTAGAAGTAGCCCAGAAAGTTTTTGACAATCGAGAGTCTGAAAAACGAAAACAGGCAGCTGAGGCAGCTGAAAAAGCTGCTGATAAAGCATCCAAAAGACAAGCAAAAATCTTAGTGGTGGCCATCCAGGAAGCCAAAAAGTAAGGGCCCCCATCACAGAGGAATAGCCAGGGAACCCCGGGTCCCAGCCAAAAGGGCAAGAAAGGTGAGCGGGCTCCCCTGGAGAAAAACCAATGTGCTTATTGCAAGCAGATAGGACACTGGAAGAAGGAATGCCCATTAAAGCCAGAGCAAAAACCAGAAAAGAAAAAGGTCCTCACCCTCCCCACAGCGGAGGAGTCTGATGACTGATGGGACTGGGGCTCCCTTTCACTTGGCCCCCAGGAGCCCATGGTGACCGCTACAGTGGGGGGCCAGCATGTATACTTCCTAATAGATACTGAGGTGGAACACTCAGTACTGCAGACACCCTTAGGCAGTGTCTCTAATAAAAGAGTAGCTGTACAAGGGGCAACAGGAGCTATTCAGGAATATCCTGTCACCCACTCATGATAAGTGAGTTTAGGAAAGAAAAGAGTAACTCACTCATTTCTTGTAGTCCCAGAGTGCCCCCTTCCCCTTCTCAGATGAGACCTGCTCCATAAGTTACAGGCTTCTATCTCTCAGCCCAGCAGGCTCACTTCACGTTAGGGGACACAACGCCCCCTACTGCCCAACTCCTGCTAACTACCCCTCTGTCAGAGGAATATCTTTTGGTTTCACCATCACAACCATTGGAGAATAAAACAAATTCTCTCCTCCTATTAGACCTACAGACTGTTTCCTCGAGTCTGGGCTGAGTCAAACCCCCTGGGATAAGCAAAGCATCATCTGCCAGTAGTTGTAGAACTTCTGGCCACTGCCCTGCCAGTCCAGATAAAACAGTATCCTATGAGTCAGCAGGCTAGAGAGGGGATAAATCTCCATATTCAGTGACTGCTACAAGCTGGCATACTCACACCATGTCAATCCACCTGGAATACTCCATTTTTGCCGGTCCAGAAACCTGGAACAAATGATTACCAGCCTGTGCAGGACTTGAGGGAGGTTAACAAGTGGACAGTTACCATCCATCCAACTGTCCACAATGCTTATACTTTACTCAGCCTGCTCCCACCAGAACATACAGTATACACTGTCCTTGACTTAAAGGATGCCTTCTTTGCTATTCCTCTGGCCCCCAAAAGCCAACCTATCTTTGCTTTTGAATGGACAGATCCTGGCTCAGGAGATACCACCCAATTAACTTGGACTCAGTTACCTCAAGGCTTTAAAAATTCCCCCATCCTTTTTGGGGAAGCCCTCCAACAGGATCTTATACCATTCTGAGCCAGTCACCCCAATTGTACTATTCTTCAGTATGTAGATGACTTATTGGCTACTGAAACTACTGACAGCTGCCTGCAACATACTAGGGACCTACTTTACCTCCTTCAGGTGCTCAGGTATTGGATCTCGGCCAAAAAGGCCCAGCTTTGTCTTCTTAGAGTGTCCTACCTAAGGTACAAGATAAAGAAAGGAAAAAGGGCACTCACCAGTGTGAAGCCATCCTGTGAATCCCCACTCCCACCACCAAGAGACAGACCTTACTATACCTGTCCATGACTGCCAAGAACCGTTGGAGACTACGGAATCTGGCCGACCTGATCTCCAAGAGGTATCTTTAAAGGAGGCAGAAGCCACCGTGTTTAGAGATGGTAGCAGCTTCCTTGAGCAGGGAGTTCAAAAGGCTGGTGCTGCCATCACTACAGAGATGGATATACTGTAGGCCCAAGCACTGCCAGCAGGTGGCTGTAATTCACTGCAAAGGACATCAAAAAGAAGACATGGCCATTGCCCATGGTAACCAAAAAGCAGACTCTACAGCCTAGGAGGCAGCTCGTCTCCCTGTTGCACCTCTGACCCTGCTGCCTGCAGTGTCCTTTCTGCAACCTGACTTGCCAGATCACCCAAAATATTCCCCAGAGGAGGAAAAACAGGCTTCGGATCTTCAGGCCAGTAAAAATCAGGAAGTCTCTCCAACAGGTACAAGACATCATCCAGCCGCTTGTCCGGGGAGCTCACCCCAATCCAGTTCCTGACTAGACGGGGCCCTACCACTCTTTCCAGCCGGGTGACCTCATGTACATTAAAAAGTTCCAGAAAGGACTCATTCCTGCCTGAAAAGGACCTCATACTGTCATCCTCACCACACCAACGGCTCTGAAAGTAGATGGCATTCCAGCTTGGATTCATCAATCTCACATCAAAAAGGACAACAGAGCCCAACAAGAAACATGGGTCCCCAAGCCTGGGCCAGGCCCCTTAAAACTGCCCCTAAGTCAAGTGAAGCCATCAGATTAATTCTTTTTATTTACCTCTATTGTTTGTTTCCACCTATTATGCCTTCTGCCCCATCCTACTCTTTCCTCCTCACTTCTTTCACAGCAGGATGTGTGTTTGCAAACACTACTTGGAAGGCAGGAATCTCAAGGAAGTCTCTTTTACAGTTGATTTATGTACTTTGTTCCCAGAGCCTGCCCATACCCATGAAGAACAATGCAATCTGCCAGTCATAGGAGCAGGTATCGTCGACTTTGCTGTGGAATTTGGACACTCCAGAAGCCAGACTGGATGTGGAAACTCCAAAGGTGCAGAAAAAGGACTTCAGAATGTTGACTTTTACCTCTGTCCTGGAAATCACCCTAACTCTAGTTGTCAAGATTCTTACCAGTTTTTCTGCCCTGACTGGACATGTGTAACTTTGGCCACCTACTCTGGGGCATCAACTCGATCTTCAACCCTTTCCATAGCTCGTGCTTCCCGTCCTAAGCTGTGTACTAGGAGAAATTGCAATCCTCTCACTATAAACATCCATAATCCTAATTTAGCTCAATGGTATTATGTCATGTCATAGGGATTAAGGCTTTATATCCCGGGATTTGATGTTGGAACTATGTTCACCATCCAAAAAAAATCCTCGTCTCATGGAGCCCTCCTAAGCCAATCAGGCCTTTAACTGATTTAGATGACCTTATGTTCCCAAAACATCCAGACAAGGTTGATTTAACTGTCCCACTGCCATTCCTGGTCCCCAAACCTCACCTGCAATGACAGCACCTCCAACCCAGCCTGATGTCCATTCTAGGTGGGGTACATCACCTCCTCAATCTCACCCAGCCTAAACTAGCCCAAGATTGTTGGTTGTGCCTAAAGGACAAACCCCCATATTATATTGGATTAGGAGTAGAAGCCGCACTTAAAATTGGCTCTCTTTCTTGTTGTACATGCCCCCATGCCCTCCCATTAGGAGATACGTCTGGAAACACTTCTTGTCTAATTAGCACCGGATATAACTTATCTGCTTCTCCCTTTCAGGCTACCTGTAATCAGTCTATGCTTACCTCCTTAAGCACCTCAGTCTCCTACCAGGCACCTAACAATACCTGGTTAGCCTGCACTTCAGGTCTCACTTGCCACATCAATGGAACTAAACCAGGACCTCTCCTGTGTGTGTTGGTTCATGTACTCCCCCAGGTCTACGTGTATAGTGGGCCAGAAGGATAACTTCTTATTGCTCCCCCTGAATTACATCCCAGGTTTTGCCGAGCCACCCCACTCCTTGTACCCCTCCTGGCTGGCCTTAGCATAGCTGGATCAGCAGCCATCAGCATGGCTGCCCTGGTTCAGGGAGAAACTGGACTAATGTCCCTGTCTCAACAAGTAGATGCTGATTTAAGCAATCTCCAATCAGCCATAAATATACTACATACCCAAGTAAAATCTCTAGCTGAAGTAGTTCTTCAAAACCGCCGAGGCTTAGATCTGCTATTTCTCTCCCAAGGAGGGTTATGTGCCACTCTAGGAGAGAGTTGTTGCTTCTGTGCCAATCAGTCTGGAGTCATAAAAGATACTCTCCAAAAAGTTTGAGAAAACCTAGACAGGCACCAGCAAGAACGAGAAAATAACACCCCCTGGTACCAAAGCATGTTTAACTGGAATCCATTGCTAACTACTCTAATCACTGGGTTAGCTGGACCCTTTCTCCCCTATTGTTAGGCTTAGTCTTTGAGCCTTGTATGTTAAATTGGTTTCTTAATTTTGTAAAACAACATATAGCTTCTGTCAAGCTTATGTACCTTAAAACCCAATATAACCCCCTGGTTATAACCGAGGAATCAATGGTTTGATTCCCCAAAAACACAAGTGGGGAATGTGATACCCAACCTTGTTTTAACCTGAATTGACTCTCCCTTAGCTGAGAGAGCCAGACAGACTCCATCTTGGCTCCTTCACTTACAGCCCCTTACCCACTCCCTTCCTCAAGGACTTGACTTGACTTGTGCAAGCAGATTCCCAACACATCCAAGGATGCAATTAACTGATAAGATACTGTGGAAAGCTATATCCGCAGTTCCTAGGAATTCATCTGGTTGATAACACCCAAAGCCCCGCATCTGTCACCCTGTGATAGATTTAAAGCCCCTGCACCTGGAACTGTTTGCTTTCCTGTAACCATTTATCCTTATAACTTTTTGCCTGCTTTACTTCTGTAAGATTGTTTTAACTAGACTCCCCCCCTCTCCTTTCTAAACCAAAGTAAAAAAGAAAATCTAGCCCCTTCTTTGGGGCCTAGAGAATTTTGAGCACTAGCCATCTCTCAGTCGCTGGCTAATAAAGGACACCTGAATTCGTCTCAGAGTGTGGTGTTTCTCTGTAACTCACTAGGTTACAACACGTGAGCCCTACAATTATTCCTGCTTACAGTGTAGAAGAAAAATAAGTATATATGGTGACCACCATGGGTATAATTTAGGTGGGATAATAGGAGAGAGGAGAGAGGCAAAGATTTGCAGAAGTATCCATGTAAATCTTTGGCTAAGTCCCGATCTGCACAAGCATGACCAGACACTACCTGAGGTTTAGAAAGGAACCCCTACAAAGCAATATCCCAAACAATTATTTGAGCTCATCCAGGGCTGGGAATTGTATGTTCACCTGCCAGTGTGGAACACCTATTAGTACAGAAAACACCAGATAGAAAGGTATCACCTAAAGAACGGGGCTGACAGACTCAAGGCTGCTCTGGTCTTATACTAAAAAAGTTTAAAACAGAAAGACCTAGTGCCAAGCAGGCAAGAGGAAATCATGCTGCTAAGTAATTTTATTGAATGGCATACCAAGGTCCAACATTGTTTAAAGCAATACAAACAAATACAACATTCAATAATGTAAAATTCAGTATCTGGCATCCAATAAAGAATAACCATGCACACAAAGAAGTAGTGACATAAAAATCATTAACCAGAAGAGTGAATTGAGAAGCACAAAAATGATGAAAATGATGAAATTAGTGGACAAATATGCTGTAAAGCTTTTATAACTATCCAACATTTGTTTTGACAAAAGAATGGGGGAAATAAAACTTGATAATGAGAAATAGTACATATATATATATTTGTGGTTTCCACTCCAACATCTAAAGAGCTTGTTACTCCCGTCCTCAAAACAACAAAAAGTTGAACAAACTGAAAATCAGTAACTCTTCTTAGATCCATCAGAGTATCGAGGCCATAGGGCAAAGCAATGCCCCCCCAAACTGGAGACACAGCAAATATAGGGGATCAGATTTTGAGGACAGAAGCCTCTGGAGCCAGCAACTGACAGGTGAACAGTGATTAACAAATTGCTGGAGGCTAATGGTGGACAAGCCTTAGTCTTAAAAAATCCTGGGAGCCCAGTCTTATCATGGGAGCAGCACCTGTATTTTCATGAGATTTGCCTCCAGGAGACCCACCAGATTCTCCTGATGAAGACTGGAGAACAATTATCTCATGCTTCAAGCAGGAGGAAGGGGAAATAATCATTCTAAGACACACCCAAGGAAACATAAGCATTTTGAAATAAGCCCAGAGTATTCTGTGCTACATAACAAAAGCCTGCCCCCAGGAAACTACTTTACCAAATCGTGTGTGACCTGTGAGAAGAACTAGTCAGTCTGTTCCATCTAGTCTTCCTATCTCAAATAAAGGAAGAAAAGAAAGCTAAGAAATTTTTCTGAAGGTCAGCCCAGGGACTCAGTCTCACTAATAAAACTGAGATGTAATCATGAGATGTAATCATGAGATTCAAAAATGCTGCCTCTCCACAATACCTTATCACCACATCAACAGGTCTGCGGTATAATAACAGCAGATGGGCCAGGTGCAATGGCCCATACCTGTAATCCCAGCACTTTGGGAGGCTGAGGTGGGTGGATCACTTGAGGTCAGGAGTTCGAGACCAGCCTGGCCAACATGCCGAAACCAGGTCTCTACTAAAAATACAAAAATTAGCTGGGCGTGGTGGCATGCATCTGTAATTCCAGCTACTTGGAAAACTGAGGCAAAAGAATCACTTGATCCTGGGAGGCAGAGGTTGCAATGAGCCGAGATTGCACCACTGTACTCCAGCCTGGGTGACGGAGGGATACTTTGTTTCAAAAAATAATAAAATAAATAAAAATCATAATAAACAAAAAACAGTAGATGGTAACTGATAGAGCTGCAAGAGACAGACAGGAATTTCTAGGGAAACCCACAGACAACAGCAGAGACACCAACAAGGATATTAGAGGAAATTTAATCCCCTGAAATCTACTGCTACAGCAAATAATAAACAGCCAAAATTCTAGCCAGATAAACATAAAACCTCGCAGTAAAGTCCTATTAACCTTAGTTCATCTTACCCGATACATCATGTCTGGCTATCAACAAAAATAGCACAACATGATAAAAGGTAAATGCTCTAGACTGAGTTGTGCCCATCCCTCCCCAGCAAATTCATGTTAAAGCCCTAACCCCCAGTGTGATTGTATTGGAGACAGAGACCTTAAAGAGGTCATTAAGGTTAAATGAGGTGTAAGGATGGATCCCTAAACAAATAAGACTACAGTCCTTATAGGAAAAGGAAGAGACACCCAGGGTGTGTGCTCACAGACTGAAGACCATGTCAGGACACAGCAAGAAGGCAGCTGTCTGCACGCCTGCAAGAGAGTCCTCACCAAAACCCAACTCTGCTGACACCTTGATCTAGGCATTCCATCCTCCAGGATTGTGAGCGAATAAATGTCTCTTGTTTATGTCATTCAGTCTGTGGCATTCTGTTAAGAAGAATAACCCAAGAAGACTAATGCAGCAGGAAGAAACACATTATGAAGAGACAAAGCAGCTATCACAACTAGACACTGGGGCAGAGAGGTTGGAATTATCACACCAGGATTTTAAACTATGATTAATATGCTAAGGATTCTAATGGAGAAAGTGGCCAACATGGACGAACACATGTGTAATATAAGCAGAGAGAGGCAAACACAAAAAAAAAAATTAAAAGGAAATGCTAGAAATAAAAAACACTGTAACAGAAATGAAGAATGTCTTCGATGGGCTTATCAACAGAATACAGAAGATCAAGGAAAGAATCTGTGAGTGTGAAACATGTTGATGGAAACTTCTCAAACTGGAAAGCAAAAAGAGAGAGAAGGAGAGAGAGAGGGAGGGAACTGAAACAGAATATCCAAGAACTATGGACAGTTATAAAAGATGTAACATGGGCATAATGAGAATGAATCCTAGAGGAGGAGAGAAAGGAGCAGAAAACCGATTTGAAGTGATAATGACTGAAAGTTTTCCAAACTTACTGACAGACATCAAAAAGCACAGATCAAGGAAGTTGAGAGAAGATCAAGCAAGATTCTGGTAGGACATATATTTGGTCTTTGTCATCAGTTCCTCTCAGAGTGCTGAAACCCCTGGAATGTCCTGAGTGATAGGAGTGTCTTTTGTTATTAATAGTGAGCCCCACTGATGACCCCTGAGTTTATGCTAATGAGGTCCTTAAGGTAGAGCATCTCGATAGCCTCAGGATGGGCTATAAGATATTGATGCTTCATGTAGTTGAATTTCTATTTATAATGGTCAATTGCATTATTCATCACACAATTTAACAATAAAAGTACATGTTCACTTTTCCTTGTTCATGGTCTCTGCATTAATTCAACTCTCCCTCTTCCAACACTCAAACTTTGGGCATTAATTAATATAATACATTTTGCCCAGCTATATATTTTAGTTTATTTTTTCATTTAGTTTATTTCCTATCTTTTAAGTTTTTATTCTTCTCTAAACAGCATAAAATTCCTGATGGATTACTACACCTTAATGCTGTGGTCCCATCCATTGAGGCCTCCATAGCCAATATCCAATATTATTAACATTGCTGATTCTATTCAGTCAAAAACTGGTATATATTTTGCTCTTGTAGATTTGGCTAACATGATCTGTTTGGTGCCAATTTCAACAGCCTCTCTACTGCAATTTATCTCCACCTCTGAAGGCATGCAACATACCTTTCCCAGGCCACCCAGAGGGTACCTTGTTAGCTTTGGCATCATGTACAATATCTGCAGACAAAATCTGAACTGCATCCATCTTTCTTTCTCTAAGAGCACAGGTATGACATGATATTAATAACATGCTCCTTCCAGGAGACTCATTTGACACATTCATTAAGGACACATAAGTCCAATCTTTTAGTACATTTTGGGTTCTGGTGGTTACTTTCTCAGAAAAGCTTCCCTGAACACCTAGCACTTCCACTCCTCCGTCACTGCTTTCTTGTTTTCCACGGCGTGTGTCACTCACTAGCTGATGTACTGTATGTTCACTATATGCACGTGCTCATTGTCTTTTCCTGGTGGGAGGAATCTTTTTTCTTCTTTGTTGTCTATTATAGCTTCAGTACCCAGAGTGGTACCTGGCACCAAATAGATGCTTAGTAAGTAACTGTGGAGTGAATAAGATGAGTAATGAAGAACTGGTGGGGCAGAATCATGGCATGGAAGGTGAAGCTTGCATAGGAGGGGATATGAGTAGCAGATGTACATGTTGGGTGAAGTCTGTTTTCTTGGAAAAAATAGATAATTAGAATTGAAAAACTGGCATGGTGGTACATGTCTGTTGTCCCAGCTACTCGGGAGGCTGATGAGGTGGGAAGATTGCTTGAGCCCAGGGGTGTGAGGCTGCAGTGGGCTATGATTATGTCACTGCACTCCAGCTTAGCAACAGAGCAAGATACTATCTCTTAAAAAAAAAAAACAAAGTAAAGGCTAAAGTGAACTAATGCCAAAAACATTCATTGGTTCATCTTCTAAACACTTATGAAGTACCTGGTAGGAAAAGTTGTACATGGATTGTGGTGTACACTGACACACAGGACTTCATGATCTAGTGCAGTATTGTCTAAGAGAACTTTCTGCAGTGGTGGAAGTGCTGTGCATGTGTACTGGTCAGTACGGTAGCCACCAGCCCCATATGACTATTGAGTACTTGAACTGTGGCTTAAGCAACTGAGGAACTGAATTTTAAATTTTATTTTATTTTTACATTTTAATTAATTTAAATGTAGGTAGCCAAATTGGCTAGTGGCTACTGTATTGAGGACTGCAGCACTGTAGAAAAGTAAGAAAGCATGGGAAATTTAAATAAGTGCTAGGACAAATATCCTATGTTCTTTTGGGGACAGAGATGAGTGAACATTTCAAGCTGCCCGGGCAACTGCAGGGGAAGAAAGAAGCATTCCTGGCTCTAAGTTGTAATGACTTGTCTGTCATAAAGATATGAGAAACGTTATTTTTATTTAGGATAAAGGCAATTAACTAACAGTGTCAACTCCAATTAATGGGTGAATTTAGGACAAATTATGCGTAGCAAATTGAACTGTCAGGTCTTACTTGGATAAGTTATTGTTTATTTGGAAAATGTATGTATTGGATTGTATCTGCTTGGTGATATAAAAGGATGAGTGAGATTTCTTCCTGTCCTTTTAATCTCATTAGTGGATTGCCTGTGACATGCATCAAGGTCTTATTTAATGCTTATTCAGTAATAAAACTCTTTTCTTTCTTTTCTACATCTGTGGAAAGGATTTTCTACCATTGGCAGGAGATTTGAATTTTAATTATTTTCCCAACACCTGACAAAAGTAAATTCTGCCTTTAAAACCAGAGACCAGTGTCACTGGTGAACATGCACGCAAAATATCCAAATAATGTAATACAGTGCTGAATTAACTCTCAGAGCTAAAAAATTACCACAGTAGAGCAGTCTTTCACAAATCAAAGACAGTAATAATGCTATATTAAATGGATGTATTTTTGCACATATAATTTGACTAGTCAATAAGCTATTATTGAATATTTAAGCTTCTAAAGTTTTACTATCTTAAATAATACTTTGAAATGAGTACTATTGAGAGGAATTTCCAAGCACATCTGTGAGCATTTCCTTAGAATATTTTCTTTGAAATGTACCCTTTTGTTCCCCGCTTAGTTTCAGGTCCTAGTTAAGGACTGTCTGTGGCAGGGGTGCCCAACATTTTTGGCACCAGGGATCAGTTTCATGGAAGACAATTTTTCCCCAGAAGTGGGAGGTGTTTGTTTGGGGATGAAACTGTTCCACCTCAGATCATCAGACATTAGTTAGATTCTCATAAGGGGTGTGCAGCCTCGATCCCTTGCATGCACAGTTCACAGTAGGGATTGCGCTCCTATGAGAATGCAGTGCCACGGCTGATCTGACAGGAGGTGGAGCTCAGGTGGTAATGCTCACTTGCCGACTACACACCTCCTGCTGTGTGGCCCAGTTCCTAACAGGCCACAGACCAGTACCAGTCCATGGTCTGGGGGTTAGGGACCCCTGATCTATGACATGAAACCAGCCTTCAGTCTTTTCGCCCAGGGGTCTCATATTTTAGTTATTAAATGTCTATCAGTACAAAGTTTAAGTATATGCCATAAATATATTTTTCTTTTTTATGAATCAGTTATGTGTATGTTTTAGTCCATTTGTGCTGCTGTAACAGAATACCACAGACTGAGTAATTTACAAACAATAGAAATCGACTTCTTGGCCAGGCACGGTGGCTCACACCTGTAATCCCAGCACTTTGGGAGGCTGAGGTGGGTGGATCACTTGAGATCAGGAGATCAAGACCAGCATGGCCAACATGGTGAAACCCCGTCTCTACTAAAAATACAAAAATTAGCCAGGCATGGTGGCGGGCACCTGTAATCCCAGCTGCTTGGGAGGCTGAGACAGGAGAATCACTTGAACCCAGGAGACAGAGGTTGCAGTGAGCCGAGATCGTGCCATTGCACTCTAGCCTGGGCAACAGAGTGAGACTCCATCTCAAAAAAAAAAAGAAAAAAGAAAGAAAAAAAAGAAATTGACTTCTCATGGTTTTGGAGCCTGAGAAGTCCAAGATCAAGGGGGAGGGGTCTGACAAGGGCCGTGTTGCTGTGTGCTTTTATGGTGGATGGGTGGATGGGCAAAAAGAGGAGAGAGGAAAAAGGGGCCTCAGACTCATTTTTTAAATAAGGAACACACTCCCACGATGATGACATTAATCCATTCATGACGGCAGAGCCCTCAAGGCCTAATCGTCTCCTAAAGATCTCACCTCTCAATACTGTTAGAACGGTTATTAAGTTCAATACATGCTTTATGGGAGACACAATCAAACCATAACAGTGTATGTCTATCAGTCTTTAATATAAAGATGTCTTTTTTCCAAACCCATTTTTTATGAGGGTTAGTGGATCATCCTGGTATCCCATTCAAGAGAGAATCGCTTTAGCCTCATTTTTTAATTACTTACCTAGTACTTAAGGTATAAAATATATAACCAAATACTTGACTCTGTGCTGTCAAATGTTAAATGCTGATTTTTAAAAATTCATACAATTCTATAACTTTTAACAAAAAGTTAACTCTACTGAAGCAAAGCTCTCATATTTGTCTCTCATCCTTATTGTATAATAATTCTAAACACATAACTCTCCCCTTTATTATGTAATAATTCCATCTACGTAACTGTCCTATTATTACTTAACTGAGATCACATTCCCAATCTTTGTCACGACTCCTGAATCTTGTTCCATTTCTTCCACAACCAGGCTAATTTTACCTCTTCTTCAGTGACAGAAGAGGCCTGGGCTATGGCTGAGCCTAAATATATTTGCTATTTCAGGTGACATTTAGTGATGTGGCTATAGACTTCTCTCATGAAGAGTGGGCATGCCTAGATTCTGCTCAGAGGGACTTATACAAGGATGTGATGGTCCAGAATTATGAGAACCTTGTCTCTGTAGGTAAGGATATCACCCCTTCCACTCCAACAGGGGACACCTTTCTTTTGCCACCCTGAATTGCTGGAGATTCTCCTAAGTAAACGGCTGAATTCTGTACCATGCTCCCGAGGAAATGTGCAGCTCTGTTGTGCCCTGCCTAAAGCTTATCTTTCCATTTCAATGAACACCCTTCATCCATTCCTGTGGTCCCTCTTTTGATGGCCTCTCATAATAGAAGACCACAGCTTAAACAATTCTATATTCTTCCTGTAAGCAGGTCTTTCCATAACTAAGCCATATGTGATCACATTGTTGGAGCATGGGAAAGAGCCCTGGATGGTGGAGAAAAAACTGTCAAAAGGTATGATTCCAGGTGAGTCATGGTGAATGAGACAAAGGAAGATTTGGTTAAAGATGTTTATAGTGAGTGTGGAGGCATTTTAGGAACACTATCTTCAAATATCTCAAATATTAATGAAAAATTGAGGGATATTTAGCTTAGATTTTCAAAATAATTGTTCCTCTATCCCACATTATTATCTGTATCACTCATGTCATCTAATCAAGGTTAGAGGTTTTTGTCATTATAATAATTCAAATTGTTACTCTATTCATGACAAAGTAAGGCAAATTATTCTTTCTTAAATCTACATAAGAAAAAACAAACTGATACTTTTAGGCTAAGAAAAGCTGACAATTAGATGGAAAATCACTTTTCTAAAGCTGAGCTTTGTAGATGAAATATGAACATATTAGAGGAAGTAAGGAACATATAAAATATGTTCCTAGGAATAATATTTTCTAATGTCCAATAACTGATATGATTCACAGTTTCTTCATAACCTCAGAAGGCCTAAATCTTTGTCAGCTCTAAACAGCACTTAGATTATTTTGTTTTTCCTGCAACTGTTTAATGCAGTAGTATCAATTCTGTATTTTAAGCATGTTAATCTGGCAGCAAATTGAGATTAATGGAAGGTTGGAGAAAAAGGCTATGAGACAAAATGCAATCTTTCATACATGAATATAGGCACAAAGAGATGGCTTGGAATCCAGAATGCCTTCCACATTTTATTTCTGATAGTTTCCTTTTATTCATATACTGTTTTATCTATTATGTATATTTTACCCATTTCTGTTATCACTCCTGCTTCTTCTGTGAACTCTGTATTCTCTGCTCCATTTGAGCATTGTTCAGAAATCACTGAAATATTTGAATTGTCAGAACTCTGTGTTTTCTGGGGGCTTCAATTCTTATCCATTTCTCCTAATTCCACCATAGAAGTTTCTTTTCAAGGAGTAAAAAAAAAGAAAAAAACAGTACTTTGCTTTCTTTATATATTTCAGGTTGGGAATCAAGATGGGAAAACAAGGAATTATCAACAAAGAAGGATATTTATAAGGAAGATTCACTCCAAACAGTAACAATAGAAAAAGTTTTAAAACAAAGTTATGAATTTTCAAATTCTACCAAGAATTTGGAACACATAGAAAAGTTGGAAGGGAAGCCTGGAATTCATGTAGAACATTTCAGACCAGCAACTCTCACCTCTAGAGAAAGCCCCACTGGGGACAGTTACAAATATGACACATTTAGAATCACCTTTCATTCAAAGTCTACTCTTTCTGAACCATAAAAAAATTCTGCTAAAGGGAATTCACACAAATACAATATATTAAAGAAGAATTTACCAAAAAAGTCAGTTGTAAAAAATGAGAGACTCAATGGTGGAAAGAAACTCTTGAATTCTAATAAAAGTGGAGCAGCCGTTAACCAGAGCACCTCTCCTCACCACACTTATAATAGAGAAAGTCTATACATCTAGGGAATGTGGGAAAGCCTTTGGCAAACAGTCAATCCTCAATCGCCACTGGAGAATTCATACAGGAGAGAAGCCCTGTGAATGTCGTGAATGTGGGAAGACTTTTAGCCACGGCTCATCCCTTACACGACATCAGATAAGCCATAGTGGAGAGAAACCTTACAAATGTATTGAATGTGGGAAGGCCTTTAGCCATGGCTCATCACTTACTAACCATCAGAGCACTCACACTGGAGAGAAACCATATGAATGTATGAACTGTGGAAAGTCTTTTAGGCGTGTGTCCCATCTTATTGAACATCTAAGAATTCATACGCAAGAAAAACTCTATGAGTGTCGTATATGTGGAAAGGCCTTCATTCATACGTCGTCTCTCATTCACCATCAGAAAATCCATACTGGAGAGAAGCCTTATGAATGTAGAGAATGTGAGAAAGCTTTCTGCTGTAGCTCACACCTTACTCCACATCAAAGAATTCACACTATGGAGAAACAATATGAATGCAACAAATGTCTGAAAGTCTTTAGTAGCCTCTCATTTCTTGTTCAGCATCAGAGTATTCATACTGAAGAAAAACCCTTTGAATGTCAGAAATGCAGGAAATCCTTCAACCAGCTTGAATCACTGAATATGCATTTGAGAAATCACATTAGATTGAAATGTGATTTCTATCTAATGAATGCCATATATGTGGGAAAGCCTTTAGTCATAGGTCATCCCTGCTTCAACATCACAGAATTCATACTGGAGAGAAACCTTACGAATGTATTAAATGTGGGAAGACCTTCAGCTGTAGTTCAAACCTTACCGTACATCAGAGAATTCATACTGGAGAAAAGCCATATAAATGTAGTGAGTGTGGGAAAGCTTTTAGCAAAGGCTCAAATCTTACTGCCCATCAAAGAGTACATAATGGAGAGAAACCCAATAGTGTGGTAAGTGTGGAAAAGCCTTTAGACTATATGAATCACTATACATGTGAGAAATCTTACAGAAGAGAATGTATATGAAGCAGTGTTTATCATGGTAAAGTTCATTCATAGATCCTCATTTAACATCAGAAAAAATTATACTGGGGAAAAGTTTTATGAATGTAGTGAATATGGGAAGACTTTCAGCAATGATTCAGATGTTTTTATTTTTCAGAGTTTATACTGTAGAGAAATCATATGAAGACCATAAATGTGGGAAAGCCTTTGTCAGTATTAACCCCTTAATTGACATAAGTATACTCACACTAGGATAAAACCCTGTACATATAGCAAATGTGGGAAAGACTATAGACAATAGGAATCTTTTACAAACTCCTACAGGAGAGAAGCTGTATGAATGTAGAAAATTTAGAAATTGAGGGAAGACTTCAGTTCCAAGTGCATCCCTTATTTTACAAAGAACTCAAACTGGAGAGAACTCTCATTTAAGAGATGTAGCCAAGTGTTCACTAAGAGTGTTTATCTTGCTACACATCAGAAGATTAATGGAAGAACAACCTGAAAGTTTTAGGAATTACGTGTAAATCTTTGCAGTGATGCTATTTGTAAACAGGGTTCTACAGGAGAGCAAATAAATGTCATTATGCATTTCTTAGAGCAGTAGCTTGCAGTTTCAGTTGAGTTCTACTTAGAAATTCTTTTTAGCTAGTGGGCATGTGAAGATATTTAGTCACCCAGAGGAGCCAGTAAATGTTATAATGTTAAAAATTAAAGCTGCAAAAGAAATAAAATGGTGTGAATAAAGGTTTTGGTATCTAATAAAATCATTTTGTATCTCACGTACTCTTTCTCTGTGACTATTTCTGGCAAAAAAATTTCACTAAGATTAGCCTCAGTATAGCCTTTAGTGGGAGACAAGCAAACCTAAAGAAAAACACCTGCTCTTTTTACTAAGAATAGCGGTATTTTGGTGAGGATTATTCGGAGTCCATTTCCAGTGGGCTTACTACATTTCAAGAAAATTTACTGAGCATCACTCGTGTGTATTACACAGCAATGGGATACAGGAATCCAGTAGTTCTGAGCTTTAGTGGTGTGTCAGAATCACTAGGGGGCTTGTTAAAGCACAGATTGCTTTAGCCTCAAGCTAGCCTCAGTTCTAGGTTCTGTATGAGTTGATTTGAATTTGCATTTTTCACACATTCTTAGGTGACAGTAACACTGTTTTGTCCAGAAAGCACATTTTGATAACCATTGTAATAATTAACAAATGTGGTCTTTTTCTCACAGAGACATTATCTGACAAGAGAAATGGATAGCAAATAAATTTGAAATAATCCTTTACAAGTGCTATGAGAAAATAACTAAGAAACAACATACTACAAGAGATCAGAGCAGGCTTAGCTGGATGTGATTTTTGAAATGAATCTTAAATGATGAACACTAATTATGTAATGAGTACTACTCATGTAGCCATGTGCATCCCTGTGTGTGCCTGTGTGTGTGTGTATGTGGTGCACAGGGTGTTATTCTAGGTAAAGTGGATAGTCAAGTTCTGTCATACTTGCTGCAGCTGGATTCCATGTTCCCATGTCTAGTTTCAGATTCTGTGGCTTTGAGGTAGTGCCGCTGGCAGCATCATTGGTTTCAGCAACTGTCATTTCTCCATCTCTGGGTCATAGTTATAGGAGTTTACCTTGAAATCACTAGTCCAGAAGTGTTCCCATTACTTTTACAGCCCACCTACCAATTTTGAAATCACTGATTTACTGCAATATATGTCTTGAAATAGTTAAGAGAGTTTTTGTTCTCTGCACTGAAACTTGACAGATAGTTATGGTTTGTAAGTAGGGAGGATGGCTTCAAATATTCTAAGTTCTAGATAAGAAATGGGGCCAGGCGTGGTGGCTCATGCCTGTAATCCCAGCACTTTGGGAGGCCCAGGCGGGTGGATCACCTGAGGTCAGGAGTTCGAGACCAGCCTGGCCAACATGGAGAAACCCCGCCTCTACTAAAAATACAAAATTAGCTGAGGATGGTGGCACATGCCTGTAATCCCAGCTACTCAGGAGGCTAAGGCAGGAGAATGGCATGAACACTGGAGGTGGAGCTTGCAGTGAGCCGAGATCGCACCACCGCGCTCCAGCCTGGGCGACAGAGTGAGACTCCGTCTCAAAAAAAAAAAAAGAAAAAAAAAGGAAATGGAACGGTCTCACTGGCCCTGTGATTAGAATCCTATCTTGTGATTAGAAAGGTAATGCAGATCAATTTGATTTGGAGTGTATGGACACTGATGTAAGTGAAGGGCTGTGATATGGATTATGCTTCAGATTTTGTTCACTATGGCAGGTGAGAATCATAAGATATGTTATTTTTAAAAGGAACATTATGTTATACATACAATAATTCTGGTGTGGAATGAGTGATAAGGTTTCTGACTTTCAACAAAACATATCTCCTCTGATACATGTACTACCTTAACTGAAAGCTAAAAGCATAGAGGCATATTCCAATAGCACTTTGGAATAGAGACAGTAGGTTTGGAATGGGGTGGTAAATTTTTACTATTCTGCAGGGATTTTATCTTTCATTTGATTTAATTTTAATCCTGAAATTTATATTGAAATTCTATGAAACATTGAGGGATCTTAGACTTATAAGTAAGGAAGGGCCAGGTGCAATGGAACATATCTGTAATCCCAGAAATTTGGGAGGCTGGGGCAGGAGGATTGTTTGAAGCCAGGAGTTCAAGACCAGCCTGGGCAACATAGCAAGACTCGATCTCTAAAAATATATATTTTTTAATTACCCAGGTGTAGGCATATGCCTGCAGTCCTAGCTATTCAGGAGGCTGAGTGGGGAGGGATTGCTTGAGTACAGGAGTTTAAGGTCACAGTGAGGCATCATCACACCACTGCTTTCCAGCCTGGCAGCAGGACACCACTCTGACTCCAAAGTAAATATAACTAAGGAAGCATGACGTGGTATCAAACTGCTGTAATTATGGATAGTCTGGCTACCACATATATACTTATGGGATAATGACAGTAGCTTTCTTTTCTCTCATTCTCTGTCCTTCTTCAGCTCTCCCAAGGAACTGGTACCACAAAGATGAAGTAGTCCTATAATGCCCAGATTTTTTTTGTTTCCACTACACATAGTTTTATGCCACCATGTCACTTTGTTATGACAGGATTCATCCAAAGACCTGTGCTTTGTCATTTAAAAAGCATGAGCATACACATAATAATGCTTTACATTTCTGGAATTAAAGTGCCTTCACAATAACAGAATTAGGAAAAAGAAGGCCATCTTTTTTTTTTTTTTTTTTTTTTTGAGATGGAGTTTCACTCTTGTTGCCCAAGCTGGAGTGAAATGGTGCAATCTCAGCTCACTGCAACCTCCACCTCTCGGGTTCAAGCAATTCTCCTACCTCAGCCTCCTGAGTAACTGGGATTACAGGCATGTGCCACCACACCCAGCTAATTTTTTGTATTTTTAGTAGAGACAGGGTTTCACCATGTTGGCCAGGCTAATCTTGATCTCCTGACCTCAAGTGATCTGCCCGCCTCGGCCTCCCAAAGTGCTGGGATTACAGGCATGAGCCACCACACCCAGCCAGAAGGCCATATTTTTAAATTAAGATATGAAGCTTTTAAGAGCAATAAGAGACCATGACTTTGTTATGATAGAAGGTTGGGCTGATGTCATAATGATGTTACGATGTCACTGACATCATATTATTTCCTCAGTCATACCTATTAACCATTTCTTAAGCATCCACTGTGGACCTAATAGATAAACAATGCATACCCTTTAATAGCTCCAAGGTGTGTGTGTGAAGAGCATTAAGCTTTGGAGTCATGTTACCTGGGTTTAAATCCAAGTTGCATGTATACTGGCTTTGTGTGACCTTGGACAAACTACTTCACTATGTCATGCCTCAGTTTCTCCATCTATAAAATGGTAATAAAGCTATCTCACAGCATTATTATGAAAATTAGATGAGTTAATTGATGCAAAGTGTTTACAACAATGCCTGGCCTCTTAATAGCATTCAATAAGTATTAGCTATTGATTTCATCATCATTGTCTTCTCATGGTTGCTTCATCATTCTGGTCTCAGATGTCACATCTAATCACTTGTCGCTCTTATGTATTTACTGTTTCACATTTTTGAGGGAGCTCTTACAAAATGCACCCATTTCCTTACAACAAATCCTTTAGTATCTGAGCCATTTTGAGGGAATGTTTCTCGCCCAAAATAACCTGAGGGGAAACAAAGAGACCAGATAGGAGATGAGATGAGAATTCAGCAGGTCTGTGAGAAGGAAGGACGGTGCCCTACAGAGCTGGAAAAAAGGCCAACTGAAGGAGGCTGTCAGGCTTCACATAGAGGAAAGGGGAGGCTTTACCCATGGAGACCAGAGGACTACAGGTCTTCAGCATCATCTCTGAGTACAGAGTCCCATGGACTGGGTGCCACTGCCCTCACTCTTCCTGAGTAGAGGTTACAGCCTGTCATTGAAGATCACCGATGCCTGGAAAGTCAAAGTTTCCTTGTTAGCCTTGGGCCAGTCAAATGTGATTAGAGCTCAGTTGTTGGTAAACATCTAGAAAGAATCAAGGCACATATCACTGAGCACTTCCTGGACGCTTAATTCTTTGCTGTTGAGGGGGAGTCAGTCTTTAAACAAATTGCAATTGTGTTAGAGGAAAAAAGCTGTATATGCAGAAGTAATTGATGCAAGATACAAGACAATGACAAGGCCATATGGTTCTGTGTTCTGACTGTGGATTGGTGCTTCTGATCTTGTGGGCTTGTGGGCTTGTAGGCTAGTCATCATTGTTTCAACCCCCACTGGATGAAGTGACTTTCAGGAGATTTTAAAGACTTGCACCTATTTTTTTTAATTCAAAAACAACTACATATACAGAAGAATTCAGAAAGCCGCCTCACATGCTCATGGAAAGATACAAGCACTGAAAAAACCTTCTTCAGCTTTTATTTTAGGCTGATCTCTGGTGCACAGTTATCTCATAATAATACAAACAAAGGCAAAAGTGCAGCAAATCCAGGGGAAGGGGGGAAATATGATTTCCAGAGATATCATATTGTAAGATTCAAATGTCCAGTATTCAACAACAACAAAAACCTGAAGGCATGCCAAAAAACAGAAAAGTATGGCCCAATTAAAGGAACAAAATGAATTGACAGAAAACATACTTGAGGCAGCCCAGATGTCAGACTCACTATAAAAAGACAACTGTCTTAAAGATGCTTTAAAAGCTAAAGAAATATATGAACAAAGGAAAAAGATGTATGAGCAAACTGAGGATAGAAATAATGAGATGAAATGATTTTTTAAAAGAATCAAAAAATCTGGATAAAAAATTACAGTAACAGAAACAAAAAATATGAATACAATAGAGGGATTCAAAAGATAAGCAATTAGAGGAGAGATTCAGCAAACTTAAAAATAGGACAAATATAAATTATCAACATGAAAAAGAAGAGTGAACAGAGCTTAGTGGAACTGTAGCACAACATCAATTTGGGAATCCTTGAAGGGGAAAAGAGAGAAAGGGGCAGAGAAACTATTTTAAGACATAATGGCTGAAAAATCTCCAAATTTGATGAAAGACATGAATTTGCAATCCAGCAAGCAGAATGAACTCTTAGGTAGGAGAATTGAAAAGAGACCCATACTGAGACACATAATCAAATGTCAAAAGCCAAAGACAGATAATCTTGAAAATAGCAAAAGAGAAGCAACTCCTGTCATACAAGGGATCCTCAAGACTATCAACCAGGGTCTCATCAGAAACCCTAGAAGCCAGAAGGAAGCTGATCAATAAACATAAAGTGCTGAAGAAAAAAAGCTGTCAATAGAGAGTTTATATTCAGCAAAATGCTCTTGAAAAATTAGGGAGAAATTCACATATTCCCAGATAAACAAAAGCTGAGGCAGTTGATTATCACTAGACATGTCCTGAAAAAAAAATGCTGAAGGAAGTCTATCAGGTTGAAATTAAAAGAAGCCAGACTGTCACTCAAAGCCATATGGAAAAGTAAAGTTCACTAGTAAAGGTAAATACATGAGGAATTATAAAATGTAATACTATTATAGTTTTGGTTTGTAACTCCACTTTTTTTTTATCTTCTACAGGATTGAAAAGACAAATGCATAAAAATAGTTAGCCTGTTATTGGGAACACAATGTATAAAGATCTAATCTGTAGCATCAATAATGGGAAGTGGTGGGGGTAGACTTGCAGAGTCAGGACTGGTCTCTACCTCACCTAATTCAGATCTCAGACAGCAAGAAGCATCAAATACTACTTGGGAAAGCTGCAAGGACACTAAGACCTGTAGACACATAGAGTAAAAGAATACAGGTGGAGATATGTATACACCATCTAAGTCTCCAAGACAACCCAGGGGGAGACTCTTTGGAAAAATAAGACATTTAAAAGCAGCTGTGTATACAGAGGGATTGAAAAAAACACACACAGACCCAACCAAGAGATATGCTCAGAAAATACCCAAGAACCTTAAGCTTTTTCCTCATACTGATCCCAAGGCACAGAACATTCCTAGCTAATTATTAAAGGACTTTCCTGAAACAGACCCAGTATACAAAGACTGAGAGATGTGGCTGTTGTTTTCAAATGCCCAATTTTCACTTAAACAATCACAAGGCAATCAAAGAAATAGAAAAAACATTGTCCATTCAAAAGATGAATACAAAGTGGCACAAATCATCTCTGAAGACAGGCATTGGGTTTACTGGACAAAGACAACTGTGTTAAATATGCTCAGATATTAAAGTAACTGTATTAACGGTATTAAATGGGCTCAGATACATAAAGGAAACACAAAGAACTAAATGATATCAGGGAAATGATTTAAAACAAAATGAGAATATCAACAAAAAGATATAGATACTATAGAAAGGAACCAAACAGATATTGTGAAGCTGAAAAATATATTAATCTATTAGTCAAGATGAAAAAATTAGGAGTTCAACAGCAGACTTCAGCAGCCAACTTGAAGATAAGACATTTTAAATGATCAGATCTCAGCAATAGAAAGTAAAAAGAATGAAGAATAGTGAATAAAACCTAAGGAACTTATGGGAAACCATCACTGGACCAATATATGTATTATGGGATTCCCAGGAAAATAGAGAGAGAAGGTAGTAGAATTACTTTAAGAAATGTTGACTGAAAACTTCTCAAATTTGAGGAAACACATGAATGTGTAGATTCGATACGTTAGTGAACTCCAAGTAAGATAAACCCACTGAGATACATAATAGTGAAATGCCAAATGACAGAATCTTGAAAGCAGTAAAAGAAAAGTAACACATCACCTGTAAAGGATCCTCAATAAGATCATCAAGTCATTTCTCAGCAGAAACCCTGCACTCCAGAAGGAAATGGTATGATATATTTAAAGTGATATAAGGAAAAACCTGTTAATTAAAAATACTATGTCTAGCACAATGGTCCTGCAAAAGTGGGGAAAAATGAAGACATTATCAGATAAGCAAAAGCCATGAATGTTCATTACCAGTAGACTTACCCTATGAGAAATACTAAGGGTCATTCAGATTGAAATGAAAAGACACTAGACAGTAATTCAAACCTATGTGAAGAAATAAAGTTCTCTGGTAAGTATATGGACAGATATAAAAACCAATATTATTGGCCGGGTGCAGTGGTTCACGCCTGTAAATATATATACATATATATATATATATATATATATATATATATATATATATATATGTAAATATATAAATATATAAATGAATATATTTATATATATTCATTTATATATTTACATATATATACATATGTATGTAAATATATATAATTTAATTTTGCTTTGTAACTCGTTTTTATTTTTGACACAACTTAAAAAGACAAATGCATAAAAAAATTATAAACCACAGAAAGACAAATACCATATAATCTCACTTATATGTGGAATCTAAAAAAGTCAAACTCATGAAAGTAGAGAGTAAAATGATGGTTAATAGGGACTAAGGGGTCCCAAGTTGGTCAAAGGATACACAACCTCAGTTAGATGGGAGAAATAAAAGAGAGCTATTGCACAACATGATGACTACAGTTAATGCATTATATTCTTGAACATTTCTGAGAGTAAATTTTAAGTGTTCTTACCACAAAAAAGGATAAGTATATGAGGTAGTGTAATATCCCTCAAGATATTTCCTAATTTACCTTGTGATTTCTTCATTGACCTATCTGTGATTTGAGTGTGCCATTTAGTTGCCATATATTTGTGAATTTTACTGTTTTCTGTCTGCTATTTGTTTCTAGTGTTTCATTACATTGTGATCAGAAGATACACTGTATGATTTCAATCTTTAAAGTTATTAAGACTACCTCTCTCTGGTCATTGTGCCTCAAAGATGACAAAGAAAAGAAAGAACAACAATCATGCCAAAAAGGGCCGCGGCCACATGCAGCCTATTTGCTGCATGAACTGTGCCCGATGCATGCCCAAGTACAAAGCCGTTAAGAAACTCGTCACTGGGGCCAGGTGCAGTGGCTCATGCCTGTAATCCCAGCACTTTGGGAGGCCAAGGTGGGCAGATCACGAGGTCAGGGGTTCGAGACCAGCCTGCCCAACATGGTAAAACCCCATCTTTACTAAAAATACAAAAAATTCGCCTGGCGTGGTGGCAGGAGTCTGTAATCTCAGTTACTTGGGAGGCTGAGGCAGGAGAATCGCTTGAACCCGGGAGACGGAGGTTGCAGTGAACCAAGATTGTGCCACTGCACTCTAGCCTGGGTGACAAGAGCGAAACTCCGTCTCAAAAAAAAAAAGAAAAAAACTCATCATTTGAAACATAGTGGAGGCCGCGGCAGTCAGGGACATTTCTGAAGCAAGCACCTTCAATGCCTATGTGCTTCCCAAGCTGTATGTGAAACTACATTACTGTGTGAGTTGTGCAATTCACAGCAAAGTAGTCAGGAATCGATCTCATGAAGCCCGCAAGGACCCAACACCCCCTCCCCGATTTAGACCTGCGGGTGCTTCCCCATGACCCCCACCAAAGCCCATGTAAGGAGCTTAGTCCTTAAAGACTGAAGACAGACTATTCTCTGGGGAAAAATAAAATGGAAATTGTACTTAAAAAATAAAATTATTAAGACTTGTTTTGTGGCCTAATATGGTCTATCCTAGAATAGGCAAATTCATAGAGACAAAAATTACAGGTTACCAGGGGCTAGAGGCAGAGAGGAAGGGAGAATTTTTGTTTATTGGATACAGAGGTTTGGTTGGGGATGATGAAAAGTTCTGGAAATAGATAATGCTAGTGGATCCACAAGCTTGTGAACGTACGTAATGCTCCTGAATTGTACACTTGAAAATAAAGTGGTAACATTTATGTTATGCATATTTTATTACAATAAAAAATGAAATGAAAAAACCCTATACACTGCCTTTCTTTTTATTGGGAAATTAGATGCCTCATCTTTTATTCTAATAGCAGTTTGGCAAGAGGGAGGGCCCCAACCATGTAAGTTAATGTATTTCTCAGGGTAATTTTCAGAGTGCCTCAAACCATACCTGCTAAGCTTAATCTCCCTCGAAGCTGAGACAACCTATTTCTATTAGAACCCACTAGTATAGAAAGTCAATGGAAATTACATGGCAAGATTGGAACATGTCAAGAAAAAGGTAGACAGGACAAAGTGTGTAAGTGCTCACCACTTACACTGAGAAGAATGTGACTTTCTGGAAGGTGGTGGATCCCAATGTATAAACAAATTGCTTAATTATTTGCAGCTTTACTTCTCCCTTAAAAATTTATTTTAGTAAAAATAATAGTACTATACAAAATTACTCATTGACAATTAGTCATTATTTATGTGACTGAAAATCTGCAATTATCTGTCACTGACCTTGGTTTGCTAATTTTGTAGTTATTTAAATCAGTTTAATATGAAATATACCAACCCATTTCCTGGTTGTAAAGCTTGGGAGAATTGAAGCAATGAAATAAAGTCCAAGACATAAACACAGGAAATGTTCAGAGAATATGTAAATTTTTATAGTAAGTGAATAAATCACTTATTACATTAAAATGTGTGGTCTCCATACCAGCAACATCAGCAGTACCTGGAAACCTGGAAGAAATGCAAATTCCTTGGAGGTTGCTCCTGGCAGAGAAGATATCTGAACAAAGGCCTGGCAGCTCAATGGACTAGGCTTTAGGGAGATCTGTTGGGTGGAGGTAGTTTGGGGTATAGTTGGAGAAGCATTCATCATGGCAGGGGAAGGGTTGGAACCTAAGGAATCGTTCCAGACACACTAGGAGTTTGGATTTCATACCAAGAGTAAAAGGCAACTTGGAAACAAAGGGGCATCCTCTTCATGCCCTAGGGACAGGTTGGGTCATAAATAAGGAAACCAGTATTGGTCATAGCTATGGCATACTGAAGGGTGGGTCTCCCCTACAGGGTACACTGTTGCAGGCATCCAGCCACTACTGTATAGTCTTCCAGTCTCTGTAGGAACCATGCCTGGAGCTATTATAAAATTGCCCAGATTCACCATGGTGGAAACTGATTCATACTTTTAGGTACAAACCCTTAGGGGAGCCTTAACCCACACCTCTAAGCTGGAGGTAGATGCCCAGGAAGTACCTGGTTAGAAACAGAACTCGAGGGGCTTGGAAGGGTAAAATCCTGAAGTCAAAGGACAGCCTGTTTTACAAGATGTAAAGGTTCTTTTTATGGTGGGATATAACATGCTGACACTCAGACACATGAAAAGCAGAACGCTTGGTTACTTACAGCTCCAAAGGGGAGAAGGCTGTCAGGCAAGGGTATGCAGGGGGTTGCACCCAGGGACAGGGTAACAGTAAGGAATAACTGTAGAGGGCTGCTTATGTATGGCAAGCAGGGTTAGTGGAGCTAGTTAGGTTTCAGGCTCCCTGTGGATTGATGAGTTTGAACAATTTCACAGGTTTCAGGGAATAGGGGTCATCCCTAGCTGTCTGGTACCTGGCCCTGGGGTGATTAGAGCTTGTGCATAGTGACCCAGAATGTGAGAGCCCATTAAAGGGAACTCACCAGCCTCTTGCCAGGGCTTCAAAACTAGATCAAGATAGCATTAAAAACAAAAAAAAGGTCACATATGGTGGCTCATGCCTATAATCTCAGCACTTTGGGAGGCCAGGGCAGATTACCTTAGGACTGGAGTTCAAGACCAGCCTGGGCAAAAAAGGGAGATCCTGTCTCTACAAAAAAAATAAATAAATAAACAAACTGAACTCTATTATGTAGCCCTGGGATAGAAGCTCCAGCTTGGCTTGTGAAAGCTTCTGAAAATTTCCACATGAAAAGGAGATATTGACAAAAGTATAGGGGAAAGAGAACTTGATAACGAGAAATAGAAAATATAGATCTAGACTTCTGGTTTCCATTCCAGCATGTAAAGAGCTTGTTACTCCCATCCTCACAACAACAAAAGGTTGAACAAACTGAAAATCAATAGCCCTTCTTAAATTCTTCAGAGAATTGAGTTCATAGGGCAAAGCAATGCCCCCCAAACTGGAGAGACAGCAAATATAGAGGATCAGATTTTGAGGAGTGGAAGCCTTGGGAACCAGCAACTGATAGGGACAGGTGAACAGTAATTAAATTGCCGGAGGCTAAGGGTGGACAAGCTTGAGACTTAAAACCTGGGAACCCAGTCTCATAATGGGGTCAGCACCCATACTTTCATGAGATTTTTCCTCCAGGAGACACACAAGATTCTCATGATGAAGACTGGAGAAAAATTATCTCATGCTTCAGACAGGAGGAGGGGTGAAAATAATCATTCTGAAACACACCCAAGGAAACAAGCATTTTGAAGTAAGCCCAAAGTATCCTGTGCTATATAACAAAAGCCTGCCCTCAAGGGAAACTACTTTACCAAATCATGTGTGATCTGTGAGGAGAACTAGTCAGTCAGTCCCATCTAGCCCTCCTATCTCAAACAAATTGAATCTGTAATAAAATGTGTCCTATCAAAGAAAAGCCTAGATGCCAATGGCTTTACTGCAGAATTCCACCTAACATTTAGGAGAAAATAATAGTAATTCTTCTCAAACTCTTCCAGAAAATTGAAGAGTAGGGAATACTTCCAAATTCATTTTGCAAGACCAGCATTATCCTGATACCAAAACCAGAGGAGCACACAGCAAAAAAAAAAGAGAGAGAGAGAGAGAGAAAACTATAGGCCGATATCCCTGATACATGTAGATGTCAACATCCTCCACAAAATACTAGCCAACCAAATTCAGCAGCACATGAAAGTGATCATTCCCATGACCAAGTGGGATTTAACCCAGGATGCAAGGATGGTTCCAGATACACAAATCAATAAGTGGGACGCACCACATCAACAGAGTGAGTACAAGAACCATATGATCATCTTGATTGGTGCAGAAAAAGCATGATAAAATTCAGCAGCCCTTCATAGTAAAAGCTCTTAACAAACTGGGTATAGAAGGAATGCAGCCCAACACAAGAAATCAATGTATGGCAAACACACAGCTAACATCATAGTGAATAACGAAAAGTACAAAGCTCTTCCTCCAAGATCTGGAACAAGCCAAGAATGTCCATTTCTACCACTTTTATTCAATGTAGTGCTGGAAGTCCTAGCCAGAGCAATTAGGCAAGAGAAAGAAATAACGGGCATCCAGACTGGAAAGTAAGATGTCAAATTGTCTCTGCTTGCAGAGGACATCATCTTATGTACAGAAAACCCCAAAAGCACCACCAAACTACTCTTAAACTGACCGATGAATTTATTAAAGGTGCAGGATACAAAATCATCATACTAAAACCAGTACCATTCCTGAACATCAACAACAAATTAGAAAAGAAAGAAATTAAAGAGCAATCTCGTATAAAACAGCTACCAAAAAAAAAGCTTCAGAATAACTATAACAAAGGAGGTGGAAGACCTCCACCAAAAAAACTATAAAATACTGAGGAAACCAATTGAAGAGGACACTAAAACATGAAAAGATATTCCATGCTCATAATTGGAAGGATCACTATTGTGAAAATGACCATGTTGCCAAAAATGATCTGCAGATTCAATGCAATCCCTATCAAAATATCAATGATATTGTCACAGAAATATAAAAAATAATCCTGAAATTTATATGAAACCACAAACGACTCTGAGCATCCAAAGCAATCCTGAGCAAAAAGAACAAAGCTGGAGGCATAGCATGACTTGACTTAAAAATAGGCTACAAAGTTAGAGTAAACAAAACAGCATAGTACTGGCATAAAAACAGACACACAGACCAGTGAAACTAAATAGACAACTCAGAAGTACGTCCAAGCATTTACAACCAACTGATTTTCAACAAAGGCAGCAAGAACATTTATTGGTTCTTTACATTTCCTGGAAGAGCTTTGTACTTTTCCCTATTCACTATGATGTTGGCTGTGGGTTTGCCATACACTGATTTATTGTACTGGGCTACATTCCTTCTATACCCAGCTTCTTAAGAGTTTTTACTATAAAGGGCTGTTGAATTTTATCACGCTTTTTCTGCACCTACTGAGATAATCATATGGTTCTTGTACTCATTCTGTTGATGTGATGTGTTACATGTATTGATTTGAAACAAGGCAAGAACGTCCATTATCACCACTTTTATTTATTTATTTATTTATTTTTGAGATGGAGTCTCGCTCTGTCACCCAGGCTGGAGTGCAGTGGCACGATCTCGGCGCACTGCAACCTCCGCCTCCCGGGTTCAAGCGATTCTCCTGCCTCAGCCTCCAGAGTAGCTGGGATTACAGGCATGTGCCACCACACCCAGCTAATTTTTTGTATTTTTAGTAGAGACGGGGTTTCACCATGTTAGCCAGGATGATCTCAATCACCTAACATCGTGATCTGCCTGCCTTGGCCTCCCAAAGTGCTGGGATTACAGGCATGAGCCACCGTGCCTGGCCTGTCACCACTTTTATTTGACATAGTACTGGAAGTCCTAGCTAGAGCAATTAGGCAAGAGAAAAAAAAACTTGAATGAATGATGCCTGGAACATTAAATATCTGTATGCCGAAAAATGAAACTAGACCCCTATATCTCACCATATTAATAAAATCAACTCAAAATAGCTTACAGACTTAAATTAAGAGCTGAAACTATGGAACTACTCGAAGAAAGCAGGGGAAATGCTTCAAGACATTGATCTGGGCAAAGATTTTGTGGTGAAGAACTTGAAAGCACAGGAAACAAAAGCAAAAATAGGCTAATTGGATTACATTAAACTAAAAAGCTCCTGCACAGCAAAGAAAACAATCAACAGAGACAAGAGACAACTTGCAGAATGGGAAGAAAACTGCAAACTATTCATTCAACAAGGGATTAATATCCACAATATATGAGAAACTTGAACAATTCAATGTCAAAAAAAATACAAATAATCTGATGTAAAAATGGACAACTTGGCCAGGTGCAGTGGCTCATGCCTGTAATCCCAGCACTTTGGGAGGCTCAGGTGGATGGATCACCTGAGGTCAGGAGTTCAAGACCAGCCTGGCCAACATGGTGAAACCATGCCTCTACTAAAAATATAAAATTAGCTGGGCGTGGTGGCCCGTGCCTGTAATCCCAGCTACTCGGGAGGCTGAGGCAGGAGAATCACTTGAACCTGGGAGGCAGAGGTTGCAGTGAGCCAAGATTGCACCATTGCACTCCAGCCTGGGCAACAAGAGTGAAACTCTATCTCAAAAAAAAAAAAGAAAAAGAAATGGACAAATTAGCTGAATAAACATCTCTCAAAAGATGACATACATATGGCCAACTAATATTTTTAAAATGCTCAACATCACTTATCATACAGGATATGCACATCAAAATCACATTCAGATATCATCTCATCCCAGTTAAAATGGCTACTATGACAAAGACAAAAGATACCAAATGCTAGTGAGAAAGCAAAGAAAAGAGAACTCTTGTATGCTGTTTGTGGGAACGTAAATTATTACAGCCATGAGGAAAAACACTATGGGGGGTTCCTCAAAAAACTAAAAATAGATTTACCATATATGGTCAAGCAATCCCATTACTGGGTACACATCCAGACAAAAGGAAGTCAGTATATCAAAGAGGTATCTGCACTCTCATGTTTATTGCAACACTGTTCACAATGGACAAAACATGGAATCAACCTAAGTGTCCATGAACATGTGAACAAATGAAGAACATATGGTATAAATACACAATGGAATATGATCTAGCTATGAAAAAGAATAAAATGCTGTCATTTGCAGCAACATAAATGAGCTTGGAGTCATTGTGTTAAGCAAAAGAAGCCAAGACACAGAAAGATAAATACTGTATGTTCTCACTCACATGTGGAAGGTTAAAAAGTTGCTCTCATAGAAGGAGAGTGTAGACTAAGGGTTACTTGAGGCAAGAAAGAGTTGGGGGAGGTGGGAATATAGCCAAAGATTGATGGATGGATACAAAAGTGCAGCTAGATAGGAGGAATAAGTTCTAGTGTTCTATAGGATTGTAGGGTGACTGTATTACACAATTTACTGTATATATATATATATTTTTTTTGAGATGAAGTCTCGCTCTGTCGCCCAGGCTGGAGTGCAGTGGCACAATCTCAGCTCACTGCAAGCTCTGCCTCCCAGGTTCATGCCATTCTCCTGCCTCAGCTTCCTGAGTAGCTGGGATTACAGTTGCCCGCCACCACACCCTGCTAATTTTTTGTATTTTTAGTAGAGACAGGGTTTCACCGTGTTAGCCAGGATGGTCTCGA
The DNA here is from genome assembly GCF_000001405.40 of Homo sapiens. Lineage (NCBI taxonomy): Eukaryota > Metazoa > Chordata > Mammalia > Primates > Hominidae > Homo > Homo sapiens. The sequence goes on along the minus strand of NC_000019.10, from coordinate 34,526,690 downwards.
TCTCCTGACCTCGTGATCCTCCCACCTCAGCCTCCCAAAGTGCTGGGATTACAGGCATGAGCCACTGCACCTGGCTTACTGTATATTTTCAAATACCTAGAAGAGCAGATACTGCATGTTCCCAATGCAAAGTAATGATCAATGTTTGAGGTGTATATGCTAATCAGGCTGCTTTGATCATTACACATTGTATACATGTATTGAAATATCATACTGTACCCCATAAATATATACAATTATTATTGTGTCCATCTAAAATGATAAAAGCAAAAGAAGAAAAGAAAAAAAGCTACAATCTAATATTCACAATGAACATAGATTTTTTAAATCTTCAATAACATAGTAGAAAACCAAGTTCAAACACATGAACAGAATTACACAATATGACCAAGTAGAATTTATCCCTGAAATGAAAGATGTTTCAAAATATGCAAATCCATCAACATGGCACACCATATTAACAGAATGAAGAATAAAAACCACAGGATCATTTTAAAAGATGCAGAAAAATACCTGACATTACCCAACGTCCATTCATATTAAAACCACCACCAAAATAGGTATTGAAGGAACTTACCTCAACACAAATATGGTCATATATAAAAAGCCCACTGCTACCATCATAATCAATCAAGAGAAACTAAAATTCTTTCTTCTAAGATCAGGAACAAGATAAGAATGCCCACTCTTACCACTTGTATTTAACATGGAACTGTAAGTCCTACCAAGAGTAATGCGGCAAGAAAAGAAAAGGCATCTAAATCAGAAAAAAGTGAAGTAAAACAGTATCTCTTACAAGATCACATGATGTTGACCAGGCGTGGTGGCTCAAGCCTGTAATGCCAGCACTTTGGAGGCCAAGGCAGGTGAATCACTGGAGGTCAGGAGTTTGAGACCAGCCTGGCCAACATGGTTAGACCTGTCTCCACTAAAAATACAAAAATTATCCAGGTGAGATTGTGCACACCTGTAATTCCAGCTACTTGGGAAGCTGACCAAGATCACGCCACTGCACTCTACCCTGAGCGACAGAGCAAGATCCTGTCTCAAAAAAAAAAAAAAAAAAAAAGACGATTACATGATGTTATACGTAGAAAACCCTAAAGACTTAATATGCACACATAAAATTATAAACTAATAAACTAATAATTATAATTGCTAATAATAAACTAATAATAACTAATTACTATTCGTTATTATTTATTTATAATAGTTATATATTATAGTTATATATATAATAGCTATATATTATATATAGTTATAATATTATAATAGTTATATTATATATTATATAATAGTTATATATTATTAGTAATAATTACTAATAATAAACTAACAAATAATAACTAATAAATAATAACTAATAATAAATAACTAAAATAAACTAATAAATAATAACTAAAATAATAAACTAATAAATAATAATTATAAACTAATAAATTCAGTAATGTTGCAAAATACAAAATAAACCTACAAAAATCGGAGGTATGTCTGTATACTAACAAAGAACTATCCAATAAGGAAAATATGGCAACAATTACATTTGCAATAACAACAAAAAGAATAAAATTATTAGGATAAACTAAGCCAAAGAAGTAAAAGACTTGTACACTGAAAACCATAAAACATTGATGAAGAAAATTAAAGAAGACACAGAGAAATGGAAAGAACTCTTATGTTCACAGATTTGAATAATTAATAATGTTAAAGTATCCACACTACCAAAGAATCTACAGATTCAAGCCAATCCCTAGGAAAATCCCAATGGCATTTTCTACAGAAATAGGAAAAAACAATTCTAAAGTGTTTATGGAATCACAAAAAAAGCCAAAATAGACAAACCAATCCTGACCAAGAAGACAAAGCTGGAGACATCAACCTACAGACCAGAGAAAGTATTTGAGAACCATGTATTTAATAAGAAGTTAATATCCAAAATATGTAATTAATTCATACACTCAATAGCAAAAAAATAAATAAACAATCCAATTGAAAATGGACAAAGGACATGCATAGATATTTTTCCTAAAAGGACATACGAATGGCCAATAGATGCTTGAAAAGGTGTTCAACATCACTGATCATCAGAAAAAATGCAAACCAAAACCATGAGCTATCTATCATCTCACACCCATTATCATAGCTACTATCAAAAAGACAAAAAATAACAAGCGTTCATGATGATGTGAAGAAATTGAGAACCTTGTGCACTGTTGTTGGAAACGTAAAATTGTGCAGCCTCTATGAAAAGCAGCATAGAGTTGGAATTACCATATGACCCAGCAATCCCACATTTGAATATACAATCAATGGAAATAAAATCAGTATCTCAAACAGGCATCTGCACTCCCCTGTTCATTGTAGCATTATTCACAATCACCAAGATATGGAAACAATCAAACTTTCTGTTAATGGATGAATGGATGAAGAAAATGTGATATATACATTTTTCCGTTCTACAAAAGATATAATGGACTACTGTTCAGTTTTTAAAAAAAGAAGGAAACCCTACCATTTACAATAAAATGGATGAATCTGGAGGACACTATGCTAAGAAAAATAAGGGAGACACGGAAAGACAAATCAATGGGGCACTAATTAGAGAAAATGAGTGAGGCTGGTGGGAGCAGGGGAAAGCAAAAAGAGAAAGCAGATAAATTATCAGTCTGCCCTTCCTTACGGTCCGGAACATATAGCCCTCCTGCACAAATAATTCAAAATCCTCCTGCACCTGAATTATCATGAGACCCTCGGCTGATTGATAGGAAAATGCACGTTAGATCACTGCAACCTTGGCAATAGAGTACTGCACATAGCCCTCTCCAGCACACAGTACAAGCACCATCCTATAAAATCCCCAGCAAGCCTTTATCTCCTGGCAGTCAGCACCTCTCTTGCTGACTTGCCCATTGCTTTCTTGCAACATAGTTTTATACATTTTCTAATAAATCTGCCTTTCTTTACCTACAACTGTCTTAGTAAATTCTTTTTACCACCTGTGCACCAGACCCACATACTCATGACTCATGACAAAAATCCTATATGATCTGACTTCTATGTGGTATGTAAAATACTCAAACTCGTAGAATCAGAGAGCAGAATGGTGGTTTCCAGGGAGCCCAGAAGAAGCAGGAGAGAGGATTGAGAAGTTACTGGTCAAGGGTACAAAGTTTCAGCTATGCAAGATGAATGAACTCTGGAGATTTAATGGACAGTATGATGACCATGATTCATAATACTCTATAGTGTAGAGTAGCCCCCCATTATCTGCAAGGGATACATTCCAAGACCCCCAATGAGTACCTTAAACCATTCATAGTACCAAACCTTATACACAACGTGCTGTTTTTTTGATACATCCATACATATGATAAAGTTTAATTTCTAAATTAAACACAAGAAGAGATTAGCAACAAAGGCTAATAATAAAATAAAAATTTATACCAATATGCTGTAATAAAAGTTGTGTGAATGTGGTTTATCTCTCTTTCTTTCTCTCTCTCTCTCTCATATATCTTATATATCTTGTTGTACTGCCTCATCTGTTTTCAGACCCCAGTTGACCATGAGTAAATGAAACTTCAAAAATCTTTTAAAAGCTTTGCCTTTTCTGGAACTGCCTATAAATGAAATCATGCAATATGTAGCCTTCCGAGTCTGGCTTCCTTCAATACTTCTTTAATTTTAAGATACTAAATATGATATTAAATCTATGATGCATATGTTCATTAGCTTGAGTATGATGATTATTTCACAATGTGAATGTATATCAAAGTATCTACTTGTGCATTTTATATATACACAATTCCTATTTGTCAATTATACCAATAAAGCTGGAGGGGAAAAACAAATCTCATCTAGTAACTAAACAAAAATGTATATTAAATATATTGGCGCATAAGATCCAGATTTTTAAGAAATAAGATGAGTAATCTTATTTCCAGTAATTAAAACATCTGAAAAAATGAATATTCATAAGGATACATGATACCTTTAAAAATGTAAGATCCTAGTTAGAATGTGTAAATGATAAAATTATTGAAAGAAGCCAGACACAAAAAGCTACTTATTGTATTATTGCATTGATAAGCAGTTCTAGAAAAGGCAAAGTTATTGGAATAAAGAACAAACCAGTGGCCACTCAGAATTAGATTAAGGGCGAAGAGAATATTTCACTACAAAAGCACAACACAAGAAATGTTTGAAAGTAAGAAAATAGCATCTCTATTGTGATGGTAGTGTTTGAGATTCTAGACACCAATACAAAACGTACATAAGACATAGCTGTCAAAACTCATGGAAATGTACATCATAAATACTGAGTTTTGCCATATGTAATTTTTTAAAATTTAACACTCAAAAAAGATATAAAGTATTCATACACATGACACAGATTAACCTAAAAGACTTCTCTTTGAGGAAACAATAACATTTCATACTGTATGATTGAATTTACATAAAGCAAACTAATCTATACTGACATAAACCTGATCAGCAGTTGCCTAGAGAGGAGGAAGGGGTTGGCTGGGCACGGTGGCTCATGCCTGTAATCCCAGCACTTTGGGAGGCCAAGGCAGGTGGATCATCTGTGGTCAGGAGTTTGAGACCGGCCTGGCCAACATGGTGAAACCCCATCTCTACTAAAAATACAAAAATTAGTCTCGCATGGTGGCACACGCCTATAATCCCAGCTACTCGGGAGGCTGAGGCAGGAGAATTTCATAACCCGGGAGGCAGAAGTTGCAGTGAGCCAAGACTGTGCTATGGCACTCCAGCCTAGGTGACAGAGCAAGACTCTGTCTCCAAAAAAAAAAAAAAAAAAAAAAAAAGGAGAAAGAGAGAGGAGGAAGGGGTTAAGGAGATACAAGAGAGGGTGTTACACACAGGCACAACAAAACATTTGGAGGTGAGGGATGTGTTCATTATTTTGATCATTATGGTGGTTGTTCTGGTTTTTACCACTGTCAAAAGTTACAAATTATATACTTTAGATATACACGCTTGTTATATGTCACTTATAATTCAATGAAAGTATTATGACAAAAAAATTTAATTTAATGAACATATACAAGATTTTAAAATATAATTAGAATTGACTTAATAGATTAGTGAAAAGAGGAACATTGAAAAGAAACATTTAGTTCATACTTTAAATCATAATAGCCCTTCCCCAAAACTCAACTGTCTTTGTAAAGCTAATGAGAGACCATCAGGCTAGGAGGATAGAGGAGCCTTAATTTGGCCAAGATACAGACATAAACAAAAGTTACAAATTATATACTTTAGATATACATACTTGTTATATGTCAATTATACTTTAACAAAGCTGTTAAAATAAAAAAATTAAATGTAATATATTAAATAATTGCCAGCAATTATTCTGGAATTCACAGATATGCAACTTCCCCAATTACTCCTGCAGATACCATCACTATGGTAGAACCTGTGATTGGCCTTTTGAGATGCCTTTTTAGGTGTTTTTTTTTTTTAATGTCTAACACCAATGGCTTCTCCTGGACCCACCAGTTGTTCCTGTGGCCTCCAGAAGTAACTCCATGCAAAAAGACAGCTTCACTTCCTATGATTTCATCTCCAACCCAACCACTCAGCACTCCTCATACCCGAGCTCCCTGCCCACCAAGCATATTTGAAAAACACCTGGCCTCTGAGCCTTCGATGAGATTGCCTTGATGATAACTCTGTCACTGGTGTGGTTTGACCAGCCTCGCATCAATTAAACTCTTTCTTCACTGCAATGCCATGGTCTCCATGAATTGATTTGCTTGTGCAGCAGGCAGGAAGAACCTGTCAGGCACTTACACCACTCCAATCTTATACAAATTCTTCCAAAGCATAAACTATCAGGGTGCATTCCCTATATCAGTCAGTGTCCCTGCAGGAAGGAAACGGCACACTCACACAGGATACGTGACAAGAGTTTAATGAATGGCTATAAACAAAAAATAAAATTCTAAGGCCCCTAACCATCTGAACGGACCCCTCCTCTTGGCCAAGGGCATTCCAAAGCTAACCTAAAAAACTAGTTCAGGTCATAATGGAAGGAGGGGTCAAACCTGCCTCATTATACCCATCTCCCTTTTGGAATTCAGGAAAAACCAACCAGGATTTAACATCAACACAGACCTTAAGTCTGATAAGAAACATTTACAATCTATTATTTCTGAAGCCTGCTACCTGGACACTTCATCTGCATGATAAAACCTTGGTCTCCACCATCCCTTATCACAACCCAGACATTCTTTTCTATTGACAATCACTCTTTGAACCCACTGCCAATCAGAAAAATTTTAAACCCACCTAAGAACTGGAAGCCCCCCCAACCCCACTTCAAGTCATTCTGCTCTTCCAGATCAAAGCAATGTAAATCTTACATGCATTGATTGATGTATTATATCTCCCTAAAATGTATAAAAGCAAGCTGTACTCTGACCACCTTGTGCACGTGTCCTCAGGACCTCCTGAAGCTGTGTCATAGACACATCCCTAGCCTTGGCAAAATAAACTTTCTAAATTGATTGAGACCTGTCTCAGATACTTTTGGGTTCACAGGCTTATGGCTCTGCTGTGAGGAAAGTTAAGGGAAACCAATAACAAAATGCCCAAGGCAAGCAAGAGCGAAATATCTAATGGGAGGCAAGGAAAGGAGCTGTTGCTATGATCCAGTGAGACTTGTACTTGTGGGAGGGTGAGCTCACAGGACCTTTGGCCACAGGAGAGGAACACAGCCATGGCCAACTTGTAGCCCCAAAGAAGGGCAGCTGGGAGTGAATCCCCCCATCTCACTCTTGTCTTCCCTCCCATGTCCTGCCCTATCTCCAATGTGTCAACCCACAGAAAACCAAAGGTCAACATAGCCCAATGATGTCATCCAGAAAATGCCAGGTCGTAGGGTACAAAGCAGGCTATGAAAAGAAGAAGACTAGCTCTGTTGGAATAAATAGAAATCACCTCTACATCCCCCAATTCATAATGAGCTAGTATCCTGACACCAAAATCCAACCACTCGAAGACACAGACAAAATGTTCCATGCAAGATATTGGCAAAGTGAATGAAATTACATATAAAGAATACTATAAGCTGATTAAGGAGAATTTACACCAGAAACGCAAGGTAGGTTTCAAATTACAAAATTATTTGATGTAATTTAACACATTCACAGAACTAAGGGAAAAAAATTGCATGGACATTTCACTAAATGCAAGTGAGATGTGTTATAAAATTCATCTTTTCTGGATTTAAAAAATTATTTTACACAGGGGTCAGTGGCTCACACCTACAGTCCCAGCACTTTGGGAGGCTGGGTGGGCAGATAGCTTGAGCCAGAAGTTTGAGACTACATTGGGCAACATGGAGAAACCCTGCCTCTACAAAAATTACTAAAATTAGCTAGGTGTGGTGGTGCCCACCTGTAGTCCCGGCTACTCAGGAGGCTAAGGTGGGAGGATCACTTAAGTGCTGGAGGTTGAGGCTGCAGTGAGCCAAGACTGCACCACTGCACTCCAGCCCAGGTGACAAAGCCAGACCCTGTCTCAAAAAAAAAAAAAAAAAAAAAATTTAATTCTCTTAAAAATAGAAATAGAATAATATATCTTTTTTTCTTTTTTTTTTTTTTTTGAGACTCAGTCTTGCTCTGTCACCCAGGCTGGAGAGCAGTGGCGCAATCTCGGCTCACTGCAAGCTCCACCTCTTGAGTTCACACCATTCTCCTGCCTCAGCCTCCCGAGTAGCTGGGACTTCAGGCACCTGCCACCATGCCCGGCTAATTTTTTGTATTTTTAGTAGAGACGGGGTTTCACCGTGTTAGCCAGGATGGTCTCGATCTCCTGACCTCGTGATCCGCCCGCCTTGGCCTCCCCAAGTGCTGGGATTACAGGCGTGAGTCACCATGCCTGGCCTAGAATAATATATCTTTAATCTAATAAAGAGCATCTAACAAAAAAATCTTATATTAAACTTTCTATTTAATGGTGAAATATCAAAAGCTATCCTTTTGAATCTGGATGAAGGGTATCCAGAAATACTTATAAAATGTTGCACAGCTTTCTTATAAGCCTAAAATTATGTGAAATTTAAAAATTTATATAAAACACAATGCTATCAAGAGCAAAAACAAAAAAAGTTCCTCTTGAGTTTAGAATAAAAATGCCTTCCTTCACCATTGCTATCCAACATTGTGCTAGAGATTCTACAAATGCAATAAAGCAAGACCAGTAAAATATATGAAGATTGAAGAGGAAGAAACAAATATGCATTAGATATATTTATATAAATAGTCTTAGAGAATCTACAGAGACTAAAGAGTTTTTGAATGTTAAATACAAAACAATATAAAATAATTAAAACCTTCTATATGGCAGCACAAACATTTATAAACTTACACTTTAAAGAATGTAACATTTACAATGGCATTAAAAATAAAAGATGCCTTGGAATAAATCAATTACTACATGTATAAGAGCACCATAGAAATATATATGTAAAAAGTTATAGAGAGAAAATAGGGAAGACCAAAATAAATGGCACCATGTACCAGCGTTATGGAGAGGAATACTCAATACTATCAAAACTTCAATTCTCTCCAAGTTGAAATCAAAAAGTTGTTTCTAAACTTATATGGGAATGCAGAGGACCAAAACCAGCAAAGACACTCTAGGAACAATGCCGAGACCAGCTCAGTCGGGGAGACCCTAACCCAGTGGTGCTAGAGGAGTTAAAGACACACGCACAGAAATACAGAGGTGTGACGTGGGAAATCAGGGGTCTCACAGCCTTCAGAGCTGAGAGCCCCAAACAGAGATTTACCCACGTATTGATTAACAGCAAATGAGTCATTAGCATTGTTTCTATAGATATTAAATTAACTAAAAGTATCCTTTATGGGAAACAAAGGGATGGGCTGAATTAAAGGAATAGGTTGGGCTAGTTAACTGCAGCAGGAGCATGGTGGTGCAGGATATGGAAGGCATATTGACAGTCAGTATAAATACTGATGCAAAGTCTCTTTGCAAGAGTGAGGGCCTGAGTTAAGGCAATGAGTCTGGCTTGCTGAGAGGTGTTAGGATCTGTGGGGTCAGCTAGGTTTGCTTTTGTGAGGATGGCAAAACTAGGTATCCAAAGGCGGAAGTACCTAACCATGCCTAGGAAGGAAAGGAGTTGTTGTTTTGTAGAAGGGATTGGGGTTTGGGAGATTAGCCAGACATGATCAGCAGGGAGAGCATGTGTGTTTTTATGAGAATTATGCTGAGATAGGTTACAGATGAGGATGAAATTTGGGCTTGACTGAAGTAATGGGGGCTGTCTGTGAAGGCTTGCAGTAGTACAGCCCAGGTAATTTGCTGAGGCTGATGGTTGTCAGGGTCAGTCCAAGTGAAAGCAAAGAGAGGCTGGGATGAAGTGTGCAAAGGAATAGTAAAGAAAGCGTGTTTGAGATCCGGAACAGAATAATGGGTTATGGAGGGGTTGGGGAGGGAGGTATTGAGAATAGAAGAGTATATGGCTTTGGCACCATGGGGTGGATAGGCAAGACAATTTGGTTAATAAGGTGCAGATCCTGAACTAACCTGTAAGGCTTTTCCAGTTTTTGGACAGGTAAAATGGGGGAATTGTAAGGAGAGTTTATAAGCTTTAAAAGGCTATGCTGTAGCAGGTGAGTGATAACAGGTTTAATCCTTTCAAAGCATGCTGTGGGATGGGATATTGGCATTGAGTGGGGTAAGGGTGATTAGGTTTTAATGGGATGGTAAGGGGTGCATGATCAGTCACCAAGGAGGCAGTAGAGGTGTCCTATACTTGTGGATTAAGGTGCGGAGATACAAGGGGAAGATGTGAAGGAGGCTTTGAACTGGGGAAAAGGGCAGCAATGAGGTGTGGCTGTAGCCTAGGAATAGTCAGGGAAGCAGATGATTTAGTTAAAATGCCTAGACCTAATAAGGGAACTAGGCAGGTGGGGATAACTAAAAAGAAGTGCATAAAAGAGTATTGTCCAAGTTGGCACCAGAGTGGGGGAGATTTAAGGGGTCTAGAATCCTGGCTGTCAATACCCACAACAGTTATGGAGGCAAAGGAAACAGGCCCTTGAAAAGAAGGTAATGTGGAGGGGGTAGCCTCTGTATTGATTAAGAAGGGGACGGACTTACCCTCCACTGTGAGAGTCACCAGAAGCTCGGCGTCCAGGGGGCTTCCAAGGTGATCAGGCTGCATCAGTCTTCAGCCACTAAGCCGAGAAGATCTGGGAAGGAGTCCGTCAGAGAGCCTTGGGCCAGAGTTCCAGGGGCTCTGAGAGTGGCTGCCGGGTTGGACAGTCCGATTTCCAGTGGGGTCCCACACAGATGGGACATGGCTTAGGAGGAATCCCAGGCTGCAGGCATTCCTTGGCCTAGTGGCCAGATTTCCAGCACTTGAAGCAAGCTCCTGGGGCAGGCAGTCCTGAAGGAACGCCTGGCCACTGTGGTTCAGGTGTTTGGAGTTCTTGTGTGCTGGAGATGTGCCTGGGGTTTCTCTCACAGTGGAGGCAAGGAATTGCAACTCAGAAATATGTTGCTACTTGGCTGCCTCTAGTCTATTACTGTACATCTTGAAGGTGGGGTTAATTAAGTCCTGTTGTGGGGTTTGAGGGCTGGAGTTTAATTTTTGGAGTTTTATTTAATGTTGGGAGCAGATTAGGTAATAAAATGTATATTGAGAATAAGACAGCTTTTTGACCTTTTAGGATCTAGGGCTGTAAAGTGTCTCAGGGTTGCTGCCAGACAAGCCATGAACTGGGCTGGGTTTTTATATTTGAGGAAAAAGAGCCTAAACGCTAACTGATTTGGGAGAGGTCGGATAAAGAAAAAGGAGCGTTAACCTTGACTATGCCTTTAGCTCCAGCTACCTCTTTAAGACGAAATTGTTGGGCAGGTGGGGAAGGGCTAGTCGTGGAATGAAACTGTAAGCCGGACCAGGTGTGAAGAAGGGAGGTGATGAAAGGATTATAGGGTGGGGGAGCAGAGGCTGAGGAAGAATTGGGACCTGGCTTGGCCTGGCGAGGAGCAGCCTGGGGAGGAGGGGAGATGTCAGATGGGTCTGTAAAGAAGAACGATTGGAAAGACGCAGCAACACTTGCGGTTGGGACTGAGGGGACAGGCGGGGGGGGGGGGGGGAAGAAGGAAGATTTGGGATGAGTTGCATTGGGAACAGAGACTAGGGAGGGACCAGTGTGTAAAAGAATGCCTGGACATCAAGCACCTCAGACCATTTGCCCATATTATGACAAGAATTATCTAGATCTTGTAGGATGGAGAACTCGAAAGTGCCATTTTCTGGCTATTTGGAACCATTGTCAAGTTTGTATTGAGGTTAAGTGGCATTGCAGAAGAAAATAAGGCATTTAGGCTTTAGGTCAGGTGTGAGTTGAAGAGGTTTTAAGTTCTTGAGAACACAGGCTAAGGAAGAAGAAGGAGGAATGGAGGGTGGAAGTTTGCCTATAGGGAAGGAGGCAAGTCCAGAGAAAAGAGAGGGTAGAGACACGGAGAGAAGGGGAGGGGGGTGCTTGTCCCCCTGGAAAGTGGAGAGAAAAGAGAGGGTAGAGACAGGGAGAGAAGGGGTGGGGGATGCTTGCCACCCAGAGGAAAGTGAAGAAGGAGTGGGGAGTGTTTCCCCACAAGAAAGTGGAGAGAAAAGAGAGGGTAGAGACACGGAGAGAAGGGGTGGGGGGTTGCTTGCCCCCCAAAAAGTGGTGCTTGCCACTAAGGGTGAAGGATCAAGGCAGGCGTCCCCGCAGTGATCAGACACCTCTGAAACGTGGGTGAATAATCAAGCAGGTGTCCTCACAGTGATTAAACACCAAGGGAAGGCTGTTTTCCCGAGTCCTTGACTGGCACCAGAGTTTTGGGCTCACGGATAATACGCGTCTTCTCTGTCTCTATCAGAAAAGGAACTGAAATTAAGAGAAGGGAGAGATTGAAGTGTGGCGCCAAGACTGAAAGGAGAAAGAGGTGGAGGGATAGTGAGAGAAGTTGGAGAAGAGAGTAAAGAGAGGCCACCTACCCAATTTAAAATTGGTGAGATGTTCCTTGGGCTGGTTGGTCTGAGGACCAGAGATTGTACGTGGATCTTTTTCTCATGGAGCAAAGAGCAGGAGGACAGGGGATTGATCTCCCAAGGGAGGTCCCCCCATCCAAGTCACGGCACCAAATTTCACGCGCGTACGTGTGAAGAGACCACCAAACAGGCTTTGTGTGAGCAACAAGGCTGTTTATTTCACCTGGGTGCAGGCGGGCTGAGTCCGAAAACAGAGTCAGCGAAGGGAGATAGGGGTGGGGCTGTTTTATAGGACTTGGGTAGGTAGTGGAAAATTACAGTCAAAGGAGGTTGTCCTCTGGCTGGCAGGGGTGGGGGTCACAAGGTGCTCAGTGGGGGAGCTTTTGAGCCAGGATGAGCCAGGAGAAGAAATTTCACAAGGTAATGCCATCAGTTAAGGCAGGAACAAGCCATTTTCACTTCTTTTGTGATTCTTCAGTTACTTCAGGCCATCTGGATGTATACATGCAGGTCACAGGGGATATGATGGCTTAGCTTGGGCTCAGAGGCCTGACAGCTCTGACATACCCACTGACCCCAGGGCACCTCCTGCCAATGTGTTTGGCACAGGGAACACCCCCACACCGGCCCCATGCTGTGCCCTTGTGGCCCCGAGGCTGCAGCACAGGATTCCTGTCTGGCCCTGGACCTGCCCAGGGCCCTGCTCTCTGCCACCACTCACAGGACAAACCCAAACAATTGCTGTCCTCCCTCTGAAATGGTGGCCATGGGGGTGCAGGGAAGCCCTCACATCCCTCCTGTGCCCAGGCCCCTCAGCCCCACGCTCTGGCTGGCTGCATCTGCCGTCCAGAGCCCTTGGTCACAAGACGTGCAGCCCGGACCAAGTGATGACAAGGGAGCCCCTTCCTAAGCCTAGAGATGGTCTAAAGCTTCATGGAACTGCTGGTCCCATGCTGGTCCACTGCTGGGACTCACCTGCAGCCAGATTCCCAGGTGAGGCTGAGGTGGCTTAAAGTGGTGCACGGGAGATGTCTGATATCAACCCTCTCCTGGAGGTAGATGATGTCTCCAGCCTGGTGACTTCCCTGGCCTCCAGCCACCACCACCCCCAGTGTCCCCAAGGCTGAAGGTGCAAGCTTGCCCTGGCCCTGGCCCTGGCATAGAAAGTGCACGATCTGGTCATGTCATGCAGGTGAGGATACCTGTGTGCCAGGTAACCTCATGCGGGCATGGTGGCACTTGTGGGGCAGTCCTGTAACCTGCAGTGTGGTGGGTGGGATGGATGTGTGTGACACAGGCAGGAACTTCCCCTCATGGTAGTTGAGGAACCACGTGTGTATTGGGTGGGGCTGATGGGAGTGAGAGGTGAGTGGCTGGGCACAGGCAGGTGAGTGAGTGACAGCTACACAAACCCCACCACTGAGCATGTCCCTCCCAGGACAAAGCAGATCAGAGCCACAGGCCCAGCCCTGGGAGGCCCAGAGGGGCCTCAGGTCCTCAGGGACCTGGCCCTCTTGGCCCTCAGAGGACCCCACTCCCTCTAGAAAGCCCCCCAGCTGGCTCCACCTGCAGCTGTGCAAGTGGGAAGGGGACACAGTGCTCTGAAGTCCAGAGAAGGAAGGAAGATGGAGGGAGGGCCGCCCTCTGCTCCCAGGCCCTCTATTCCCTGACCCTGATGCTCAGCCCCCTGAGGCCCTCCTGGAGCCCACATCTTTCAGCTGCAGTCTCCCAGCCTCTCTCCCCAGGACGAAGCCCACTCTGCCAGTGCTTTTCCACTGTAGCTGGCTTTTCCCCTTGGGGAGGGTCCTCAGATGGCGTAAAGTGAGGAAGGGTCCCCTGGCCCTGTCCCGCAGGGCCCCCACACCAGGCCTCCCCCATCTCTTCCTGTCTCTATCAGACACAGAGGCAGAGACAGAGGCAGCCACGTGCCCAGTCCCAGCAACAATCACACCCTCATATTCATATAATCACAGATCCCCACCCTACACAGTCACACACCCCAACCGCAGGTGCCACACACACACACCCCACACGCTCCCAACAGCGCATTCCACTCACACACACAGTCCCATTCTCACATATGTGCACCCAAGCGTCTTGCCCCACACACAACGTGACAGGCCACAGAGCAGGCTGAGAGTCTCAGAGTGCATGGACGCCTGCACCGCACAGGGACCCGCACAGGACCGCGCCCAGCCAGGGGTCCTCGCCTGCACTGCAGCTGCCTGGATCCTGCGCCACGGGATGGGCTGGGGGTGGTCCTGAAATCACCTGCGTGCTAGGGCTCTCACATGTGAAGCTGTTTCCACAAGAAGGTGCATGCTACACACAACACATAAGGCATTCTTGAGGTAAAGGAGAATTCCATTTATTAACTTTATCAAAGTACAATACGTGGGGTCCTCATGATGCCAACAGCCAATGCCAGACTCAAGGTGGAGTCTGACCCTGACCTGCCTCTTGGCCTTCCCATTAGAGCCAGGAGAAAAGCAGCACGCCCAGCACCTCCACCACTGTCTCTTTAGCACAGTGGTGGAGTTTCTGGACAAGAAAATAGAGCCAGAAAAACAAGTAAGGCTTCTGAAGACCCTAATCCATAAAGCTTTACTGAGAGATGTAAAATAAAACTTCAGTGAATGGAGGAAACGCACCAGACCCTCAAAGCCAGGACTCAATATTAAAGGGTGTCAGCTCCAAATTAACACAGAATTTGAAAGCACTTCAAATCAGAATTCTAGCAAGTATTTTTTTCTTTCATAATTTGAAATAAAAGTTCTTCACCAAATAAATGTGTAAGAATATTCAATCCCAAACTAGTAAACTGGGAAAAGGACATTCACAGGCAACTCACAAAAGGGAAGCCCATGGCCAATGCATGCAAAAGATTCTCATTCTCACAGCTCATCAAATGCACACATTCAAATTATTTTCATCAAATTGATACAGACTTTGTTTTCTTATTGGCAATACCTAGGGTTGGTAAGGATGCGGGAAATGGTATTTTCCTATGATTGATGGGAACACTGCTTGGCACAGATGTTCTAGTGGGCAAGGTGGCCATGTGCATCCAAAGGCAGGAACCCTTGGCCTGCCATTTTCATGTTCAGGTCTTGATCCTTGGTAAATAATGAAAGCCAGGCCCAAACACGTAGCTACTTTTTTTTATTTTGTTTTTGTTTTTGTAGAGACGGGGTCTGATACGGTTTGGCTCTGTGTCCCCACCGAAATCTCATCTTGAATTGTACTCCCATAATTCTCACGTGTTGTGGGAGGGACCCAATGGGAAATATTTTGAATCATGGGGGCAGTTTCCCCCATATTGTTCTCATGGTAGTGAATATGTCTCACGAGATCTCATGGTTTTATCGAGGGTTTCCGCTTTTGCACCCTTCATTTTCTCTTGCCGCTACCACATAACTTTTGCCTCAGGCCATGATTCTGAGGCCTCCCAGCCATGTGGAGCTACAAGTCCCATTAAACCTCTTTTTCTTCCCAGTCACAGGTATGTCTTTATCAGCAGCATGAAAACAAACTAATACAGTAAATTGGTACTGGGAGTGGGGTGTTGCTGAAAACATACCCGAAAATGTGGAAGCAACTTTGGAACTGGGTAACAGGCAGAGGTTGGAACAGTTTGGAGGGCTCAGAAGAATATAGGAAAATGTGGGAAAGTTTGGAACCTCCTAGAAATTTGTTTAATATTTGATAAAAATGCTGATAGTGATATGAATACTAAGGTCCAGGCTGATGTGGTCTCAGATGGAGATGAGGAACTTGTTGGGAACTGGAGCAAAGGTGATTCTTGTTATGTTTAAGCAAAGAGATTGGCGGCATTTTGCCCCTGCCCTAGAGATTTGTGGAACTTTGAACTTGAGAGAGATAATTTAGGGTATCTGGCAGAAGAAATTTCTAAGCAGAAAAGCGTTCAAGAGGTGACTTGGGTTTAAAAACATTCCATTTTAAAAGGGAAACAGAGCATAAAAAATTGGAAAATTTGCAGCCTGACGATGCAGTAAAGAAACACCCATTTTTTTAGAAGAAATTCAAGCTGGCTGCAGAAATTTGCATAAGTAACAAGGAGGGGAATGTTTAACCCCAAGACAATGGGGAAAATGTCTCCAGGGCATGTCATTGGTCTTCCCATCACAGACCCAGAAGCCTAGGAGCAAAAAATGGTTTTGTGGGCTGGACCCAAAGTCCCCATGTTGTGTGCAGCCTAGGACTTGCTGCCTTGTGTCCCAGCCACTCCAGCCATTGCTAAAAGGGGCCAAGGTACAGCTCAGCCCATGGTTTCAGAGAGTGCAAACCCCAACCTTGGCAGCTACCATGTGGTGTTGAGCCTGCGGGTGTACAGAAGTCAAGAATTGAGGTTTGGGAACCTCCATCTAGATTTCAGAAGATGTATGAAAATGCCTGGATGCCCAGGCAAAAGTTTGCTGCAGGGGAGGGGCCCTCTTGGAGAACCTCTGCTAGGGCAGTGCAGAAGGGAAATGTGGGGTCAGAGCCCAAACACAGTATCCCTACTGGGGTACTGCCTAGTAGAGCTGTAAGAAGAAGGCCACCATCCTCCAAACATCAGAATGGTAGATACACTGACAGCTTGTACAAGGTGCCTGGAAAAGCCGCAGACACTCAATGCCAGCCCATGAAAGAAGCCAGCAGGGGAGCTATGCCCTGCAAAGCCACAGGGGTGGAGCTGCCTACGACTATGGGAACACACCTCTTGCATCACTGTGACTTGGATATGAGACATGGAGTCAAAGGAAATCACTTTGGAGCTTCAAAATTTGACTGCCCCGCTGGATTTTGGACTTGCATGGGTCCTGTAACCCCTTTGTTTTGGCCAATTTCTCCCATTTGGAATGGCCGTATTCACCCAATACCTGTACCCCCATTGTATCTAGGAAGTAACTAACTTGCTTTTGATTTTACAGGCTCATAGGTGGAAGGGCCTTGCCTTGTCTCAGATTAGACTTTGGACTCTGGATTTGGGTTAATGCTGAAATGAGTTAAGAATTTGGGGGACTGTTGGGAAGTCATGATTGGTTTTGAAATGTGAGGACATGAGATTTGAAGGGGCCAGGGGCAGAATGATATCGTTTGGCTCTGTGTCTCCACCCAAATCTCATCTTGAACTGTACTCCCTTAATTCCCACATTTTGTGGGAGGGACCCAGTGGGAGAGAATCTGAATCATGGGGGCAGTTTCCCCCACACTGTTCTCATGGTAGTGAATAAGTCTCACAAGATCTGATGGTTTTATCGGGGGTTTCTGCTTTTGCATCTCTGTCATTTTTCTCTTGCCGCCACCATGAAAGTGCCTTTTGGTGGGAGGCCTCCCCAGCCATGTGGGAGGCTGAGGCCTCCCCAGCCATGTGGAACTGTAAATCCAATTAAACCTCTTTTTCTTCCCAGTCTTGGGGATGTCTTTATCAGCAGCGTGAAAACAGGCTAACACAGGGTCTCGCTGTGTTACCCTGGCTGGAGTGCACTGGCAGTCATAGCTCCCTGCAGCCTGGAATCCTGGCCTCAAGCAATCCTCCTGCCTCTGCCTCCCAGCCAGCTGGGACCACAGGCAGGAGCCAAGTGCACCCAGCTCTAACTGCCATATTATTTATCACCGCATGATTTATAAAAGCCAGGTCCAGTAGAAAAACAGATGATGTTTTATAAGAAATAAATCATTTAAATTTCCTAAATGTACCACAATGAACGTATGTCGTGTTGTAGAAGAAAATTTTCATGTGGGAGTCATACTTACTTTTTTGAAAAGGAGGGCAAGGTCCTTGCACAGAAAATGTTTATACACCACCGTCACAGAGCGGATTTTACTACAGGCGTCTCTCTAGATAACATCTCAATATAGATGGGGTGATGGGTGTGTCCTGGGGCCATGAGAAGCCTCCTGCAGCTCAGCACTTCCGGACTCCTAGGAACTTCCAGTCCCAGAAGGCAGGGGGAGAGGCCTGGCGGGAGCGGAGGGACACAGCTGCTCCTGCATCCCAGGCTGAGCTGCTCCATACAGGGCAAGGAAGCAGCTAAGGGGTTGGAGTCGGCCATCCTGGCCTCATCTCCAGGGTCCTGGCCACACAAAGTCAACACAAAGGTAACCCCAAATAAGAACATGTCCATGCAAAGGTACATGGGTCAATGCACCTTTAAAACTAAAACCAAAGAGGCTTCTGCTTGCATAGGGTGGACTGGGACCTTCACTCATGTCCCCTCCTTCTGGTGACCAAACCAAGGCTAAGGGAGTATTGAAACTTCCCACCTCACAGGCCAGGTGCAGTGGCTCACACCTATAATCCTAGCACTTTAGGAGGCTGAGGCGGGTAGATCACTTAAGGTCAGGAGTTAGAGACCAGCCTGGCCAACATGATGAAACCCTGTATTCACTAAAAATATAAAAAATTAGCTGGGAGTGATGGCAGGTGCCTGTAATCCCAGCTACTTGGGAGGCTGAGGCCGGAGAGTCACTTGAACCCGGGAGGCCGAGGCTGTACTGAGCTGAAATCCTGCCACTGAACTCCAGCCTGGGCGACAGAGCAAGACTCCATCTCAAAACAAAAAAAAAAGTCCCACCTCACACTAACAGAGAATGAGGAGGGATCCTTAGAGGACCTGAGATTTCAACCACATGGAGCAGGAGGAAGATGCTGTGACTGAAAGAGAGCCTGGTGGGTCTCAAGGGAAGGTGCTCCAAGGTGGAGTCAGGACAGGGAAACCTATTTGCTCCTCAACCAGCTACAGAGGCTGGGAATCAGGCTCTGCTCCAGGAGATGTGTGGGACCAGGACTGGAGGCTGAAGCCGTAGGATGGATTGAAATCTGTGCATCATTTATCATCTTCAGCAGGGAGCTCGGGCTTCCTCTGTGAAATAACCCAACAGCTTCTCCCATCACCACCACCATGAAAAATAGCATCCACCTAGTCCAAGTCTATAATGCAATGACTCACTCCCTACCCCATCCCCCTATGCAAAAGCCCATCCACTGACAAGCACTGTCCCAGACATCAGGGCTCCCCTCCAGGTCTCCAGCTCCCTGGTGACAAGACTGACAGACAAAACTAATGGAACCTGGTACCTAGAAGAGGATGAGAAGGATCCCCGTGAACCCTAGAGAAGACAAGGGGATGTGACCGGGCAGACCCTCAGGGGGCACAAGACACAGATTCAACTGGCATCCAAAGGGGACAGTCTGGAATTTTTTTTTTTTTTTTTTTGGTTTATGTTTGTTCTTTTGGGCATCAAATACTGCACCCAAATATGAGCCATTCATCTTAAGACAACTGCTTTTGTTATAAGAATCCTGTTCTGATATTCACAATTAACTCTGGACAACTTAAAACTTATTAGTGACACTGCTATCTAATAATAAAATATTTCATCATAGGCCGAATACAATTTTTTTTTTTTTTTTTTTTTTTGAGACGGAGTTCACTCTTGTTGCCCAGGCTGGAGTGCAATGGCACGATCTCGGCTGACTGCAACCTCCGCCTCCCGGGTTCAAGCGCTTCTTCTGCCTCAGCCTCCCGAGTAGCTGGGATTACAGGCATGCGCCACCATGCCCGGCTAAAAATTTTGTATTTTTAGTAGAGACAGGGTTTCTCCATATTGGTCAGGTTGGTCTCAAACTCCCGACCTCAGGTGATCCGCCCACCTCGGCCTCCCAAAGTGCTGGGATTACAGGCGTGAGCCACCGCGCCCGGCCAGGCTGAACACAATTATTAAATGAAAAGAGCAAAGTTTCTCCCGCTCTTTCTTACCTTCAAACCAAACCAAAAAAGTAGTTTTCACGGGAAAGAGCACCTACTTCAGGGAGACTCAATTTTTAACCAGTTTTATTTATATTCATTTATTTATTTATTTATTTATTTATTTATTTATTTTTGAGATAGCGTCTAGCTCTGTCACCCAGGCTGGAGTGCAGTGGTGTGAACTCGGCTCACTGCAACCTCAGTCTCCCCAGTTCAAGCGATTCTCGTGCCTCAGCCTCCTCCCCAGTAGCTGGGACTACAGGTGCCCACCACCACACCTGGCTAGTTTTTGTAATTTTAGTAGAGACGGGGTTTCGCCATGTTGGCCAGGATTGTCTCGAACTCCTGACCTCAAGTGACCTATCCGCCACGGCCTCCCAAAGTGCTGGGATTACAGGCGTGAACCACCGTGCCTGGCTGTTAACTAGTTTTATTAAACCCTACAAGCTCTAAAACACGAGACAAGGCTTTCCAGAGTAAATAGGATGATAAAAAGTTAAAATTCCCTGGAAGAGTCTGTTTTCACCAACTTGCAAGAAGTGAAAGAGCCGATTTCTTTCTGTTTATTCTTTAAAAGGTTTGGCCTGCACCCTCAGTGCACACTGTGGAAGGACAGCCCCATAGTCACAAGGGCTGTTCAGGGACAGAGCTTCCCATCCATCCAATCCACAGCCAGGAATCTTGACGGCAGCAAGAGAAAAGTCACTCATCACCTCCGAGAGAGGCTCCGTGAGAGACACAGCCAACTTCTCATCAGAAACCATGAGCATCTGAACACGCGGAGTGCACATTCAGAGCGCAGAAGAGAAAGGGAACTAGGCTGGGCAAGCTGATGGCAGGGCTGGTCCAGGGACGGGCTGGGACTCCCAGCCCCAATCTGTTCTCAGGGACGAGAAGTCCTGGCTGAGATCCACGCAGCTCAGGAAGGTGGTGACCCCAGGCCATGGGTCCCGCTGAGGATGCCTGGAAATCCGCATCAACCCAGCTGGCTCAGGTGGAGATGGAGGCTCCGGGACAGTGTGGGATGGGAGGAGGGTGAGTAAATGCCAGGCCCGGTCCAGGGCCTCTCCCTGGCCTCCAGCCTGCAGCCCACCCTAACCCTTCCTCAGCAGGGCTGATCACTATCAGGGATGGCCCAGGTGCTGTCAGAGAAGAGGGTGAGCCAGCTGTGTCCTGTGTGCCTGTGACAGGTCCCAATGGCAGGAACTTCAGGCAGGGAGGCAGAGATCCCACACAGTCCTGTCACCATGGCAGGGCAGGTGTGTGACCCGGGCGGGTTCACGTGCGCAGCGTGGAGAGGAGTGTGCGCTGGGTGTAGGACAATGGGCGTGGCAGGTGGGGGGAGGCACAGGTGGGTGGGTGTGACAGGCACACAACCATCACTGCTGAGCACCTCCCTACAAAGCGCCAGGGGGCCCAGGGCTACCAGTCCTGAGGGCCCACAGGGGGGCTGGCATCCCTGGGGAATCCTTGGGCCCTATGCCCTCCTGGCAGCCCTGTGACACATGCCCCAGGTCTGGGATGGTGGCCCAGCAATGCCCTCAGGGCCAGGGAAGTGGGTGGAAGGAGAGGAGCCGCGTCCACACTCCTCCTGAGTTTCCTGAGCACTCTCCAGGATCCCAGGCCACCCTGGGGTATCCGGCCAGGGACTAGGAACCTGGCAAGGGCCTGGGCCTGAGATAGGTGAGCTCCTTCCACCACCTCAGGCCTCAGGGCCCCTCCCACCTCTGAGCCCCCACCCAGGCTGGCTCCCAGAGTCCCCCATCATCCCCATGAAATGTGTGCACATGCCCCTCTCCCAGGTCCCCACCAGCCTCTAGGGAACACGCCTACCATGGGGGCGGGGTGGGGGCAAAGCCTCCAGAGCTGGGCTGGGTGGAGGCTGCAGGTGGCCCTGATGCTCCCCCCTCTCCCAGACCTGTTCTTGATCCCCACCCCAAGGTTCTCCTGGGCCCCACAGGCTGCGCCTACTCCTAACCCTGCAGCCAGCAAAGCCCTCACCCCTCCCGAGTGTGGCACCGGAAGTCCTTGCTGGCCTCCTGGCCAGATGAGGGCTGCCAGACCGGACGAGACAGGACCCCGTGATGGGGAAGGGCCTTCTCTCGGCCTCTGCTCACGAGCTAGAGACCAGCCTCAGGGTGGGGCTGGGTGGGAGGGATGAGCACAGCTGCACCCTACCCAACTCACCCCAACCCCCAGTCACCCTCTGGCCCACACTGCTCCCCACACCTCTGCCCAGGTCTCATAAATCCTGCCCAGTGGCCCCTCCCCACACAGCCCCCCAAGAGCAGTTCCACTTGGGATTGTCATGGTACCTGCAGCTCAGCAAGCTGACATCTGTGCTTCCCACCCCAACAGGGGCAGGGAGCCCGGATGAAGAAAGAATGAGGGCAGAGGGCACCCCATGCCCAAGACCCACCCACCCCAGGACCCTCCAAGAGGCCATCAGGGCGACGCCAACACACACACAGACACACACACACACACACAAACAAACACACAATTACACCCCACAGTGTGGTCACTTACAGGAGGTGAGCCTTTTCCACTGGTGGGTCAGGCCTCAGTGGGGTCACTGAGAACCCACCAAATCCTCCCAAATCCCAGCGTCAGGGCTCTGTTGGTCTCGCTCCAGTTCAATCCCTCTCTCCCTCTCTCTCTGCAGCTTATCCTGTCTCCGTATCTTTCCCCCTCATTCTCGGAGTCACTCAGTCTCCCTCTTAAACAACAGGTCTCTCTCCCACTCCACCTCCCACCATCTCTCCCAATCTCTCTCATTCATTTTCTGAAATATTCAATCCCTTTCACACACGACTTTCTCCGTCTCTCTCATTGATACACACACTCTCCCCCCATCCCTGTCTCTCTCTCACACACACACACATGCACACACACACGCACACAGGCAGACTCAGCCCTCCAGGGTCTATGTCTCTGAGCTGAGCCCCGCTGAGAGGCAGGCTTGTCTGGGGATTGCAGGGAGCACTCACGCCCACATAGGATGTGTCCACGTGGACAGCGCTTGGCCCTTTATGTACCCACTGTGGATCCTTCACTAGGCAACCAGGCTGGACTTGGACCAGTGCAGGTGGAACTAAGCCAAGACCCTGAAGGCCAGGGCAGGGTCAGCTCCAGCCTCAGCACTCGCCCTAATCCAGGCACGGTGGAGAGTAGCGTGAGCCACCAGGCGGGCCCAAGCTGAAGAGCTCACCGCATAGCGGGGACAGGGATGGCAGGAGACTTGCCACTCAGACCAGGGAAGGATGACAGGGACCCCAGGCACAGGCACAGGTGTCAGCAGAGACCACATCAGTGGGGGTCCCCTTGGGCAGGTGGGGGGTGGCATCCAGGGCTGGAGGGTCACAGGCCACTGGCATGGCTCAGCCCAGTTCTCACACAGCATCCTCCATCTCTATAATCATGGGGTCAGTGTCACCCCTGGGCATGAAATGGAGATACTGCTGTTGGCAAATGAGCTTGGAGAGCAGAGGCCAAGACTTCTGGGTGTCAAGTGAGGTGTCACAACTGGGGCCTGACTTCATAGAGGCCAAGGTTTCTTCATAGAGGAAGAAACCCCGGGAGAGTGGCTCCCACGGAGGGAACTGCCATGCACAGCTCCGGGGGAGGAGGTGGAGCAGTGGCCACCAGCCCTGACAGAAGGCAATGCGGGGCCCAGGGGCCCAGAAAGAAAGGGCAGAGTGTGGCCTGGTGAGGCCACTGCCCCAAGGGCCTATGCAGTCCCTTGACTGCGACCTTTGACAAAGTGTGTTACTTGGGTGGGGTTGGGGGGACTCCAAGCTGTGATGACTCAGGCCAGCTGGCAGGAGCGTGCATGGTGACCGGGATGGAGCAGGGTTCAGTGAAGCAACCCCATGGATATAAGCACAGGGCCCACCATGGCACATGCAAAGGAAGGGGAGGAGAAGGACCGGGTTGGCAACAAGGAGAAACCCGGCTCAAAGCAGGTTTGAGGGAGGAAGCAGAGAGGACAGTTCAGAGGACAGCTTTGCAACTGACCAGTTAGAAGGCAAAGGAGCCCAGGCCAGGCACGGTGGCTCAAGCCTGTAATCCCAACACTCTGGGAGGCCAAGGTGGGCTCGCTTGAGGTCAGGAGTTTGACACCAACCTGGCCAACATGCTGAAACCCCCTCTCAACTAAAAATACAAAAAGTAAGGCCAGGCACAGTGGCTCACGCCTGTAATCCCAGAACTTTGGAAGGTCAAGGCGGATGGATCGCTTGAGGCCAGGAGTTCCAGACCAGTCTGGCCAACATGGTGAAACCCCGACTCTACTAAAAATACAAAAATTAGCCAGGCCTGGTGGCGCACACTTGTAATCCCAGCACTTGGAAGGCTGAGGCAGAATGCTTGAACGTGGGAGGCAGAGGTTGCAGTCAGCCCAGATCACGCCACTGCACTCCAGCCTGGGCGACAGAGCTAGACTCTGTCTTTAAAAAAAAAAAAAAAAAAAATAGCTGGGCGTCATGGGGCACACCTGTAGTCTCAGCTACTGGGGAGGCTGAGGCATGAGAATTACTTGAACCCTGGAGGCAGAGGTTGCAGTAGGCCCAGATTGTGCCAACGCACTCCAGCCTGGGCGACAGAACGAGACCCTGTCTCAAAAAAAAAAAAAAAAAAAGCCGGGCACAGTGGTACACACCTGTAATCCCAGCACTTTGGGAGGCTGAGGTGGGTGGATCGCCCCTGAGGTCAGCAGTTGGAGACCAGCCTGACCAACATGGTGAAACCCCATCTCTACTAAAAATACAAAATTAGCCGGGCGTGGTGGCGTGCGCCTGTAGTCCCAGCTACTCGGGAGACTAAAGCAGGAGAATTGCTTGAACCCGGGAGGCGGAGGCTGCAGTGAGCCAAGATTGTGCCACTGCACTCCAGCCTGGGTGACACAATGACACTCCGTCTCAAAAAAAAAAAAAGAAAAGAAAAGAAAAAGCAGCTCAGCTAGCAGGAGAGAGCCAGCACCGGAGCCTCCACGCCTGGACTTTACTCTCTGGCCCCAGTGGGATCACCTCCTCCAAGAAGTGGCCCCTGGTCCTGCTGAAGGCCCCACTCTAAGATGCAGCGCTCTCCACGCTGTGTAAGTCCCTGGCTAAGGCTCCCTGACCACCCCTGTACTTGCCGGCTCAGCCCACCAGGTGGCGCCCGCGCCATGCCTCGGCCCTGCTGGACTCCGAAGCCGCCACTTCCCTGCGGGCGCCTCCTGGTGTTTGTTCCCTTGGGCTCGGCCTGGACAGCCCTGCTGGTTCCCGGAGCCTAGCCCAGCCCCGCGAGTGATTCACAGAACTCACACCTGACGGTGGGGGAGGAAGGGGAGAGCAGCAGCCAAGAGGTGGGTCCAGGCTCTCCCAGGGGCGAGTGACTTCAGTCCAGATGTCCCCTGAACCCCTGGGGATTCCGCATCAGGACCAGGGCCTCCCATGTCCAGACCCCACATTCCCGTCAGTGTGTCCCGGGGAGCACGGAGGGACCTCCACACTGCATTTCATGGGGCGACCGCCCTTAACACCCGGACACACACGGAACCCCACACTACCCTAAAGTCTGAAAGGTGGACACGCGTGGCGAAGTTTTAGAGGAATTTCAGGACAAAAGTCCTGAAACCACAAGGTTCTTACCACCTGAAAACCAGCTCCGTAACAGACAAACTAGACACTTGTGAGTTTGCCGGCATTTGCTTTAAAAATAACAAGGCTGGTCCAAGATCTTAGAAGAAAATTATATTCTTTTAAAGAAAATGAAAATATCCTCAAGGGAAAAACTTAATTTAAGTCAAATCTTGTCCTTTTGTCGTGGAGCCCCTTGCCCCGCGCGCAGACACAGGCTTTCCTGAAGCGTGGCCAGGGCGCCCCTCTCATCGCTCCTGAGCGTGACCCGGGGCTGGAGCCGCACGGGGATTTTCCCGAGCTGAGCAGGGGGGTCGGGGGGCCCAAGCCAGGAGCCCTGGAAGAGGGAGCAGGGCGGCAACTGGGGCCGCAAACACCCATCAAAGTCCCCAGGACCAATTCCCACAGACACCACGTGGCCACAGGCAGTGCCCTTTGCAGGCCCCCTCCCCAAGGGTGTCACCCCTCACCCCCTCCTGGGACCCCGCCTAAACCAGGCACCCTTCCACCCACCAGCAGGAACTGCGCTAGGAGATGCAGGAACACCCATGTCCCCGCCAGCCCCGCCTTCCAGACCACACCCTGCCCGGGAGTGCGCTTTGCGAGGTCGGGGTCGGGGGGGAGGGCGGGGGCCAGGCCCCTGAACAACAGACAGCAGCTCCCACCCAGCAATGCAGCCGGGTCACCTCGCACCCCTGGCCAAGGCAGGGGCCCTCTCCAGCCTGGTGACCCACGGCCTACCCTGAGGCTGCAGGGCACAGGGGGCCTCCAAGTGGAAAGCTGGTGATGGGGTGGGTGGGAGGCAGGGCCCGCAGGGAAGTGACTTGAGCAGGCACAGACGGTGAATAAATAGAAGCTTCCACGCGGGGGTCCGGCCCCTGCAGACAGCAGCTCGGTGGGAAACTGATTGGAGGGAGCTCCCCTGACGCTGACCAGGGCCACCCACGCGGGCCCTCCCTCCACACCCACACCCACCCCGGCCCAGGGACGGGTTTTCCCCTGCTCAGAGCTCAGTGACGTGCACAGTGGGTGAGGGAAGAGGCCCAGGTTGGAGGCGCCGCAGGTGGCAACGACGACACAGTAGGTGGCCCGCCAGGGGATAGCAACGGCGTCCCTCCTCCCCGCTCAGCTGCAGCCCGCAGTCCTAGGGAAGAACACAGCCCCCAGCCCCAGAGTCAGCAGACAAGCGCACATCAGAGGTCACGGGACGGGGGAGGGACGGAGGGGAGGGGCAGATCTGCAGGGTGCCGCAAAACAACATGAAGACTCTTCCGCCGGGCGCAGGGGCTCACACCTGTAATCCCAGCACTTTGGGAGGCTGAGGCGGCTGGATCATCGCTTCGGTCAGGAGTTCGAGACCAGCCCAGCCAACATGGTGAAACCCTGTCTCTACTAAAAATACAAAATTAGCCGGGCATAGTGGCACATGCCTGTAATCCCAGCTCCTTGGGAGGCTGAGACTGGAGAATCACTTAAACCCGGGAGGCAGAGGTTGCAGAGAGCAGAGAGCCTGCCATTGCATTCCAGCCTGGGTGACAACAGCGAAACTCCATCTCAAAAAAAAAAAAAAAGACTCTTCCTCTGCCAGAGGGGGTATGGGAAGCCCGGCGTGGAGCACTGGAGACTGGAGCTGCCTCTCAGGTATCCAAGAGGAAGTCACTGGATATAAGTCAGACTGCGGGGAGAGGGCTGAGCAGTCAACATGGGTGTCAGCATAAAAACCTGATGGTTTGGGTGTTTTTTGTTTATTCGTTTGTTGTTGTTTGAGACAGGGTCTCTCACTGTCACCCAGGCTGGAATGCAGTGTCTGGATCCCAGTTCACTGCAGCCTCGACCTCCAGGGCTCAAGTGATCCTCCCACCTCAGCCTCCTGAGTAGCTGGGACCACTGGCGCACCCTGCCACGCCCTGTGAATTTTGTTTATTTTTTGTAGTGATGGGGTTTCATGTTGCTCAGGCTGGTCTAGAACTCCTGACCTCAAGTGATCCTTCACCTCGGCCTCCCAAAATGCTGGGATTACAGGCATGAGCCACCGTGCCTGGCCTGTTTTTTGTTTATTAGACAGGGTCTCACTCTGTCGCCCAGGCTGGAATGCAGTGGTGCGATCTCAGCTCACTGCAGCCTCAAACTCCTGGGCTCAAGCAGTCCTCCCACCTCAGCCTCCCAAGCAGCTGGGACTACAGACATGTGCCACCATGCCCGGCTAATTTTTTTCCCCTTGTATTTTGTAGACATGGCGTCTTGCTATGCTGATCAGGCTGATCTTGAACCCCTGGCTTCACAACCATCCTCCCACCTCGGCCTCCCAAAGTGCTGGGATTGTAGGCGTGAGCCACCGCACCCAGCCAAACGTGATGGGGTTTTTTGTTTTTGTTTTTTTTGAGACAGAGTCTCGCCCAGACTGGAGTGCAGTGGCATGATCTCAGCTCACTGCAAGCTCCGCCTCCCGGGTTCACGCCATTCTCCTGCCTCAGCCTCCCGAGTAGCTGGGACTACAGGCGCCCGCCACCACGCCCAGCTAATTTTTTGTATCTTTAGCAGAGACGGGGTTTCACCGTGTTAGCCAGGATGGTCTCGATCTCCTGACCTCGTGATCCGCCCGCCTCGGCCTCCCAAAGTGCTGGGATTACAGGCGTGAGCCACCGCGCCCGGTCACGTGATGGTTTTTAAAGACAAAACAGGAGACCACCTCTTCCAGGGGGTGCAGATCACTAGAAAAGAGAAGACGGCAAACAGCAGAACCTTCCATGAGGAGGTGGGAAGAGAACAGGCCTGGGCAGAAGAGACTCAAGGAGAAACGAAAGTGAAGACAACCACAACCTGGCAGCCCCGAGGGCAAAGTGAAGCAAGTGGGTGGAGGAGGGAGCGGCCCTGTGCTCCAAGCTGCTGGGGGGCCCGGAAGGAAGTGTCCACCAGTTCCCACCACACAGGGGTCCCTGGAGCAGGGTGAAGGGATGAATGCCACCCCCGGGTGGTCTGAAGAGGCAATGGTGAGAGGACCTGGGAAGCAGGGGGCGGGCTTCAAGTACCCTATCTCGCAGTTTTTACCGTTGCGGGCTCGGGGCTGGAATGCTGGCGGCTTTGACCCGTTACCCAGAGCCCCTGACACCAACACCTGGCCCGCCCTGCGCAGGGAAGGGAGCTGGGCTGCTGCAGTGACACCACATCACTCCTTTCCCTGGTCTCCTGTCTGTCCCACCACAGGCCACTGGCTGGGCCCTGCTACCGACCGCTGCACACCAGGCCAGGGAGGAGTGCGGGGTCCCGGAGGTATCAGTCCCCATCCAACAGCCTCGCGGCAGCACAGCACCACCACCAGCCGCCTGCCCCGCTCTCACTCTCAGCGTCAACCTTTTGCTGCCCTCGGTACTGGACAATCTGCAGGGGACCGCACAGTCCACAGGACGGCCCAGCAAGTGGAGGGACGCGGAGGTCCTGTTAGGGCTGGAGGGGAGCCCTGGCCCCTCTGCAGACCATCCCTGCTCCTTGTCCTCCCTCCTGGGTACCCTGACACAATCGGTGCTCCCATGGGGCCACTCGCCTGCACCCAGGAGACCTTGTCACCCAAGGGATCCCTGATTGCTACTGCAGATTCCCCACCGCCACTTGCTCTGCTCTTGCTGGGGCGCGGTCGCCGGCAGCCTCCTGGTTCTCCTGCCCAGGCCTCCTCAGTCTCCCTTTGTGGCCACTTCGCCTGTGTGTGTCCTTAAATGACAGTGCTCCCTGAGCTATCCTGACCCCCACTCCTTCTTTTCCAACTCATCCTGGAAGACCTCACTTGCTCCCTGGCTTCAGCTGCCGTCCCTGTGTCCATCATGGGACCCTTGCTTCCCGCCAGAACGGAGGAAGAGAAATTGGATTTCCCCTCCCACCTTTAACAACGAGAGCAACAGGCTAAACAGATGACAGTGACTCTCAGACCCCGGACAACAGACCAGGGAGGCCCATCATCTCTCAGAGAGGGGAAATCTGAGAAGTGTACCCCACAACACCCGACTGACTGCCTGGAGACTGCTCCAGCTGCCCAGGGGAGCCCCGTGGTCTCCTTGAGTTGAGAATCTGGGGAGGCCAAGGCAACTGGAATTCCCAGGGCCAAGATTCAGAAAAGAAGGCCTGGTGTGGTGGCTCAAGCCTGTAATCCTAGCACTTTGGGAGGCCAAGGCGGGTGGATCACTTGAAGTCAGGAGTTTGAGACCAGCCCAGCCAACATGGTGAAACCCTGTCACTACTAAAAACACAAAAACTAGCCGGGTGTGGTGGTGGGTGCCTGTAGTCCCAGCTACTCAGGAGGCTGAGGCAGGAGAATTGCTTGAACCCAGGAGGCGGAGCTTGCAGTGAGCTGAGATAGTGCCACTGCACTGCAGCCTGGGCAACGGAGTGAGACTCATCTCAACAAAAAAAAAGATTCAGAGAAGAGAGCGCCACACGCCAGTGACCCCAAATTCCCACAGCTGTCGGCAGGGTCGCTGAACCCCCGCCCACTTACAGGTCTACTGGACATCTCCAGCTACCAAAAATGAGAGCATCCCATCCCCTCTTCCCCCTGCCCTCACTCTTTGCTGGGGTTCTCATGAACACCTCCCAACCCCCAACCCCCAACCCCCCACATCCAGACACTTGCCAAATCCAGTCCTTTCTACGGCCTAACCATCACTCAACTCAGCCCACCTCTGTGAACCCAGGCCCCCAACCCTGACTCCTCCAGCTGCTCAGGGAGCACCTGCCTTCACTCCCTCCCCCAGTGCACTCTCTGCGGGGCAGGAAAAGGACAGGTAGAATGGGGTAGACGCCATAAAATAGGTGAGGCTGGCGCGGTGACTCACGTTGCAGTCCCAGCACTTTGGGAGGCCAAGGCAGGTGGATCGCTTGAGCCCAGGAGTTCAAGACCAGCCTGGGTAACATGATGAAACCCCATCTCTACTAAAATTAACAAAATTAGCTGAATGTGGCGGCGCGAGCCTGTGGTGATAGCTACTCAGGAGGTTGAGATAAGAAGATAGCTTGAGCCAGGAGGTTGAGGCTCCAGTGAGCTATAATCGTGCCACTGCACTCCAGTCTGAGCAAGAGTGAGATCTTGTCTCTAATAAATAAAAATTTTAAAAAAAAATTTTTTTTGAGACAGAGTCTCACTCTTGTTGCCCAGGCTGGAGTGCAATGGCACAATCTCGGCTCACTGCAACCTCTGCCTCCCAGGTTCAAGCGATTCTCCTACCTCAGCCTCCTGAGTAGCTGGGACTACAGGTGCCCGCCACCACGCCTGGCTAATTTTTGTATTTTTAGTAGAGACGGGGTTTCACCATGTTGGCCAGGCTGGTCTCGAACTCCTGACCTCAGGTGATCCACCCTCCTCAGCCTCCCAAAGTGCTGGGATTACAGGCATGAACCACCGAGCCTGGCAAAACTAAAATTTTGATAAGGTAAGCCCAC
Source organism: Homo sapiens (assembly GCF_000001405.40). Classification (NCBI taxonomy): domain Eukaryota; kingdom Metazoa; phylum Chordata; class Mammalia; order Primates; family Hominidae; genus Homo; species Homo sapiens. Next base: position 34,495,845 of record NC_000019.10, on the reverse strand, counting down.
AGAACACCCAGAGAGGAGAGCCCTGTGGGAGGAGGCCTGCCCCAGCTGCCAGCCTCCTGTGGGCCCAGGCTCACCTCACAGTGGTAACATGCCACGTGGTAGTCTCTGTCCATGGACACCACACGGATGGTTGTCTCGCAGCCCTGGAGGAAGAGAAGGAGTTCACACACGATGAGCATGTGGGGACTGGAGGCAAACTGCGTGAGTGTACACTCCCACACACCACGCTCCTGTCCCGGCGGAGGTGCACGCCCGCCCCGGGGAGCACTGCCACGCTGCTTCTGTGGGGCGGGACAGGCTCCAGCAGGTGCACACACACAGACACATGCGGGCCTTAGGCGTCCTCCACGATCACAGCCCACAGTACGCACAAAGGCCCACAAGAGTGTCACGTGTTTGTCAATGGATGTGGACATTATTTTCACCTCACTGATCCTTTTTTTTTTTAAGAGACAGGGTCTCTCTCTGTTGCCCATGCTGGAGTGCAGTGGTGCAATCACAGCTCACTGCGGCCTCAAACTCCTGGGCTCAAGCAATCCTCCTGCCTTAGCCTCCCAAGTAGCTGGGACTACAGGCATGCACAACCACACCCAGCTAATTTTTTATTTTTTTTGTAGAAATGGGGTCTCACTAGGCGGCCCAGGCTGGTCTCAAACTCCTGGCTTCAAGCAATCATCCCACCTTGGCCTCCCAAAGTGCTGGGATTACAGGCGTGGGCCCCTGTGCCCGGCCTGTTTTCACTTCCTTGGAGTCTCAAAAGGGCACTGCCAGTTCTGCTTTGCCAGGCACACCAGCCTGGGACAGAGCCAGCACTGTGGGAAGACCCCAGGCCAGGAGAGCTGTAGCACCCATGGGTGGCTCCCGCACAGACCACGTCCATCTCTCATCTGCTCCCCCAGCACCCCCACCTCAGCCTGCAGAGCTGAGAAGACCCAGGGAACGGCCCTTCCATCAATGGAGAATGGAGCAGAGGCTGGCAGTGGGGCAGCTGAGCGGCAGGGGCCACCACTTCCCTCGACCTTGTGCCAGGGGACAGCTGTACCCCACGTACACAAGCACAACACACATCCCTCAGCCCTGAAAGATCTGCGGAGAAGCACCTGCTCATCCCTCCCACTGTCGCCCAAGACCTGGGCTAGACCCAGGCTAGACAGGACAGCAGCCGGCTGGGCCAGGCACCTGATCATCTCTGGGTGAGTGGCTCCTACCTGTGCAGGGAGGATAGGACGGGCACAGGAGGCGCATTTTGGTGCAAAAACCCTAGAGAAATAAAGGAAACCAGAAGTGATCAGCTGAGTGACCAGAGGCCAAGGGCACAAGCACAGGGGCACCCACAGGAACCCACTGACGTAGCCCAAGTATCAGGCCCTCTCTCCCTGTGTGCACACCTCGGGGCAGACAGGGAACAGCTTCTGCCATGCCTTCCTGTACTGGCCTCTTCTTTTTTTTTTTTTAATAGAAATGGGGTCTCACTATGTTGCCCAGGCTGGTCTCAAATTCCTGGGTTCAAGCGATCCACCCACCTCGACCTCCCAAAGTGCTGGGATTACAGGCATGAGCCACCATGCCCGGCCCTGGCCTCTTATCTGACTGCTCATTTCATCTCCACCCAATCACCTCCTCCAGGATGCCTTCAGGTTCTGCTCTGCCATCTGCCCCCATGTTTCCTGTGAGTTCTTAATGTCCAGGTCTGGGACACCACTAGCTAGGACCACTGTGAGACCTGGCTTCACCCTGAGTACCAGGGACCTCTGCCCAGGACTCCAATCCCACGGAAGGCCCTGCTCAGAACCAGAGCTCCCAGGAATAAACCTGGAGTCACGGTAGGAGGAAACAGATCAGGGATCAGACAGGCAGGAGAAGGGGGCTGCAGAGATCCCAAGCCCCTGCCCCAGCTGAAAGAGGCCTGGCCTGGCAGGGGATGGAGGGGAGGAGGGGGAAAGATGGTGGGTACTGCAGCCAGGAGGGTCCCCTGTGCCAGGAGTAGAGAAGCATGCAGGCCACGATAGGGAGAGAAGAGGCAAAAGACAGCTGGTGGCCGGACCACCAGGAGAGGGGATGCAGGCAGAGACACATGCCTGCCCCAAGCCCAGGTGTACAAGGGGAGGCGGAAGGCAAAAGGCCAAGAACAAAGGGCAGTCAGTCCAGCAGGAAAAAAATGCTTCCAGAGGAGCCAGGGAGGACGGCCCGAGTCCCGCCTGCTCCACAGCACCAGCAACTCACGTGTGATAGTCTCGCACGCAGTAGATGTTGTTCTCCACGTCCACGGTGAAGGGAACCCCGTCCAGGCACTCATTGCACACGGAGCACCGGAAGCAGCCTGGGTGGTAGGACTTGCCCAGGGCCTGCAGGATCTGTGGGCGGGGCACACTGAGGGGTCAGCGCGGGCAGGAGGCTCAGCACCGCCCTGGGAGAGGCTCTGGCCCTGAACCCCTGGCAGGTCTGGAGCAGGGGAGACGGTAGAGTCCTCAGACTCCACCCACGTCAGAGGGGCTCCAGGAGGCTGGGGCAGGGGCTCACCATTTCCATGATGAGATGTCCACACACGCTGCATTTGTCGGCCGTCTGCTGGAACCCGGAGTACTGGGAGGGGACACAGGATCCAGGACATTGTGTGACAAAGGGGCACTCGCGGCCCAGCTAGCACCTGCCTCCTGGCCTCAGGTCTCCACTCGAGTCAGAATGAGGGTCCCTGCCCCACCTCCCACCCCTGGCACTGCCAGGGCACAGCTTGGACTCACCAGGAAGTCCTCCTGGCAGTACACTTTCTCACCCACGTTGTAGAACGCCTTCCCACGGAGTCGTCTCCCTGCAAGGGTGAGGGTTGAGAGGGGTCCCTGGAACGCTGGGGACCAGGGATGGAGCCGTGCTTCCAGCTCTCAGCACCCTCCTCCAACAGATGAGACACTGGGTTATGGGTGGTTTTCTAAATTTCCCTTTAATATTATGTTGTTATTGTTATAATAACAAAATTTCAGAAAAAAATTAAACAGAACACATTGTCGACAGAGTTATTTAAAAAGGTTGCCAAAACAAATATATGAATAAATATTTTGCTCATGTAAATACATGTGTTGGTTAATAAACACATTCACTTGAAGATCAGTTGAATTCACAGCAAATTTTCGGGAATGAATCTTTTTTTTTTTTTTTTTTTGATACAGAGTATCACTGTGTCGCCCAGGCTGGAGTGCAGTGGCGTGATCTTGGCTCACTGCAACCTCTGACTCCCGGGTTCAAGCGATTCTCCTGCCTCACCCTCCCAAGTAGCTGGGACTACAGGTGCCTGGCTAATTTTTGTATTTTTAGTAGAGATGGGGCTTCACTATGTTGGCCAGGCTGGTATTTTTTTTTTTAAGACAGGGTCTCGCTCTGTCACCTAGGCTGGAGTGCAATGGCACAATCATGGCTCACTGCAGCCTCAACCTCCCAAGCTCAAGTGATCCTCCTGCCTCAGCCTCCCAGCCTCCTGGGAGGCTGAGGCAGGAGCATCGCTTGAGCCCAGGAGTTCAAGACCAGCCTGGGCAACATAGCAAGACCCTGTCTCTAGGAAAAAAAAAAAAATTAGCCAGTCGTGGTGGTACGTGTCTGTAGTCCCACTACTCATTGTGGGGCTGAGGCAGGAAGATCACTTGGGCCCAGGAAGTCAAGGCTGCAGTGAGCCGTGATTGGGCCACTGCACTTCAGCCTGGATGAAGACATAAGACCCTGCTTCTTAAAAAAAAAAAAAAAAAAAAAGACATTGAACACAAGATCAGCCATTAAAGAGTATGCACTATAGGAATGCATTTATGTTAAGTTCTAGAATGGACAAAACTTTTCTACAGTGGTAGAAATCAGAATACCAGTTGGGCAAATGTGATGGGGGACATACAGGGATCAACTGAAAAAGGGCAAGATAGGGCCAGGCGCGGTGGCTCACGCCTGTAATCCCAGCACTTTGGGAGGCCAAGGCAGATGGATCACGAGGTCAGGAGATCGAGACCATCCTGACTAACACTATGAAACCACATCTCTACTAAAAATACAAAAAATTAGCCGGGCGTGGTGTTGCGCGCCTATAGTCCCAGCTACTCGGGAGGCTGAGGCAGGCGAATCACTTGAAACTGGGACACGGAGGTGGCAGTGAGCCGAGATCTCGCCACTGCACTCCAGCCTCGGGGAGAGCGAGACTCTGTCTCAAAAAACAAGTGGGGGTACAAGATAGAAGTTTCTAGGGTATTTTACCGGGCAAGGTGACTCACACCTATAATCCCAGCACTGTGGGAGGCCAAGGCAGGCGGATCACAAAGTCAGGAGATCGAGACCATCCTGGCCACATGGTGAAATCCCATCTCACTAAAAAAATACAAAAATTAGCTGGGAGTGGTGGCGTGTGCCTGTAATCCCAGCTACTCGGGAGGCTGAGGCAGAAGAATCGCTTGAACCAGGGAGACGGAGGTTGCAGTGAGCTGAGATCACACCACTACACTCCAGTCTGGCAATAGAGCGAGACTGTCTCAAAAAAAAAATATAAAATTAAAATTAAAAAACGTGCAAATACATAAAAGATGTCTGATTAAGGCAAGGTCTGGAAGAACAGTGGGCAAACCAAGAGTGGATATTTATTAGGGTGGTTGGATTATAGTTCCTTTTTTCTTTTTATAACTTTGTCTAGGTTAAACTATAACACTTATAGTTTATGTTGGGTGTAAAATTATGATCAAAAATAAATTGTAGGCCAGGCGCAGTGGCTCACACCTGTACTCCCAGCACTTTGAGAGGCCGAGGCAGGCGGATCACTTGAGCTCAAGAGTTTGAGACCAGCCTGGCCAACATGGTAAAACCCCATCTCTACCTAAAAAAAAAAAAAAAATTAGCCGAGCGTGGTGGCACGTGTGCCTATAATCCCAGCTACTTGGGAGGCTGAGGCAGGAGAATCTCTTGAAACCGGGAGGCAGAGGCTGCAGTGAGCCGAGATCATTCCACTGCACTCCAGCGTGGGCAACAGATTAAGACTCTGTCTCAACAACAACAACAAAAATAGATAGCAGGAAAAAGAAATATTAGTCGTATGTCCAGACAGGCAGAAGGTCCTTCATGGGCTTCTGACGCTGCTCCCAGGCAGCTGGGTGACATGAGCGCATTAGTGCCCTGCGTGGCACAGAGGATCCACAGCTGACGACCAGGGGGCAGCCCTGTCCTACAGCCAGCAAAAGGCTCCTCAGGGGCCCCATGCCTCCTCCCCAGACAGAGTCCTCCACAGCCCAGCCTGGGCCAGAGCCAGGTGGTCCATCTGCCTGGACTCAGGGGCAAGGCAGTTTGAGGGGAATGGGGATGATGTGGCAGGTCCCCTTCACAGAGCTACCCAGGGCACGAGGTTACCTACCACACGAGTCGCAGGTGAAGCAGTCAGTGTGATAAAGACTCCCCATTGCCTGGCACGCCTGCTGGGCTCCGTAGATGCCAAGCCCACACTTGATGCAAATGCCTAGGAGAGGAGAGGCAGGAGAGAGCAGGGGTTAGCGCCACAGCCTATGCCACACCGACGGACTCCCCGTCTTGACACCGCCCACCCGCTTGACCTGGGGGATGCTAACTTTCCTAGGCCAACATCACTCGATTACTGATGACCAACATGGGCACCATCAGGGTGGCCACGACCCAGGGATTGCCGCTGCTGCTGTCTGAGGATTCAAGGGCTTGGCCGAGCACCCAGGGCAGAGTCGGAGCTAATCAAAGCTGTCCATCACAACTGTTCTGATAGATTCTTTTGGTTTTTGATTTATAAATAGGGACAGAGTCTCACTATGTTGCCCAGGCTGGTTTCAAACTCCTGGGTTAAAGCGATCCTCCTGCCTTGGCCTCCCAAAGTGCTGGCATTACAGGCATGAGCCACTGCACCCAACCACTTTTAGGTTTTTTTTGGGAGAGAGACAGGATCTCGCTCTGTCCCACAGGCTGGAGTGCAGTGGTGCAATCACAGCTCACTGCAGCCTCAACCTCCTAGGCTCAAGCGATCCTCCAGCCTCAGCCTCCCAAGTAGCTAGGACTTCTGGCACATGCCATCACGCACGGCTGATTTTTTCTTTTGTAGAGACAGGGTATTGCTGTGTTGCCCAGTTGCCCAGGGTGGGCTCAAACAATCCTCCTGCCTGGGCTTCCCCAAGTGCTGCAATTACAGGCGTGGAGTCACCACACCCAGCCTATCATGGTATCTTTATACCAAGACAGTTGCTTTAAGCCCTTTCATCCATGGCCTGCTCTTGGACTGAGGGAAAATCCTTCATGCTGTTTGTGAACCAAATCCTGTTCTTCAACATGTTTTGTGACCCAGACACAAAGAATGAAGACCACATGGGCACTCAGGGGCAGTCACCACCCCTCTGCAGCCACTCTGTCCTCCTCTGTACCCACTCTGTCCTCCTCTGTACCCACTCTGTCCTCCTCTGTATGCCAGGGTCCACTTATTCTCTTGGTCAGTCAGCACACAGATGAGTCACATGCCCCTAAGGTCAGGCACCACTCAGTCTGCAATGCACCCAGGTCCCCACCTTCAAGAAGCTTGCATCGAGTGGAAGGTGGCAGAGAACAGCAGTCAAATAACGTCAGGCAGAGACGAGTGCTACGGCGTTAGATGCAGGATTTTTTTTTTTTTTTTTTTTTTTTAGATAGAGTCTCGCTCTGTCGCCCAGGTTGGAGTGCAGTGGCGTGATCTCGACTCACTGCAACCTCCACCACCCAGGTTCAAGAGATTCTCCTGCCTCAGCCTCCCGAGTAGCTGGGATTACAGGCATGTGCCACCACACCTGGCTAATTTTTTGTATTTTTAGTAGAGATAGGGTTTCACCATGTTGGCCAGGCTGGTCATGGATTCCTGACCTCAGGTGATTCACCCACTTTGGCCTCCCAAAGTGCTGGGATTACAGGTGTGAGCCACTGCTCCCGGCCTTTTTTTTTTTTTTTAGGAGAGTCTCGCTCTGTTGCCCAGGCTGGAGTCCAGTGGTGTAATCATAGCTCACTGCAGCCTTGACATCCTGGGCTCAAGCAATCCTCCCACCTCGGCCTCCCAAGAAGCTGGGTCCACAGGCAGGTACTGCTATGCCCGGCCAAGGATGTGTGATTTTTAAACCAGGTATTCACAGAAGCCTCACTCACCAGGTGATACTTGAGCAAAGGCCTGAAGGAAATAAGGAAGCGGGCTGGGTGCAGTGGCTCATGCCTGTAATCCCAGCACTTTGGGAGGCCGAAGTGGGAGGATCACTTGAGCCGAAGAGTTCCAGACTAGCCTGGGAAACACAGCGAGACCCTCATCTCTACAAAAATTTTTAAAAATATCCAGGCATGGTGGCATGCACCTGTGGTCCCAGTTACTCAGGAGTCTGAGGCAGGAGGATCACTTAAGCCTGGGAGTTTGAGGCTGCAATGAGCTATGATCATGTCACTGCACTCCGGCCTGGGTAACAGAGTGAGATGTCTCCAAAAAAAGAAGAGGCCAGGCACAATGGCTCACGCCTGTAATCTCAGCACTTTGGGAGGCCGAGGTGGGTGGATCAGGAGGTCAGGAGTTCAAGACCAGCCTGGCCATGATAGTGAAACACCATCTCTACTAAAGATACAAAAATTAGCCAGGCGAGGTGGCAGGCACCTGTAATTCCAGCTACTTGGGAGGCTGAGGCAGCAGAATCACTTGAACCTGGGGGGCGGAGGTTGCAGTGAGCTAAGATCCCGCCACTGCACTCCAGCCTGGCCGACAGAGTAAGACTCCGTCTCAAAGAAAAAAAAAAAAAAGGAAGCAGACAGACATGAGGGTCGCTGCTGTGCAGGTGCCTATGATCAGTGGATGGAATCAGGGACCACACCTGTGTACTCAGCATGCAGCGGGGAAGGTGGAAAGGAGAGGGGTGACCAGCAACGCCAGGGCCAAGCCTGGCTCTAGCCTCAGGGCACTCCCTGGCCAGCCCTCCTGGAAACCCAGACAGTAGGCAAGTAGCCCATACATCTCGTGTCCCCTTTACAGGGTCACCCAGGGCCTCCCATGCCACACAGGGCATGAAGATGGCCTCCACCTGCCCTCTGGACCGTAAATCTTCTGCCAGCTCCAGGCCATGCTGCCCTCCCCCGACCTTCTTGCTTTCTCCTTTCATCTCTCTCCTTAAATAACCTCCTCTCCCTCCTCCACCAGCCGCCCCATTCCCCGCCTTTCCTCAGTCAACAAAGAGAACATGGCCCACACTTGGTCATCTCCTAGCCGTCCCCATCTATGGACTTTCCATTCTGATCTTGCTATCGGGTGGCCCACCTCTTCCTCTCTGGTTTCTAGGATGCAGCCTGCACCCAGCTTTCTGGGTCTTCATCTCCCTTCCTGCTTTCCTGGGTACCCCCTGCTCTGCCCAGGGCCTCCCATGCCTCACTTTACCACTGGGCAGAGAAAGCCAGTTCAGATGCCTTCAGAACCAGGCAGGGGCCAGGCGCAGTGGCTCACGCCTGTAATCCCAACACTTTCGGAGGCCGAGGAGGGTTGATCACTTGAGGCCAGGAGTTTGAGACCAGCCTGGCCAACATGGTGAAACCTCATCTCTACTAAAAATATAAAAATTAGCCGGGCGTGGTGGTGGACACTAATCCCAGTTGCTTGGGAGGCTGAGGTGGGAGAATCGCTTGCATCTGGGAGGCGGAGGTTGCAGTGAGCCGAGATCACACCACTGCACTCCAGCCTGGGTGACGGAGCAAGACTCCGTCTCAAAAAAAAAAAAAAAAAAAAGCAGGCAGGGACTGGGCTTGGTGGCTCATGCCTGTAATCTCAGCACTTTGGGAGTCTGAGACAGGAGGATCACTTGAGGCCAGGAGTTCAGGCTGCAGTGAGCTGTGATCGCACCACTGCACTCCAGCCTGGCAACAGAGCTAGATCCTGTCTCTAAAAAAAAAAAATTAAAAAGAAACAAAGGGAAGGGGCCAATGAAAAGAGGAGAACTGAAGGTGCAGGAGGTGGAGGTTGGTGATGGAAGGACCCTTGTCCTCTCAGACGGCAGGAGAGTCAGACCCACATGGACTGGAGCACCTACAGGGAAGGGGCAGGACGGTGGTGAAGACAGACTACAACTGCTGACCTCAAGATTCCAAGGGAAGTCAGAAGCAAAGGTAGGGGTCCCAGGAGGGAGGAAGGTTGTTGAGAGAATAAGAGAGGAAACTGACAAAGGCGGCCAGGCGCGGTGGCTCACGCCTGTAATCCCAGCACTTTGGGAGGCCAAGGTGGGCAGATCACGAGGTCAGGAGATGAGACCATCCTGGTTAACACAGTGAAACCCTGTCTCTACCAAAAATACAAAATATTAGCCAGGTGTGGTGGTGGGCACCTCTAATCCCAGCTACTTGGAAGGCTGAGCCAGGAGAATCACTTGAACCTGGGAGGCGGAGGTTGCGGTGAGCTGAGATCTCACCATTGAACTCTACCCTGGGCAACAAGAGCAAAACTCTGTCTCAAAAAAAAAAAAAAAACAAACTGACAAAGGCTTAGGGTGTCAGTGGTGACAGGAAGACCTGCGTGGTGAGGATGACAAACCTCCCACAGTCCTGAGGGGTTCCTCAGAGCCCTTCCCAGCCTGGTATAGTGGCCGCAGAGGGGGTCAAAGCATGGGCTCAGAGTCGGGGTTCTGCTGGGCAGACGGCGATTACAGGAATGAGAGGAACTGCTGAGAAGCAGACTGGAGTTACCACTAAGGACTGCTAGAGTGAAGGGAAAACGGTGTGGCCCTGGGAGTGGGTGGCTGAAGAGAAGGCAAGGAGGTCACCAAAGTTGAAAAGGTTCCGGAAGCCCAAGGCTGTTGGCTGGCTAATGGCAGCGGAACTTGGGGAGGGGAGAGGGGAAAGTTCCAAAGACATCAGTGAATGGCAGAGAGCAACCAAGAGGTCAGCTGGTACCAGGGCCAAGGACAGGAAGAGATGAGGGGTTGGACAGAGAGAAAAAAAGCTCTGGCCAGGCGTAGTGGCTCCCGCCTGTAATCCCAACACTGGGAAGCCAAAGAGGGAGGATCGCCTGAATCCAGAAGTTCAAGACCAGCCTGGACAACAAAGCAAGATCTCAGGTCTACAAAACATAAAAAAATGTAGCCGAGCATGGTGATGCACACCTGTGGTCTCAGCTACTCAGGAGGCTGAAGCAGGAGGATTGCTTAAGCCCAGGAGTTCAAGGCTGCAATGAGCGCTGATCTCACCACTGCACTCCAGCCTAGGTGAGAGGGTGAGACCCTGTCTCTAAAAAAAAAAAAAAATTAATTTAAAACAAAAAAGCCACACTCTGAGGACGAGGTTTATCAGAGATCACTCGAGCTTATGCTACCTGCAGATTTTCTTTTGTAAAATGCTGTATTATTCTGGTTGAACTCTATGAAACTGCCACTTTTGTAGCTCAACAAAGTCAAATATCATCAGAACCATATAGTTCAAACAAATAGTTGCCCATATTTTTTAAAATCAGGAAAGTGGGCCGGGCATGGTGGCTCACACCTGTAATCCCAGCACTTTGAGAGGCCGAGGCAGGTGGATCACCTGAGGTCAGAAACTCGAGACAAGCCTGGCCAACATGGTGAAACCTCATCTCTACTAAAAATACAAAAATTAGCCGGGCATGGCGGTACGCACCTGTAATCCCAGCTACTGGGGAGGCTGAGCCAGGAGAATCACTTGAACCCGGAGGTGGAGGCTGCAGTGAGCTGAGATCGCACCATTGCACTCCAGCCTGGGCGACAGAGCAAGACTCCGTCTCAAAAAAGTTTAAAAAAATAAAGTAAACAAAATCAGGAAAGTATTACTGAATCTCAATTTCTAGTTTTTCTTGAAAACAAAATAAAAAAGGTCTATCATCACTCCTCTAACACTCTCAGGGCGCTACAACAGCCCGATCTGAGCAGCTTTTTTTTTTTTTTTTTTTTAAAGAAAAGACAGGATCTCACTCTGTCATCCAGGCCAGAGTGCAGTGGCACGATCATAGCTCGTTGCAGCCTGGAACTCCTGGGTTCAAGTGCTCCTCCCACCTCAGCCTCCCAAAGTGCTGGGATTACAGGTGTGAGCCACCGCACCCGGCCTAGCAGCTCCTCAGAAAAAAAATGTGCCACCACACCCTACCTTCTTGTATCATCTCCACATTACCTGCCTGGGACCTCAGCCACCCCTATATCATATAAAGATTCAGGGGTGTCTACAGAACACCCCCCTCCCCCGGGCTCTGCAGTACACAGGGGCCGGGAAATGGGCACTCTCCCCTGCAGAGGGCACTGGAAAGCATGCCCTTCAAAACTCAGCCCCAGCCTCTCTTCCTGGCACCTGCCTGACACGGGAGATGACAGCTCCTGGCACATCTCCCTGCTCCCAGGCCATCCAACAGGCGCCACGAGACCTGCCCAGCCACAGAGTCTCACCATGACCTCACAGATGGGAGGCGCTCTCCATCCCAAAGCAGGCGCACCTCCTCTTAGCCCACATATGCCCTCGACCACCTGAGCCCTCTGGGCTGCAACCCCAGGGGGAAGAGCGGGGCAATCTCTCATCCCGCCTGGCCTCCTCTGCTCATTCTTCCCTCTCTCTGGAATGCCCCCACCTGGCCCCTCACTGACAGACTCCTCACCCCTCAAGATCCAGTTCAGGGCCGGGCACGGTGGCTCACGCCTGTAATCCCAACATTTTGGGAGGCTGAGGCAGGCGGATCATGAGGTCAGGAGATCAAGACCATCCTGGCCAACATGGTGAAACCCCGCCTCTACTAAAAATACAAAAATTAGCTGGGCGTGGTGGCGCATGCCTGTAATCCCAGCTACTGGGGAGGCTGAGGCAGGAGAATCGCTTGAACCAGGGAGTCGGAGGTTGCAGTGAGCCAAGATCACGCCACTGCACTCCAGCCTGGCGACAGAGCGAGATTCCGTCTCAAAAAAAAAAAAAAAAAAAAAAAAAAAAGATCCAGTTCAGGGCAGCCGTGAGCTGCTGACACCATTGAACGCTCAAAGACACAAACCCCAGGACAGCCACGGTCCCAGGCATGGTGACCATCCATCCACCAAAGCCAGGTGCTTAATACAGAAGGCGGGTTGGGAAGTTCTCGCCCCAGGCCCCACAGTATACCTCTGCCCCGCTCACAATCTCACCCCAAGAGCTGTCCCAAGAACTAGAGATCAGGGGGCCTGGGCCACACTGGGAAGTGGAGGCTGTGAGGCTGCTGGGCTTTGCAGATGCACCTGCAGCAGGATTCCTTTAGGAAACATCCTATGTCCACAGCACAGTCCGGGCGAGGGCAGCCCCGTGTGACTGGCACGGTTCCCCTCTCCCGCAAAGTGGGCTTTTCTTCCCTCACACAGTCTCCCTCTCCAGCCGCTACCATCACCAAAGCCTGGGTCAGGCGGTATCCGGTGGTACCTGGGCCACTCCATCTCCCGGTTGCTGTCCACACCCATACCGTGGCGGGGCAGACGGGGAAGCACCCCTTTCTGCTCATCACGAAGCATGAAAGGATCAGATAGAATGAGAGCACCAAACGCAAAGAAGAAAAGATCAGGCCGGGCGCACTGGCTCAAGCCTGTAATCCTAGCACCTTGGGAGGCCGAGGAGGGCGGATCGCTTGAGCCCAGGAGTTTAAGACCAGCCTGGGCAACATAGGGAGACTCTGTCTCTACAAAAAAAAAAAAAAAAAAAAAGTAAGAAGAAGAAAAGCTGGGCATGGTGGTGTGCACCTGTAGTCCCAGCTTCTCGGGAGGCTGAGGCGAGAGGATCGCTTCAGCTTGAGAGGCGACGGCTACAGTAAGCCGAGGACGCGCCGCTGCACTCCAGTCTCGGCGACAGAGGAAGACCCTGTCTCAAAAAAAAAAAAAAAAGAAGAAAGAAAAAAAAAAAAGAAGAAAGAAGAAAAAATTATCAGAAAATGGCTCAGTGTGCCCATGAACCTGACTTGCCTGTTAAGTTAGGAACCGCACATCAACTCACTCGGCCAGAACCCCTCGTGTGTCGGGGGACCCAGAGGCAGGGGTGAAGCCGCTGCTGGGGATCCAGGCGCACTCACTCACCCTTTGCGCTCCCCAGTCCCCAGGGGATGCACCTTCCTCGTCCCAACCCCGTGCACTGCTGCACCCCCAGCCAGCCCCGTGCTCTCCTCCGCTGATCCGGCCGCCTACCCGAGGCAGTCTCGGAACCCCGGACCCCAGCCATGCGCGCAGGGAACTGCCGGGCCGAGCGAGCTCACCGAAGTAGTCCCGCGCCGTGCGCGCCTCGAGCGCCCGCTCCAGCTCCCGGGTGAGCGCCTCCAGCCGCCGCTCGGCCGCGCTTGGGCCGCCCTCCCGGCCAGGGGGCAGCGGGAGTGCAGGCAGCGGGAAGGGAGCCGGCCCCGCAGGCTCCGGGGAGCGAGCGGGCGCGGGGCAGGCGCCGGGCGGGAGGAAGTCAGCGTAGGCGCCGGCCGAGCCCCGGGAGCCGAGGCTGGAAACGCTGGAGCGGGCGCTGCCCACCGAAGGCGGCCCGGGACCGGGACGCGGGTCCGAGCGACCGGAGCGCGGGCTGCCGTGGCGCTGGTCGTAGCCCAGGCTGATGCCGCTGGATCGGGCGCTGCCGCCACCGCCGCCGCCGTCGGACCCCGCCAGGCTGGCCCGTGGGCTGCCCGCAGGCTGCGCGCTGAGCTCCGGAACCGCCGCGCGCCGGGGACCCCGCTCCCCGCGGCTCAGTCCGTCCGCCCCGGCCTCGGGGCCGCCGCTGCCCTTCCCTCTGCGGCCCAGCGCGGGCGCCGCCTCGTCTCCAGGCCCAGGCCGCGGCCCCCGCCGCCCCCGACCGGGAGAGCCGCACCCGGGCTCCAGCTCCCGCAGGGCCAGCCCGGCCAGGAGTAGGGCCGCCTCGTCCGCGCCCGCCCTGGAGCGCTGCATGGCCCGGCCCGCCGGCCCTGGCGCGTCACCTCCGCCTCCGCTTCCCGCCGCCGCTCCGGCCGGGCCGCCGCATCGTCCGCCCGAAGCCCGGAGCCCGCCCCGGGACCCCTGGGCGCGGGGCGGGGCGGGGCCGGCGCCGGGCCGGGGTCGTTCCGGCGGCCACGCGCGGGCCGGGGGACGCGGCGCCCTGCTCGGCGGCGCGCGCGGCGGAGGAATGTAAGCTCCCAGGCGCCGGGCCGCGCCCCCTCCTCGCCGCGGCCTCGCGCGGGGCGGAGGGACTCCTTTGCGGGGGCAGGAATGCGAGGAAGGAGACGGCGCTGCGGCCTCTGGAATGTGGGGGGAGTGGCGGCGGCCGCGCTGCGCCGGGACCTCGGAGGGGCGTGGAGGCCGGGCCAGGACGCAGGGGCGGGCGGCGGAGGCACCGCGGGGAGAGCCCAGGGTCTGCGGGGCGCCCGGGCCGTCGGGCCGCTGGGAAGAGCTCGGATTTCCGCAGGCTGAGCTGGAGGCAGCTGGCGCCATCCGGGCCGGAGAGATCCAAGCAGTCGACAGCTTTCCCCACATCCCGCCCCATCTCCCTTCCCTGCGCCGCCTTGCTCTCCGGCGCTGCAGGGCCGACCCAGCTCAGCTTGGAACCCACGGCGCTTCGCCCGTCCCGCGCCCAGGAATACTGTGCGCCTAGCGCAGATGCGTCCCCACGACCCCCTGCCTGGCCCGGGGCCATGTGGCCGCGCACCGGCCTCTGAAGCCCCCATCTGACTGCTGGGGAAGGCGCCCAGAACTAGGAGCGGGTTGGTTGGGGACTGGTCCTCGCGCTGGGTCGCTTCGCCCAGGCCCCCAAGGCCAGGCTAGAAGCAGGCCTCAGGCTCAGAGCCGGTGGGCGGCGAGCCTCCCCTGTGGCCATCACAGGCAGTCCCCGTGAAATATGGGGACTCCTCCCTTTTCCAGCACCTGCATCCAGGGTGGTGGGTGAGGCTTCGAGGGGAGGTCCTGGAACCAGCGGGGCCATAGGGGCCACATAGGTGGGGAATCGAGAGGTGACTAGGGCTTCGTGCCCAAGGACACAACTAAAATCCCTTGTACAAGTCACACGGCTATAGGGAAGAAAACCAAACCGTTATCTGTCAGGGCCTGATGGATCCAAGAAAAGTGTTGCGTGAGAGAGTACTGTTTTCCAGGCCCTCTCTGCTCAGAGATTTTCGGGAAGGCGCCTACAGTGGCTCAGCGCGCAGGGAGCCCGCACGGGAACTGTCCCGGCCAGACCGCCCAGGGCAGTGTGGCCTCAACACCACTGAGCACCCGCTGGGGCCGCTAACCCCAGCACCTTCCCATAGCCTGCGGAGTTCCAGCCCCTGCCCCACCAGGGTAGGGGAAGTGGAAGCAAGCATTTCGTGTGCGCGGAGGGTGGGGGAGTTGCGCTGTTTTGTTTTTTTCAGACAAGGTGTCGCTCTGTCCCCCAGGCTGGAGTACAGTGGTGTGATCACAGCTCACAGTGATCACACACACCCCAGAGTCTCAACCTCCTGGGCTCAAGCAATCCTCCCACCTCGGACTCCTGAGTACGTAGGAGTACAGGCGCACACCACCACACAAAACGCTGAGATTACAGGCATGAGACTCCGTGCGGGGTCTAGAAGCCAGCATTTGGGAGAGCAAATACCCAGGGAAGCCAGGACATGAAAAATGGTCTACCTTTCAAATGAGAAAGGAAAAGCCAGTTCAGTCATATCACATTTCATGGACTGCATTATCTACTATTTAAAAATTACAATATTGGCAGGACTGTGGTGAAACAGTTGCACATATGCTACTGGTATGAGTGCAAATTGGGATATCCTTTTGGGAAGAGCAGTTTGGCGGTGTCAACATCCGCACAAACGAACACGAAACTTAGAAGCAGTAATACTGCTGCTAAACATCTATTCAAGGGAAGTTATCAAAAATGCAGACAATAATCCAATCACAACCGTGTCGTATAATCCCAACATCATTTAGGTAATCTACAGCGGTCCCCAACCTTTTTGGCACCAGGGACTGGTTTTGTGGAAGACAATTTTTCCACAGACAGGGATGGGGAGGGTGGGAATGGCTTCAGGATGATTCAAGGGCATTATATTTATTGTGCACTTTATTTCTATTATTATTACATTGTAATATATAATGAAATAATTATACAACTCACTATACCATAGAAAGAGTGGGAGCCCTGTGCTTGTTTTCCTGCAACTAGACGGTCCCATCTGGGGGTGATGGGAGACAGTGACAGATCATCAGGCATTAGATTCTCATAAGGAGCACACAGCCTAGGTCCTTCGCATGCGCAGTTCACAATAGGCTTCGTGCTTCTGTGAGAATCGTGGTGGGACTCAGGTGGTAATGCTCCCTCGCCTCTGCTCACCTCCTGCTGTGTGGCCCAGTTCCTAACAGGCGGTGGTATACTGGTCTGTGGCCCAGGGGTTGGGGACCCCTGATCTATTCTGTCCTAGGATCTCCAGCCTTCTGAAAAGATGCTCAAAGGGAGCTCTCTGCATTTAAAGGCAGCTGTTGGGCTGAGTGTGATGTAATCCCAGTGCTTTGAGAGGCCAGTATGGGAGGATTGCTTAAGGCCAAGAGTTCAAGACCAGTCTGGGAAACATAGTGAGATTCCATCCCTACAAAACATTAAAAATTAGCTGCCAATGGTGGCACATGCCTGTAGTCCCAGGTATTTTGGGAATCTAAGGCGGGAGGATGCTTGAGCCCAGGAGGTCAAGGCTACAGTGAGCAGTGAGGGCACCACTGCACTTCAGCCTAGACAACAGAACGAGATTCATCTCTACAATAAAAAACAAAAAATTAAACTGGCGCGGTGACGGGCACTTGTAGTTCAGCTGTTCGGGAGACAGAGGCGGGAGGATTACTTGAGCCCAGGAGTCTGAGGTTACAGTGAGCTATAACTGTGCCACCACACTCTAGCCTGGGTGACAGAGCAAGACCCTGTCTCTACAAAAACAATAAAGTCAAGTATTTAATAACTGTTCTGGCTGGGCACGGTGGCTCACTCCTGTAATCCCAGAACACTGGGAGGCTGAGACGGGCGGATCACTTGAGCTCAGGAGTTTGAGACCAGCCTGGCCAACATAGCGAAACCCTGTCTCTATTAAAATACAAATACAAAAATTAGCTGGGTGTAGTCGTGCACGCCTGTAATCCCAGCTACTTGGGAGGCTGAGGCACAAGAATCGCTTGAACCCAGGAGGCAGAGGTTGCAGTGAGCCAAGATGACACCACTGCATTCCAGCCTGGGTGACACAGCAATACCCTGCCTCCAGAATAATAATAATAATAATAATAATAATAATAATAATAATAATAATAATAACAACTGTTCTTTCCCCACCTGCCCACTTAGAGCTTTCAAGATTTAAACTATATTCACATCCAGGGTCAGCTAAAACCTATTACTTGCTCTACTAGTAATAAATGACAACTACAAAACCCAGAAACAACCTAAAATGTTTGATATTTACCATTAGAATAGTTTAAGTACATCCTTGAAGTGGGAAATACATTAAGCAGTTATATTCAAAAGATTTAATGAATGGCTTGGGAATCAGACTATTGTGATGTTAGGTGGATTTGAAGTAGTCTGCAGAATTGTGGGGTCTCATCTCTACATTACCCAAATGTCCCCCTGACCCCATCTTCTATCTCCTCACTCCAGGGGTATTGAGTGATCTCAACAGACTGGCTCCTTCTGTCTGAGATGCACAGTCCAGGAGAAGGATGGGGATGGGGCTCTCTCAAGGGATTTAAAGCACTGTCCATGGACTCAATGTCCAGCCCCCACTGATTCCCCCTCTGTCCTCCCCTGTTGCAGGAATGTTCTTTGTGTTCACCTCTCTCTGGGCATTTTCCTCCTGAGTCCAGTGGTGTGCTGGTAAATGTCTAACAACCAGCTCTCTGGGGAGGAATTTGTATAAATCAGGAGCCCTGATGTGTAGCATTTGCCAATTACCATGGTATAAATACTCCCAGCATGGCCAATTTCAAGCTATAAAGATGGGGCCACTGAACTGAGCTGGAAAGAAATGGGTATAACCAGTTCTTGCAAGCTGGGATAAGCTGGCTCCACACACCGCTGCCTGAGTCCCACTGTTCCAAAGGAGGGGTTTCACTACACTGTGGCTTCCAGTTTATCATCCTCTCAAGTTAACTGGTCTTCCCTTTGTTAAGCAAAGACACACTTGGAGGCCAGAACAGGACATGTTCAATCTAGTCTTGCACCATGTCCTGAACCATCATCATCATCATCTTCCCAGAACCCAGGAGCTGACCCTACCCAGACTCTGTCCACGCCATGGTGATTTTTTGTTTGTTTTTTGTTTTGAGACGGAGTTTCATTCTTGTTGCCTAGGCTGGAGTGCAATGGCGTGATATCGGCTCACCGCAACCACTGCAACCTCCGCCTCCCAGGTTCAAGCCATTCTCCTGCCTCAGCCTCCCAAGTAGCTGGAATTACAGGCATCCACCACCATGCCTGGCTAACTTTTGTGTGTGCACGTGTGTGTGTGTGTGTATGTGTGTGTATATATATGTATGTGTGTGTATATATATGTATGTATATATATGTGTATATATATGTATATGTATGTGTGTGTGTGTGTGTGTCTATATATATATATATATATATATTTTTTTTTTTTTTTTTTTTTTTTTTTTTTGGAGAGACGGGGTTTCACCATGTTGGCCAGGCTGGTCTCAAACTCCTGACCTCAGGTGATCCACCCGCCTCGGCCTCCCAGAGTGCTGGGATTACAGGCGTGAGCCACCAAGCCCAGCCTACAATGGTGATTTTTTAAGGAGCCCCTCATGCCCCTCCTTGTAATCTAGCTTCCATTAGACCTCCTTAATTGTCTGTACTGTATGGACCCCAGGTATTGACAGAATTCAGGGGTTTTCTCATGGAGTCCTAGGCCACTTATCAATCAGCTGTGACTGGATAACGGGTTATGAGGGAAGGGGAATGGCAGCCAAACTCCACAGGAAGTTTCTGGGACCCACACTTCTTTCTCCTTAGCCTATGACAGTTTTTACCCTTGTCGAATTTCCAGCACCAGTCTCTCACCTGAAGCACACACACCTTTCCAGCTCAGCTCCTGGGGGCCACTCCTCCCACACACAGCACCAGGCTCAAGATGCACGTTCTGTCCTATCCACTGGGAGGGCTTTTTCCATCCCCTCTTCTCTGAGCACCCATCCTGTGTGCTGCCACGCTGAGAGGCAGCTTCCAGGAGCTCTAAGAGTCATAGAAACCAACCTCATACTCAAAAATATAATACCAGGCTGGGCACCCAAGGGAATTTTTTCAACCCCTCTTCTCTGAGGCCCCACTCTTTCTGCCAGATTGAGCCTAACTTCAATCTCTCCTGGTCCTGTTATCCCCTTTAGGCCTGAGGATGCAAGAAGATTCAAAGCATTGATCACTGAAGCCATGGATAGATTGGGGAACCAATCTAAGAATTAAGGCTAAGACATGATACTTGCAGCTTGCTTCCTTCCTGTTTCCATGGGGGTTTTTGTTTTTTGTTGTTGCTGTTTGTTTGGTGTGTGTGTGTGTCTGTAACATGATCCCACCCTGTCATCCAGGCTGGAGTGCAGTGATGCGATCATGGCTCAGCTCCCTGCAGCTTCGAGCTCCTGGTCTCCAGTGATCCTCCCACCTCAGCCTCCAGGTTAGCTAGGACTATAGGCGCATGCCACCATGCCAAACTAATTTTTGTTGTTGTTGTTGTTGTTTTTCGTAGAGTGAGGTTTCACCATGTTGCCCAAATTCCTGGACTCAAGCAATCCTCCTGCCTTGACCTCCCCAAGTGCTGGGATTCCAGGTACAAACCACTGCATCTGGCAAAGGCCCTCTTTTCTTGTCTTGAAGCCTTACCATGCACGCAGGAATGGGAATTTCTGCCCTAACTTTGTACCATGGTAAAAAACCCCAGCCAATCTACAGCTCAATGGGGAGGACCTATTTGGGGATGCCCAGATTAATGGAGCTTTTGGTATTATTATTTTTTGAGACAGGGTCTCACTCTCTTGGCCAGGCTGCAGTGCTGTGATCACACCTCAGCCTCAACTTCCTGGCTTAAGTGATCCTCCCACCTGAGCCTCTCAAGTAGCTGGGACCACAGACACATGCCACCATGCCTGGCTAATTTTTTATTTATTGTAGTGATAGGGTCTCACTATGTTGCCCAGGCTGGTCTTGAACTCCTGGGCTCAGATGATCCTCCTGCCTCAGCCTCCCAAGGTGCTAGGATTACAGGCATGAGCCACCATGCCCAACCTGGCATTAGGCTTTTCAGTATGAGGTTGGTGTTTATGACTTCCAAACCTCCCGGAAGCTGCTGCTATAACCAACTGGGACATCTGCCTCTCAGTGTGGCAGCACACAGGGTGTGGGTGCTCAGATCTCCAACTCACCACCTACTGCTGTCAAAATGACATGAGGAGTTGGGTTTTCATTCACGCCAGTCTTTAGTTCATTGTGCTTTCAAAGGTTTCCACCCAGGCTGGCAACAGTGGTAACGTTTTCCACCGAGTGCAGCACTGCAATTTGTGTTGACAGAATGGCTGAATGACATCGTCTGCACAGTGCCTAAATTTCCTGAGACTGGTTGATCTGAGAATCAAAGTAAACCATTGAAAGACTCTAAAGTGCAAAGCCTGAGGACCTTCTCAGACGCTGTACGTTCTGGTAAAGCTTTTGCTCAGAATCTTTCCCAATCTGTGAGTCATCACTTGTTGCTAGACTTAAAATTTTTAAAACTGGCATGAGTCAGAGACATTTAGCAAAACTTCCTAAAATGTTACTTTACCAGGAGATAATTGTCTTCAAAACATAGCCAAACTACACAGTGGCGTTGTAGCCCCGTAGTTCAACTGTTGATTTTTAATTTTTTTAGTTTGAGTTCTAAAATTTTTCAAATAAGCTTTTGGATGCAATGTGTTTTGAATTGGATGCAGGAAAAAGAAAATGTTCCTTCTGTGAGCACAATGCAAATAATGTGCTCCCAGTGTGAAATAAAAATACTTCTCTAAATATATCCTCCCTCAAAATGGTCAAATGGACCTCAGGAATATTGCTTTAAAATGCAAAGAAACAGGAGGTCCTCCCTACCTCTACATGTCACAATGACTAGAAACATCTGCTGACATTTTTTCTTCTCTGATCTTTTTGGGTTTTCTTTACTTTTCACATTTTTATTTTATTTATTTATTCATGTATTTATTTTTTTTTGAGACAGTCTCACTCTGTCACCCAGGCTGGAGCACAATGACACCATCTCAGCTGACTGCAACCTCTGCCTCCCGGGTTCAAGCAACTCACATGCCTCAGCCTCCCAAGTAGCTGGGATTACAGGTGTGCACCACCACACCCAGCTAATTTTTCTATTTTTTTAGTAGAGATGGGGTTTCATCATGTTGGCCAGACTGGTCTCGAACTCCTGGCCTCAAGCGATCTATCTGCCTCAGCCTCCCAAAGTGCTGGGATTACAGGCATGGGCCACCTCACCTGGCCCACATTTTTGGTTTTTGTATATTACAAAAGGCTGGTAAGTGGCTTACATTTGGCCATGTTCCTTGGGTGTAGGCCAAGTCCACGTCAGACATGTATGCCACTGATGGACAATTTTCAGGAACATCTATTATCAACTAAATGCTGTCTGGCAGCCTCTGAGTGGGCCATTCATCTAGTGGGAACCACCTGGCTTAGTTCTCTGGAGGCTCAAATGAAAGAGAATCCTTCCTAAGTCACAGCCTAGCAACAAGAAGGATGGGTAAAGCTGACTTCAACAGTGTTGAGCCCAGAATCCCACTAACACTTTCTCTTTCCACCTTATATGTTTAATAACCTTTATTGCCTTTCTGACTTTAATCATAGGACATACTCAATATAAAACTTGGAAAAGTCAAATAGGCACAAAAGGAAAATAGACTGCCTGTGTATGTATATATGCATTTGTGCGTGTGTGCATATATATACATATATTCACTTCTATTATGAAAGTTTTCAAAGCTGAATGGTACAATGAAACACACACAGTACCTAGGTTCAATAAATGTTAATTTTGCTGTTTTCCTCCCCATATAGCCTGAGAAAGGTGCAGTGGCTCACAACTGTAATCCCAGCACTTTGGGGGAGGCCAAGGAGGGAAGATCGCTTTAGCCCAGGACTTTCAGACCAGCCTGGGCAACAGAGCAAAACCCCTTCTACAAAAAATTGAAAAAATTAGCCAGGCGTGGTGGCGTAACACCTGCAGTCCCAGCTACGTGGGAGGCTGAGGGAGGAGGATCGCTCGAGCCCAGGAGTTTGAGGCTGCAATGAGCTATGATTATACCACTTTACTCCAGCCTGGGCACCAGAGCAAGTACGTCTCAAAAAAAAAAAAAGTTGCTGGTATTGAAGATTTGCCCATAATACACTAAAAAGAACATAATTACAATCACATTATCGTACTGAAGAAAACAATTCTATATTACCTATATTCGTTTCATTTTCAAATTTCCAATTGTTACAAGAATTGTTATAGTCATTTTTGTTGAACTAGGATGCAAAAAAAATTATTCATACATTGTATTGGGTTGTCTCTTAAATGTCTTTTAACCCCAGAATGCCTACTCCTTCCTTTTTTGAAATGACACTTACTGAAGAGCCCTGGCAGTTACGGAATATCACAGATATTCTGCTCACCTGATTGTTTCTAAATGTTAACTTGTGCCTCTACCCCCTCTCCATTTCCTGTCAGCTGGAGGTCTAGATGCTTGGTTAGATTCCAGTCAACAATTTCTTGGTGAGATACTGCTGTGTTCTTGGTATCATCTTAGGAAGCACAGAAACATCAGGCCGTCCCATAAGTGACACTAGGTTTGATCACTTGATTATGGTGGCGGCAGTCAGATCTGTCAATTGTGAAGATTGGTGTTTTCCAAATTAGGCGTGGTGGCTCACATCTGCAGTCCCAGCTACTCAGGGGTGCTGAGGTGGGAAGATCACTTGAGCCTGAGAAGTCGAGGCTGCAGTGAGCTGTGATCACATCACTGCACTCCGGCCTGGGGGACAAAGCGAGACGCCCCTCTCTAAAATAAGTAAAGATTGATGTTTTCCTTTTGCAAGTGACCTGTGCAGCAACATTTGAGTGTTGTGCTAAAATTCTGTTCCTCAGCAGCCTTTTACCTGAAAGGTTTTGGCATCCAGTGATCTTTGCCTGGTCAGTTATCTCATTAATGGGTTAAAATGTTGGAACCTCTCATGGCACATGCTGAGCAGCCAGTAGTCTTCAGGACAATGGATTCTCTAGGTAAACTTGTCACCACACTGTTCCAAGTGAGGCTGGAAGACAGTTTGTCAACACCATATTTCAGGCTGGAGGTGGAAAGAAGCTGTTGAGGAAACTCCCTTTGCAAGCCCTACTCCCAGCTCCCAGCTGGTGAGACAATTTACATGGAAAAACCATGAATACAACACAAGATCTGAAGTGTCTCCACCCTCTAGGCACCTAGGGAAAGCTTGGATTTGCTTTGGTACACTGTCTAGTTGTACAGGATCCCTGCAACTAGTAGTCAGACCTGCCTTCCTAACAAACCTGCTGAAAAAGGTAGTAATAGTTAATGCAAAGATGAAAAACACTGGTCTGCCAAATTAGAAACAACTCCGCAGACCTAACTGGCACTTATCATCATGCACTATACATTCAAATAGGAAAGAACAAAAGAACATACACAAAATATCGGGAACACATTGTTAACTGTGTCTACAAAGCAGGGTGAGGACAGGGCACGCGGCTCAGGGCCTATAATCCCAGTACTTGGCAAGGCCAAGGTGGGAGGATCGCTTGAGGCCAGGAGTTGGAGACAAGCCTGGGCAACGTGAGACCGTCTCCACAAAAGAAGTTTTAAAAATTAGCTGGGCATGGTGGTGAGCTCCTGTAGTTCCAGGGACTTAGGAGGCTGGGGAGGGAGAATTGCTTGAAGCCAGGAGGTCAAGGCTGCAGTGACCTATGACGGCACCACTGCAAAAATAAAGGCAGGCAGGATGATGTGTAAGAATGGACAGAATTTCAAAATCAAATTTCTAGAGAGCTTTTCAGAATAAAAAGTTTGAAGAGTGAGACGGCATCCTAAGATATTTCATTTTATATTACATAGTTAAGTTTCAAATTATTTTCTGGAGGAAAATTAAACACCTTCTAAAAACCTAAAGGCAGATGAAGCTCACAGGTGAAAGTCACTCCACTCTGGGGCTCCAGAAGGCTGAGTCTTAGTCAACATGACTTTTTTTTTCTTTTCAGAGACAGGGTCTCATTCTGTCACCCAGTCTGAAGTACAGTGGTACAATCTTGGCTCACTGCACACCCCGCCTCCCAGGCTCAAGCGATCCTCCTCCATCAGCCTCCCGAATAGCTGGGGCTACAGGCAAGTGCCACCAGGCTCAGCTACTTTTTGTATTTTTTGTAGAGATGGGGTTTTGCCATGTTGCTCAGGCTGGTCTCAAACTCCTGGGCTCAAACGATCCTCCTGCCTCAGCCTCTCAAAGTGCAAGGCTTATGGGTGTGAGCCACCACACCCAGTCTTCTACATGGTTTTTCTGAAAGCTCTGATTACATGCTGAATTTACAAATGGTGGAAAACAAGGAGTAATGGTTAATAAGCTGAATGGTACAGTACAAATTACACAAGGAACAATACATGAATTAGAAATTTAAAATTTAGTTGAAATATAAAATAAATTATTGCCAGAAACACAAAGGGCACATGAATACAATAGGGGAAACAGCTTAATGGCTTTCTGTTCTCTGAAAACTCAAGGCCCATCTCTGAGTGATAAGAGTACCCTAACAGGCAAAGCCCTCTGAGGTCCGGGACCAGGAAGACAGTGCTACTCCACCTACTGGCGGTCTGGCACTATCTGTAGGCTGGAGTTGGGCTGGGGATGGTACATTCAAAATGGACTTTGGTAAACTAGGGGACAACCCAGACAAACACTGCAGAAAGGAGGAAGGACTCCCTTTCCAGCATCTCAAATTCAAGGCTCCAAGTTACTGGGCTTGGGCAAAGTCACACATTTTCTCAACAAAGGCCAACTGCTGACAATCCAAATTTTAAAAACACTGCCATTAGGCCAGGCGCAGTGGCTCACGCCTGTAATCCCAGCACTTTGGGAGGCTGAGGCAGGTGGATCACGAGGTCAGGAGTTCCAGACCAGCCTGGCCAACATAGTGAAACCCCATCTCTACTAAAAATACAAAAAATTAGCTGAGCGTGGTGGAGGGCGCCTGTAATCCCAGCTACAGGGGAGGCTGAGACAGGAGAATCGCTTGCACCTGGAAGGCGGAGGCTGCAGTGAGCCAGGATCGCGCCACTGCACTCCAGGCCAGATGACAGTGTGAGGCTTCATCTCAAAAACGAACAAAAAACCCACTGCCATTAAAAGCTTTATTTTATTTACTTATTTTTTAGAGACAGGGTCTTGCTATGTTACCCAGGCTGGCCTTGAACTTCTGGGCTCCAGCCATCCTCCTGCCTCAGCCTCCTGAGTAGCTGGAACACAGATGTGCACCACCACCACACGCAGGAAGAGCTTTATTTTAGAAAGTACTCTTCCTACATGTGAAGTCTCCAAGAATAAAGAAAAGAAAGTACTCGTCTTTGGCAAACAGTGGAGATCTTCTGAACCTTTTTTGAGATGGAGTTTCACTCATCGCCCTGGCTGGAGTAGCAATAGCACAATCTTGGCTCACTGCAACCTCTGCCTCCCGGGTTCAAGCAATTCTGCTGCCTTAGCCTCCTGAGTAGCTGGAATTACAGGTGCCTGCCACCAGGCCCGGCTAATTTTTTTTTTTTTTTTTAGTAGAGATGGGGTTTCACCATGTTGACCAGGTTGGTCTTGAACTACTGACCTCAGGTGATCCACCTGCCTCAGCCTTCCAAAGTGCTGGGATTACAGGCATGAGCCACCGTGCCCGACCGAGTTCTTTTTTTAATGAAAAGAATTTGACATTCCTGCAGTAGATATAAGGCAGCAGAAACAGGAACTGTGCAGGCATGTGTAACAAGAATGCAGATGCCATTTATTTGGTCCATAAGTATAGTCGTTATTTGAGTTTTACAAAACATCGAATATAAATAACCTGAAACTGTAACAATACACAAAAATTGGCTTCTTACACAGACATACCAGGCGGTACAAACTGAAAACTTGAGTAAATTAACATTGTTTTACATTAATATACATAGTGCCATCTAACATTTAAAAACAAGTTTCAATGCATAGCACTCGATACTTCTTTGAATCTGTTTCAATCAGTTAAGAGTATGAAAATGGTTAGATCTAGGCTAAAAATAATTCTTCTTCTAGCCAAAAATAAAGGCATAATATTTATAACCAGGTATCAACTTTACTAAACCACAATATTTTGAAACTATTAATGATACCTACGGGTATTTACATTAAAAAGGCAACATGCATTGTGTTGTTTTATCTCATGACTGGTTATGCACACACTTTGTTCAAAGGGTTTTTAAAACTATATTCCTACTTTCAATACAGCATACTGCAATGTGTCTAACAGTTCTAGCAAAATGAATGCTTTCAAAGGGAGCAGAATCATTTTCAAGTCACTGCTGTCAATTTTTTCCCTTTGGAACAAAGGACATAACAATCTGGTTCTGCCCAGATAAACTAAATAGTAAGAGGGTTCTGTTTAGAGGCATTTCTGTTCAATCTAATGCTATGACATCATCAAGCTCTTCCTTCTGTTCTATACGTGACCTCTTTGCACTGAGATTCTCTTTCTCATCTAATTTCCTCTTGCGGCTTCTCTCTTCTTCACTGACGTCGGCATTATTTGAAGAATCTTCTTCATCTGAATCAACTATGAGAACGTCATCTTGCTCTTGAGCTTATTTCAGAAAAAAGGGAAAAAGAAAATGGGTAAAAGCGTGGGAGTTACCTGTGCTCACCTGTATTTTCTATAATTGAAAGCTGACTCTTCTAATACACACCAGACTTAAGAATGGCTGCATTTTCACTTTACACATTACGTATTTCCATACTGTTTTAAATGTTTTATATAAGAACCTATTTATTTTCTAATCAAAACAAAAAATTGTGACAAGCATTATGTAACTCAAAGTACTCATTACACATCCTTGATTCTACCTCCACATTCTCCAATAGAAAAGCAGAGGGTACATATTCTAATAATGGTAGTAGTGGTAACAATAGCAACAACAATACAGCACTTACAATGTGCCAGGAACTGTTCTGAGCACTGTGCATATGACAACTCATTTAATCATCACAACCCTATAAAGAAGATCACATGAGTATCTGCTTTCCAGGAAAGGAAACTCAGTGAATGACTTCCCAAGCTTACATAGTAGCAGAGGATGAAGCCAGGAACCATCCCCAATGCAGAACTGATACTAAAGGTGGTTTTATCTCCTCGTCCAACAAAATCAAAGGCAGAATACCTATCTTACTCATGGCTGTAACCTTGGAAACCTACCCACAGTAGAGAATCAATAAATGTACATTTCAAATTATGATTTTGGAAAATCTACCAGATAGTCTCTTCCTCAAAGGAAGATGACGGACCTTTCTAATTTCAGTGAGGGGGGAAAAAACAGGTTATGAACCAATGACCCAGGCCATAATCTGAATGTTCGTCTCCAAAATTCTCAAGAGAACATTAGAGCCAAGAGTAAACATATTCCAAAGAATGCCACAGACATAGGGTCAAAGAAATGAAAACAAAGAAGTCAAAATCTGGTAACCTTTAGTTTCCTAACTAAAGGAAGAAAGGGAGAGGAGTAAATATTCAAATCAGAATACAGTAAACAATCAGTTATTTGGAAAAATACCAAGCACCAGCACTGAAAATCCAGGGGAAAGGACTATACCCAAGTCATACTGGTGACAAGGAAACTCTAACATGCCTAAATTCCATACTTAACAAGCACCTGTTCACTCAAAATAGTCAGATGCATGGATTTATTGCTCCTTAAAACAAGCATACAAAACCCCAACCTGCTACTACATAGGCTGACTTTGCACACTAGTAAACTATCATTTCAAACTGTTAAAAACCAATTAACAAAAAATAACAAAGTGTTCTTATTTTCTGTAAGAAATTTCCATAAGAATTTCCCCCAGTCTTAAATGACTTGTTTGTTTGGAGCCGGAAGCCTCGCTCTGTCACCCAGGCTGGATGGAGTGCAGTGGCGCGATCCCAGCTCACTGCAACCTCCGCCTCCTGCCTCAGCCTCCCGAGTAGCTGGGACTACAGACGCATGCTGCCACGCCCAGCTAATTTTTTGTATTTTTAGTACAGATGGGATTTCCCTGTGTTGCCCAGGTTAGTGTCAAACTCCTGAGCTCAGGCGATCTGCCCGCCTCGGCCTCCCAAAGCGTTGGGGTTACAGGTGTGAGCCACCATGCCAGGCCTTAAATGACTTTTTTTTTTTTTTTTTTGAGACATGGTCTTGCTGTTGCCCAGGCTGCAGTGCAGTGGTGCAATCATGGCTCACTGCAGTGTCGAACTCCTGGGTTCAAGTGAACCACTTCAGCCTCCTGAGTAGCGGAGACTACAGGTACACGCTACCATGCGTGGTTAATTTTTTTTTTTCTTTGTAGAGATGGGGGTCTCTCATTGTGTTGCCCAGGCTGTTCTCCAACTCCTGGCCTCAAGTAATACTCCCATCTTGGCCTCTCAAAGTGCTGGGATTACAGGTGTAAGCCACCACACCCAGCCTTAAATGTCTTCATGGTTCATAAATTCAAAGCTCCATTACAACAATCAATACCAAACCAATACACACCTCTAGTAGTTTTATGGATTTATGGTCAATGTTCCTAATAATCAGTTTGTTTTTACTTCTGCTTTGTGGGTATTTAACAACCTGCTGGCTGGGGCCATACTCACCTGTGGAGGTGGAGGGCTGAGCTCCATCATCACTGCCATTGGTTATGCTTTTGGCAGCATCTTCAGCTTGTTTGGGCCCCACTTTTTCCGGGGCATCACCAACAACTTCAAATTCAACGTCCTTTCCTAGGTCTTCACTGTAGGAGAATCACACAGGTCACTGCTATGACTATTTAGAAAGCAAAGGAGCACCAGAGAAATCCTGTTGTTCCTCAAAGCATACACTATGTATACACCAAATATGTGGATTCTAATTTTTTTTTTAATTTTTATTTAAAAAAAAATGAGAGATAGGGTCTCATAATGTTGCCCAGGCTGGTCTTGAAATCTTGGGCTCAAGCCATCCTCCCACCTTGGTCTCCTAAAGTGCTGGGATTACAGGCGTGAGCCAACCATACCCACCTTGGATTCTAATTTTCAAAGCACTGAACTTATAATAAAAAAGACGGTACACAACAAATTTCTGTGATAATCAAAAACTCTACATGCACTTTCAAATCAGGGCAAGGTTTTGGTTTTTTGTTTCTTTAAAACAGTAAATAACTTTTATTGCTGAAGCATAAAACTGGGTCCAAAGCTTGGTGGCCTAAAGCAACTCTTGGACATTATTTCTTTAGCTACAATGCCAAAAAAAGATTTCTACATCCTCTACTTACAATGTGATCTTTTTCTTTTTTTCGAGACGGAGTCTCACTCTGTCACCCAGGCTAGAGTGCAGTAGCGTGATCTCGGTTCACTGCAACCTCTACCTCCCAGGTTTTCAAGCTATTCTTCTGCCTCAGCCTCCCAAGCAGCTGGGACTATAGGCGCGCCACCACACCTGGCTAATTTTTTTGTATTTTTAGTAGAGACAGGGTTTCACCATATTGGCTAGGCTGGTTTTGAACCCCTGAGCCTGTGATCCGCCCGCCTCAGCCTCCCAAAGTGCTGGGATTACAGGTGTGAGCCGTCACGCCTGGCCTACAATGTGATCTTAACTATAGTAATGTGGTGTCTTATGGGCAGAACTACATGATTTCTGGGTCCCCCCATCTTTACAAGCTACACCATGCTTCTGTACATGAACTCCCAAAAACATCAGAAACATTTAAGTCAAACAAAAGACACACGTTTTAAGGGGTGGGGTTCTGTTCCCAGAGAGCTAAAAAATATGATTAAAAACCCTAATTATGCCTCCTCTTTTAGATACCTTGTGGTATTTCCACTTTATTGTACATGTCCTTCCACTGTCTTTTCTTTCACAAGTGAAAACAAGCATGCCACTTATATCTAGTGTCCAACTGAAGCAGGACCACTTTGACTCCATTATCTAACTGTGAAATACACTACTTACTAATAACTCACATTCAGTCCTTCCTGTCATTTTTTTTTTTTTTTCTGACATGGAGTCCCCCTCTGTCGCCCAGGCTGGAGTGCAATGGCGCAATCTCGGCTCACTGCAAACTCGGCTCCCCGGTTCAAACAATTCTCCCGCCTCAGCCTCCTGAGTAGCTGGGACTGCAGGCACATGCCACCACACCCAGCTAATTTTTGTATTTTTAGTAGAGACGGGGTTTCACCATGTTGGTCAGGCTGGTCTTGAACTCCTGACCTCGTGATCCACCCGCCTCAGCCTCCCAAAGTGCTGGGATCACAGACATGAGCCATCGCACCTGGCCTCCTTCCTGTCATTTTATGCTTTTTATAAACAAAGTATGAAATGTAGTTCTCTCCAAATAACCACACCAACACTATGCATGTTTGTATACTCATGAAAATATTGACAAAATAACTGGACGCAGGTGGCAGCACCACTAAACCCTTTATGTTTGTTAGATGCTACCCATAAATCTCAAGTCAGGCACAGTTCCACCATGTCAATGAGCATGAACAAAAATGCACCCTGGTCAACACATGAATATATCAGAATAGGGGGCCATGTCTATCTTAACTGTGCTATAGACTCAGGAATCTGTACAGACAATTCCTTTTTTTTTGAGATGGAGTTTTGCTCTTGTCACCCAGCCTGGAGTGCAATGACGCAATCTTGGCTCACTGCAACCTCTGCCTCCTAAGTTTCTGGGATTACAGGCATGCGCCACCACCAGCCTTTGGCCAGGCTGGTCTCAAACTCCTGATCTCAGGTGATCCACCCGCCTCGACCTCCCAAAATGCTGGGATTACAGGTGTGAGCCACCATGCCCAGCCAGTACAGACAATTCCCAATATTCTTTTGTTATTGCCACAAAATCACAAACGAAATGATTTGTTTTATGGAAGAAATATTTTTTTCTAGAGAACCTTGAAAAATAATTAATAATTTTATTCCAGTTTAATTACTACAATGAATTTGCCTCTGTTTAAACTGTTCAAACACCTGGACTCTAGGTCTTTCTGATAAGCCACCACTGATGACAGTTACTCTTAAAACATTTTTTGCTTATTTCTTTTATTTCTGGTTTTCTTTTTTTTTTTTTTAAGTTGGAGTCTCACTCTGTCTCCCAGGTTGGAGTGCAATGGCGCGATCCCGGCTGACTGCAACCTCCACCTCTCGGGTTCAAGGGATTCTCCTACCTTAGCCTCCCAAGTAGCTGGGACTACAGGCGCCTGCCACTATGCCCGGCTAATTTTTGCATTTTTAGCAGAGACGGGGTTTCACCGTGTTGGCCAGGTTGGTCTCGAACTCCTGACCTCAGGTGATCCGCCACACCCCGCCAATTTCTGAATCCTCAAATTTTTCTGTAGGTCAAACATCACGGAACTCAGTGACCAACTCAACCAAATATACTATACAGTTTCAAATGAACAGCAGGGTTTAAGGATAAGAAAACACTTTTCCTTCATTTTGTCTAAAGTTTATATATTCAAATAATTTCTTACAATTAAAATACTAATAGCTCTTACCTATGAAGGATGTTGATCAATAAAGTATAGTCCTGGAGGAAGTCATCTGCTTGAAGCCGGCTGCCATTTCTAATTCCAAATTCTGACAACTTCTTGTGATTATTAGCTAGGAAACGTGAATAATTTAGATACTTCAGTTACATCTTCATAGAGCAGTCAGGTTGATTTTTTAAAAAGCTAAACCTCTGTTATGGGCTGATTTGTGTCCCGTTCACCAAAATCCAAAGGTTGAAACCCTAATCCCCAGTATCTCAGAATCTGATTGTATTTGGAGATAAGACTTTTTAAAGGAATGATTAAATTTAAATGGGGCAAGTAGGGTGGGCTCTAATCTGATCTGACTGATGTCCTTATAGGAGGAGGAAGGCAGGCACAGTAGCTCACATCTATAATCTCAGCACTTTGGGAGGCCAGGGAAGGATTGATTCCTGAAGCCCAGGAGTTACACAGTGAGGCGTGTGACTGTACCACTGCACTCCAGCCTGCTAGGCAACAGAGCAGCAAAAAAAATTTTTAGGACTCTGTCTCCAGTCAATCAATCAATCAATCAATCAATCCCAAAATCTGGACAGAGACATCAGGGATGTGCACCCCTAGAGGAAAGGCTATGTGACACAACAGAAAGGCAGCTATCTGCAAGCAAAGGAGAGAGGTTTTAAAATAAAACAAACCTGCCAGCACCTTCATCTTGGTGTTCCAGCCTCCAGAACTGTGAGAATATAAATTTCTGTTGTTTAAGCCACCTGGGTTGTGGTATTTGTTATGGAGGCCCTAGTACCCTAAAACATTAAAACGCTGGGAATTCAGTCTTAAAACACTTAACTACCGAAACTACTTCAGGGGGACCAAACTGAGAAATTCTGAAAACTTTTCCCCATTCAAATCAATTTTTTTTAAAGACAGGGTCTCACCGTGTCACACAGGCCAGAGTGCATCCCAGACTTGAGCAGTCTTCCTACCTCAGCCTCCAGAATAGCTGGGACTACAGGTGTGCACCACCATGCCTAACTAATTTTCTTTCTTTTTTTTTTTTTTGAGACAGAGTCTCACTCTGTTGTCCAGGCTGGAGTGCAGTGGCACCATCTTGGCTCACTGCAACCTCCACCTCCCAGGTTCAGGCGATTCTCCTGCCTTAGCCTCCCGAATAGCTGGGATTAAATGCACCCCCTCCACCATGCCTGGCTAATTTTTGTATTTTTAGTAGAGACAGGGTTTTGCCATATTGGCCAAGCTGGTCTCCAACTCCTGACCTCAGGTGATCCACCCACCTCGGCCTCCCAAAGTGCTGGCATTACAGCTACAACGCCCGGCCTAATTTTTGTATTTTTACAAGAGATGAGGTTTTGCCATGTTGGCCAGGCTGGTCTCAAACTCCTGGCCTCAAGTGATCTGCCCGCCTCGGCCCCTCAAAGTGCTAGGATTAGAGGTGTGAGCCAGTGCACCAAGCCCAATTTTCTATATAATCTCAATTTTCAGTCTCCCCCCACTTTTTTTTTGGCTTTTTAACATTTTTTCATTATTTATAAGGAAAACGCTTAGAACGCCTTTCCCTACGTTGACACCCAGAAAATACTAACAGTTTCTCCTAGTTCTTTTCCAGATCTGTTGCTTGCTTTACCATTTTAATCTACCAGGAATGCCCTTGGCATTCTTACCCAGATTTCCACCTCCAAGCCCTTTCACACATCTCCACTGACTGCAAACCTCTTGGAACCATCACATTCAAAAGGAAAACCAGTTAATGTGGGTTCACATTTTGGTGAACTAGCATCACCTGTGAAGTCTTGTGCTCGCCTAACAACGCTGCTAACATTGTAATGCTATTCCTCAACTGGGCTCCAAGTTCTGACTTTGCAAATCTCAAATCTATCACCTGCCTCTGCCTTAGTAAAAATCCCTCAATCCCCTCCTCCCTAATAGCTCCCTGCTACTCCCCTGTTTAAACCCTGGTGGCAGGTGGCAGTGAAATACTGCCCCTTCCTCTGGAGGGTAGGGGTCAAGGGAGAGGAGGAAGACACACACTGCACATGTGACAAGAAAGACTTCAACCTCACCACTGCTGCCAACCCCTCAGCACCCCAACTTCCAGCGAAACCAAATAATGGGCCACTCCCAAGGCAGTTTAGGTTGTTTCACAAGTTCACACCTTTGTAGACAGATGTTCATTCTGTCTAAATGCTCTCTTCTTTGTCCAGGGAGTCCTCACTACTACTTCAAAAACTGACCCAAGAGTACTCCCTCTCCTATTACTCCCCCTCCGTTTCACAAAGCTGAATATACTTTCCTTAGATTCATACTGTGTACACACTCTTTCTAGTTTTCCTTGGACGATGCTCAATCCAGCTGTTGACAATCTCCCTTCTTCCAGGCTGCAAGGCACTTCAAGCCAAGGTCTGTTGTCTTATTCATCCTTGACTTATGAATACCCAAAACTATGCCTGTCATACAGGACTCCACACATATTCTGGTAAGTGCTGTCTCACCCTCCATACCACATGTATTCCGTACAGAAGGGTCACGCTGAAGCCACTGAAATTCCTGACCAGTTTCCATTTTTAAGCTAGCATTTGAAAGAGCTGGCTACAACTAAGGGACAGCATATAATCACAAACAAACATTTTTTTAAAAGTCAGCTGGCTAGAATGAGGCTTGAATACTCAAGTAGACTCCTAAAATAGAGCACCACACAGCCAAAACATGGCCTCCAATTACACATGACCTAATAGCCCAAAAAATTTCTCAACAAGCAACTACAACCAAGAAGAACCTTGACACTAAACCTGAATTTAAAGAAGGCTTAACATCTGAATCGCCATCAGGACCTCACAAAGTATGAATAAATGACCAATGGACAAATAGGTATGAATTAAGTCAATATACAGGGAAACACAGGGCCTAGAAACCTTCGAAAATAACAGTACACTGGCAAAAACTGGGACATGGAAAAAACGAGAACAGCAACTCAAGAAATGAGCTGCAAAAGTGACCAAGGAGGTATAGGATCAACGAGTACAGTCTGAAGGAGGAATAACTACGATGCAATCCTTACTATGAAAGCTTCAACAGAATCAAATGTATTGTACCTTGTATAGCAAATGTGTTAGCAAAAGGGATGAACTGCTTGAACTTTTGAAAGGAAAGATCAGAAAGCCAAAACCGGGCACTGAATTTCAATAATCTTTCTGCTATATAGTAGGAACAGGCTACCAAGGCTTCCCCACTCTTGGAGAAAAATCTCCAAATGCCTTAGAACCCTACCCACTGTGATCTGACAGACAGAATAGTCTTCTCATCACAAGGTTAGCTCCCAGGATCCATGATATCGGCAAGGAGGTTCCTTGGAAGTGGACAAGAGCACTGCAGTCCCTGAAAATGTCTGACATGGAGTTCCCAAACATGGAAGTGTGATGACCCCCAGCAATGTCACCTTGAAAGAGCACCTTCATGACCAAACACTGCCACTCTCTGCAATACTGAGTATCACATACAGTAAATGAATCAACTAATGTGCACTCTTCAAGCAGTCTCCTCAATGAGAGGAATGAATAAATACAATGTATGATACCTTCCGTCTCTCCCTCTTCGGAAGATATTAGGATTGTTCCTTTCCCATCTTCAATTTGGACATCTGGTGCTACCATAGCAAATTTTTCTTTCACTATCTACAAAAAAAAAAAAAAGGATTCAAAATATTAACGTAGGTAATTAAAGATCATAAGAAATCCTAGACTTCTATAAAGGCTCTTACTTTCCCCTTCTATTTATTGGAAACCGGCGAAGTCACTCTTCAAGATCCCTTAGAGCAAGCAGGAAAGCCGTGGGGATTCACCTGAGTTCCATCCCCACATCTGACCACTGATGCAGATCAGATCCAACTTCATCTCAACAGGGGACTAGGAACTCCCTGGCTGGCTCTTGCTACTTTGTCTTTCCCTGCAGGTTAGGTAGTGAGCTACACACTTGACATATTTCATTTCAGTCTCTGTGCCAACCCTGTAATGGCAGGGGTTTCATAGATGGAATCAGTTCTCATTAACCTGACTCTCAGATAAGTCTCCCCGTTCCATGCATTTAGAGAAGTGATAATATTCTGTTAAATCCTACCAGCTCCTAAAAAAGAAAGAAGGAAAAAAGGAGGAACTCTCTATAGGTCTAAGAATCCTACAAATAGAGGAATAACCTTGAAGCTCAAGAATCAGGAGATACCAAAGATAATTATTTCCTAGAAAAGAAACTGGGGCAACCACCCGCTGCTGTACCTGCCACTTCCTTGACCAAAACATAAGCTCAAATCAATCCGTCCTGCCTAACCAGTTTCTGGAAGAAAGGCCATTCCCTATCAGGCAGCACTGCTATTTGAGAAGGGCCACTTCCTCCTCTCTCAAGAGGCATGTAAATATGTAGCATTATGATGGTCACAACCAGAGAACAATAGGAAGTGATCCCAAAGTGGAAAGTGACACTTTTGGGTCATAAAAAAAGAAAATCTCCCCTAATACACAAATCTAGCCAATTTAACAGGAACTTAAGGACCAGACCATGTCCTAAACCCCCATTTCTTCCCTCGCTTCAGCTCCAGAGGTGAATCCAGGTGTGCAAATGCCCTATGTCCTCAGGGACTAACTTACCATATCAGAATCAGGTCATATTAGATAAGTGTGTACCACCACTTAGCCTCAACTCAGACCTCAGAAATAACAAAAGCCCCCTAATTTGCTGGGAGTGGGCACTGTCCAACACGCAGAGAAACCAAAACTCTGCAAGTTACTTATACCCTTTAATACAAAGCTGGTAACTGGGGCTTTGCTCTACTGGAAATGCAAACTTTGCACTGCATGCAAATACTTATCTGCTCACTGCCACAGTGAGGACCATTCAAGGATACCTGTTATTTGTCAAAAAATACAGAATTTACCCACTGCCTGGGAAGCAAAGAGCAAAGAAGTCCTCTGCTTGCTGTGATACTGTGCCACCACTGTGCTGCAGATTCCAGTCAAATACTCCTACTCCATTCTGGGAATGTGAGGCACTTATTCTGGAACCACAGACAGAAAAGCCTGCAGGAATCCAGAAGGCAAAATAACCCAGGAAATCACAGCCACACATCTCTGCAGTTGGACCTTTTCAGAATCAGCAGCTAGTGTTTGTTTGTCATCACAGTAATACTGTAAAAGCAAAAGGAAAAGAGACCCAGGCCTTGCACTGACCTTGTCTTGTAAGGTGAGAACAGTCACTTTATGGACATTCAGCCGCACAGTCACCTCTGGCTTGCTGGCACATACATAACAATTGGGGTTGGGAGGATCCAGTGCACAAGGCACAAGAAGCTTCTTTCTTGGGTTTGGTTGTTTATTCAAAAAAATCTTTGGAGGAGAAATAACAGGCAGAAATCGGAAACGTGCTGTAATTTTATACGCCATACAATCTAAAATCTCGTTTACCAGATATCCAATAAAAAATGACTTAAAAATTCCCGTCCAGATGGCAAAATGGATCAGGAAAATCATGACCTTTTTAGGAACCTGGTTTTTCAACCTTCTTTTTTTTTTTTTTTTTTTTTTTTTTTTTTTTTTGAGACGGAGTCTTGCTGTCGCCCAGGCTGGAGTGCAGTGGCGCAATCTCGGCTCACTGCAGGCTCCGCCCCCTGGGGTTCACGCCATTCTCCTGCCTCAGCCTCCCGAGTAGCTGGGACTACAGGCGCCCGCCACCTCGCCCGGCTAATTTTTTGTATTTTTTTTTTAGTAGAGACGGGGTTTCACCGTGTTAGCCAGGATGGTCTCGATCTCCTGACCTCGTGATCCGCCCGCCTCGGCCTCCCAAAGTGCTGGGATTACAGGCGTGAGCCACCGCGCCCGGCCTCAACCTTCTTTTCTAATCAGCTAAAGGCTAGGCTAGCTAGGCTTGCTGAAAAGACATCTCCTTGTATTATATAAGACTCCGCGTTCTTCTGCAACCTGATTTGGCAAGAGTAAGGGCACAGGCATGTTAATCTGTGGTGCCATCATTGTATCAGCAGCTGGTGTCCCTCCCTGAGGCTATTCTTATCAAGCAAGCAATCTCCTGACAAGACCAACACATTAATTTCTCCAGTTAACGATAGTGCCTTTCACAGTTGTCTAGAATCAACATCACTGCCTTCCCAAATTTTCTGATTAGAATAACATTTATATAATGAGGGAAAAAAATGTATTTCTGGCAGTATATGTACCTATTTACCATTTCTCTAATACTAAACAAAAAAATAATTAAGAACCAAGGCAAATATACAAATTACACTGAAATTAAGAAAAGCTCCAAGCTCCTGCTTCTACTAAAGTTTAGAAAACACTAGCAAGATCCAACAGAAACAACAAATGTCAGAAGACAAGAAGCTGAGACACAAACCTTTATCTTGTGACTACAATGTAGTGTTGAGTCTGCTAAGAGGAATGAATTCTAAAGGAGTACTCTACGGATTCCCCTGAGAATACAGAACTAAATCCCTCAAGAGACACTAAAGCCGTCCTCTGTAAAATAGCTTCTCCGTACAATGAATACTGGTAGGTGGAAGGGCTAGAAGCAAACTGCCCAGGCCAAGCAGGCTACAGAGGGAGAAAGATTTGTTTGATTTTGGGCTTCACCGGGAAGGTAAGTGTGCTAAGGGAAACTGACAATAATAAAAGCAATTGCTACCACTATTAATACCTGGGCTAACATTAATCCAGGCTGGAATTCATTTGCAAATGTAAAAAAATGAAATCCAGATATATTACTATATTTTTTCTTGAGGCAGAGTTTCGCTCTTGTTGCCAGGCTGGAGTGCAATGGCGCGATCTCGGCTTAATGCAACTTCCGCCTCCCAGGTTCAAGTGATTCTCCTGCCTCAGCCTCCTGAGTAGCTGGGATTACAAACATGCACCACCATGCCCAGCTAATTTTATATATATATATATATATATATATATATATATATTTTTTTTTTTTTTAGTAGAGACCAGGTTTCTCCACGTTAGTCAGGCTAGTCTCGAACTTCCAATCTCAGGTGATCTGCCTGCCTCGGCCTCCCAAAGAGCTGGGATTACACGTGTGAGCCATCGTGCCCGGCCAGATATATTACTATTAATAGTCCAAGAGTGGCATGGAGCTAAGCAGGCAAAGAAACCGGAAGGATGTGATGGGAAATAACAGACATTTTAATAAGTTCAGTAATTAGTACTGTTGGTGAGCTCAAAGGGATACTACAGCTTCAGGCTGCTATAAAAAATTTTTTTTAAATAATTTAAAAACTGGGTATCGGCCAGGAACGGTGGCTCACTCCTGTAATTCTAGCACTTTGGGAGGCCAAGGTGGGCAGATCACCTGAGGTCAGGAGTTCATGACCAGCCTGGCTAACATGGTAAAACCCTGTCTCTCCTAAAACTACAAAAATTAGCCAGGCGTGGTGGCACCCGCCTGTAATCCCAGCTACTGGGGAGGCTGAGGCAGGAGAATCACTTCTACTTGGGAGGTGGAGGTTGCAGTGAGCTGAGATCGCGCCACTGCACTCTAGCCTGGGTGACAGAGCAAGACTCCATCTCAAAAAAAAGATACCAAAAAATAAAGTTCTTAGAAATTAAAAATATAACATATACAATAAAAGTTTAAATAGAAAACTAAATCAAGATGGCAGACTGGGCAATTTGATTCTGTTCCTTCAAACTGAAATTTCATGAAAATAAAATATTTTAAGAGTGCATCGAGGCTGGGCGCAATAGCTCACGCCTGAAATCCCAGTACTCTGGGAGGCTGAGAAGGGCGGATCACTTCAGGCCAGGAGTTTGAGACCAATCTGGGCAACAGGTGAAACACCGTCTCTACTAATAATACAAAAATTAGCCAGGTGTGGTGGCATGTGCCAGTAATCCCAGCTACTTGAGAGGCTGAGGCAGGAGAATCGCTAGAACCCAGCAGGTGGAGGTTGCAGTGAGCCGAGATCACATCACTGTACTCCACTGTACTCCAGCCTGGGTGAGAGCAAGATTCCACCTCAAAAAAAAAAAAAAAAAAGAAAAAGAAAAGGAAAAAAAGAGCGCATCGGGCCAAGTGCAGTGGCTCACACCTGTAATCCCAGCACTTTGGGGGGCCAAGGTGGGAGGACTGCTTGAGCCCAGGAGTTCAGGACCAACCCGGACAACATAGCAAGACCCCATCAGTTTAAAAAAAAAAGGCCGGGCGCAGTGGCTCATGCCTGTATGCCTGTAATCCCAGCACTTTGGGAGGCCGAGGTGGGCGGATCATGAGGTCAGGAGTTCGAGACCAGCCTAACCAACATAGTGAAACCCGTCTCTACTAAAAATACAAAAATTAGCCGGCATGGTGGCATGCACCTGTAATCCTAGCTACTGAGGAGGCTGAGACAGGAGAATCGCTTGATCCTGGGAGGTGGAGGTTGCAGTGAGCCAAGATTGTGCCACTGCACTCCAGCCTGGGCAACAGAGCTAGACTCCGTCTCAAAAGATAAAAAAAAGTAAGTGTGCATCAATGACACTGCAAAATAACAGTACCATTGCAAACTAGATATTTTTTGAAATTTCTGAAGGTAAACAGGTCTTTTTATTTCAATGATAAAAAGGAGAACCTAAACAACAGTCAAAGTATTGGCTAGTATTTCCTAGGAAGCCTTCTTGAGCTGGTAAGAAAGCGAAGTGTCTGCAGACACAACATCGAAGGAAGGAATCCAAAGAGAACATCCAAGTAGTGTTAGCCTTAAGAGATACACCTACCCCACCCACCACTAAGGTAGGAACTCTTAAAACAGGAGACCCTTACACAAAGCAAGGACCTGAAAAGAGAGGAGAAAAATACTTTCTCCATAAAAATGATCTTAAACTTGGTGCTTAGTGGAGGGGGAGGAGTATCTTCCCATATAATTCATGACAATAACATAGGGCACGTGCAGGTTTGTGGTCTGAATACATAGGTATTGAAAATCCTAATTTAAAAGTGGTCCTGTATTGGCAGTGCCCCAAGCACCCAAATATAATAACCACAAATGCTCTTTGAAGAAATACATCTACAATGGGTCCCTAAAGAATTACCAGACACAATTCTAATACACATTCAGTTTTTAAAAAATCATAAACCATACAAGCAAATCACTACGAGAAATAGCAGAAATGACAGCAGACTCACCCATAAAGATCTCAGACATTAACATTATCAAAAACTATACAATAAAATTGAAAAGAATGACTCAATAGGAGAATGACTGAACAGGGGACTATAAAATGACCAAGCAAATTTTAAAACCCATATAGCACTCTCAGAATTGAAAAACAGTTGAAACATCTTCTTAGTATAAGGACCGCACAATGAATTCTTCGAAGAATTCAGTAAAATTGGAAATGTTAAAAGCAAAAGCAACTTCTTAATTTTTCCTTTTTGTTGCAATTTCCAGGAAGCTTAAACACACACTCACTTGGTAACCAGAAAAATTACTTTTCCATTGCTTTAAACCAATTTTATTGTTTTCATTTTAAAAATTATCTGTTTAATGTACTTTTAATTAATGATTTTTTTAAGGGGGGTTGCATAAAAATGCAAACAGAAATACTCACTGTTCTGCACTGGTCTATTTTTCCTGATAAAATCTTCAATCCTTCCAATACTATCAACCCAGCAATTACTGCATTAGTAGTAGCAATAGCAGGAATAATGTTCCCTGCCATTGCTGGGAAAAAAAAAAAAGGATGAGTATGTTTCACTGTTTAAAAAACAACTTCAAGGTTTTAGTGATACAACTTTAGTACAAATAACTTACATTTGATATCAAATCTACTCTTCATATTCATACTGAAAATATGCATCCTGAGGTTTGCAGCAGAGGTGACAAAATCCATTGCAGATGGGTCATCCTGCCAATAATTTAAACAATTTAACAAGTTTCTCCACAAATTGACTATTTTGAAGCATTACTTTCAGAACAATACTTTCACGTGTTTATAATACTATAGACTTTCGACTAGAACAAGAGGTTGCTGAGGGAAAGACCAGTCAGCTAGGACCTCACAGTAGCATGGAGGTGGGTTAAGTAGGGGGTGGGGTCTCATCATCAGCTCCTCTGGTCCAGTAATGAGTCTGACAAGAACACCAAGAATCACCAGCTTCTAGGAACTCACTCCAGCCTAAACAAAGGCACCGGAGACTCAGTTGTATACACCGGAATCTCAATTCCACTCACTGACAATGGCAACCCTTTCCTGGTTCCATTCATCAGTAAAGAGAAGGTTGCTGGACAAACACAGAATCCAGGCCAAAAGACGAGCAATTTAAGAAAACTGTTTTAGGCTGGGCATGGTGGCTCATGCCTGTAGTCTCAAGCAATTTAGTAGGTTGAGGCAAGCAGATTGCCTGAGCTCAGGAGTTTGTGACCAGCCCGGGCAACGTGGCAAAACCCCATCTCCACCAAAAACACAAAAAATTAGCCAGGCATGGTGGCGCACACCTAAAGTCGTCCCAGGTACTCGGGAGCCTGAGGTGGCGGGATCACTTGAACCCGGGACGCAGAGGCTGCAGTAAGCCAAGATCATGCCACTGCACTCCAGCCTTGGTGACAGAGTGAGACCCTGTC
This sequence comes from Homo sapiens, assembly GCF_000001405.40. Lineage (NCBI taxonomy): Eukaryota > Metazoa > Chordata > Mammalia > Primates > Hominidae > Homo > Homo sapiens. Next base: position 34,453,543 of record NC_000019.10, on the reverse strand, counting down.
TCAATTAAAAAAAAAAAAAAAAAAAAGCTGTTTCATTAACACTTCAGAAAAACCTGGATGACTCTTTTTCACTCCCCTTTGCCAAACTCTCTTCATATGCACCACTCTCTCACATATGCTGTTTCTTCAAATAAGGCAATACAATCCAAGTTTTTCCTGTTACGATTTGTATTTTTCCTGAGACTATATCCTAGTCTCTAGATTTCAGCAAGGCTTCCTGCTTTGAACTGAGAAGATATCACCCTGGTCTAAAATTCAGAGGCATCACAGAACAGAAGAAAAAATACTGAGAGCATAGTTCTTTATGTATTTATTGGCTGGCTGTGAATCCTCAGGCAAGTCAAATTCCTTGAGTCAAAATCTCTTAATCTATTAAATAGGGGAAATTATATCCCCATCTCATAAGGTGTGGTGAGGACTAAGAATACTGAATACTCAACACAGTGTCTTCCCTAAGCAGCTGTCTTATCACACCCATTACATGTGGACTTTACTCAAGAGGATAACAATTCCCATTCCAAGGGCTCTTTATTTAGCCTCTGTGCACTAATCAAACTTCCCAAATCACTAGCATAACAATAACAATGAAAATATGAAAAGTTACCCTTTAAATATCACAAAACCCAAGAGACTAATGTTTATAAGAATCCCAAGAATCTAAATATACTAGCTTCATTTTAGTGTATTTAGATGTCTGATTCAACCAAAGTTTCAAAATATGTACACACAAATTTTTCTTAGGTTTCTAAAATTGGCCTTTATGCCTTAAGACCCATGACTAATCTTCAACACCACAGGAACATACAAGCTTCATGAGATAAAACACTTTTAGCCATAGAAAATACTGATTACAATTAAAATTAAGTAAAATTAGTTCATAATATCAAATCTCAAAAGATGACATAACTGCAGAGTACTATTAAATATGATTTTAACTTCTAAGAATAATTACATCTCATTTTTGTATCAAGAGCTCTGTCTTTCAGACCTCTGAAATAGTAATAACTATTTCAATTCAAAGACAATCTTACTATTTTCAAGGGCAAATCAGGCCAATGAGATGTTTTCTCCAAATGATTTTATGACTTCTATGAATACATCTACTCTACACAAGAAACATTTCACTTTAATATATTCACGTTATTTTTCTAGTCAACATAATTATAAACCCTGAACACATCACTAGAATCCCAAATGAAGTTTTATGATATTGCTTGAATTCATGTACAGAAAATTCAGCTCCATACAGCAATTAGAGCTGAAAATATCCAAGCCAAATCAATATATTTCCTCAAAATCTAGTAAATATTCAAAAAATGACTAGCTTCTATTACATCTCAAGAACTAAAACACACTTTTGACATGTAAGTACTTGCCACACATTGTCAAAACGAACCTTATCCCATATGAGCTCAGCTCCATCCCCCTTTTCTGCTAAATGAACTCTCAAAGTCTCGATGCTCTTTGAAAAAAGACGTGCATAGCTCTTTACATCTAGAACCTGCTGGTCTTTCAGGCCTAACTGGGGTTCATTCTGTTGATCTGATGCATTCGTTTCTTCTCCTAAAGAAAAAAATATATATATTAGAAATTTCACTAATTAACATCATTCCTCTACTGTGCTCTGTTTAACAAGTTCAATCCCCGACCATTAAGAAATCAAATATGAAATAAATTCCATTAAAATAATTATCATGGGGCCAGGCACGGTGGCTCACGCCTGTAATCCCAGCACTTTGGGAGGCCGAGGCAGACGGATCATGAGGTCAGGAGATCGAGACCATCCTGGCTAACATGGTGAAACCCCGTCTCTACTAAAAATACAAAAAATATGCAGGCATGGTGGCGGGCGCCTGTAGTCCCAGCTACTCAGGAGGCTGAGGCAGGAGAATGGCGCGAACCCGGGAGGCGGAGCTTGCAGTGAGCCAAGATCGCGCCACTGCACTCCAGCCTGGGCGACAGAGCAAGACTCTGTCTCAAAAAAAAAAAAAAAAAAAAAAAAAAAAACTGTTAAACCTGAGATAGGAAAGGTACAAGACCACCTCAGTACCTCATAGGATTACTGGGAGATTTGAAGATATAATGTAGATAAGATGATAAATAAGCATTAGGCCCAGCACCTAGTGAGAATGAGAACTCAGTAAGCGGACACTACTAGAGTCATAATTAAATCTGTTTGATAACTATCCCTGATTGTTGAGAACTGCTCCAAAATGATATCCCAAGTCTCCCGGGATCTTTTAAGTTTCAATGGGTGCTATACTGCTGTGCATAAATTAATCCTAATACAGTTCAGATAAAGGAGAGACAAGGAGTGTTAAAGGGGAGTGGGATGAGAAAGCAGCCACTACAATAGTTTTCCTACATTTAAAATTTTAAAATATGCTGGGCACAGTTGCATACAGTCCCAGCTACTCAGGAGACTGAGGGAGGAGGATGGCTTGAGCCCAGGAGTCCAGGGATGCCTTGTGCTATGACAGCCTGTGAACAGCCACTGCACTCTAATCTGGGCAACATAGCAAGACTATGCCTCAAAAAACTTTTCATTTCTAAACATTAAAAAAATTTTACATTAAAAATGTGTTTCTAGATTAAATCTTAAAGAGATAATCACAAGGGTACAAAGGTGTACATAAATAGGCTAGGCGCAGTGGCTCACACCTGTTATCCCAGCTACTCGGGAGGCTGAGGCGGGAGAATCGCTTGAACCCAGGTTGCGGTGAGCTGAGATCGTGCCACTGCGCTCCAGCCTTGGCAACAGAGCGAGACACGGTCTCAAAAAAAAAAAAAAAAAAAAAAAAGATATACATAAATATATAGCAATTTCAAAACTTTATTTCAGGGAAAATACAAAAACACTACATGTTAATAAGAGACTAGTTAACTATACTGACTGACAAAAGCAAGTGAGAGTTTATCAATAGTATGATTCCATTTACGCAGTGTATAACGAATGCCTGCATCTGTGTACATAGGGCGGACCACCAGAACACTCCTGAAAATGTTATTAGTGGCTATTTCTGAAGTGTGGGACTTCAGTGACTTTTGTTCTTCATATTTTTTTGCACTGTTTGAATATATGAAGACATATCATTTTCAAGCAACAACAGGGCTATACAAAGACTTTACGCGAGGATATTTCCAGCTTAGGTGTTCCAAGACTAAAATGTATTCTTTACCTTGACTTTGTACTTCAGCCCAGTCCAACGGAACTGGAGGTTTCCTTTTCCGCCATAGTTTGTCCATTGTCAACAGATACCTGATGTCATCTTTAAAAAGCTTACAAAAGAAAGACAGATCCCATGAACCCCATAATCCCTAATTGATAAGATACAAGAAAACGTCATTGCTGATCTATATTACACTATGAAATCTGATTTAAAGATACATGTCATATACCAGCAGCATAACAATTTTCAAAAGGAAAAACATTTGTAAAAGGAAGTTCTAACAGAATCTCTACATTGAAAACAGCGAAATGCAGAAGTGCTCTGAGGAATGCAGAGTAAAGGAGCCCTGAACTGCCGACTGCCCCTGCCTTCCTAAGTCACCTCTCCAAAAGCTTCCCTAAATTTAGCTCCAAAGATCAGTCTGAAGCACAATCATACAAATAAATGTACATTATGTAGTTGTAAATAAATGTACAACTACAGACAATCACTGAGCCTAGGGATGCCAGTCAGCAATGCCTCCAAGCTCATGGGGACATGCACACAAAGTATACAGATTTTTAAACTAAAGTGCTTCACAACAGAACTTCTGAACTGCGATATCTTTAAAATGTGCCCTCCCCTCCAAAAATAACCCACAGAAACATGAACAAAAATAAAATGTAAAAACCCCCACACAATTATTACAAAAACAAAAACATTACAAGTAGATTGAGAAACTATCATATGAAAAGATGTGTTAGAACTTCAAGTGATTTTAATATTTTTTTCTTTTTCCTTATCTGCATTTTCTATTGTTGATTAATTTATTCAACACATTTATTGCTGGTACCAGGTAAGAACAGAAATTTGGCTATATTTAAAAATCACAGCCATTTCTATCAAAATATACTTAATCCATCAATACTAACTGAGCATCCTTAATCTTTATAGAGAATAAGCCAAACATACAAATAATCAGAATACAATTTAGTGTGAATATCACAAAGCCTTGAGTAAGGATTTCTGGCCAGGCGTGGTGGCTCACACCTGTAATCCAGCACTTTGGGAGACCAAGGTAGGTGGATCACGAAGTCAAGAGATCGAGACCATCCTGGCCAACATGGTGAAACCCCATCTCTACTAAAAATACAAAAATCAGCTGGGCGTCGTGGCGCGTGCCTGTAATCCCAGCTACTCGGGAGGCTGAGGCAGGAGAATCGCTTGAACCTGGGAGGCGGAGAGTGCAGTCAGCTGAGATCGCACCACTGCACTCCAGCCTGGCAACAGAGTGAGACTCAGTCTCAAAAAAAAAAAAAAAAAAAAAAAGATTTATATTTTATCTAAGAAATAAGGAAAGAGTCTCCTTATGACAGCAACATGTGAAATGGGTACAAAGGCAAGGAGATGAATCCACTATGACTTGGGTAACAAATGTGGCTGGAAACATTTTGTAGAGGATCTTGAAGGCTTGAACCAACAGTTTTCTAAGCCTAAGCTCCATCTCTTCTATTCAACTATTACTAAATATCAGGAGCCCCTCAGATTTCTGTACTGAACCATCTTTTCATTCTGTCCTCTGTGGTGTATCATGTCCATTTCCAGTAGTTAACCACATCTATAAACCTAGGAATCCCAACCATATCCCTAGTTGAAACCTCTCTACTTATCTACAAAACCACTTCTCTAATGTTCCAAAAGAATCTCAAATGAGTTCAAAATTGATTATTATCACCTTCTCCTACCCTCCCCCAACCCCTCTACACACATCTGCCTCCCAGCTCACTTATATCGGAGAACAGCACCTCTGTTCTTTGACCTGCCCAGGCTGAAGTGCAGTGGTGTGACCATAGCTCACTGAAGTCTCAACCTCTTGGGCTCAAGTGATATTCCTGTCCCAGCCTCCTGAGTAGCTGGGGACCGCAGGCTCAGGCCACCATGGCTGGCTATTTTTTTTTCGTTTTTAGAGATGGGGTCTTGCTATATTGCCCAGGCTGGTCTTGTGCTCCTGGCCTCAAGTGATCCTCCCGCCTCAGCCTTCCAAAGTGCTAGGATTACAAGTGTAAGCCACAGTGCCCAGCCAGGTACCATTTTTTATTCCACTGATCTTCACCATATACATGCAAAGTCCTGTTTAGTCTACTCCTCCATGTTCCAGTGGGAGTACAGATGGCTGTACTCCAGATTATTCTGGCACTGCACAACTCCAGGGGCACTGTCCCAGATTGGTTATAATATGAATATCAGATCCTAGGGTAGTATGTGCATCCCCTCTATCCCCTTATAGTGATCCTGTAAGACCACCTTTCAATGGATTCCCACTGTCTTGCTATAACATCCTTAAGAAGGCCTAGAAAGTCTGCCTGATCTGACCTCAACTTCTCTCTCCAGTCATCTTTTTCCACTCTCCCCCTTAATGGGATTTATGTCAGTTTTCCAACTGAGAGTTTCCTTGTACATACTGTACCCTATTCAGAGTTTCCTTGTACATACTGTACCCTATTCTGACTCTTATTCTTTCAAGCCTTGGGCTTAAATGTCACCTGCTCTAGAAAGCCTCTTCTGAAGCCTCTCCCTAACAACATCTGAAATGGGTATGCAGGCCAGGAGATGAGTCCTTTAGATGAAACTTATTATTCAAGGGCTGCAAAGCATCTGAACTTAATGTCATTAAGACTCTGAAGCTGAAATTTATTGTTCAAAGTTTGACTTCTCATCTAGACTGTGAACTCCCTCTAAAGAGCAAGGACTCTGTCTTCTGTCTTGTTCACAACTAAATCCCCTGTACTTAAAGAGGTGTCTGGCACACAGCAGATGTTTAAAATTATCTGCTAAATAACAGATTGGAGATGCACTTCAGATTTTTCTGGCTTTCAAGTCTTGCTCAGATTGGAATGGAAATAAGGATACTGGTTTGGAAGATACTGCTGTTGACCATATCGAAGTTTACGGCATCTTAAGTATAATCAAAATAAAAACCATTATGATGCTTAATACTGAGTGTCAACTTGATTGGATTGAAAGATGCAAAGTACTGGTCTTGGGTGTGTGTGTGAGGGTGTTGCCAAAAGACATTAATATTTGAGTCAGTGGACTGGGAAAAGCAAACCCTCTCTTAATCTGGGTGGGCACCATCTAATCAGCTGCCATTGAGGCCAGAATATACAGCAGCCAGAAAAACATGAAAAGACTAGACTGGCCTAGCCTCCCAGCCTACATCTTTCTCCCATGTTGGATGCTTCCTGCCCTCAAACATCAGACTCCAAATTCTCCAGTTTTGAGACTCAGACTGGCTCTCCTTGCTCCTCAGCTTGCAGATGGGCCTATTGTTGGGCCTTGTGATCGTGTGAATTAATACTCTATCAACTCCCCTTTGTATATATCTATCCTATTAGCTCTGTCCCTCTAGAGAACCCTAATACAACCATGTTTTAGAAAAGGGCTGTAGTGAGGAAATAAATGCAATAGGGATAAGAAAGTCAACCTGTGGGCTGGGCACGACGGCTCATGCCTGTAATCCCAGCACTTTGGGAGGCCGAGGCAGGCAGATCACCTGAGGTAGGAGTTCGAGACCAGCCTGGCCAATATGGTGAAACCCCCTATCTACTAAAAATACAAAAATTAGCCAGGCATAGTGGCGGACCTGTAATCCCAGCTACTCAGGAGGCTGAGGCAGGAGAATAGCCTGAACCAGGAGGCAGAGGTTGCAGCAAGCTGAGATCATGCCACTGCACTCTAGCCTGGGCGACAGAGCAGGATTCTCTCTCAAAAAAAAAAAAAAAGAAAGAAAAAAAAAAGTCAACATGTGACATCTGTTACCACTGAGGAAATAAGACGAAATACAAGCTGGGGAGAGCAGTATGTCATTTGATTAAGACAGCAGAACCTGTGCGTGTTGGAAAGCAGACAAAAGAAACCAAGAAAAAAAAGATCCGAGACACAGGACAGAGACGAAAATCCTGTCTGAAGAATGGTACAAAAGGAAAGCAAAACACCACATGCAAAAGTTAGCCTTTACCGAAAGTGGATTCTCTCCAGCAGAAAGAAAAAGAGTTTTCGGTTATGTGGAACAGTCTCTCAACAGGTAAATTATGTCCAATGGTTTCAAACCTGTTATTATATCCTTAAGGTCATCTGCTTAGTGAGAGTTGCAAGAATACTGAGGCAGTTTGATAAGAGCTGAGAAAGTTTTAAGCTCTGTGATAAACTTGCTAGGGGCTAGGCTCAGTGGTTCATGCCTGTAATCCCAGCACTTAGGGAGGCAGAGGCTGGAGGATCGCTTGAACCCAGGAGTTTGAGACTTGAAACCAGGAGTTTGAGATCTGCCTGGGCAACATGGTGAGACCCCATTCTCCACAAAAAGGAAAAAAAGAGTCAAAAAAACCCCACACACGTACAACTTGCTAGGGAGTCAAGACAGAACAAAAAAACTTTTAAAACACGGACCTACGGGTCTAGATGAACAATAATTAGGTAGACCCAATAAAAACAATTTCACAGATTTCTCTAGAAATATTTAACAGGCAAATAGTATATACTACTGATGAAGAGGGATTTCACCAAGAAAAAGGGGCTTATGGGGTTCAAGGGCAATTTAGGACACATGTCAGTCAAACTGCTAATAGCAGATATGAGCAAGAAATAAAAGTGAACATGAAGCCAGGAGCAGTGGCTCACGCCTATAATCCCATCACTTTGGGAAGCCAAGGTGGGCAGATCACTTGCAGTCAGGAGTTCATGACCTACCTGGCCAACATGGTGAGACCCCGCTTCTACTAAAAATACAAAATTAGCCAGGCCTGATGGTACACACCTGTAATCCCAGCTACTCGGAAGGCTGAGGCAGGAGAATCACTTGAACCCAGGAGGCGGGGCTGCAGTGAGCCGAGATCGTGCCACTGCACTCCAGCCTGGGCGACAAGAGTGAGACTCCATCTCAAAAAAAAAAAAAAAAAAAAAGTGAAGATGAGAAGCAGCAGGAAAACGAAGAAGTTCTGTAAAAAGTGAGAGAAGGAAAGACAACCAAGAAGGTATACAAGCCACCTCTCATTTTACCTCCTATTTAGATGTTATACTGATAGATTTAGTGTAGATGGTAACATTTTAAAACTTGCATATCCTGACTGCATCAATCATTTTATTAGGACATCACAAGGCATATACATAGAAGCTTAATTCAATTTTATGGACTATTTTAAAACAAGCAGAACTAGAACAATACATCTATGCACAACAATACATCTATCCATGATTATAAAAAAAGTAAATCTAACCTTGGTAAAAAGTTTAACTGGATCATATCCAGTTGATTTAGCCCATTCCTTAGTAGAAATACGTTTAATGTCACCATCTTCATTAGATGCTCTAGCTCTGGCTTCGGCTTCCGTTGGTTCCCCTATAAAACGATCATTATTTTATTTTCAACCGTAATAAATGTAGAACTGAACTCTTTTCACTCACCTTTGGGAATAAAAAGAAAGTCACTCATGGAAATCCCCAAATGCAACACATTCTGAGTTCAAGGAATAAGAAAATAACACATTCATCAGCATCTTTTTGTATCCCAGTTTCTTTCTTTCTTGTTTTTGGAGACAAAGTCTCACTCTGTTGCCCAGGCTGGAGTGCAGTGTTAAGATCTCGGCTCACTGTAGCTTCTACCTCTTGGGCTCAAGCCATCTTCCCGTCTCAACCTCACAAGTAGTTGGGACTACAGGTATGCACCACCATGCCTGGCTAATTTTTATATTTTTTGTAGAGACAGGGTTTTGCCATGTTGGCCAGGCTGGTCTCAAACTCCTGACCTCATGCAATCCAGCTGCTTCAGCCTCCCAAAATGCTGGGACTACGGGCGTGAGCCACCTTGCCTGGCCTGTTGTAACTTAGTTTCTGAAAGCTACACATATAACAGTTCAAAGCACAGACCAGTCATGAGATCTAGGAACAACTCGCAGCTCTATTTACTAGACTTGTGAAATTTCTCTTAACCTTGATTTCCTCATCAGTAAAACGGAATCATATTTTTTTTGTAAAACATTGTTTTGGATAGGCACGGTTGCTTACGCCTGTCCCAGCACTTTGGGAGGCCAAGGCGGGTGGATCACCTCAGGTCAAGAGTTCGAGACCAGCCTGGCTAACATGGTGAAACCCTGTCTCTACTAAATATACAAAAATTAGCTGGGCGCGGTGGCAGGTGCCTGTAATCCCAGCTACTCAGGAGCCTGAGGCAGGAGAATCATTTGAACCCAGAAGGCGGAGGTTGCAGTGAGCCGAGATTATACCATTGTACTCCAGCCTGGGCAATAAGAGAGAAACTCCACCTCTGAGACAAAAAAAAAAAAAAAAAAAAAAAACAAAAAAAAAACACATGTTAAACACACATTACCTAGCACATATAGCAATTTTTTTCCCTTAAGCTACCAAAATTAAATCAACAAAATAAAGATAATAGTATCTGATAAAACATATGCCAAATAATTTACTCACAGGCAGCTTCAGGGTCAGCTCTGTCAGGAGATACTTCTTGATCAGCATCTTCTTCCCCAAACAACTGGCTATAATTTAAGAATAGTAAATACTTCTGTATAACAAAGCATTCTAAACAAACATGTAATTTAGAATATTCCAAATATTTAGCAGAGATAAAGACTGAACAACTGGCTGGGCGCAGTGGCTCACACCTTTAATCCCAACATTTTGGGAGGCTGAGGCAGGCAGATCACAAAGTCAGGAGTTCGAGACCAGCCTGACCAACATGGTGAAACCTCGTCTCTACCAAAAATATAAAAATTAGCCAGGCGTGGTAGCGCACGCCTGTAATCCCAGCTACTCGGGAAGCTGAGGCAGGAGAATCGCTTGAACCCAGGAGATGGAGGTTGCAGTGAGCCGAGACTGCACAACTGCACTCCGGCCTGGGCAACAGAGCAAGACTCCGTCTCAAAAAAAAAAAAAAAAAAGTGAATAACGGATAAATGACTATAAACTTAAAAGTTTAACACAATGTGCTTGGACAGCTTGCATCCCAATTTCAACAGCAATGTAAGCAAGGTTAAATTTTAGCAGACCTACATCCATTCCTATCAGCGAGGCTCTGCACATTTCAATGTTAAAACCTCTGCTCAAGAAACAGGTGAGTGGTTTTCACTTACAACCTGGATAACATTCTAACACCAGAATAATGTTTGTGTTTACACCTGCAGCTACCTGTTCAACAAACATTATTATATACCTCAGGTGCAGAGTCCCCATCTAGGGGATAGAAATTCAGCAATGAACAAGATTAACTTTTTTTCATGGTAGAATGGCTCTTTACTGCTGAACAGAGTGTTAACAAACAATTTGAAAGTATTAAGCTGAGATTCTCTTTTATTAATAAAGTTATCCTAAAAACTGTTTAATAACTCATGGATATAAAAGTTTCCAGTATTTCCTCAAGTATATGATTAATGAAAGTTATCTTACAGAAATCCTTTGTACAACCCCCCACCCAACTATAATTTCAAAGCTCTGATAGTCACTCCCAACAATGGCATGTTAACACTTCCTAAAATTAACGCTTTGCCAACTAGTGAGTGCAAAATAGTAGACAGCCGCTAATTTAAAATGGTCCACCAATGATTTTTCACCTTTACAACAGGTTTATTGAGGTTATATTAAAATGCATTTTTGGCTGGGCGTGGTGGCTCACATGTGTAATCCCAACACTTTGGGAGGCCGAGGCGGGTGGATCAACCGAAGTCAGGAGTTTGAGACCAGCCTGGCCAACAAGGTGAAACCCTGTATCTACTAAAATACAAATATTAGCTGGGCGTGGTGGCAGACGCCTGTAATCCCAGCCACTCGAGAGGCTGAGCAGGAGAATCGCTTGAACCCAGGAGGCAGAGATTGCAGTTGCACTGCACTCCAGCCTGGGCAACAAGAGCGAAACTCCATCTCAAAAAAACAACAACAAAAAAAGCATCATTTTTTACTTAATGGTATTTTTTATTTATGATGAGTTTATCGGGAAGTATCTGAGAAGCATCTGTAGCTTACTATGGTCTTATACTTAATTTTCCAAGTAAGTCTTATGATTAAAACATAACTTGCTTATTGCTTATTTAGGTTTCCCTTCGAGTGAAAAATGCTGCTCATATTAATTTTGCCAGATTATCTTTTTTGTGTGTGTGACAGGGTCTTACTGTCCCCAAGGCTAGTGTGCAGTGGTGTGATCACAGCTCACTGCAGCCTCGACCTCCTAGGCTCAAGTGATCCTCTCACCTCAGCCTCCCAAGTAGCTGGGACCACAGGCATGTGCCACCATGCCTTGCTAATTTTTAAATTTTTTGTAGTGATGGGGTTTCACTATGTTGCCCACACTGCTCTCAAACTGCTGGGCTCAAGCAATCCTCCTGCCTTGGCCTCCTAAAGAGCCGGGATTACAGGTGTGTGTCACTGCACCTGGCCACATTATCTTTTTTTTTTTTTTGTCTTTTTCTGAGACACAGTCTCGCTCTGTCCCCCAGGTTGGAGTGCAGTAGCATGATCTCCATTCACTTCAACCTCCGCCTCCCAGGTTCAAGCGGCTCTCATGGCTCAGCCTCCCGAGTAGGTGGGACTACAGGCGTGTGCCACCACACCCCACTAATTTTTGTATTTTTAGTAGAGACAGGGTTTCGCCATGTTGCCCAGGCAGTTCTCAAACTCCTGGCCTCAAGTGATTCACCCACCTCAGCCTCCCAAAGAAAAAAAATGTTTGCCAAATAAATAAAGCTTCCAAGTGTAGTTTTTGTGAACATTTATCAAGTTGACACTGTTATGTATACTTTTCTGAGTGCAAAAATTAAAGACAATGTTTGCTGAAGGTTTCTACAAAATACCCTTTATCGGGTTGAGAACATTCTCATTTTAGTAAGAAGTTTTTTTATTTTTAATTTTATCTATTTATTTATTTTTTATTTTTTTGAGACGGAGTATCGCTCTGTCGCCCAGGCTGGAGTGCAGTGGTGCAATCTCAGCTCACTGCAACCTCCGCCTCCCGGGTTCACGCCATTCTCCTGCCTCAGCCTCCTGAGCAGCTGGGACTACAGGCACCCACCACCACATCCGGCTAATTTTTTTTATTTGTAGTAGAGATGGGGTTTCACCGTGTTAGCCAGGATGGTCTCGATCTCCTGACCTCGTGATCCGCTCGCCTCAGCCTCCCAAAGTGCTGGGATTACAGGCGTGAGCCACCTCGCCCGGCCTAGTAAGTTTTTATTCTGTTTTAGTAGAAACTTTCATCATGAAAGGCCATTTGCTAAATTTTACCAAATGCTTTCTCTGTATCTATGAAAACTATATAGTTTATCTTTAATTTCCTAATGAGTGAATGACATTTACAGATTTTCTAGTTTAAACCATGCTTGTATTCCTGAATAGACACGTGGTCAAGACACACTTTTTATTTTATATGATTCTAGATCCATATGGTAATTTTTTTTTTTTTTTTTTTGAGATGGAGTCTTGCTCTGTTGCCCAGGCTGGAGCGCAGCAGAGCGATCTCGGCTCACTGCAGCCTCCACCTCCCGGGTTCAAGCAATTCTCCTGCCTCAGCCTCCCAAGTAGCTGGGATTATAGGCGCCCACCACCATGTCCGGCTAATTTTGTATTTTTAATAGAGACAGGATTTCGCCATATTGGCCAAGTTGGTCTTGAACTCCTGACCTCAGGTGATCCACCCGCTTCAGCTTCCAAGTGCTGAGATTACAGGCATGATACACTGCGCCCATTCCCAGGATATGCTAATATTTTACATAGGATTTTTGCATCTATTATTTAGGTGTGAGACTGACTAGCAATTGTTTCTTATGCCATAATGGCCTTGACAGGTTTTGCTATCAAAGACATTGCTAGCCTAATAACACAAGCTAAGTAGTATTCCCTTTTAAAAATTTCTCAGGGAGAGTTTAGCTAATATTACAATATACTCCTTGCAAGTTTTGTGAAATGAATCTGTAAAAATAACATAGGTTCGGTGCATTATTTAGAATAATTTAAACTACTTACATTGCTCTAAGGTATACTGCTAAATTCAGGCATTCTATTTTCCTTTCATTTTTTTTTTTTTTTTGAAACATCATCTCATGCTGTCCCCCAGGCTGGAGTGCAGTGGCCCAATCTCCACCCACTGGGTTCAAGTGATTCTCATGGCTCAGTCTCCCAAGTAGCTGGGACTACAGATGCCCACCACCACGCCTGGTTAATTTTTGTATTTATAGTAGAGACGGGGTTTCGCCATGTTGGCCAGGCTGTTCTCAAACTCCTGGCCTCAAGTGACCCACCCACCTCAGCCTCCCAAAGTGCTGGGATTGCAGGCCTGAGCCACCGCACTGGGCACTTAGTAAGTTTTTAAAAATGTATTTACCCAGATCATTTAAATTTTTTATGTACTACCATGGTCTTATTATCATCCCTTTTTTTTCTTATAGCCTATTTAATCTCTGCTATCTGTATTCCCCGTTTAGTTCTCACTTACTCCTCTTCTATTTTGTAATCAAATGTGCTCTTACTTCAATTAATATCCTTCCTTCTCATTCTTTTTTTCTTTCTTTCTTCATTTTAAGACAGGATCTCACTATCACCCAGGCTGGAGTGCAGTGGCACTATCTCGGTTCACTGCAGCCTCAACCTCCCAGGCTCAACTGATCCTCCTACCTCGGCCTCCCAAGTAGCTGGGAGTACAGGTACACCTGGCTCATTTTTCTATTTTTTGTAGAGACACGGTTTTGCCATGTTTCCCAGGCTGGTCTCAAACTCCTGGGCTCAAGGGATCCTCCCATCTCACCCTCCCACAGTGCTGGGATTAGAGGCATGAGCCACCATGCCCACACCATTCTCATTTCTTAAAGTGTATTCTGTGGTTCATTTTCTAACTTAAATTGGATTCTTAGTAAAGATTTAGTAATTAATGTTCAGCCTTTCTTCATGTATGTAAATCTGTAACTTTTTGCCAACCACCACATTCAATACATTCTGGTATAGCATTTTCATCATTATCAGTACAGAGTATTTTTAACTTCCATTGTGATTTCTTTTATAACCAATGGGTTATTTGTAAGTAAATGTTCACATTTCCAAATATAAAGATTTTTATCGCTTAGTTACATGGCTGTCTCCAATATAAGACTAAGTTTCCTGAACAGTCATGGCCACATTTTTTTTTTTTTTTTTTGAGACAAATTCTCACTCTGTTGCCAAGCTGGAGTGCAGTGGCGCGATCTCGGCTCACTCCAACCTCCACCTCCTGGGTTCAAGCAATTCTCTTGCCTCAGCCTCCCGAGTAGCTGGGATTACAGGCACTCGCCATCACGGCCAACTAATTTTTGTATTTTTAGTAGAGATGTGTTTCACCATGCTGGCCACGCTGGTCTCAAACTCCTGCGCTCAGGTGATCCGACCACCTCAGTTTCCCAAAGTGCCGGGATTACAGGTGTGAGCCACCGCACCCGGCCAGCTACATTTAACCTAAGAAATACTGCAAGAAAGCTACTAAAGCATCCCTTCACCATATTTAAACATCCTGAGTTCAATCTCTTCAAGGTAATTAAATAAAAATGACTCCATTTTCCATCATCAGTACCGAAAAGCATGCCAAGAAATATACACTCTTACTTGAACAAGTACTTTGCCCAAACGATGCAATGTATAGGTTCTGAAGGTGTGTTACGAATTGTACAGCCAGGAAAGGTTCTCTGGGTCGGCTTAGGATGACACTCATAACACTCGGTCACACCCTATGAAGTCAGGATATGAGAAAAATTTACTCCATGATGGCAGTTTCTCAACATTATAAGGTAATATAAACACTTCATTCATCTATATTCCAACTACGTTTTACGTTGTCAAGGAAATTTTAAAATATTAGTGACTCCAAAATGCTTACTTTATGATAAACTAACACAAAAGCTAACTGAATCTACCAGTCATAGCTAAGGCTGTGCCAGGACGCCGACTCCTGGTTCAGTGAACATGACTTACAAGCCCAAATAAAAATTACTACACCTGAGTGTCAAATATGAGTTTACCTTGATCACACTAAACAGAAAAACTACTGGAAAGACAAACAGCAGCTTTCCAAGAAATTATTTCTCAAAGTTGTAAATGTTATCTAAATATTATTCGCAGCCATTTTCTTATATGTGTTTTTTTTTTTTTTTTGAGCAAAACTAAGTGGGTCTGGGGAATACAGCCATATCCTTATAATCTCCTGAAATTAAGTAAACTACAAGATTAATTTCAAGATATATCTCCCTACACAGAAAAATCTTAGGTGTTACTAAACCAAATACTCTTCATTTTATTGATATACGTTTCTTTTTGGCGGTGGGGAGACGGAGTCTTGCTCTGTCACCCTGGCTGGAGTACAGTGGCATAATCTTGGCTGCAATCTCCGCCTCCCAGGTTCAAGCAATTCTCCTGCCTCAGGCTCCCAAAGAGCTGGGATTACAGGCATCTCCCACCACTCCCAGCTAATTTTCATATTTTTAGTAGAGACGGGGTTTTTCCATGTTGGCCAGCTTGGTCTTGAACTCCTGACTTCATGTGATTCGCCCGCCTTGGCTTCCCAAAAGTGCTGGGATTACAGGCGTGAGCCACTGCGCCCAGCCCATTTTATTGATACACATTCAAGTTTAAAATTACAATTTAAGGAATTTATGCCTTGGAAGAAGTACATGACACCTGAGACAACTTTTCAAAACTATCAAATGAATCATCTTTCATTATCTCAGATATTCCTAACCTCAGTCTCTTCTTTTTTTCTTTTTGTCTGAGACGGAATTTCGCTCGTTGCCCAGGTTGGAGTGCAATGGCGTGATCTAGGCTCACCACAACCTCTGCCTCCCGGGTTCAAGTGATTCTTTTGCCTCAGCCTCCCAAGTAGCTGGGATTACAGGTGCGTGCCACCACACCCAGCTAAATTTTGTATTTTTAGTAGAGATGGGGTTTCACCATGTTGGCCAGGCTGGTCTCGAACTCCTTACCTCAGGTGATCCGCCCGCCTTGGCCTCCCAAAGTGCTGGGATTACAGGCGTAAGCCACCATGCCCAGCCACCTTCAGTCTTAATACACAGTGGTGTGTCAGAATCACAGTAACAAGGATATAAAAAGCAATGTCTGGCCGGGCGTGGTGGCTCATACCTGTAATCCCAGCACTTTGGGAGGCCAAGGCAGGCGGATCACCTGAGGTCAGGAGTTTGAGACCAGCCTGGCTAACATGGCAAAACCTCATCTCTACCAAAAATGCAAAAATTAGCCAGGCTAATTGTTCAAGAATCAAAACTCTCAAATACTGTTTTAATATAAATTGCAGCAGATTTAGAGTTTTCTCTGAAACACCATTTCTGATGCCCTCAGCCTTCCAATATGCTTTCTTGAGGGTAGCCACATGGCAAGCAGTCATGAGACTCATACTGCAATGCAGACAGAGAACTTCCGTCTTGATCTGTCAACAGATACTGAAGGCCTCCACTTATTCAACAACTTAATACGCACTGACATACACAACAGTCTTTTGTAGAATGGTATTCAATAAGGTTCCAAGAATAACATTTAACAGTTAAAAGAAACAAAGACACAATTTCTAACATGAATAAGCTGCCAAAAAAAATTAGACGCAACCAGCAAATGTTAAGTACATTATAATTCTCTTTCTATAGTTTCAAAACATGGAAAACGACTCTTCAAATGTAACTACAATATTTAACTTCTTAAAAGAACTGAAAGAAAAAATATCTGAATAGCAAATGAAGCCGTGTTGAGGTTTTAAAAACTGAGATATGTGCCAGGCATGGCGGCTCACACCTATAATCCCAGCACTTTGGGAGGCCGAGGCAGGTGGATCACCTGAGGTCAGGAGTTGAAGACCAGCCTGACCAACATAGAGAAACCCCGTCTCTACTAAAAATACAAAATTAGCCAGGCGTGGTGGCGCACGCCTGTAATCCCAGCTACTCGGGAGACTGAGGCAGGAGAATCGCTTGAACCAGGGAGACGGAGGTTGCGGCGAGCTGAGATCGCGCCACTGCACTGCAGCCTGGGCAACAAGAGCGAAATTCTGTCTCAAAAAAATAAACAAATAAATAAATAAACCAAAACAAAACTGAGGTATGAGCACACAGGTATTTTGTTCTATTATTCTCTAGTTGTATTTAAATGTTTGAAGTACTTCACAAATACACCCCTAAAAAGTTTTCAAAGTTCCCTTCCACATTATAAGCCCAGACTCTTAGACAACAGAATTTTTTGGTTTTTTTTTTTTTGAGACAGAGTTTCGCTCGTTGCCCAGGCTGGAGTGCAATGGCGTGATCTCAGCTCACCGCAACCTCCGCTTCCCCGGTTCAAGGGATTCTCCTGCCTCAGCCTCCCAAGTAGCTGGGATTACAGGTGCACACCACCACGCCCGCTGATTTTTGTATTTTTAGTAGAGACAGGGTTTCACCATGTTGGACAGGCTGGTCTCAAAATCCTGACCTCAGGTGATCCGCTCGCTTCGGGTTCCCAAAAAGTGCTGGGATTACAGGCATGAGCCATCACGCCTGGCTTTTTTTTTTTGAGATGGAGTCTCACTCTGTTGCCCAGGCTGGAGTGTGGTGCCATCTTGGCTCACTGTAACCTCCACCTCCGAGGTTCAAGCAATTCTCATGCTTCAGTCTCCCAACTAGCTGGGATTACAGGTACACGCCTCCACACCCAGCTAATTTTTGTATTTTTTGTAGAGACGTGGTTTCACTACATTGGAGAGGCTGGTCTCGAACTCCTGACCTCAAGTCATCTGCCTACCTCAGCCTCCCAAAGTGCTGGGATTACAGGCATGAGCCACTGCACGCAGCCGACACAAAGAAATTTTTGATGCCTGGTATATCATGCTTACCACTCTAAGGATTTTAATACAAAAGTCAAATGAAACAAAATGGCAGAGCTGAAAGATTTCCTTGCCCATAGTCTTTTGAGCACGTTTATAGCATTTTAAGTTTGTTTTTTGAGACAGAGGCTTGATCTGTAGCCCAGGCTGGAGGGCAGTGGTGCAATCTCAGCTTACTGCAACCTCTGCCTCTCAGGTTCAAGTGATTCGCCTGGCTCAGCCTCCCAAGTAGCTGGGATTACAGGCGCCGGCCACCATGTCCAGCTAATTTTTGTATTTTTAGTAGAGATGGGGTTTCACCATGCTTGCCAGGCTGGTCTCAAACTCCTGACCTCAGGTGATCCGCCCACCTCGGCCTCCCGAAGTGCTGGGATTACAGGTATGAGCCACTGCACCTGGCCCCGCATTTTAAGTTTTATATAAGCATAAAAGTCCTTACATTTTGGATGTTCACCTGTTCATTTTATATAAATACAAAGTTTATTTCCTCCTGCTCCAAGGTCTCAAATAAATATTTGGGAAGTTAAAAAAATAAAACTTTTCTTTACCTTTTTGATAGTAGTTACTTGTCCAAGATACCCAGCTGTTCCACTTTCAATAAGAGGAACATCAGCTGCCAGGCACATTCTATTAACATGGTTTCGGGCAGCTGGAAGTAAAACAAACAGTATGAGTTTTTGGGAAAAAAAAAATTAGTTATCTTTAATTAGGATGACACAGACTCAAAACTATCTTACTGGCTTCATTTTTTGTACAATTTTCTTATAGCTATGGCCAGAATAATACAACTGTTAATTACAGACATTTAAGAGACATTCACTTAGCAAAATATCAAATAGAATTTATATCACAAATTTACTCCAGGAGAAGTACCCACAGAAACACATAATCTTAAAAATCCAACGTGCCATATTTCTCTTCTATTGCTGTACCTTACACAAAACACTGTTTCAAGGTGTTCCTAAACTCACCACTATTCTAATATAACTAGCAGATAATACATGATAGAAATGAAGGCAGAATGTGGAATATCAACTTGGAACTATTAAAGTAGTTTAAGGCTAGGGAAAAAAGATGAGTCAGGTTAAGAGAGTAATTTCACGCCAGGAGCACTGGCTCATGCCCATAATCTCAGCATTCTGGGAGGCTGAGGTGGGAGGACTGCTTGAAGCCAGGAGTTCGAGGCCAGCCTGGGCAACAAAGCAAGACTTCATCCCTACAAAAATAAACATAAAAAAATTAGCCGGGTATGGTGGTACCTGTCTGCAGAGTAGCTACTGCAGAGGTTGAGGTAAGAGTATCACCTGAGCCCATTTGAAGGCTTCAGTGAGTTATGATCACACCAGTGCACTCTAGTCTGGGCAACAGTGAGACCCCCCAAGCCTTAAAAAATAAACGTAATTTTGACTTTTCCTTGTGTTTTTTATTTAGATATTTCTGGCCCAACTTGTTGTAAACTCACTTAGTAGATATACTTTTACATGTGGAAGTAATTACAGACAAAGAATATCACTCAAGCATCCCCCACCCCACCCTCCAGTCACACTTTTTCTTTTTTTGAGACAGGGTCGCACTCTGTCACCAAGGCTGGAGTGTAGTGGTGTGATCTAGGCTCACTGCAACCTCTGCCTCCTGGCTTCAAGCGATTCTCCCACCTCAGCCTCCGGAGAAGCTGGGACTACAGGCACATGCCACCACACCGGCTAATTTTTGTGTTTTTTGGTAGAGACGGTTTCACCATGTTGACTAGGTTGGTCTCGAACTCCTGACCTCAAGTGATCCTCCTGCCTTGGTCTCTCAAAGTGCTGGGATTACAGGCGTGAGCCACTGTGCTGAGCCACAGTCACACTTTTTGAGAGCTTTTCACTTCACTTCTATTTATACCTTTTGGTAGAAATGCAGAGAATATGATAGCTAAATTCCCGCCTGGAATAAGTCATTTCTATATAAAACTGCAATCAATGGGCATGCTTTAAACTCGATCATTTCTCTTAAGTCTTTTAAGTTCTAAATCACAATAGTCTAATAAATATTAAATTTGTAAACAAATTTGATATGGGAGAGAGGAAATACTGAGAAATTAAAAGTATTAAAATAACCTCACCTCTGTTATCTAAAGCATTCATAACCAGTATAAACTGTCGGAAAAATTCCACATTATAGTCAGGGCTACAAAACAAAATAAAAAAAGGTCACCAAAATAACTAGCCTTCCACATGATCTTTGCAGTATAATAAACAGTTCTGAAAAAAACATAGTAACTGTAAACAAAACTGATATCAGGATTATATGTCATATAGATAGTAAGGTTTGACTCTTTCCAAACATAAGCAGATTTTAAAGAAATTATTTCCTTCAAATTCCTATCCTTTTTGGCCAGCTAGGGCACAAGAGAAAGATCTCAAACTGGCAGAAAGATGGCATGACTTCACTAGTCCCACTAGGCCTTCTTTGGGCAGCAAGTGCCTGGGAACGCATAAAGAACACATTCCCAGGATCTGCCTGGCCTCTGACTTCACCTCACATGATCAGGATCAGGCAGGGTTCAGGCCCCTAGGGTCTCTGTTTTTAGCAGCACTGGGAAAGCAACACAGGGTAAGGAGGTTATAGGGCTACAGGCAGGTTCACAGAGTAAAAAACTAAAAAACAAGCCGGAGATACAGGCCGGGTGCAGTGGCTCACGCCTGTAATCCCTGCACTTTGGGAGGCCAAGGCGGGTGGATCACCTGAGGTCGGGAGTTTGAGACCAGCCTGGCCAACATGATGAAACCCCGCCTACTAAAATACAAAAATTAGCTGAGTGTGGTGGCGTGCGCCTGTAATCCCAACTACTCAGGAGGCTGAGACAGGAGAATCGCTTGAACCCAGGAGGCGGAGGTTGCAGTGAGCCAAGATCATGCCACTGTACTCCAGCCTGGGCAATAAGCGCAAAACCCTATCTCACACACAAAAAAAACACAATCCGGAGATACAAATGCCCTGAGAAAGTGTTAAGTACCTCAATTCCAGTACCTCAAACAAGGACTATTTTTAACACTATTTACTTGCAAGCTAAACCACCATAGATAAAGGACAATTTCGGCCCACAGTTCCTTTGCTCCAACTCCTCCAAAATTATATATTTACTCTATCTTTACTGAGATAAATATATTTATGTACTGTCAATACTACTGCCCTACCACAATTCCAAGTGTTATATTACAGAAGTCAGAGTCATACTACAGATTATTTTGGGAGGGAAACTTTTAAACAAAAAAAGGCAAACACTTTAGAAAAGTCTGAATCATCATAAATAAGGATATTTCATAGTTTAAAATATCTTCTTACTTAAGGCAAGCATATAAGGTCTTTATAAATTTCCAAGTAACTTATTTATTAAAAGTATTAAACTATCTCACCATTCTAAATCATTCAAACCATGTATTTATGAACTGGTAAAAAGAATGCCACTCTGTAAGCAGAAACCACCACTGTTTAATAATTCTAGAAAAATCATTTTTTTTAAAAAAGCTGAATGACTTTGAGCTTATATATTTGGCTTACAAAACCCTTATACAACTTTGCAATGTAATCACTATAGCATACTTCATGATGCTGTCATGGTAGGCAACGATATTAGCTTTCGGGTAAAACTGCAGTACACTTTCCTTGGCAACCTGGAAAAATAAACAACACTGAATTACTACAATATTTCTGTTCCTATCTGAAATCTGCTTCTGGAAGCCACAATGCTGTTATCTACTTACATAGTACCTTATTTATATTAAACACCAAAGAAGTCCAAAAATGTGAGAAAATTGCATTAGGGTTAAGCTACACTTATAAAATTATACTTTTATACTTATAAAATAACCGGAGAGCCCCCCCTGACCCACGTACCACCAAACACACTTCTACATGAATGGCAAGCTTCAGCAAAAATACAACATGAAGTAACCAAGTGTCATTCATTCATTCACTTAACAAGTATTTACTGAGCATCTTGCATGTACCAGGAACTATACAACGTACATGTCAAGCAAGAGAGACATTAATCAAATAACAATCCAGATTAAGTTCAACTACAGACTCTGATAAATGCCATGAGAATGACAGGAAAAGGCCAGGCATGGTGGCTCATGCCTGTAATCCCAGCACTTGGGAGGCCAGTGTAGGAGGATCCCTTGAGGCCAGGAGTTCTAGGCTGCAGTAAGCCATGACCGCATCACTCCACTCCAGCCTGGGGCGACAGAGTGAGACCCTATCTCTAAAAAAAAAAAAAAAAAAAAAAAAGAAAAGAAAATGATAGGAAAAGTAAAGTAAAGGTTGTTATGAGAGAAAAACCAACCTGACTTAGTCTAAAAGGTTTAGGAAAGTACTCCTGGAGGAGGAAGCCAAAATATGAAAGAAAAAGAGAAACAAGTGGGGGTTTGCCAAACAGGTTGGGAGACAGGCAAAGGGAAAAGATGTTTTAAGACTCTGAATCACCAAGGAACACTAAAAAAACTAAACAAAGATCGGGGGAACTGTCTTGTTTCAACTAGGACAGCAGCATAACGCTCCTCTAGCCCCCAAACATAGCAGTAGTCAACCTCTAGGGGGTGTAGGAACACAAGGTGCATCCTAAGCAAAGCATCAGAAACTTAAATATAAAGAGGCCATGAAAGTTACACCATCACGGGATTATTTCCTTTTTAGAACAAAAAAGGAGGGCTTAATCTTTAGTCCTTTACTTGATATATCTTTATCCTTCACAATCTCTCAGCTGAAATGAGAGCTTCACCCATTTTTTCCCTCCTATATGACAGGCAGGATTAATCTGGTATCACAAATAGAAGCTCCATCAAGTTATAGAAATGGTATGAGAAATATAGTTACCTGTGCCTTTGATCTTCCAACATGTTTCTTTTGAAACAAAAACTGTCTGTTGAGGTTGCTTACATCAATAGTATCCAGATCAATCTACAAATGCATAAACCCCAGATAAATGACAAACGTTTACGTATGTTTGAGCTGTATCACTACTCTCAGCACCTGTAATCCAGAACTTTTGATATCTGCTACATTAGTGGAGAAAGCGTTTTTCGAATCGCCATACCAAAATTGTTAAACTGATAAAGAATAATTTAATGCATGTAAGAATCTAGATTTAATGTCAGAGATAAACTTCTCAAAAATACTTTGAAAGAATGGTATATTTTGTTTGTTTAATCATCCTGGAAAATATTTCAGGAAACTCCCTGGATGCCATAAAAATATGTGAATTCATTAAAACTATATGTGCTGTCGAGGTAAACACTAACTGAAAATATATTAACATATTTCTCTACACCGGGAGTGGTGGCTCATACCTGTAATCCCAACACTTTGGGAGGACAAAGTGAGAGAATCGCTTGAGCCCAGACCTTCAAGACCAGCCTAAGCAAAATAGTGAGACCCTGGTGGCTACAAGAAATAGAAAAAATAAAATTAGGTGGCACATGCCTGTAGTCACAGCTACTCGGGAGGCTGAGGTGGAGGATCACTGGAGCCTGGGAGGCGGAGGTTGCAGTGAGCCGAGATCGGGCCACTGCACTCTAGCCAGGGTGACAGGGCCAGACCCTGTCTCAAAAAATACTAAAGTATTTCTCTTTCAATCGAATTACTCTTTCAAGTACAAAATATTAAATTTAACTATGCCCTGTTCTTTTTCTTTGTTTTTTGAGACAGGGTCTCCCTCTGTTGCCCAGGCTGGAGTGCAGTGGTGCAAACACAGCTCACTGCAGCCTCGACCTCCCAGGCTCAAGCGATCCTCCTGACACAGCCTCCCGGGTAGCTGGGACCACAGGCGCACACCACCACGCCCCGCTAATTTTCTTTTTTTGTAGAGACGGGGTTTCTCTATGTTGCCCAGGTTCTGTTCTTTTTCTTAAATGATACATGGCAAACGTTTATTGAATTTTTGCTGCCTCCCTTAATTCAAGCCTTCATCCATACACAATTTCATTTACTATTAACCTGAGAACTGTGAAAGGAAACTTTTACACATGGTTAAAAAAGTATCATGTTTTAAGTTTTATCTAATTTTTGCTTAAATATATAATACATAAAGGAAAGAAACAATGACTCAGTCGGCCACCCGTACTTTTTTGTTCATTCCATGTTTCCACTAGCCCTTAAGACACTTTAAACTCACACCGAAGGGCCAGTAACATCTCCAATCTCTAAAAAGTTTGCATTAGTAGAAATAACGATTCAAAATAGCACTGGCTTGTCAACGTACACCAATGCAAAAGGCACAGTCCTAACGTCTTTAATGAAACAAGCGAGTGTACCGTCTACTGTGAGAGCAATGACAGTCACGCAGCCTGCGGGAGCCCTGCCACTCGCTCCGTGACCCAGGGTAAGTTACTCAACCCCATTGCGTCTCCCTTTCCTCATCTGTTAAAAATAAAGCAGGGTGGAAATAGCGTTTGCACTCCTCGGGTGGTATGAAGATGGTGCGCGTTCCGTGTGTAAACCCGCTCGTGACCAGCGCTCGGGACGCGTTGGTCGCTATCATTGCCATCCTCCGCCCCGCGTCGTTACTTCGGAGTTACGACAGGGACCTCAAAATTAAAGTCACAACATCCGCGAGGGACTCAATCCTCTCCCGCATCTCCTAACAGCCGGGAATTTGTTTTGAAGGGAGGATAAGAGGCGGCTTCACGCCCACGAAGCGCCACACATTGGCGCTGCCGGGGAGGCGGGGGCCCGCGGCCTCCTCGGCGTCCGGAGCCGGCCCAGCGAGCGGAGGCCCGCCCCGTGCCCAAAGAACAGTCTCCTCCCGCGGGGGGGGCACAACCCGAGCCTCTCAGCCTGCCCCCGCTCCGCAACTCCGGTCCCGGGCTCCGGGCCCTGAGCCTCAGAGCCCCTGGAGCCCCGGAACCCCCGAATCCCAGCCCCCGCACCACAGCCCGCCATTCACGCGCGCGCGCCCGGCCCTCACCAGGTCGATGTGGGAGAAACCGGTGAGCACGAGATTCTTGAGGAGCTCGCAGCCGATGCCGCCCGCCCCCACCACCAGCACCCGGCCCCCGGCCACCGCCTCAGCCAGCTCCCGGGGCAGCCCCCGCGACAGTGCCATGGCGGGACAACCACGAGCCGCGGCGGAGGCGGAGGCGGGAGAACCGAGCCGCGGCCGGAAGCGGGTGGGGGAAGGGCGGCCTGGTTTCCGCTCCTGCGCACTACAGCCTCCGGCAGACACAGGCAGGGCACATCGCGCCGGGGTGTGCTGCAGCCCGCGGGGACCGGCAGGCTCTTGCAAAGGGCTGGCGACCTCCAGCTGAGACCGGCGGTGTTATTCCCACACCAGCATAGGCCCGCCATCAGACCTAAAAAGTCTAAGGGTCGCCTTCTAGCCTGGGGTTTCAACTCCCAGCCAAGACTTCCTTACAGGTTAGAAAACTGATGTCCCTATACGTAAAGAGCTCTTACAAATTAACAAGTGTCACCCCCAAAAAAATATAGGCAAAGGATGTGAACAGGAAACTCACAAAAAATTGGACAATATGATCAATAAGCGTATTAAAATGTAAACCATAAAAGAATCGCTTGAACCCTGGAGGTGGAGGTTGCAGTGAACCAAGATCGCACCACTTCACTCCAGGCTGGGTAACAGAGCAAGACTCCGTCTCAAAAAAGAAAAAAATGTAAACCATGCAAAATGGTAAGATTTTCACCTGCCGGGCGCGGTGGCTTACGCCTGTAATCCCAGCACTTTGGGAGGCCGAGGCGGGTGGATCACGAGGTCAGGAGTTCTGAAACCAGCCTGACTAACATGGTGAAACCCCCATCTCTACTAAAAATACAAAAATTAGCCGGGCGTGGTGGCGTGCGCCTGTAATCCCAGCTACTCGGGAGGCTGAGGCAGGAGAATCGTTTGAACCCAGGAGGCAGAGGTTGCAGTGAGCCGAGATCGCGCCACTGCACTCCAGCCTGGGCAACAGACTCCGTCTCAAAAAAACAAACAAACAAACAAACAAAAAAAAACACCGAAACAGCTGGGGGTGGTGGCACAAGCCTGTAGCCCCAGCTACTCAGGAGGCTGAGGCAGGAGAATTGCTTGAACCCAGGAGGCGGAGGTTGCACCACTGCACTCCAGCCTGAGCAATACAGCGAGACTCTGTCTCAAAAAAAAAAAAAAGTTTTTCACCTACTAAACTGGTAGAAAGAAAAAATAAGTAACACTTATCAAGGGATTGGGAAACAAGCACTCCAACACACTCCAGGTAAAGATTCCAAAGCAAAGCTTCTCTAGAGGGCGTGGTGGCTTGCACCTGTAGTCCCAGCTACTCAGGAGGCTGAGGCAGGAGGATCACTTAAGCCTGAGAGGTCGAGGCTGCAGTGAGCTATGCCCTTACCACTGCACTCCAGCCTGAGAGACAGAGCAAGACCCTGTCTCGAAAAAAAAGAAAAAAAAACCCTAAAATTGTGCACAACTTTTGACTCATTCATTCCAATTCTAGGAAACTGTCCTGTAGCAGTTATCATTGATTTAAAATATATATAAATTTAGTTACAGGGATGGCCATCATGGGAATAAAAATTGGAAAATACAAGTGGCTAAAAATTGTATAAAGCTTTTGATGTATATTTAAAAAATAGAGCAATTATAAATTATGTTGTGGGAAAAATATTAATGGGAAAATGCTCCAAATATAATGTTAAATGCAAGAAACAAGCCCACCCCATGATCACCTAGGCCTCATTATCCTCATCTACGTAGGCAGAGCATGTCTGAACATGGCTGGGAGTGTTTTTATACTGCTGTTATGGGGCTGAAGGGAAGGGGTTGATCATGTTAAAAATAAAGAAAGGGGAAGACTGGAAGGCAGCTGGATAAAGGGACAGTCTCCAGAACGGAGTAAAGACCCCTTCCTGGGATACTGCAGGAGCAGAAGATGGGAGTGGGTGAGGGCGGGGACCTGGGCTGATGAACATGGGCAGGTCTAAACAGCCAGGGTCACAGAGCAAAAACCTCCAGCAGCTAGAGCAGGTTCAGTGGCTTGATCAGGTGCCAGAAACAGCATAGGAAGCACTGGAGTGCACGTGTCAGAGGTGTACACAAGAGGCTGACCACTGCTCTTGGCTCTTTCGCTGCTCTCCTCCCCCCTAGAATGCCCACCAGAACGGCTGTGCAGACAACACCAGCCCTCTGGACTAGAGAGGAGCTACCTTCCTAGCTGCCACTGTGACAGCTGGCCCTGGACCCTGGAAGGGCAGACCAACCCACAGTCAGGAGGTCCTGGCCCGGCCCCGGCCCCGGCACCAGCACCCAAAGGCAAAAAGGCAACTCAGAAAAACAGAGGTTAATAACTTGTGAGTTAAAATAAGGTACATACAAACATATTTGGATGTAAACATTTGTTTTAATTTATATTAATAAAAGGAAATGCTCTACTTAAACAATAATTCATCTGGGTCTTCTTGTATAATACAAAATTCTTCCATGGGAGTCTGATGATTTGGGGGCCAGCAACTCTTCTCACATGTGTAAACTAGAATTGTTCCAAATTCCACAGAAAGACCTGAAAAATACCACATATTCAGGCTTCCAGCAAAAAGAGTTATGAGACTGATGTTACTAAAAGGAATGATTTTACCTTATAAGCTGAAAAAGTAATTAGGTAAAGCAAAAACAGTGCTTACTGCTTTCAGCTATAACAGAATCACAGTCTATCCTATAATAAGTGAATATTGATAACAAAAAAGCAAAATTAATTTAAAGTGGCAGGAAAATATACTTTAAAAATAAACAAAAATTTCAGCAAGTGTTCATTATAACTGTCTAGCTATCTGATGTTGAAAATCTATATTAATCTACATGGTTCATGTGATATACATAGCTTTTGGCTAGGTGCGGTGGCTCACAACTGTGATCCCTGCACTTTGGGAGGCCGACGGGGAAGGACAGCTTGAGCCCAGCCTAGGCAACATAGTGAGACACCTGTCTCTACAAAAAACAAAACAAACAAACAAACAAACAAAATATATATATATCTCATATAGCCTGGGCAACACAGTGAGACTTTACTAAAAAAAAAAAAATTCACTGGGTGTAACGGTGCACACCTGTAGTCCCAGCTACTCAGAGGAGACTAAGGCAGAAGGATCACTTGAGCCCAGGAGATAAAGGCTGCAATAAGCTATGATTGCACCACCGTACTCTGGCCCGGGTGATAGAGCGAGACCCTGTCTTAAAAAAAAAAAAAAAAAGAAGAGAGAAATATATATCATAGGACACACTACTGCCGAGAAAGGATAAGGATTCAGGCAAAAAATATAAAATAAACCCTAAGAGTTTACAGAAAATTATCAATGAATAAAGCCATTAAAAAAAGATACCAAGAAAACATAAGCAATAAGAACTCCTGATATTAGAACAGAAAAGCAGGAGTCAAGAGGATGACGTAGGCAATGATTTGCAGCAGCAAAGGAGAAATACATTGTTTAAAAATGTATGCATTGGCTGGGCACAGCACATTGGCTCATGCTTGTAATCCCAGCACATTGGGAGGCTGTGGTATATGGATCACCTGAGGTCAGGAGTTCAAGACCAGCCTGGCCAACATGGTGAAACCCCGTCTCTACTAACAATACAAAAAATTAGCTGGGCGTGGTGGTAGGCACCTGTAATCCCAGCTACTTGGGAGGCTGAGGCAGGAGAATTGCTTGAACCTGGGAGGCACAGGTTGCAGTGAGAAGAGATTGTGCCACTGCACTCCAGCCTGGGCAACAGAGTGAGACTCTGTCTCAAAAAAAAAAAAAAAAATGAAAAAATGGCAGAGTTTAACTGGTATATGACATTCCTCTAGGAGCATCTGACTGGTAAGGGAAAAGCGCCTCAAGTGAGCAAGTCTACAACTCCAGTAAACACACTGCGCATGCGGCCTCTCCCAAGTGCTGGAGGGCCACTATGCATGTGGACAGCCCACCCCAAGGGAAGAAACAAGAGAAGTAACCCAAGACCCAGGAAGTATAAAACCCCAAGTCAAAGGTCAAATGGACACTTGAATCTCTCAGGTTGCCTGCTTGGCCCTCTTCCAACTATATTTACTTCCTTTCGTTCTTGCTCTAAAACTTTTTAGTAAGTTTTCACTCCTGCTCTAAAATTTGCTTCGGTCTCTCCTCTGTCTTATGTGCCTCGGTCAAATTCTTTCTTCGGAGGAGGCAAGAACTGAGGTTGCTACAGACCCCTACAGATTCACCGCTGCTAACAGTATTGTGGCAAAAATGTTAGTCACAAAGGGGGAAAAAATCAGACCACCCTCATACCTCTACAAAGCTACATTCCATGCAAAAGACATTTCTATATGAGTGAAAAATCTCAGAGACTAGAATGCCCATAAGCCCTTCCAGAAAAATATATTTCCCAGTGAGACTGAACCACCAAGAAATGACAGGAGGCACCAGGGCAAAGGGCTGGCAGGGCTTTCACTGTCAGAAGACAACACAGGGGTCTATACAAGGTTCTGAAAAGAGAAAGTGGGATTTAAAAATTTTATACATGGGTTGCCCCTCAAATATGAAGCCACATTACCATGCACAATCTGAAGCAAGATACCTCTGAGCCCTCCTTAAAGCTATTACTTGAGAAAATCCAGCTACTGCAAAAAGAATCAAAATAAAACAGGAATAAAAAAGCTCACTCTAAGAGTGGTGATAAACACTGAATCCATTTACACATAGAACTAAGGCTATCCAAATAGCTGTGATAATTATGATACTGGCCAGGCGCGGTGGCTCATGCCTGTAAATCCCAGCACTTTGGGAGGTCGAGGTGGACGGATCACTTGAGGTCAGGAGTTCAAGACCAGCCAACATGGCGAAACCCCGTCTCTATTAAAAATACAACATTAGCAGGGCGTGGTGGTGGGCGCCTGTAATCCCAGCTACTCAAGAGGCTGAGGCAGGAGAATCGCTTGAACCTGGGAGGCAGAGGTTGCAATGAGCCGAGATAGTGCCACTGTACTCCAGGCTGGGCGACAGAGTGAGGCTCCATCTCAAAAAAAAAAAAAAAAAAAAAGATACTGGGTCCAGGCACGGTGGCTCATGCCTATAATCCAAGCACTTTGGGATGCCGAGGCAGGTCGGGAGCTTGAGGTCAGGAGTTTGAGACCAGCCTGGCCAACAACAGTGAAACCTGTTTCTACCAAAAATATAAAAAATTAGCTGGGTGTGGTGGTGGGCACCTGTAATCCCAGCTACTCAGGAGGCTGAGGCAGGAGAATCACTTGAACCTGGGAGGCAGAGGTTGCAGTGAGCCGAGATAGCACCATTGCACTCCAACCTGGGTGAAACTCCGTCTCAAAAAACAAAAAAGATACTGAAATATTTCAAGGTAGGAATAGGGTATAAATTTCCTTATCTACTATGGTAAGGAGCCAGATGCATACTATCTAAAACTGAAACACAGAAAGAATGTTATTTTCTGTTAATAGCAGAAGCACCTTTCAGAAACTTGGGCCTCTTAGGTAAAGAACCTATTACCAAAAGTCCAGGCCAGGCGTGGCAGCTCACGCCTGTAATCCCAGCACTTTGGGAGGCTGAGGTGGGCGGATCACAAGGTCAGGAGATCAACACCATCCTGGCTAACACAGTGAAACCCCGTCTCTACTAAAAATACAAAAAAAAATTAGCTGGGCTTGGTTGCGGGCGCCTGTAGTCCCAGCTCCTTGGGAGGCTGAGGCAGGAGAATGGCATGAACCCGGGAGGCGGAGCTTGCAGTGAGCTGAGATTATGCCACTGCACTCCAGCCTGGGCGACAGAGCAAGACTCCGTCTCAAGAAAAAAGAAGGAAAAAAAAAAAAATCCAGTAACTGCTTCACTTATACTTAACATTCCTTCTGTTAATTTGTACAAAAATTTGTTCTAAGACTTTTAATTACCATATTAGTGAATTTTCCTATTTTAGGAAAATTATTTTCGTCTAGCCATCCATACATTCATCTGACTTGCTATTTGTCTTTATGTCAAAAATGATTGTTGGAATAATGGTTATTAACATTGATAATAGTTTTAATTTCTGGCCAGGCATGGTTCATGCTTGTAATCACTTTGGGAGGCCAAGGCGGGAGGATCGCTTGAGTCTAGGAGTTCGAGACCAGCCTGGGCAACATGACGCAACCTTGTCTCTACAAAAAATACAAAAATTCCATCCTGGCCAACACAGTGAAACCCTATCACTACTAAAAATACAAAAACTAGCCGGGCGTGGTGGCGGGCACCTGTAATCCCAGCTACTAGGGAGGCTGAGGGAGGGGAATTGCTAGACCCCGGGAGCTGGAGGTTGCAGTGAGCCAAGAACGTGCCACTGCACTCCAGCCTGGGCGACAGAGAGAGACTCCATCTCAATAAATAAATCAATCAATAAATATTAAAAAAAAAAAAAAAAGACTGGCTGGATTATAAATTTCTTTTTTTTTTTTTGAGACAGAGTCTCCTCACTCTGTCGCCAGGCTGGAGTAGAGTGGTGCGATCTTGGCTCACTGCAACCTCTACCTCCTGGGTTCAAGCGATTCCCTGCCTCAACCTCCCAAGGAGCTGGGACTACAGGCACGTGCCACCACGCCCAGCTAATTTTTTATATTATAGTAGAGACAGGGTTTCACCACATTGGCCAGGATGGCCTCGATCTCCTGACCTTGTGATCCACCCGCCTTGGCCTCCCAAAGTGCTGGGATTACAGGCATGAGCCACCACACCTGGCCTAAATTTCTTAAAATAATTTTTTAATTCCCAAATTTTCTGTAATTTGCTTATGATATTTTATAAGTAAACAAAAGGTTTTTCATTTATTTAAAAATAATGCCAGAAATCCACAAACTCAAATTAATAAAGGGCTTCTCACCTAAATTAGCACTCTTGAGCATGCTGACCAGTGCTGGCATAAGCTGAAACTCAAATATCCTTTGGCCTCCACACTGGCTGCAGGCTGGGAGCTCGGTGACTTCTGATGTAGGGCAGGTCAAAAAGAGTGGCTCTCCACTCCAGGAATACCTAGGACAAGGAAACAAAGAACCCCGAATCAGAGCCACACAAGTCGCATTCTAGCATCTAAGGCCATGCTTTGCAACCTTTCTTTGTTTCTTGCAGAAATCTCCCAGAGGCCCAAAAACCTAGCACCATGGCTGTAAAGCATAGCAAGATATCTGGAAATCTTGTCAGTGTTCGATTCAAAGTCTCAAAGGCACTAAAGTCAATGTTCAACTGAATCTAGGTAAAGCTGCAACAAAGTCCAGACTCAGCTCCACTGCAGATTAAATGGAATCAGCCCTCCACATCACTGGCCTTACAGAGGAAAGGGCATGCCTTAGAGAAGAAGTCCCCAACCCCCAGGCCATGGACCCCCAGGCCATGGACCAGTACTGGTTGGTAGCCTATTAGGAATAGGGCCATGCAGCAGGAGGTGAGCAACAGCCAAGCGAGCATTACCACCTGATCTCCACCTCCCGTCGTATCAGCAGCATTAGATTCTCATAGGAGCGCAAATCCTATTGTGAACTGCACATGCAAGGGATCTAGGTTGTGTGCTCCTTCTGAGAATCTAAAGCCTTATGATCTGAGGTGAACAGTTTCATCCCAAAACCATGCCCCACATCCCCCACCTCAGTCTGTGAAAAAATTGCCTTCCATGAACCAGTCCCTGATGCCAAAAAGGTTGGGGACCTCTGCCTTAGAGGGAGGAAACATTCACTTCAGTTTTTGGGTTTTTTTTTTTTTTTTTTAGATAAAGCCTTTTTCTGTTGCCCAGGCTGGAGTGCAGTGGCACAATCACAGCTCACTGCAGCCTTGACCCCCTGGGCTCAAGCAATCCTCTTACCTCAGCCTCCTGAGTAGCTGGGAACACAGAGGCGCATCACCATACCCAGCTAGTTTTTAAAAAAAAAATTTGTAGAGACAGGGTCTTGCTATAATGCCCAGACTGGTCTCAAACTCCTGGCCTCAAGTGATCCTCCCACCTCAGCCTCCCAAAGTGCTGTGATTACAGGTGTGAGCCACCACATCCAGCTCACTTCAATATTACTGTTGTTCGATATGTAATTTCTGGTAAATCATTTTAAAAGTTACTAAACATGCAAAGAAGCAGGAAAATTTACCCCATAAAGAAAGTTAATGCAAGGAGACCCATGGACAAGATGATAAATTTATCAGACAAAAACTTTAAAATACCAGTAATGAATATGTAAAAAAAAAAAACCAAAAAAAAAACCTAGTGGACAAGGTAGGCCGGGTACCGTGGCTCAGGCCTGTAATCTCAGCACTTTGGGAGGCTGAGGCGGGTGAATCACTCGAGGACAGGAGTTCGAGATCAGCTTGGCCAACATGGTGAAACCCCATCTCCACTAAAACTACAAAAATTAGCCGGGCGTAGTGGCAGGTGCCTGTAATCCCAGCTGTGGGGGAGGCTGAGGCCGCGGCTGCAGAATCGCTTAAACCTGGGAGGCAGAGGTTGCAGTGAACTGAGATTGCTCCACTGCACTCCAGCCTGGATGATAGAGCAAGACTCTGTCTCGAATAATAATAATAATACAAAAATTAGCCAGACATAGTGTAATAATACAAAAATTAGCCAGACATAGTGGTGCACGCCTGTGGTCCCAGCTACTTTGGAGAGTGTGGCAGGAGGATCACTTGAGCTCAGGAGTCTGAGGCTGCGGTGAGCCATGACTGCACCACTGCATTCCAGCCTACGCAAGCAACAGAACAAGACCCAATC
Organism: Homo sapiens; assembly: GCF_000001405.40. Classification (NCBI taxonomy): domain Eukaryota; kingdom Metazoa; phylum Chordata; class Mammalia; order Primates; family Hominidae; genus Homo; species Homo sapiens. Next base: position 34,419,798 of record NC_000019.10, on the reverse strand, counting down.
TCTTAAAAAAAAAAAAAAAAAAAAAGCAACATAAAGAGTTAAAAATAAAAGACAAAAAAGGAACAAAATAGTAAACTAAAAATACTCAAAGTCACTGACAAGCAGGTTAAATAAAAGGAATACAGAGACAAAAACAAAAAAACCCCACCAAATGGAAAGTCAGGTGTGGTGACAGATGCCTATAACCCTAGCACTTTGAGAAGCTGAGAGGCTGAGGTGAGGGAACTGCTTGAGTCCAGGAGTTCAAGACCAGCCTAGGCCACATAGTGAGACACCCATCTCTTTAAAAAAAAAAAAAAGGAAATGGAGGAAAAAACAATAACAGAATAAAATTAACCCAACATGGTGGGGTGCGGTGGCTCATGCCTGTAATCCCAGCATTTTGGGAGGCCAAGGCAGGCGGGTCACCTGAGGTCAAAAGTTTGATACCAGCCTGGCCAACATAGCGAAACCTGTCTCTACTACAAAAAATTAGCCAGGCATGGTGGTGCGCACCAGTAATCCCAGCTACTCAGGAGGCTGAGGCAGGAGAATCGTTGAACCTGGGAGGCAGAGGTTGCAGTGAGCCAAGATCGTGCCACTGCACTCCAGCCTGGGCAACAGAGCAAGACTCCGTCTCAAGAAAAAAAAAACAAAAAACAAAAAACAATTAACCCAACAATACCAATGATTACATTAAAGGGACTGCATATTCCGTGTTAAAAAAACCATAACTGTTAAGTTGAACTTGATCAAAATTTAAAGCCATCTGTCAGAATCTGTTTGAGTGCTAAAAAAAATTAAATTGAAAAAGGACTTGTACTCTTGACCATATGAAGAATTCCTACAACTCAGTAACACAAACAATATGGTGAGAGATTTGAATGACACATTATCCAAGATGATATACAGAGATGGAAAACAAGCACTTGAAATGATGCTCAACATCATTTGCCATTTGGGGAAATGCAAATTAAAGCCACAATAAAATGCCACTACACACCTTCTTAAATGGCTAAAATTAAAAACTGAACATCCCAAGCATTAGCAAAGATATACAGGAAGTAGAATTCTTAAAAACTGCTAGTGGGAATAGAAATGGCATAACCACTTTGGAAAACTGGCCTGTTTCTTAACAAGTTAAACATGCATATCCCATATAATACAACCGTTCTATTCCTAGGTATCTACCCCCCCAAAATCAGAACATGTCTTACAAAGAGATGTAAACAAATGTTCACAGCAGCTTTATTTATAATAGCCAAACACTGGAAATAACCCAAATATCCATCAACTGGTAAATGTATAGTGGCACATCCATACAATGGAATACGACACAGCGGTCAAAAGGAATGAACTATTGATACATGCAATAAGAATGAATCTTGAAGTATTCTAAGTGAATAAAACCAGACCAAAAAAAAAAAGTATATCCCATATGACCTTATATACTTTCACAGGAAATGCACTAAGGTGCAACAGAAAGATGATTGGCGGTTGCCTGGGGACTAGGGGAGCAGCACAGGACAGGGTAGGCAAGAACTTGCGAAGAAGTATGAGGAAACTCCTGGCAGAGAGGAATATGTTTACTGTCTTGACTGTTGTGATTTCAGGGGTGTATATGGATGTCAACTTATCAAAGTGCACACTGTAAAAATATACGCAGTCTGTTGTATGTCAATTGTATCTCAATAAAGCTGCTGAAAAATAAATGTAAACAGACACACTTCACTACAGAAGATACACAGATGTCAAATGAGTATATGGAAAGATGCACAACATCATTTGTTATTAGGAAAATGCAAATTCAAACCACAAGGAAATACCACCACCACCACCTACTAGAATGGCTACATTTAAAAGACTGACGATATTTTTAAAACCACCACCAGGCTAGGTTTCTCAATGTCAACTATTCTTATACTCCCTGTATTTTAGTATTTGCATATTTAGTTCTTATTTCATTAAGGAAAAATTCCCAATTTTATCTTTGAATAGTTTCTGATCCATCTATTGCGTTCTCTATTTTGGACACCAATTCTCCTCATAGTAAATATATTTATCAACCCTTCAAAGATACCATCTTCTCTCTGAATGCTTTCTCTTTTTCTTCTGCATTCACTGGATTAGCTCAAGTCTTTCCTCTATACCAGTACTTTGATCTTTAGCCAAGTCTATTATGTTCCTTAACTTTTTTTTTCTTTTTTTTTTTGAGACAAAGCCTTGCTCTCTCGCCCAGGCTGGAGTGCAATGGCGCAGTCTCGGTCGACTGCAACCTCCGCCTGCCAGGTTCAAGCAATTCTTCTGCCTCAGCCTCCCGAATAGCTGGGACTACAGGCACCCGCCACCACACCCAGCTAATTTTTGTATTTTTAGTAGAGACAGGGTTTCACCATATTGGCCAGGCTGATCTGGAACTCCTGACTTTGTGATCTGCCTGCCTTGGCCTCCCAAAGTGCTGGGATTACAGGCTTAAGCCACCACACCCGGCCAGTGTTCCTTATATTCTATATGTATTAGATATGTAATGTCATGGGGCTTGGTTTCTTTAGCAATTCAATTTCCGATTCATACATAGTTACTTTATTTTCTCACCTTTGAGCTCTTGTTTTATGGAATCCATTCTTATGAAGTTCTTATACATTTTGAAGCATCTGCTGGGACTGATGTGCTCCTTGGATTATATTTTATTTTATTTTATTTTTTGAGACAGAGTCTCACTCTGTCACCCAGGCTGGAGTGCAGTGGCACGATCTCGGCTGATTGCAACCTCCACCTCCCAGGTTCAAGCGATTCTCCTGCCTTAGTCTCCTGAACAGCTGGGACTATAGGCACCCACCACCACGCCCGGCTAATTTTTGTATTTTTAGTAGAGACAGGGTTTCACCATGTTGGCTGGAATGGTCTCGATCTACTGACCTCGTGATCCACCCGCCTCGGCCTCCCAAAGTGTTGGGATTACTGGCGTGAGCCACCGAGTCCAGCTGGATTATATTTTCTGGCAGACTTGGTTCTTGAGCCTTTTCTATGTTCTCTTCATTTCCTTAACTGTTCTTGCCACAGTATGATTACCTGGGTGGCATGCTATTTTTCATCTAGCTCACACCTAAAGGGGGCAACTCAGTTAAGACCATCTATTTGCTCTGAAATGTCTGCAGAGGTTCTCATTGATTTCCTGTCCATCTCATATGAGGCCTGTTTTCCTCTCTCTAAGAGTACTGTCCATTTCCTCTACATTTCTGTAGGTGGTAAAAGAGGAAACTGGGGTGAGGAGATAGTTCTTCTGGGACTGGATGCAATCTTTATTAGAATACCTGGGCTTTGCTTTTTCCTCTGAGACAGTGTAAAATGCTGTATGTTGAGAAAGATCCCACTCGAATGGAGGCGAAATTGCTCTTAACTTTCCAATCATTGCTCTGACTCATGGAACAAAGGAATGTTGCTTCTGAGAGGCAATCCCCGTCCTTTCCTACACCACCTCCCCACCACACCCAGTTCTTCAGCCAACAGCTGGGTCCACCATCCTCCACATTAGGAGATGCAAACTCTCCTCCTGTGTGCTTCCTTCCAGACATAATATTATTAACTGAAAATTCTTAGGCCGGGCATGGTGGCTCACACCTGCCATCCCAGCACTTTCAGAGGCTGAGGTGGGTGGATCACCAGAAGTCGGGAGTTCGAGACCATCCTGGCCAACATGGTGAAACCTCATCTCTAATAAAAATACAAAAATTAGCCGGGTATGTTGGCACATGCCTGTAGTCCCAGCTACTCAGGAGGCTGAGACAGGAGAATTGCTTGAACCCAGAAAATGGAGGTTGCAGTGAGCTGAGATCGTACCATTGCTCTCCAGCCTGGGGGACAGAGACAGATTCCGTTTCCGAAAAAAGAAAATTCTTTGTGGACTCATCAGTATATTTTAGGCAGGTGAGAGAAAAGGCCTGTGGAATTAGAACTTGCACTTAACCATGCCGGAAATTTCTGTACCTTTCTCTGCAAAGATAACTTAGTTACATAAGTGAATAAATATATATGTTAAACACTCAAGAACTCTACTAGACATTTATGGATATTATATCCTGGGCTATCACTTTGAGTTTTATGGTACTAAGCCCTTTTCCTTTGTTCAGTGCTGATACAAGGGAATTTCTTTTTTAATATTTATTTTATTTGGCCTGATTTTTAGCTTTTAGATTCACTGTGGTAGGTATCGGGGAAAAAGACCATTTGAGCTAATTCTGCCCACTTTGTCTGGACCTGTTTTTACTATGTGGCTATTTTTATAAATTATACCTGCTGGGTATGTCATTTCCTCTGAGGCCTTTCTGATAGCCTACCTAAAATAGCTCTATTTTTTCCTCATTTATCACTTATGGGAATCATACAGGTTTGTTTTTAATCTCCCCCACTAGTCACAGTGGCTCAAGCCTGTAACTCCAGCACTTTGGGAGGCTGAAGCGGGCAGATCATTTGAAGTCAGGAGTTCGATACCAGCCTGACCAACATGGTAAAACTCCGTCTCCACTAAAAATACAAAAAGTAGTCAGGCGTGGTGGCGCTGTAATCCTAGATACTCGGGAGGCTGAGGCAGGAGACTCTTAAACTTGGGAGGCGGAGATTGCAGTGAGCCAGGATCACGTCACTGCACTCCAGCCTGGGTGGCAGGGCGAGACTCCATCCCAGAAAAATAAAAATAAATTAAAAAATAAAAATAAATATATGGGCCAAGGGTCGTGGCTGATGCCGGTAATCCCATCACTTTGGAAGGCCGTGGCAGGAGGATCACTTGAGGCCAGGAGTTTGAGAGCAGACTGGGCAACATGATCAGATCCCATCTCTACAAAATACATTTTTTAAAAATTAGCCAAACATGGTGGCACACTCCTGTAGTTCTAGCTACTTGGGAGGATCGATTGAGCCCAAGAGGTAGTTGTTACAGTGAGCAATGATCACGCCACTGCACTCCAGGGTGGACAACAGACTGAGACCCTCTCTCTAAAAAAATATTTTTTTAATAATAATAATAGTCCAGGCACAGTGGCTCATGCCTGTAATCCTAGAACAAACTCTGGGAAGCCAAGGCAGGTGGATGGCTTGAACCCAGAAGTTTGGAACCAGCCTGGCCAACATGGTGAAATACCATTTCTAAAAAAATATACAAAAATTAGTTGGGCATGGTGGTACATGCCTGTAGTCCCAGCTACTTGGGAGGCTGAAGTGGGAGGATCACTTGAGCCCAGGAGGTCAAGGTGCACTGAGCTATGATTGATCACACCACTGCACTCCAGCCTGAGCAACAGAGCAAGACCCTGCCCCCAAAAAAAAAAAAAAAAAAAAAAAAAAAAGCCAGGCATGGTGGCTCACACTTGTATCTCAGAACTTTGGGAGGCTGAGGTGGGCAGATTACGTGAGGCCAGCAGTTCGAGACCAGTCTGGCCAACATGGTGAAACCCCATCTCTACTAAAATACAAAAAAATCAGCTGGGCAGGGTGGCGGGCACCTGTAATCCCAGCTACTTGGGAGGCTGAGGCAGGAGAATGGCTTAAACCCAAGAGGTGGAGGTTGCATTGAGCCAAGATCACGCCACTACACTCCAGCCTGGGCGACAGAGCGCGACTCCCTCTCAAAGAAAAAAAAAAATTAAATAATAATAATAATAAAGGCTATGAGAACATGGACTTCATCTGTGCCGTTTCTTGCTATATCTGCAGCACCTACAAATACCAGCAACTGGCATGCAGAATAGACTTCGTAAGTATTTGTTAGACAAGTGAGTGCACTTTACCTTACTGAATCCTCCTACACATCCTATAAAGTAGGTATTAGGTCCTATAAAGCAGGTATTAGGTTCTCTCTTGGTTTGGGGAATACTGTAGGTTTTGCTTTTCTCATATTTTCCTGTGTTTTCCAAACTAATATGTATTCCTTTATAATCAAGGAAAACAATAAAAGGAACTGTGCCTTTTTTTACCTCAAAATCTGCTCCTGACAAGCAGCAATTCGCTTCATGAATTTGTAAAACGTCTGATCTCCACTTTTAATTATGGTCTTCTCATATTTTTCATCACCATCATTAGGAAGGCTAAAAACAGAAGCAGAAAACACTTTTGAATGTCTATATCCAGAAAATTACAGCATTTGCAAGACAAAACAAGATAATTTTCTTTTAAAAAATTTTATCAGGGCAGGCGCAGTGGCTCACGCCTGTAATCTCAGCACTTTGGGAGGCCGAGGCAGGCAGATCACAAGGTCAGGAGATCGAGACCATCCTGGCCAACATGGTGAAACCCCATCTCTACTAAAAAATGCAAAAAATTGGCTGGGCATGGTGGCTTGCGCCTATAGTCCCAGCTACTCAGCAGGCTGAGGCAGAGGAAATCGCTTGAACCCGGGAAGCGGAAGTTGCAGTGAGCCGAGATCGTGCCATGCCACTACACTCCAGCCTGGTGACAGAATGAGACTCCATCTCAAAAAAAAAAAAAAAAAAAAAATCAATCACGCCTTTAATCCCAGCACTTTGGGAGGCCGAGGTGAGCAGATCACCTGAGGTCAGGAGCTTGAAACCAGCCTGGCCAACATCTTGAAACCCCATCTCTAATAAAAGTACAAAAAATTAGCCAGGCGTGGTGGCGGGCGCCTGTAATCCCAGCTCCTTGGGAGGCTGAGGCAGGAGAATCACTTGAACCCAGGAGATGGAGGTTGCAGTGAGCCAAGATTGCGCTATTGCACTCCAGCCTGGGCAAGAAGAGTGAAACTCCGTCTCAAAAAAAAATTTCTCAGGCCAGTGCAGTGGGCTCACGCCTGTAATCCCAGCACTTTGGGAGGCCGAGGCAGGCGGATCACTTGAGCTCAGGAGTTCAAAACCATCCTGGGCAATCTGGCAGAACCTTGTCTCTACAAAAAAATACAAAAATTAGCTGGGCATGGTGGCATGCACCTGTGGTCCCGGCTATTCCAGAGGCAAGGCTGTGGTGAGCCGTGAGCACACCATTGCACTACAGCCTGGATAACAGTGTGAGACCCTGTCTCAAAAAGAAAAAAAAAAAAAAACTGTCAAAGTTAAAAAACTGTAAAACTGTCAAGTAATTTTTTTTTTTTTTTGAGAGGGAGTCTCCCTCTGTCACCCAGGCTGGAGTGCAATGGTGCAATCTTGGCTCACTGCAACCTCCACCTCCTGGGTTCAAGCAATTCTCCTGCCTCAGCCTCCTGAGTAGCTGGGATTGCAAGTGTGCGCCAACACGTCCAGCTAATTTTTGTATTTTTAGTAAAGACAAGGTTTCACCACGTCGGCCAGGCTGGTCTCCAACTCCTGACCTCAAGTGATCCATCTCGGCCTCCCAAAGTGCTGGAATTATAGGAGTGAGCCACCGCACTCAGCCAAAAACTGTCAAGTAAATATTTTTGATATTTAAATTGTGTACATGTAGCTCTGCAGTTCCCTGCCCAACCCTTCTCCCAAGCCATTTTCAACTCTTGAGTAATTATTTACAATTTAAAAAGTCGCAGGGCACAGTGGCTCACACCTGTAATCTCAACACTTTGGAAGGCCGAGGCAGGTGGATCACGAGGTCAAAAGATCGAGACCATCCTGGCCAACATGGTGAAACCCTGTCTCTACTAAAAATACAAAAATTAGCTGGGCATGGTGGTATGCACTTGTAATCCTAGCTATTCAGGAGGCTAAGGGAGGAGAATTGCTTAAACCTGGGAGGTGGAGGTTGCAATGAGCTGAGATTGAGCCACTGTACTCCAGCCTGGCAACAGAGCGAGATTCTGTCTCAAATATATATATTTTCATATATATTTTTTAATATATATATTTTATTATTTATTTTATATATATATATATATATATGTATTTTTCATCTGGGTGCGGTGGCTCACGCCTGCAATCCCAGCACTTTGGGAGGCCAAGGAGAGTGGGTCACTTGAGGTTAGGAGTTTGAGACCAGCCTGGCCAACATGGTGAAGCCCCATCTCTACTAAAAATACAAAAATTAACCGGGTGTGGTGGCGGGTACCTGTAATCCCAGCTACTTGGGAGGCTGAGGCAGGAGGATCATTTGAAACTGGGAGCTGGAGGTTGCAGTGAGCCATTATCACACCGCTGTACTCCAGCCTGGGTGACAAAGTGAGACTCTGTCTCAAAAAAACCAAAAATTTTTTTAATTAGCTGAGTTTGGTGGCACACACCTGTAGTCCCAGCTATGGGGAAAGCTGAGGCCAGAGGATCCCCTGAGGCCAGGAGTTTGAGGCTGCAGTAAACCATGAGCAGGCTGGGCGTGGTGGCTAATACCTGTAATCCCGGCACTTTGGGAGGTCGAGGTGGGCGGATCACGTGGGGCCAGAACTCCAAGAAGAGCCCGGCCAGTATGGCAAAAGCCCATCTCTACTAAAAAGAAAATACAAAAATTAGCTGGGTGAAGTGGCGCACGCCTATGGTCCCAGCTACTCGGGAGGCTGAGACATGAGAGCTGCTTAAGCCGGCGAGGGAGAGGTTGCAGTGAGCCGAGAACGTGCCACTGCACTCCAACCTGGGCAACAGAGCAAGACTGTCTCAAAAAAAAAAAAAAAAGGCCATAACCACACCACACCACTGCAGTTCAGCCTGGGAAACAAAGCAAGATCCCATCTCTAAAAAAAAAAAAAAAAAAAAGAAGAATACTCTAGTCTGAAGAAACCCACCAAAAATAAGCAAATACATAAAAACTTAAGAAATTAAAAAATAAAAAATCCTGCCGGGCGCGGTGGCTCACACCTGTAATCCCGGCACTTTGGGAGGCCAAGGCAGGTGGATCACGAGGTCAAGAGATTGAGACTATCCTGGTCAACATGGTGAAACCCCGTCTCTACTAATAATACAAAAATTAGCTGGGTGTGGTGGCGCGCACCTGTAGTCCCAGCTACTTGGGAGGCTGAGGCAAGAAAATTGCTTGAACCCAGGAAGGGGAGGTTGCAGTGAGCCGAGATCGCACCACTGCACTCCAGCCTGGCAAGAGAGCCCATATCACACACACACAAAAATAAATAAATAAATAAATAAATAAATAAATAAAAAATAAAAAGTCCTTATAACCATCAATTCTATTAAGGATTATTTTCAAACACCAACATGTCTTCATGCATTCCCCTTCATCATTATTCTGAAAAAGCCTACAAATGAAACAGTTCTGGTAAAGAACCAGGCCATTTCTCCAAATATTCTATTGTAATTTTTTTATTCTAATAGTAAAAAATGCTGGGTGCAGTGGCTAAAACAAATTTTTAGGCCAGGCACAATGGCTCACGCCTGTAATCCCAGCACTTTGGGAGGCTGAGGTGGGTGGATCACCTGAGGTCAGGAGTTCGAGACCAGCCTGACCAACATAGTGAAACCCCATCTCTACTAAAAATACAAAAATTAGCTGGGCATGGTGGCACATGGCTATAATCCCAGCTACTTGGGAGGCTGAGGTAGGAGAACTGCTTAAACCTGAGAGGTGGAGGTTGCAGTGAGCCGAGATCGTGCCATTGCACTCCAGCCTGGGTAACAACAGCGAAACTCAAAAAATTTTAATTGGTCAGACATGGTGGTGTGCACCTGTACTCCCAGCTACTTGGGAAACTAAGATAGATTGCCTGAGCCCAGGAGTTCAAGGCTGCATGAGCTTTGATCACACCAATTCACTCCAGCGTGGGTGACAGAGTGAGACCCTGTCTCTCTCAGTCAATCAATAAGCAAAAATGATCATTCTTACCTCTTTAGAGAGCTTTGGTTTATAAAGCCTTTCAAGATCTACCCTCTCGCTTAACTCTCAAAAAATCATGGGATGAAACAGAGAACAGAGATATCACCATCACTCTCATTTTACAGAATTGAGGATCTGAAAGCATCTCTGAGGTCCTGGGCCAGTTCTGGAGCCACAGCCAAGAGTCAATAAACAAATGGCGTTTTTCTTTTCCTTTTTCCATTTTTTCACCCCAATCTTATTATCCCAGATCAAATGGTAGTTTTCTAACTTGCCTGTCTCTGCTATAAAGACATATTAGAAATATAAAAGAAAATTTAAGAGTCAGTGAACGCGTCTTCTATAAATACTTGCCATCTCTAACTTCTGTTTGTTCATCTTCACTTTCTTAACGGCAATTATAAATAGAGCAGGGTTTTCAAGCTAACTCAAGTTGGCTGATAAGGAAGTGAAGCAAAAAGGTCCTACATACAAGTTCTGCCTGAAAGTTTCCCCAGGTCCTGTGGTGAAACTGAAGGGTAACTCTTGTGGCTGCTTCCCAATCCAGTCACCTCTCAACCTCAGCAGCACACATCCTCACCTTTGGGAAAGCAACTGATCCATGGCAATGCCTTCTCTCTGCTGATAGTCCCTCAGAAGGCTGTGGGCATGATCCAGGTTGACAAAGTCCCTGTAATCATCCTCATCTGCAACACAGATGTAGTAGGGCAGGAAGAGCGGCAGCCCAGGAGGCACAGGATGGGCAGCACCCAGGACAGCATCCTGCAGGCGGAGGTCTTGGAGCCGAGCAGTCCAGTCTACGTCTTTGGCACTGCTGGCATCATTCCCAAAATCCAAGGTAAACTGTGGTGAAGGCCCCTCCTCAGTATCACTTCCCCAGTCATCAGCACCTTCACACCAGTCCTCAGCTGCAAGGCTGTTTCCCTGTTTCTGGAAAAATACTCAGTGAATGAGGTCCGAGCACATTTGGGAGGTTTATTCTAATCCTTCGGCTCCAGCCACCCACCGCCGCGCCTTCCAGAGGGAGCCTTCACACCATCCCCTTCCCCTCTGGTACACTCCAATCAAACTTTCTAGACCCTATGTACTCAAAAGCACGTTGGAGGTGACTTAAAATACTTGTCTTTCCTTTTTGGGGTGAGTGTGACAGATATAGTACAGGGGTTATTCAACCATCCGTTCCAATATCTTTCTGTTGTGCTTCATGTATTGCAGGAACTGAAAAGAAAGAACTACCTTTCCCAGACCCCTTAGCAGCTAGGGTTTCAGATATGATTAGGGGTCTGCTAATCAGGTCTACTAGAGAGAAACATGAACTTGAGACAGAGTGAAGTAGAAAGAAAGACCACATAGCAAAAGGTAGCCATTGTGTAGACACAGACAGAACAAGGCTTTGGAGCCAACGGTTCGGTGGCAAAGACAGCCTCTAGTTCACCAGATCACACCTAAGCTTCCTGACAGCAGGAGAGGTGGCATAGCAGCTCCTTCACGGCCAGTTCTGAGGTGTGATTCTGGAGGGCATTCCTGGAGCCTCCTCCTTCAGCCTATCCACTTACTAAAAACCTCACTCCTGTGTTAAGTCTGTCTCAGCTTAAAAGCCAGGCATGGTGGCACGTGCCCGTAATCCAGCTACTCAGGAGGCTGAGGCAGGAGAATCGCTTGAACCCGGGAGGCGGAGGTTGCAGTGAGCCAAGATCACACCACTGCACTCCAGCCTGGGTGACAGAGCGACACTCGGTCTCAAAAAAAAAAAGAAAAAGCAACAGCACTTTTCTAATTATCTGCACCTGAACCCTGACAAATATAGGCAAACACCACTGTCTTCAACTTTTTATTTAAGTACTGCTAATACTATGCCTAGCAAACATCAAGAACTGGGTGCAGGCCGGGCCCAGTGTCTCACGCCTGTAATCCCAGCATTTTGGGAGGTTGAGGTGGGCGGACTGTTTGAGTCCAGGAGTTCAAGAACAGCCTGGGCAACATGACAAAATCCCATCTATACAAAAAATATGAAAATCAGCTGGGCATGGTGGCACGTGCCTGTAATCCCATCTACTCAGGAGGCTGACGTGGGAGAATGGCTTGGGCCCAAGAGGCAGAGATCATGCCACTGCACTCCAGCCTGGGTGACCAGAATGCAACCCCATCTCAAAAAACAAACAAACAAACAAACAAACTCAGTGTATATATAAAGACACATTTACAGTCAAAGGGAGGCTAAATTGTGTTCTGCAGCTACCAACTTGCCTGCCTTTTCAATAAATTCAGATTTCATCTTATGAAATGTGTTAATACATATATAGCTCTCATAAAGTATATTTACTATAAAGACACGTATACATTATCACATACAACCACATATATGTACACACCCATATATATTCCCAAACAGGAAAATCAGTAAACTGTGTGTCTCAAGACCTTCAGTGTAAGTTTAAAAAAACTACTATATATACAATGGAATATTTTTCACCCTTAAAAAAAAAAAGGAAATTCTGTCATTTGTGACAACATGGATGGAACTGGAGAACATTTTGCTAAGGGAAATAAGCCAGACACAAAGACAAATGCTGCATGTATTCACTTATATGTGGAATCTAAAACAACCTCAAAGAAGTAGAGAGTAGAGTGGTGGTTAAAGAAATCTGGAGTGGCCAGGTGTGGTGGCTCACGCCTGTAATCCCAGCACCTCAGGAAGCCAAGGCGGGTGGATCACGAGGTAAAGAGATCGACACCATCCTGGCTACACGGTGAAACCCCATCTCTACTAAAAATACAAAAATTAGCTGGGCATGGTGGTGTGTGCCTGTAGTCCCAGGTACTCAGGAGGCTGAGGCAGGAGAATTGCTCGAACCTGGGAGGCGGAGGCTGCAGTGAGCCAAGATTGTGCTACTGCACTCCGGCCTGGCAACAAAGCGAAACTCCATCTCAAAGAAAAAAAAAAATCTGGAGTGAGCCGGGCATGGTGGCTCACGCCTGTAATCCCAGCACTTTGGGAGGCCGAGGCGGGTGGGTTGCCTGAGGTCAGGAGTTCAAGACCAGCCTGGCCAACATGGTGAAACCCTTTCTCTACTAAAAATATAAAAATTAGCTGGGCGTGGTGGCGAGTGCCTGTAATCCCAGCTACTAGGGAGGCTGAGGCAGGCAGGATAAGCGCTTGCATCCGGGAGGTGGAGGTTGCAGTGAGCTGAGATTGTGCCATTGCACTCCAGCATGGGCAACAAGAGCGAAACTCGGTCTCAAAAAAAAAAAAAAAAAAAAAAAGGAAGAAAGAAACCTGGAGCGGGAAGAATAAGGAGATGACGGTCAAAGAATACAAAACCTCAGTTATTCAGGAGGAATGTGGGTTTTTTTTAAGTTCTACTGCACAGCATGAATATAGTTAATAATAGAGTATTGTGGCTGGGCACAGGGGCTCAAGCCTGTAATCCCAGCACTTTGGGAGGCCGAGGTGGGTGGATGACAAGGTCACGAGATCAATACCATCCTGGCTAACATGGTGAAACCCTGTCTCTACTAAAAATTTAAAAAAATGAAAAAATTAGCTGGCCGTGGTGGCGGGCGCCTGTGGTCCCAGCTACTCTGGAGGCTGAGGCAGAATGGTGTGAACCCAGGAGGTGGAGCTTGCAGTGAGCAGAGACGGCGCCACTGCACTCCAGCCTGGGCAACAGAGCAAGACTCCGTCTCAAAAAAAAAAAAAAATAAGAGTATTGTGTATCTCCAAATTGCTAGAGGAAATTTCAAATGTTCTCACAAGATGTTAAGTATTTGAGGTGATGAATGCATTAACTAGCTTCATTTAATTATTCCACATGATATTCATGAATCATAGCCATCACTTTATACCTCATAAATTTATACATTATTATAAACTGTCAATTTACAGTTAAAAAAAAAAGTTGAAGAAATCCAGGAGGAAGTCTCCATCTCCCTTTTGTTTTTTTGGCAGGGGACAGGGTCTGGCTTTGTGGCCCAGGCCGGAGTGCAGTGGCACAAGTGTAGGTCACTGCAGCCTCAACCTCCTAGACTCAAGCAATCCTCCTACCTCAGCCTCCTGAGTAGCTGGCACTACAGTTGCGTGGCCATCATGCCTGGCTAATTTGTTTACTTTTTATAGAGACGATGTTTTGCTATGTTGCCCAGACTGCTCTCCCAACGTTTTTTTTTTCTTTTGTTTTGTTTTGTTTTGTTTTTACGGAGTCTGTCACCCACGCTGGAGTGCAGTGGCATGATCTCAGCTCACTGCAATCTCTGTCTCCCGGGTTCAAGCGATTCTCCTGCCTCAACCTCCCTTGTAGCTGGGATTACAGGTGTCTGCCACCATGCCCGGCTAATTTTTTGTTTTTGTTTTTAATAGAGACGGGGTTTCGCCATGTTGGCCAGGCTGGTCTCGAACTTCTGACCTCAGGAGATCCGCCCGCCTCGGCCTCCCAAAGTGCTGGGATTACAGGCGTAAGCCACCGCGCCCAGCCTGGTCTCCAACTTCTGAGCTCAAGCAATCCTCCCACTTCAGCCTCTCAAAAAACGGTGGGATCACAGGCGTGAGCCACCATGCTGGGCCTCCATCTCCTTTTAACAAAGGAGTTAGAAAATAAAAATAAAGTAAAATAGAAGAAAAAAAAAACTCTCACAAAACCTTAAGAAAGGCCGGGCGCGGTGGCTCATGCCTGTAATCCCAGCACTTTGGGAGGCCGAGGCGGGTGGATCACCTGAGGTCGGCAGTTCGAGACCAGCCTGACCACCATGGCGAAACCCCGTCTCTATTAAAAATACAAAATTAGCCGGGCGTGGTGGCATATGCCTGTAATCCCAGCTACTAGGGAGGCTGAGGCAGGAGAATCGCTTGAACCTGGGAGGCGGAGGTTGCGGTGAGCCGAGATCGCGCCATTGCACTCCAGCCTGGGCGACAGAGCGAAACTCCGTCTCAAAAAAAAAAAAAAAAAAAAACTTTACGAAAATAGCATTTTATGGTTCTTCAGAAAAGCAAAAAACACTCCAGTGTACTTCAAAGAACACGGCTTTAAAGTCTGCCCCAAACTATTCTCTGGAAAATATCCTCAAATGACAGAAAAACAATAACATGCCAATCACAACCTTTACCTGAGCGTCCTGCGCCTCTCTCTCTGGCACCTGCAGGCACTGGGAGCGGAACACCTTCCAGCTTCGGGGTGAAGACAAAGGGCCGTGAGGGCTGCACCCCGACTCCAGCCCGCCGGCCCGCCCCAGCCCGCTGGAAAGGACACCCCTGGAGCAGCTCTGGGACTTCCCCGCCTACCTGCGCGCACCGCCGGTGCTACAGCCGGGGCAGGCGCACGCGAACACGTGCAGCAGACGGTGAAACGGGGAGCCTTCCAGCGGGCAATACACCTGCACGACCAGAGCGAGCGGCTGCCCGCAGCGCTGACACACGGGCCTGGGCGCAGCCACGGTGGGCAGAGCATCCTGAGGGGACAGAGGAGGCGCTCAGACCCCGACTCCCCCCAGGACCTCGCCCACTCCCTCCGCACCCTTCAGCAGCACCCATCGACCCCAGCTCCGGCACCCGCCCTCACCGGAATGCCGCCCAGCTTGCTAGCAGTCCAGGCACCCGGCCCTGTGGGGCTGCCGTGCACCGGCGCATCTCGAAGGCCCAGCAGCACCGGCTTCAGAACGGCCGCCATGGCCGCCGGGCGACCAGGTGAAAACGCAAACTACGGCGGCCTCTCTGCGCACGCGCAACGCTACGCTAAAATGATAACCCCGCTCCCTTACTAGGATCCGATGCGGAGGCGTGGCTTTAAGGCGCGTGCGCTCAGGTCCCAGAGCCACAGAGGCGCCGCTGGCGTCAGGGGCTCGAAATCCCGGAGTCCCAGGCATTATGTGCCCCTTAATGCGCTGTGATAGGAAGTACACACCATCTACTAGGAAGTAGTTTTGCCAAAAAGCTAACTTTCTTTTTTCCTTTTTTTCCTGAGACGAGGACTTGCTATATTGCCCACACTGGTCTTGAACTCCTGGGGTTCAAGCGATCCTCCCGCCTCCGCCTCCCAAAGTGTTGCGATTACAGGTGTGAGCCACCAGAAAAAAGCCTTCCCGGAAAATAAAAATTTTAGGTGGGATAATGGTATTATCAGTCATTAACAAGAACAATAAAGTTTTTTAAAAAGTTAAAGTTTTTAATTTTTAGAGAAACACACCAAAATGCTTATAGATGAAATACCTCCGATTTGCTACTACATAATTAAGGTGGTGGGGTGTAAATACAGTAAGATTGACCATGAGTTGATAATTGTTGAAATTTGGTGCCAGGCACATGGAGATTTATTCTATTTGGGTTTTATATGTTTGAGATTTTTCAGTTTTTATTTTTGTTTTGTTTTGTTTTGTTTTTGAGACAGAGTCTTGCTGGGTCGCCCAGGCTGAAGTGCAGTGGCGCCATCTCACTGCATCTCAGCCTCCCAGGTTCAAGTGATTCTCCTGCCTCAGCCCCACCCAGTAGCTGGGGTTACAGACGCCCACCACCACGCCCGGCGCCCGGCTTTTTTTTTTTTTTTTTTTTTAGACGGAGTTTCGCTCTTGTCGCCCAGGCTGGAGTGCACTGGCGTGATCCCAGCTCACTGCAACCTCTGCCTCCCAGGTTCAAGCGATTCTTCTGCCTTAGCCTCCCGAGTAGCTGAGATTACAGGCATGTGCCACCATGCCTGGCTAATTTTGTATTTTTAATAGAGATGGGGTTTCTCCATGTTGGTCAGGCTGGTCTCGAACTCCCAACCTCAGGTGATCCGCCCACCTTGGCCTCCCAAAGTGCTGGGATTACAGGCGTGAGCCACCATGCCCGGCCTTTTTTGTATTTTTAGTAGAGACGGGGTTTCACCATGTTGGCCAGGCTGGTTTCGAGCTCCTGAAATCAAGTGATCTGCCCACCTCGGCCTCCCAAAGTGTTAGTATTACAGGTGTGAGCCACCGCGCCCAGCCACACAATACAGTTTTTTCAATTCCTGCAGCACAACATGGGTGAATTTCAAAAGCATCATGGGAAGAAGCCAGACACAAAAGGCGCCATTCTGGTAAACGCAGAACTTCGGAGGGAAAAAAATCAGTTCAATGGTAGTCAGGAGTTGGGATGAGGGAGTAGGACTGGACCACAAGTGTCAGGAACTTTTGAGGGTGAGGAAAATGCTGTATATCTCATCTGTAATGGTTCTAAGACTGTATATACACTTGTGAAAACTCATAACTGTATACCAAAGAAAGGTGAATCTTACTATATGTAAATCACACCCCAATAAACCTGACTTTTTAAAAATGCAGGCTGCAAAAACATTATTTTAGGATTCATAACGTGGTATGCAAAAGAAATGAATGTTTTCAAGGATTTACACCTCAAAGGAGGAAGCACCAGCCTTTGTGAGGTTTGGCTCTAGCCCAGCAAGGATCTGGAGATGAAACCCATTTACTCCTTTTTTTACCACACTTCATCCTGATAGCTTTAAAAGGCCCTGTGATGCTGGGCACAGTGGCTTGCGCCTGTAATCCCAACACTTTCGGAGGCCAAGGCAGGAGGATCTCTTAAGCCCAGGAGTTGAAGATAAGCCTGGGCAACACAGTAGTATTACCAGGGGAGGATCTTGACTACAAGTCGTCCAGGTTCTTGGAATATTGAACAAAGAGGTGGACAAAACACACAAAGCAACAAAAGAAGGAACAAAAGCACAGATTTATTGAAGCAAAAGTACATTCCAGAAAGCGGGATGAGGCTCAAGCAAGTGCCCTGTGTAGAAAATCTGGGGTTTAAGTACCCTTTAGAGGTTTCCTATTTGGTTACACCCTATGTAAATAAAGACTTGGCCTGCCACCAGTCAGAGGCTGAAGTGAATGCTCCTTTGTCTCCAGACCCTATTCTCTGGCCTCAGTGGGATCCTATCACTACAAAAATTTATTTTTTATTTTTCTTATTTTTTTTTTTTTACAACAGTACACTGATCTACAAAAATTTTAAAATGAGCCGGGCGCGGTGACTCACGCCTGTAATCCCAGCACTTTGGGAGGCCAAAGCAGGCGGATCATGAGGTCAGGAGATCAAGACCATCCTGGCTAACACGGTGAAACCCCGTCTCTACTAAAAATACAAAAAATTAGCCGGGTGTGGTGGCGGGCACCTGTAGTCCCAGCTACTCGGGAGGCTGAGGCAGGAGAATGGCGTGAAGCCGGGAGGTGGAGCTTGCAGTGAGCCGAGATCACACCACTGCACTCCAGCCTGGGCAACAAAGCAAGACTCTCAAAAAAGAAAAAAATTTTTTTTTAAATGAGCTGGGTGTACTGGCATGCATCTGCGGACCCAGCTACTTGGAAGGCTGAGGTGAGAAGATCACCTTAGCCTGGGAATTTGAGGCTTCAGTCAGCTATGATTGTATCACTGCAGTCCAGCCTGGGCAACAAAGACCCTGTCTCTAAGAAAAAAAAATTTTGAATAGGCTGGGTGTGGCGGCTCACGCCTGTAATCCCAGCACTGTGGGAGGCTGAGGTGGGAGATCTCTTGAGCCCTGGAATTCAAGACCAGTCTAGTCTGGGAAACACAGCAAGACCCGCCTTGCTGGGCGCGGTGGCTCACGCCTGTAATCCCAGCACTTTGGGAGGCTGAGGCGGGCGGATCACGAGGTCAGGAGATCGAGACCATCCTGACTAACACAGTGAGACACTGTCTCTGCTAAAAAAATATATAAAAAATTAGCCGGGCATGGTGGCAGGTGCCTGTACTCCCAGCTACACAGGAGTCTGAGGCAGGAGAATGGCGTGAACCTGGGAGGCGGAGCTTGCAATGAGCTGAGACCGTGCTACTGCACTCCAGCTTGGGCGACAGAGCGAGACTCCGTCTCAAAAAAAAAAAAGACCCGTCTCTCTACAAAAAATGAAAAAACTAGCAGGGCATAGTGGTACAACCTGTAGTCTCAACTACTTGGGAGGCTGAGGCAAGAGGATTACTGGCTGCAGTGAGCTGTGATCATGCCACTGCACTCCAGTCTGGGCAATGGAACAAGACCCTGTCTCAAAAAAAAAAAAAAGTTGTCAAAAAAAAAAAAAAAATGGGCCGGGCGTGGTGGCTCATACCTGTAATCCCAGCACTGTGGGAGGCTGAGGCGGGCAGATCACCTGAGGTCAGGAGTTCAAGACCAGCCTGCCCAACATGGTAAAACCCCTTCACTACTAAAAATACAAAAATTAGCTGGGTATGGTGGTGTGCGCCGTGTAATCCCAGCTACTCGGGAGGCTGAGGCAGGAGAATAGCTTGAACCCGGGAGGCGGAGGTTGCAGTGAGCCGAGATTGCACCACTGCACTCCAGTCTGGGTGACAGAGCGAGACTCAAAAAAAAAAAATTCCAGTTTTCAATATCTGCCTTTTAAAGCAAAAGAACTACCTGAGCGTCTTGCCAGGAGATGGCAGTCATCCTCGGTCTTGTCCAGGAATTCACCCGAAACAAACATAATCTCAATGCAGTTTTTAGAACCATCGAGTGAACAGAGTATCCAATTTCTGCAGTCACAGAGGTGAGGAGTGGAAAACAGTCTTGGGATTTGGTGACACAGGCCAAGTTGCCGTCCTGACTGATTGTGCCCCCACCCCACTATTGTCTTCTCAGGGCACCTTGCTCCACTCTAGACCCGCTCACCACTTAGTGTTAAGTGTCCGCAGAGGCACAGCCTGCGTCCTGCTGAGCGCTCCTGCCCTCTGCTACATAAAGCACCATCACAGGAAAAAAAAAATCAGAGGCTGAGCCTACAACCTCCTCCGTGGCATCTTTATTTTTCTACATGGGATGTGAACAACGTGAACATGGGTCAGAAAAGTCAGCTGCACAAAAACACTTCAGCCAATTCTAACACAGAGGGAGCATAGACATGGAGGGGCTGGGGGTTAGGCTGGGGGAGACCAGCCTTCCCTGCTAAGGGCTCGTGGTCCAAGCCCACAACCAGAGGGTGCTCTGGGTGGTGTCCAGGAACATGCAGTGCCGGCTCCGGGGAGGAGGGACGAGAAGAGAAAGGGGAGTCACAGAGGAGGCTGCAGATGAGCACGAGTTTATTGGACTCTGGCCTCGCGCTGCTGCTTGATGAAGTTGATGAGCCCATTGGTAGAAGCGTCGTGAGAGGTCACTTGAGCACTGCCATCAAGCTCAGGCTCTATTTTCTTAGCCAGCTGCTTTCCCAGCTCCACTCTGCCAAGAAGGGAAGGGAAGGGAAGAGTGGTATGAGGAAGGCTCTAACGTTGCTACTGAAATCCCTGAGCCGACACAAAGGTATTCCCGGCCCTCCCCTAAGTGAGCAACTCACCCCCACTGGTCAAAGCTGTTGATGTCCCAGATGATGCCCTGAACGAAGATCTTGTGCTCATACATGGCTGCAGAAGTGACAGACAGGGCACATCAGGGCTCCACAAGCCCATTCCAACCTACCCCAAGCCAGGACCTTTCCCCTACTCACTCACCGACCAAGGCTCCAAGCATGAATGGTGTGAGCTTGGTGAACACAATAGAGTTGGTTGGGCGATTTCCTTCAAAGACCTGCAGAAAACACCAAGGAATGTCTCCAAGAGAGTCCTGATCCCTAAACCCCTTGAAGGGAAGCACACCCTGCCCCAGAGGCTGAGACGTGCAGGTCTGTGAGGACAGGCCCTCCCATTCTGTAGGACAAGCCAGGCACGCCCCAAGCCCCTGCCTGGTGCCATAGCTTCACACCTCCAACTCCAGCATGCACCCCAAAGCCAAATGCAGAAGTGCTGACCTTATGTGGCAGCAGCCTCTCAAGGTCCTCTGGACTCTTGCCCGCAGCCTGGAGCTCCTTTCGGGCCTCCTCCGTCGATTTTCCCCTCATCAGGGCCTCTGTCTGGGCCAAGAAGTTGGCCAGGAGGATCTGATGAGCGAGACATCAGTTATGCTTGAGAGCACTGTCTGGGCTTCAGGCAGAGGGACAAGACCGCCTGGTACTTCTCAGCAGGGGTCAGTCCCAGCCTGGGTCACTCGCTGTACAGCTCAGTTGGAGCGAGGGGGACACATCCGATGACACCACAAGGCAGGGAACAGTGATAACTGCTCTTTAAGAACTACACACCAGTGGCCAGGCGCGGTGGCTCACGCCTGTAATCCCGACACTTTGGGAGGCCGAGGCGGATGGACCACGAGGTCAGGAGCTCGAGACCAGCCTGACCAACATGGTGAAACCCGTCTCTACTAAAAATACCAAAAAAAAATTTAGCTGGGCATGGTGGCGCATGCCTGTCATCAGGCAGGAGGCTGAGGCAGGAGAATCACCTGAACCTGGGAGGCAGAGGGTGCAGTGAGCCAAGATCACGCCACTGCACTCCAGCCTGGGCGACAGACCTAGACTCCATCTCAAAAAAAAAAAAAGAACTACACACCACTTGCTAGGGGTCCTGCTCACAATTTTACCAACATCTATCTTTTAAGATCCTAAGAAGGTAGCTGGGCGTGGTGGTGTGCAACTGTAATTCCAGCTACTCCGGAGGCTTAAGCACGAGAATCACTTGAACCCAGGAGGCTGAGGTTGCAGTGAGTCAAGGTCACACTACTGCACTCCAGCCGGGGCAACAAAGTGAAACGGTGTCTCGAAAAAAAAATAATACTAAGATCCTAAGGAGGAAAGGCATCATCGCCCTGTTCTAGTAGAGCCTTGGGTTCCACAAGTCCACAGTGCTGGATCACAGAACTATAGACAGGAACAATCAGAATTCAATCCAGCTCACTGACTCCCAAGATTGTGCTACCGTAACCCTGTGCTGCTCTGCACACCTGAGACAAAGCACAGTAAATTCTCTGAAGGAGTTCGAGGGCAGCTTGGGCAACATACTGAGACTCCATCTCTACAAAAAATAAAAATAAAAAAATCAGCTGGGTGTGGTGGCGTGTGCCTGTTCCCAGCTACTCAGGAGGCTGAGGTAGGAGGATTGCTTGAGCCCAGGAGGGTGAGGCTGCAGAGAGCCTGATTGTGCCACTGCACCCCAGCCTGGGCAACAGAGCAAGACTCTGTCTCTTTAAAAAAAAAAAAAAACTTAGCCAGGCATGTTGTACATCTGTGGTCCCAGCTACTCAGGAGGCTGAGATAAAAGGATTGCTTGAGCCCAGGAGTTCAAGGCTGTAGTGAGCTATGATTGGGCCAGTGCACTCCAGCCTCAGCAACAGAGTGACATGCTATCTCTAAAATAAAATAAATAAATAAAATAAACAAAAGGGGAGATTTTCCTGGATTATCTAGTAGCCCCAATCTAATCACACTGGCCCTTAAAAGTAAAAGAGGGCCAGGCACGGTAGCTCATGCCTGTAATCCCAAAACTTTGGGAGGCCGAGGCAGGAGAATCACTTGAGCCCAGGAGTTGGAGACCAGCCTAGGCAACATAGTGAAATCTGGCCTCTACAAAAAGTTTAACAGTTAGCCAGGCTGTTAGTGCCTGTAAGTGCCTGTAAGTGCCTGTTAGTGCCTGTAAGTCTCAGCTATTTGAGGGGCCGAGGCAGGAAGACTGCTTGAGCCTGGGACGTTGAGAATACAGTGAACTGTGATCATGCCACTGTAAGTCCAGCCTAGACAACACAGCATGACACTGTCACTTAGGGAACAAAAGCAAAATGTAGAAGAGGAAGGTAAACAAGTCAGAGAGATGCAACAGAAGTGGCAAGACAGAATCAAAGCTTCAGAGAAGGATTTAACCTGCCATTGCTGGTTCTGCAGTGAAGAGGCCCACAAGCTAGAGGATGCAGGTGACCTCTGAGAATCTGAGAACGACCTTCAGCCCACAGCAAGGAAGCTGGACTTCAGTTCCACAACCATAGAGAAATGAATTCTGCCAACCACCTGACAAGCAGGTCAAAGGCTTTTCCCCTAAGGTCTCCAGAAAGAAACACAGTCCTGATGACACCTTGATTTCAGCCTGCAAGACTCTAAGCAGAGACACATCAGGGCCTGCTGGATATTTGAGCTTCAGAAACTCTTCAGATAGCCCAGGAAGGTGGCTCATGCCTATAATCCCAGCACTTAGGGAGGCCGAGGCAGGTAGATTACTTGAGGTCATGAGTTCAAGACCAGCCTGGCCAACATAGTGAAACCCCCCCTTTACCAAAACTACAAAAATTAGCTGGCCATGGTGGTGAGTGCCAGTAGTCCCAGCTACTTGGGAGGCTGAGGCATAAGAATCACTTGAGGCCGGGAGGGGAAGGTTGCAGTGAGCCAAGATCGTGCCACTGCACTCCAGCCTGGGCGACAGAGCAAGACTCTGTCCCCCCTCCCCACCCCACAAAAGAAGAGTGTTGTTTTAAGCCTCCATGTTTGTTATCATTTGTTACGGCAGGAATAGAAAACTAACGTGATTGCCAACCAATGCACCAGGTTTTCAGAGGTCTGGGTGCAATGTGAGCCAGACCCCCCAGATGGGGCCAGATGGGGGCTCTTACCTTGTGATGCAGACCCTTCCGTATGGGGTGCTGGGTCTGGACCGGGATGAGGAAGTCACAGGGTATCATCTTGGTGCCTGTGAAGGGCACTGTGGTCACCCACATGACCCCAGCCCATGGGAGCTAGCCATATGGCCTAGAGGAGGGCACTGACCTAAGTGAGATATCTCTTCTGGAAGATCCTTTCCCTCCCCCAACATCACCCTTCCCAGGCCACAGGGGCCTACCTTGGTGGATGAGCTGGTAAAAAGCATGCTGGCCATTGGTCCCTGGCTCCCCCCACACAATGGGGCCTGTCTGGTGGTCCACACGGGTTCCAGATTTGGTGATGTATTTCCCATTGGACTCCATGTCGCCCTGGAAAAGGAACAGAAACCCAGTTCTTGGCAAAATGAAAGAACATTTAAAAAGAAAGAAAGAGGCTGAGCGCAGTGGCTCAAGCCTGTAATTCCAGCACTTTGGGAGGCCAAGGCAGGCGGATCACCTGAGGTTGGAAGTTTGAGACCAGCCTGATTAACATGGAGAAACCCTGTCTCTACTAAAAATACAAAATTAGCCAGGTGTGATGGCGCATGCCTGTAATCCCAGCTGCTTGGGAGGCTGAGGCAGGAGAATCGCTTGAACCCGGGAGGCGGAGGTTGTGGTGAGCCGAGATCATGCCACTGCACTCCAGACTGGGCAACAAGAGCAAAACTCCAACTCAAAAAAAAAGAAAAAAAAAAAAAAAGGAAAAGAAAGGAAAAGAAAGAAAAAAAACCCAACCCTCTTCCTGCAAGTCTTGATCCTTCACACACTGTACGCAAATCCTGCTCCTTCCTGCACCATGCCAAAGTCCTGCCCAGATGCTCCAGGCAGACCCACCCTGCCCTGACACCGTGAGGTGGACCTGCACACGTGTCCACAGGCACGATCCCCTTCCTCCCCACACCAGTGAGGACACAGCCTCCCAACCTTTCCTGCTTAAGCCACTGTGCAGGAAGGACTCATGCCCAGGAAAAGGTGGGTCTGGAGGTCAGGCAAGGACCTCCCTAAAGACAAAATCGGTCACAAAATCAGCTCATTTCTTAAGGGAGAGCAGGCTGGGGTCCAGAGTGCACAGCTTCTTTTTTTCCCAAAGAGACAGAGTCTCACTCTGTCACTCAGGCTGGAGTACAGTGGTAGAATCATTGCTCACTGAAGCCTCGACCTCTTGGGCTCAAGCAAGCCTCTTGCCTCAGCCTCCCAAGTAGCTGGGACTATAGGTGCCGCACCACCATGCCTGGCTACTGTTAGTTTTTGTGGGTTTTTTTTGTAGAGACCGGGCCTCACTACGTTGCCCAGGCTGGTCTTGAACTCCTGGGCTCAAGCAATTCCCCCCAGCCTCTGCCTCCCAAGGTGCTGGGATTGCAGGCATCAGCCACCATGCCTGGCTAAGAGTACAGCCTTTGAGGGCTGTCACCACAACTAAATGCTAGGCTTTGGGTACCCACCTGGGCCCTGGTCATGGCAACCCTCACCAAGGCAGCTGGGATTTGGGGAACCTTGGCCTCTCCTTCAGTCACAGGATTTGCTTCCAGGTGTTGGTGAAGCCTTCTGTACCTGCCCAGAGCAACTCAAGAGCTGCTGGACAGGGACTGGCTTTGTACTAAACAAAAGCAAGGATAGGGTTGGGCATGGTGGCTCATGCCTGTAATCCCAGCACTTTGGGAGGCCAAGGCAGGTGGATCGCTTGAGGCCAGGAGTTCGAAACCAGCCTGGGCAACATAGTGAAACCCCGTTTCCACTAAAAATACAAAAATTAGCCAGGCAAGGTGGTGCATGCCTGCAATCCCAGCTACTCGGGAGGCTGAGGCACAGGAATTGCTTGAACTCAGGAAGCGGAGGTTGCAATGAGCCGAGATCGCGCCACTGCACTCCTGCCTGGGAAACAGAGTGAGAATCTGTTCAAAAAAAAAAAAGCAGGGACAGGTGTGGAAAAGCTTTCTGGGACATAATGTGACTAGGAGAGGGCCTGCTAAGCCTCTCGGGGGGCTCTGGAGATCCCAAGGGAGAAGAGGGCCATGTAGTCCAAAGAGGCCACCACAGACTAGATACACACTTGCTTTTCTGGAGGGATAAAGGCAGTGCAGGCTATAAGGGATTCCAGCTTGCAGCCCCACCCTATGGCCAAATCCCACCTCCTCAGACATGGACAGACCCAGGTCCTCATACCTGTACCAGATCCTTCCTCCCCAGATACTAACAGACCTAGGGCCTCATACCAGGGCTAGATCCTACGTCCTCAGACACTATGGTAGGCATGCATAGTGATGTGCAAGAAAGAAGTGACCCCAGCTGAGAAACATCCCCTGAGTCAAGCCAGGACCTCCCTAGCCAGGGCACCATGATCACCAGTCATGCCCCTCCCATGGTGATCAAACTCAGATGACACTCAAATGGAACCAACCTCAGTTACAAAGATTCATCCTGAGACAAGGAGCACAGATGGACCTTGGCCAGGCCCAAGGGCAATGGGGCAAAGAGCTCCTGGAGGAGCTGAAACCCAGGTTCCTAGACCTCCCAGACCCCCCACAAATCTTGCTGACTCCAAGGCCTGGCTTGGCAGCTGGTACCTGCTGGAAGTACGCAGCAAAGCGGTGCAGGTACTGGTCATAGGGCAGCATGGCGTGTGTCTCACACCCAAAGCAGTTGATGTACCAGATACCCAGCAGGGCCAGCAAGACGGGGGCGTTCTTCTCCAGGGGCGTCGTGCGGAAGTGCTGGTCCTGAAACAGGAGCAGGATGAGTGGGAGCTGAGCAGCTGCACGGGGAGGGGAGGGACAGGACAGTGGGGGAGAAAGCGGGGGACCAGGACCAACACACGCGCCTCTGGCCAGCACTTGGCAGAGAACCAGCCTCAGCACTCACCATCCAGTGAGCCCCCGAGAGCAGCTGCTCGAAGTTGTCAAAACCTGTGACACAAAAGCAGAGTCAACAGAAGTGGCCACACCCTGCGTCCTGTGGGCAGTGGGCACAGCTCCTTCTGCAACGAAGGAAGGCTGCATGGAGAGCCAGAAGATACGACATGGGAGGACTCGGACCTAGACAAAGCCCCTCCAGTGAGAGGTGGCCCTGAGTGCAGGGATCTGACTCTGCCTAGGATAGGAGAGAAACAGGACTGCAGTTGTGAGGGGCAAAGACGGGGGCCAACTTGCACACGCAAAAAAACCCAGACCTTCCTTCTGGACATGAAATAAATATCCCAGCCAGCTGCAGAGAGGCCAGCAGCCTGTGAGGACAGCATGATGTTCAGGGACACAAGCCCCCTACCCCGACCTTAGACTGCAACACTGTCTCCCACAGGGGCTGCAAGACACAGAAACACACTCACCCACGTGCAGGGCAATGGAGAGTCCGATGGCCGACCACAGCGAGTAGCGTCCTCCCACCCACTAGGAGAGACAGGACAAGGTGCTGAGGGAGGGCCGGCACACCCCGCCCCCCACCTCCTGCCGGAAACCCTGTCCCTGGTCTTGCACAGGGGCGTCTCGGAGGGCCCTGGCCCAACCCACCTCCAGGAAGCAAGGCAGCAGGCAGGTGCTGGCAACACATGGGAAGACCAACAGGGCAGACTACAGATGACTGACCACAGCCACAAGACAAACTGAAGAGCTTACCGTGGTCTTCCCTGAGATGTCGGGCCCTGTCTCTGCAGACACCAGCAGACCCAGGACCTCATACCTGTGCCAGGGCCCACCTCCTCAGACACGGACACACCCAGGGCCTCATACCTGCGCCAGGGCCCACCTCCTCAGACACGGACAGACCCCAGGCCTCATACCTGTGCCAGGGCCCACCTCCTCAGACACGGACACACCCAGATCCTCATACTCATACCAGATCCTACCTCCTCAGATATGGACAGACCCAGGGTCTCACACCCATGCCCAGCCTCACCTCCCCAGACACTGGCAGACCCAAGGCCTCATACCTGCACACAGCTTCAACTCTTTAGACATGGTCAGACCCAGATGCTCATGCCTGTGCCAGATCCTACCTCCTCAGACATTGAAAAACCCAGATCCTCATACCTGTATGAGATCCTACCTCCTCAGATACTGACAGACCCAGATCCTCATACCAGGGCCAGATCCTACTTCTTCAGACACTAGAAGACACAGACCCTCCTACCAGGGACAGATCCTACCTCCTCAAATACTGACAAACCCAGATCCTCATACCAGGGCCAGATCCAACCACTTCAGACACTGACAGACTCAGGTCTTCATACCTGTATCAGATGCTACCTCCTCAGACATAGACCCAGATCCTAATACCTGTATCAGATCCTACTTCCTCAGATACAGAGACATGAAGATCCTCACACCTGTACCAGATTCCTAATTCCTCAGACACTGACACACACACAGATCCTCATACCTGTACCAGATTCCTACCTCTTCAGATATTGACAGACTCAGATCCTCATAAGGGGGCCAGATCCAACCTCCTCAGAAATTGACAGACTGAGATCTTCTTACTAGGGCCAGATCCTACCTCCTCAGAAACTGACAGATGCAGATCCTCTTACCAGTGCCAGATCCTACCTCCTCAGACATTAACAGACCCAGATCCTCACACCTGTACCAGATCCTACCTTCTCAGACATTGAAAGACCCAGATCCTTATACCTGCACCAGATCCTACCTCCTCAGACATGAACAGAACCAAATCCTCATACTCATGCCAGATCTTACCTCCAGACATGACAGACCCAGATCCTCATACCTGTACCAGATACTGCCTCCTCAGACATTGACAGACCCAGATCCTCATGCTTATGCCAGATCCTACCTCCTCAGTCACTGACAGAACCAGATTCTCATAATTAATACCAGATCCCACCTCCTCAGACACTAGAAGATCCAGATTCTCATACCTGTGCCAAATGCCACCTCCTCAGACACCCGAAGACCCAGATCCTCACAACTGTACCAGATCCTACCTCCTCAGATACTGACAGACCCAGATCCTCATACATGTACCAAATTCCCACCTCTTCAGAAATTGACAGACCCGGATCCTCATACCAGGGACACATCCTACCTGCTCAGACATGGACAGACCCGGATTCTCATACCAGGGCCAGATCCTACCTCCTCAGACATTGACAGACCCAGATCCTCATACCTATAAGAGATCGTACCTCCTAAGTCACTGGAAGACACATCTCCTCATTCCTGTACCAGATGGTAACTCCTCAGACTTTGACAGACGCAGATCCTCATACCTGTACCAGATTCCTACCTCCTCTGATATTGACAGACCCAGATCCTCATTCCTGTACCAGATGGTAACTCCTCAGACATGGACAGTCCTAGATCCTCATACCAGGGCCAGATCTTACCTCCTTAGACATGGACAGACCCAGATCCTCATACCAGGACCCGATCCCACCTCCTCAGATACTGATGGACACAGATCCTCATACTTGTACCCAGCCTCACTTCCCCAGACACTAGAAGACTCAGGGCTTCATACCTGTGCCAGATGCTATCTCCTCAGGCACTGGAAGCCCAAGGGCCTCAAACCTGAGTCCAAACTCACCTCCTCAAACACTGGAAGACGCAGATCCTCATATCTGTGCCAGGTGCTACCTCCTCAGACATGGAAGACCCATATCCTCATACCTGTGCCAGGTGCTACCTACTCAGACACGGGAAGACCCAGATCCTCATACCTGTGCCAGGTGCTACCTCCTCAGACACAGGAAGACCCAGATCCTCATACCTGTGCCAGGTGCTACCTCCTCAGACACGGGAAGACCCAGATACTCATACCTGTGCCAGGTGCTACCTCCTCAGACACTGGAAGACCCAGATTCTCATACCTGTGCCAGGTGCTACCTCCTCAGACATGGAAGACCCATATCCTCATACCTGTGCCAGATGCTACCTCCTCAAACATTGGGAAGACCCAGATCCTCATACCTGTGCCAGGTGCTACCTTCTCAGACACAGGAAGACCCAGATTTCATACCTGTACTAGATGTTACCTCCTCAGACACCAGCAGACCCAGGGCCTCATACCTGTAACCTGCTGTTATCTCCTCAGACACCAGCAGACCCAGGGCCTCATACTTGTACCAGATCCTACCTCCTCACACACTGGAAGACCCAGATGTCATACCTGTACTTAGCCCACCTCCTTGGATACCTCTTCCAGCACCACATACCTGTACCAGGCCCTACTTCCATAGACACTTGCAGACCCAGAGCCCCTTACCGGTGCCAGGACCCACCTTCTCAGTCTCATACTTGTGCCCAGGTATGCTTCCTTGGACAATGAAAGACCCAGCAGCTCTCTGCTACACTTGGCTAGGTCTCCTCAGATATTAAAAACCCACAGCTACATTTCTGTTCCCCAGCCCACCTGCTTGAACAGTGGCCCAGTGCCTCATACTTGTGCCAGGCCCCACATCCTCAGATACTGACAAACCCAGATCCTCACACCTGTGCCATTCTTTGTTGAACAATGAAGACTCATCACTTTGTACCTGTGCCCATTCCCAACTCCTCAGGTGGTACTGACAGATCCAGAACCTTAGACCTGTGCCTCACCCCACCTCCTGGACACTGACAGGCCCAGTGGGTCATATCTGGGCTTGACCGATCTTCTCGGCCTATCACCTAGGCCTATCATTCACACTGCACCTTCTCAAGCCACACCTGCAAGCTCCACTTGGTGCCATCAGAGTCCTCAGAACTTCACGGATGTCTTCCTAACAGCTGTTTATGGAGCACCTCCCACATTTCTAGCACAGGCAACGGACACAGAGTGTGGGAGAGAGACGTACATCAAATAATCATGCCAATAAATGTGAAACTGAGAAACAAGTGCTGAGGAGAAATTGGAACATGGTGCTGAGGCCACTTATAAAAGGAACCTGAGGGGTACTTGACCCTTGATCTCAAGAACGAGCAGGCATGACCCAGAGAAGCACTGAGGGAGCATTCCAGCAGCCATAACAGCACATGCAAAGGTCCCGTGGCCAAAGCAGTCTTTCTCAAGCGTGACAGAATTAAGGCCCACAGAAAATGATCTGAGTGACTTCTCAGTTCTCCCAAGGATGGTCCAAGACTAGTAACCTTCTAGACACGAAGGAGAGGTGCCCACTTATTACATCCAGTAGATGCCTTGGGCTGTGAGGGCTTAATTCTCTCCTGGAAGCCCACTGAGGCAGGGGGAAGCATAGCACCTTCCAGAGGATAAAGGAAGGGGTGGGGACCGCAGGGTGGAAGCTGAGAGGCACGGTGGGAGGACTGAGAACAGTCTGCGGCTAAGACAAGGACAGAAGCAAACAAGCCACTTTGAAGCCCCGGAGATGGACTGGGGAGTGCAGAGGACTCATTCTGGGAGCTCTCCAGTGTGGCCGAGAGGTTTCTGGCTTGGGCAATGAGATGACCGGTGGGGCCACTCACTTGGAAAGGCTCTGGGTTTCCGGGAACCTTACCTGACAGACGCAGTCCTACAGACTACATCATGCTTGACATAGGCTCTCACATCTCATCTAACAGATGCAGTTCTATTTTTTTCTTTTTTTTTTAAGAGACAGGGTCTTGCTCTGTTGCCCAGGTGGAGTGCAGTGGCATGATCACAGCTCACCGCAGCCTCAAACTCCTGGGCTCAAGTGATCCTCCCATCTCAGCCTCCCCAGTAGCTGGGACTACAGGCACACACCACCATGCTTGACTATTTTTTAAATTTTTTGTAGAGATGGGGTCTTGCTCTGTTGTCCAGGCAGGTTTTGAACACCTGGCCTCAGCCTCCCATCTCAGCCTCCCGAAGCTCAGGGATTACAGCCATGAGCCACCACACCCAGCCCAGACTCAGCTCTAGAAACTAAACTTCAGCACACAGCCAGCCCTCTGGCTGACAGAGTCCAGGCTGCTCACCTTGGCCGAGAACAGGTCCTCAGATCCCAGTTTTGTGACAGCCCAGCAATGCCAAGCAGTGTCTGACCTGAGCCTCCGAACCCTCAATCTGCAGACATGGGTCTCTAGACCTCACCTTTAAGTGCAGTGGCCTCTGAGACCATACATTATAGATGCAGCTCCTCAGTCAGTTCAATGTCCTGGGCCTAACCTGCCCCAGTGCCCCAGATCTCACCTTATCTAACCATCATCTACCTTTTTCCTCACTTTACTCACTTTCTTTTTTTTTGAGACAGGGTCTCTCACTCTGTCGCCCAGGCCTGAGTGTAGTGGCATGATCTCAGCTCACTGCAACCTCTGCCTGCCAGGTTCAAGCAATTCTCCTGCCTCAGCCTCCTGAGTAACTGGGATTACAGACATGTGCCACCATGCATGGCTAATTTTTGTATTTTTAGGAGATGGGGTTTCACCGTGTTGACCAGACTGGTCTCAAACTCCTGACCTCAAGTGATCCACCCACCTCGGCCTCCCAAAGTGCTGGGATGACAGGCGTGAGCCACTGCGCCTGGCAACTTTCCTCACTTTTAACTCAGACCCTGTGTCAACTGGAGCACAATGCCATCTTGGATGCAGACCAACACCATGGACTGGTTACAGATCCTCAGCCCTCTGTATTACCCTGAGCTCTGTCTATCATACCTGACCAGGGTGCTGAGAACAGATACCTGTCCCAGCTGATCTTTAGGGTTCCCTAGACATCACCAGGCAGACCCAGGTACAAACACCTACAATGACTACGGCTTTCCCTTGATATAAGAGCCCACACTACTCACCTAATTGTGTCTGACCCTACCACCGAAGGTCTCACCTGTGTCTGACCCACCTTCCCCAGGCCTGGCCAGCCTCACCATTATGCATTCCTGTGCTAGACCCCACCCACTTCACCTAACAAGCCCAGCAGTACTTTTGTGCTTGAACCCAGGTGTCAAGAACCCACCTGAGACCATGTTTATACAACCTCTGTGGAACTGAGCCTGGATCCACAGACTCACTGCTAATGTCAGGTCAACATACCAGCACTGAGCCTGAATCCACAGACTCAGTGCCAATGCTAGGTCAACATACCAGCACTGAGCCTGGATCCACAGACTCACTGACAACACCAGGTCAACATACCAGCACTGAGCCTGGATCCATGGACTCACTGCCAATGTCAGCTAAACATACCAGCACTGACCCTGGATCCACAGACTCACTGACAACACCAGGTCAACATGCCAGCACTGAGCCTGGATCCACAGACTCACGACAACACCAGGTAAACATACCACCATTGAGCCTGGATCCGTAGACTCACTGACACAACCAAGTAAATATACCAGCACTGAGCCTGGATCCACAGACTCACTGACATAATCAGGTAAACATACCAGCACTGAGCCTGCATCGGCAGACTCACTGACAACACCAGATAAACATACCAGCACTGAGCATCGATGCAATGGTTTCACCTGGGAGACCTAGTTCTGCCTATTTGTGTCCAACTCCAGTGCCTCAGGCTACAGAGTTATATACCTGTCAAAGATGGGTTCCAGACATCTCAGCTGATAGACCAGGCTTCACATAACCTGACCCCTCACACCTTGACTGACAGACCCGGTTCCCTTGCCTAAGCCCAACTCAGATTCCTTACAGCCTCCCAGGGTCCAGCTTTATTTATGTGAGCCTGGCCTCGGCAGTCCACATCCTGTGTCTGGCTTGGCTTTTCATGTCTCACAGACAGATCCAATGCTGCCAATCTCTGCTTAACGTCAGCACCAATGAGCTCACTGAGGAGCCTCAGACCTCATCAAATGGAACATCTCTGCCTACCTGTGCTCCCCAGCTGAGATGCGTAGTTCTACCAACTTGTGACTAACCCACTGTCCCCAGGCCTAAGACTGAGTCAGCACAACTAAGCCAGAACCACGCACCAATGACCTCACCTGCAAGACCCCAGCTGTATGTCTCTCTAGCTACAAAGTCCTTGCTTGAGAGAGATACATCTACCTACCCACGTCTAACTTAGGGGCCACAGACCTCCTAGGAAACCCACAATGTTCTGCCTGCCTGTAGAGACCCCCATGCTATGGGGTTGACCTGGGAGGCCGCTCTATACACCTAGGCTCAACTCTGGTTCTTCAGGCTTCACCTCAAACACCCAGGGGCACATTCCTGTGCCTGAATCCAACTCCTGAAAGAGCCAACTCTATCTACCTGCATTCAACCTAACTCCTCAGCTCTCCTTCAAGAGACTACTCCTGGCAGACCAGTTTTGTCTACCTGCCTGACCCTGGCTCCTCAGACCACACATGGTGGGCCAGCTCTGCCTACCTGTGCTTGACCCTGGGTTCTCAGACCACACCTGAAAGGCTATCTCTACCTACCTGTGCTTGAACCTGGGTTCTCAGACCACACGTGAAAGGCTATCTCTACCTACCTGTGCTTGAACCTGGGTTCTCAGACCACACCTGAAAGGCTATCTCTACATACCTGTGCTTGACCCTGGGTTCTCAGACCACACCTGAAAGGCTATCTCTACCTACCTGAGCTTTTCGCTGGGTTCTCAGACCACACCTAGTGACCCAGACTACCTACCTGTACTTGATCCTGGCTCTTCAGACCATACCTGGCAGGCAGCTCTACCTACCTGAGTCTGACCCTGGCTCCTCAGACCATACCTGGTGGGCCAGCTTTGCCTACCTGTGCTTACCCTGGCTCCTCAAACCACACCCAGTGGGCCAGCTCTACCTACCTGTAGTTGACCTTGGCTCCTTAAACCACACCTGAAAGACTATCTCTACCTACCTGTGTTTGACTCTGGCTCTTTGGAGTACACCTGGCATGCCAGATCTACCTACCTGAGCCTGATGTTGGCTCTTCAGATCATACTTGGTGGGCCAAGTCTGCCTACCTGTGCTCAATGCTGGCTCCTGGGCTTGTGCCTGGTGGACCAGCACCCCCTACCTGCATGTGATGAGGGTTCCTGAGCTTGTACCTTGTGGGCCAGCTCTGCCTACCTCTACTTCACACCTCAGCTGCTTACACCTCATCCAACACACTTGGTTCTTCTTACCTGGGCTTGACTATGACTTTTTAGGTCTCATGAACACACTCAGCTTTGTGAAGCTGCCCTGATCCTGGCTCCAAAGACCTTACCTGCCAAACCCTGTTCTACACACCTGTGTTTAACTCCCGTTCTTCAGACCTGATAGACCCGAAGATGTACCTGGGCCAGGCTCCAAAGACCTCACCCAAGAAACTCAATTCCACATACCTACATACCTGTACCTGGCCACAGCTCCTCAACCTCACCCAGGAGAAGAACTTCTACCCACCCATCTTTTTTCTTTTTTTTTTTTTTTTGTTTTTTGTTTGAGACAAAGTTTCACTCTTGTTGCCCAAGTTGAAGTGCAGTGGCATGATCTCGGCTCACTGCAAACCCCACCTCCCGGGTTCAAGCAATTCTCCTGCCTCAGCCTCCTGAGTAGCTGGGATTACAGGCGTGTGCCACCACACCCAGCTAATTTTTGTATTTTTTAGTAGAAATGGGGTTTCACCCCGTCACCATGTTGGCCAGGCTGGTCTTGAACTCCTGACCTCAGATGATCCACCCACCTTGGCCTCCCAAAGTGCTGGGATTACAGGCATGAGCCACCACACCCAACCCCCGCTTTTTTTTTTTTTTTTTTTTGGAGATAGTCTCACTGTCACCCAGGCTGGAGTGCAGTAGCACCATCTTGGCTCACTCTGCCTCCCCAGTTCAAGCAATTCTGGTGCCTCAGCCTCCCAAGTAGCTAGGACTGTAGGCATGCACCACCATGCCTGGCTAATTTTTGTAGTTTTAGTAGAGACGGGGTTTCGCTATGCTGGCCAGGCTGGTCTCGAGCTCTTGACTTCAACTGATCTGCCTGCCTTGGCCTTCCAAATTGCTGGGATTATAGGTGTGAGCCACTGTGCCTGGCCTACCCATCTGTCTTGACACCACCTGGGAAATCCAGACCTGCTCACTGTGCCAGATCCCAGCTCCTCAGACCTCCTGAGAGACCTGGCTCTATCCACCTGCCTTCACTTCATATCCTCAGAGGTCATCTACCACATCCAGGTCTTTCTAGATGAGCCTAATCCGGACTCCTTGGGCCTCACCTGATAGATCCGTTCTACCTGTGCCTGACCTCAACTGCAGGACAGTTTAATTGGTTTGACCATGGCTGTTCCGGTCAACCTATCTTTGCATGCTCCTGGTTTCATAGATGTCACCTGACAAACTCTACCCACCATGCTTAACACAGCTTCTCGGTCTTGGGATACAAACCAGAGCCTGACCTCAGTGGCTCAGACCTTAACCTGTGAGACCCAAAAATACATACCTGTGTCTCACCTTAACCCCTGAAACCTCGCCTGCTAGATCTGCTCTACGTACCTCGACCAGACCCAGGCTTCATCCACCTTTCTGATGGATGCGGTTCGTCATCCCTTTGTCTGACCCCATCCCTTTGTCTGGTCTCTTCCCAGGGGACCCAGGCTCACCCACCAGAGCTGCTCAGACATCGCCCAAGGACACAGCTCCAACCTGGACCCAATCACAGATTTTCAGCCCTCACTTGTCAGACCCAGCTCGACCTGTCTGCCTATCTTTAGCTCCAACGTCCTTACCAGACTGGTCCAGTTCTGCCTACCTGAGTACAGTCTTGGCTCCTCAGGCCTCCCCTAGAAACCCAGCCATACAAACCTGTCTGATTCCAGCTCCTAGGACCTCAGACAGACGCGGCTCTGAAAGGCTGCATTATACACACCTAACCTGAACAGACACTTTCCTCACACATGACAGATCCCTGGCTGCTGACCTCGGCCTGAGGGAGCCTGGTGAGAGCCCAGTGTTGACAAACACTGTCTGACTGGCTCAGCCTTGATGTCTGCCCTGTAGACCCAGGTCTCTGGCCCTTTACCCAACCTGAGCCACTCAGACCGCACCCACCCAGCACAGCTCCTCATGCCACCTGCCTGCCTCACCTGCCCCAGCTCCCCTGTCCTTGCCTCATATCACCAGGTACATTCCTACCTCTCCCGCATCTGGGCTCTGCAGACCCTGATGCCACAGACTTGGACTTCAGTCACAAATTCTCAGAGGCCTCTGACGCCCTGAGCTCTGCCCATCACACCCAGTCAGGATGCTGAGAAGCAGGTGCTGACCTGTGTGTCCCTAATCCTGGGTTCTAAACTTGTGCAATCAGCCACCCACTACCTGATCCTCACTTTTCGGAACCGGCCAGAGATCCCAGCGTGCACACCTGTCCCATGCCATAGGTCTACACCACCTCCCACAGAGCCCGGCTGACATATGCACATACATAGCTTTGGCTCCTCAGACTTCACCTGACAGAACCACCTCTAAATACCTGCCTCTCCTCTGGAATTCACAGACCTATGGGTCCCTCTCCTGTCCTGGCTCCTCTTCAGAACTCACCTGGACCTGCTCTGGCTCTGCTTCAGGCCTCTCCAGCCAAAACTGGCCCTGTGGCGTGCGCTGACCCTGGCCGAGCCCTGAGAGACCCCATGGTTTCCCACCACACCCCTGCCTGATCCCGACACCCATGGCTGCCGCAAAACTGGCCCTGGCGGACCAAGAATTACCTCTTCTACATACCCCTACCAGACGGGACTCTTCTGATCTCACCTGAGGGCCGGCACTGCATCCCTAGGCCTGAGCTGATGGCTGTAGCTCACCCGAGACCCCACCTGCAGGAACTTCGCCTGCTCCTATCCCTGGGTTCTTCAGATATCACCTTCTTGATTCAGCAGGATACACTCTAGTAACTCAGGCAGGTCCCTCCTCCAGCCGTTGTGGGCTGTCTAGCCTGGCCCAGGAGGCCTCCACTTAGGTCTCACCAGCCAGCCCTGGCCCCATGTTCCTGTGTCCAGCTATCATTCCTAGGCCTTACCTGGGAGGCCAGACCCATCCTCTCCTTAAGCCACACCCTAACTCATCTCTACATGCTGGGTGGTGACAAGCAAGGACACCCCGATCTGCTTGGCTCCTTGGCTGGCAGCAGCACCCACACATCCCTGCCCACCACCTGCTCAGGCTCCAGATCCCAAGGAGGAGGTGGAAGGTGCCTGCCCTCCATTATCAGCCATGCAACATTTATTAGAAGCCGCACAGTCTCTCTTGACCAGTGTTCCGCATCTGAGCCACAGGATGCAGAAAATGACTTGAGTGATTCTCGTCAATTCTTCCAAGGATGGTATGTAACTAGTCTCATTCTAGAAAGAAGTTAACTCATTATACACAGTGGATGGCTTAAGGGATTAGGGCTTCATTCTCTCCCAGACCCTGGTAGTAAAAGGCCTTTAGAGCTTTCAAAGGAATGAGGTTATGTCTGTGGATGCCATCACCAAGCAAAGGGCCTCTGGTCCAAATGCCTGGAGACAGCCCCAGGTGGGAAAACCACCAAATGGGCAATGCCCTCTCTGCTGCGCCTGCCACAGCGTTAGAGCCCTGCACGTAAGCCCGGCCATGCCCACAGCATTCACAGTGCCTGCATCACACCCTGCACTGCACCCCTGCACCCTGGGCTTCACAGTCAGAGCCCTCCTCACACCACTGCTGAGCTCAGGCAAGTGCACAAGGAAAGCTGTGGCTCACTGCTCGGCTCCAGCAGAGGTGGTCCCATGGACCACCTGTTGCTACAGAGGGGTCGGCAGCCCTGTCACTCAAGGCAGGGTTTGCTCTGCAAGCTGCCCCAGCCTGGCGCCTCCTCTACGCCACCCCCCCAGCTCCTCCTGCAGCTCCTGTTGCTCCTTTCCAGGCCTACCCGGTCATACCTCATGCCTCACCCTGCCCTTGGCCTTTACAGATGGTGGCTGCAGTTCAGAGAAAGGTCATCACTGAGAATAACTCACAACCTCAACTCTGTGAGCGTGGCAAGGGGGACTCGGGTTACCCCACAGTGGGTGTTGCAGGCAGGCACCCAAGGGAGTGTCATGTGGCCCTGCAAGCTCAGCCCGCCCTCAGGTGGAAGTGGAGCCCTCATCCTGCCTGGGTTGCTCTTGCCCTCCAAGCCTCTCTGAGGGCCTCTCTACCTTTCCCCAAGCTAGGTATGCAGCAGGTACTCAATAAACACTGACCTGACCTCATGGGCCTCTCAACAGCCATGACTTGGCAAAGGACACTTAATTCACCCAGTGCAGAAGTGCTTGTACTTACATCCCAGAACTCGAACATGTTTTGAGGGTCAATTCCAAACTCCTTCACTTTGGTCTACAAAAAAAAAAACAAAGGGAGAGAAATGCAAAGAAGCATTTGCTAGCGGGATGGGAACAGGAGCTCCGGGAGGCAGGGAGCTGTGCTCCGTGAGCTGAGCCTCACCTTCCCCAGAGCCAGGGATGGGGCAGGGCTGGAGCAGCCTGTGAGTCGAGGGCAGGGCCCAGGATCTGCCCACCCCAAGCTGGACACCAGATCAGTCCATGACCAGCACGCCAGTGACGTTGTGCCTGCAAAGCCCCCTGCTGAGGGCAGCTGTAACCCCGTGTGAGGACCTGGCCCACACACTGCTCTGCAACAGCTCTCACCCAGGCCTGCCTGGGACACCAGAGCATGATACCCCTGGACATCTGGGAACCGAACCTAGGACTGGGACCCAAGTGTGGGCAGGGGCCACCTACCAGGCCAGGCAAACAAACACAGGCTGAACAGCCACCCAGCCCTTCCCATGTGTGGGAGGGTGACTGCACCAGGAAGCTCTGAGGAGCCATCAGGTATTCTGGTCCCCAGGGCAGACAGGGCCAGCAATTCCTTACCTATTCCACATAGGAGGAGAAGCCCTACTGACCAGTCAGTTGCAGGCAGGCAACAGTGCTATGGTTAGCCAGCCTTATGGCGTCCTGCTGCAGCTGGGTAGGCACTGGAGGCAGAGATGTGGGGATGATGGTGGAGGGGGTGGGAGGGAGATGTGGGTGTAGTCCCCAGCTCTGACACAGCACAGTGCCCACTGGCTGACTGCTGCTGTCACTCCTGGAGCATCCCTCACTCTGTCATGCCCTGCTGAGCCTGCACAACCTCGAGGCCAGGCAGACTGTGAGAACTTGGAGACAGGAGACCCAGGTTCTAATCCTGGCATCACCTACTCATACAGTCACTAAGTGGGCCGGGTACAGTGGCTCATGCCTATAATCCCAACACTTTGGTAGGCCGAGGTGGGCAGATCACTTGAGGTCAAGAATTCGAGACCAGCCTGGCCACCATGGAGAAAACCTGTCTCTACCAAAAATACAAAAATTACCTGGACGTGGTAGTGGGCGCCTGTAATCCCAGAATCAGCAGGCTGAGGCATAAAAATTACTTGAACCCAGAAGGCAGAGGTTGCAGTGAGCCAAGATCGTACCACTG
Organism: Homo sapiens; assembly: GCF_000001405.40. Classification (NCBI taxonomy): domain Eukaryota; kingdom Metazoa; phylum Chordata; class Mammalia; order Primates; family Hominidae; genus Homo; species Homo sapiens. The sequence goes on along the minus strand of NC_000019.10, from coordinate 34,380,337 downwards.
CACTCTAGCCTGAGTGACAGAGTGACCTTGTCTCAAAAAATAAGCTGGACATGGTGGCACACACCTGTAATCCCAGCACTTTGGGAGGCTGAGGTGGGCAGATCACTTAAGGTCAGGAGTCAGAGACCAGCCTGGCCAACGTGGTGAAACCCCGTCTCTACTAAAAATACGAAAATAGCTGGGCATGGTGGCGTGCACCTGTAATCCCAGCTACTCGGGAGGCTAAGGCAGGAGAATCGCTTGAACCTGGAAGGCAGAGGTTGCAGTGAGCCAAGATCACGCCACTGCACTCCAGCCTGGGCAACAGAGTGAGACTGTCTTAAAAAAAAAAAAAAAAAAAAAAAAAACAAAACCACACACACTAAGTAGGGGGCAAAATGTCACCTCCCTTCATTGGGGCTTTATGTCCTTAAGTGAAAAATGGAATGCATCCTCTACCCCTACCTAGCATGTCACATTTGGGGAGATGCTGGGCACAAAGGCCTAGGAAGGTCATGTGTATGAAGGGTTCTGTGTATCAGTCAGGCCTGGGAGACGGAAGAAGGGGTTATCGTGATCCCACTGACTCCAAGCCTCCCTCCTCAAAGCTGCAGAGGTTGAATGGGTAAATGCGGAAAAGGCAAGGAAGGCTTGCAGCCCACAGGCAACCAAACCTTCCATACCATCAGCCAAGCCAAGATCCACCAGACCTACGAACCGCGTCTCTGAGAGGCCATGACCTGGACATGCTGGGCACTCCCAGGAAGGCAGTACAGGGGACCACGGGGGCACTTACTGTGTTAGTAGACAGGGCAACAAAGTGCTTCGCCACTGCAGAAGGCTACAAGAGACAGAGCCAAGTTACCACAGCCAGCCCAGGGAGACAAAGGGTAGTCACTTCCCATCACTAGAGGAACCAAGGCCCTGCATGGGACTGAGATTCCCAGTCCTTGGTTCTGAGACTGTTGGAGAAGGCCCACATCGAGGTCAAGGTCAAGAAAGCAGACGGGTCACAGGCCGCCTGCTCATCCCATCTTACAAGCATACGGGGCTCAGGGACGTCCCTCCCCTATAAAATAGGTGTGGCCAAGAGTTCCTGCAGCGCCAAGGGCCTGCAGAGAAAGGGCCATGCAAGGGCTGTCAGCCAGCGAGAGCAGGTTCTGTCACATCTGCAAGGCTGGGTCTGACAAAGCCAAGATGAACAATCATCTCATCTAGCAAAGGCAGGCACCGGCAAGGCCGCCTTCACTTCCAACTTCAGGAGAAACACGGCCAGACTTGGTCACTCAGGGGCCCACCCTGCTCTTCCCAGCCCAGAGGCTAACCACGAGGAAGGCCCTATAGCCCACTCACATCCTTGGCCGCCTGGAGAAACCACTCCTTCGCCGTCTCTGCATTCGTGATGGTCTCCTGGGTAGTAAAGGTCTGCAACCAAAGAGAACAGCAGTGGGCGCCCGAGCTTAGGGGTGGGTGCAGGCCTTGAGCCAGGGTTCAGCAGTAGAGGCCAAGGCAATGCCCAGCTGTCCCATGGAGCAGTATTTGCAGGTCAGTGACAGTGACGCCACATAACCTCCTGAGATTCCAGCTCTTTAAAACCAGAGGAGGGGGGACGGTAAACACACCCCCCAACCCTAAGCCTGCAGGTCAAAGGCCGCAGCTTCTCCCCTGAGGGGCTGCAGTCAACCTGAGGCTCTCTTCGGCCCAGGCTGGAAGGTATCTCAGAATTCAGATGGAATTCTTCATATTTTATGTACATTCATGTGAGTAAATAGAACATAAATAAAAACAAACAAAACCCCTCTATTATCAGGGCATGGCTCTGGGATCAGAAAGGAGCAAGCATGGCTGGGCATGGCGGCTCAAGACTGTAATCCCAGCACTTTGGGAGGCCAAGGGGGGGTGCATCACCTGAGGTCAGGAGTTCAAGACCAGCATGGCCAACATGGCAAAAGCCCATCTCTACTAAAAAATAATAATAATAAATAAATAAATAATAAAATTAGCCAGGCGTGGTGGTGTGTGCCTAGTCCCAGCTACTTGGGAGGCTGAGGCAGGAGAATCGCTTGAAACCTGGGAGACGGAGATTGCAGTGAGCCGAGATCACGCCACTACACTCCAGCCTGGGTGACAGAGCCAGACTCTGTCTCAAAAACAACAACAAGAAAAGGAGCAGGCATAAAGGACAGGTTTGTAAGAAAGTGGCGAGCAGTCCCAGGCTGAGCAGAGATGCCGCAAGGCGAGCGGGTGTGGTCAGGACACAAAGGTTCAAACTGATGTGTTCAGGATTTCATCAGTCAACCTTATTTGCTGCTAGGCATGGAAACAGTCTAGGGCAGCTGTACTGACCTGATCCACAAACCATGGTTCACTCGGAACCCACCAAAAGGGACCAATGGCCAGGGGGATGGCAAGACAGCTGTCCCTCCCCACCCCAACACACACAGGGCCAGGGGCCGGGCAGTTTTCGGCACTCATACCTTGGAGGCAATGATGAACAGGGAGGACTCGGGGTTCAGCTGGGCCAGGGTTTTGGCAATGTGAGTTCCATCAATGTTGGAGACATACCAGACGCGGGGACCTCCTGAAGAGTATGGCTTAAGGGCTTCAGTCACCATGAGGGGTCCCTGCGGGGAGACATAGCATCAGAGAATAAGAATTCAGGGCCCACGAAAAGTGGAGACAGCCAGGTCCCATCCCTGGAGAAAGTAAAGACCTGAGTGGGACCAACAGTGCCCAGACTCCCACCCTACCCCAAGGCAGTTTTCTCCTCACCAGGTCGGAGCCGCCAATGCCAATGTTGATGACGTCCGTGATGGTCTTGCCTGTGTACCCCTTCCAGTCACCGCTCCGGACACGCTGGCACAGGGGCGAAGATGCCATCAGCCCAAACCCCCAGGCATAATCCGCTGCTCAAAAACATCATTACTGCCGTGTCCTGGTACCTCAGTCCCAGCTTTCAGGCCCTCGCAGGTGCCTCTATTTTTTTGTTTTTAATTTACCATATATATATATATATATATATTTTTTTTTTTTTTTTTTTTTTTTTTTTTTTTTTTTGAGATGAAGCCTTGCTCTGTTGCCCAGGCTGGAGTGCAGTGGCATGATCTCGGCTCCCTGCAATCTCTGCCTCCCAGGTTCACGTCATTCTCCTGCCTCAGCCTCCTGAGTAGCTGGGACTACAGGCGCCCGCCACCACACCCAGCTAGTTTTTTGTATTTTTAGTAGAGACAGGGTTTCACCGTGTTAGCCAGGATGGTCTCGATCTCCTGACCCTGTGATCTGCCCGCCTCAGCCTCCCAAAGTGCTGGGATTACTGGCTTGAGCCACCGCACCCAGCTATTTATTTTTAATTTTTTTTTTGAGACAGAGTCTCCACTTTCTGGGTTCTAACAATTCTCATGCCTCAGTCTCCTGAGTAGCTGGGACTACAAGCCTGCGCCACCAGCATGCCTAGCTAATTTTTTTGTATTTTTAGTAGGGACGAGGTTTTGCCATGTTGGCCAGGCTGGTCTCGAATTACTGGCCTCAAGTGATCTGCCCAGCTCGGCCTCCCAAAGTGCTGGAATTACAGGTGTGAGCCACCGCGCCTCGCTATTTACTTATTTTTAAAACTGTGCCTTAGGGGCCAGGCAGGGTGGCTCAAGGCTGAGACAGGAGGATTGCTTGAGTCCAGGAAGTTGAGGCTGCAGCAAGCCAAGATCGCAACACTGCACCTCCAGCCTAGGTGACAGAGGAAGACCCTGACTCCAAAAACAGAACAAAATGCTCTGCTTTAGCCTTTTTTTTTTTTTTTTTGAGACAGGGTCTCACTCCGTCGCCCAGGCTGGAGTACAACGGCACGATCTCAGCTCACTGCAGCCTCCGCCTCCAGGCTCCAGGGTTCAAGCAATTCTCCTGCCTCAGCCTCCCAAGTAGCTGGGATTACAGGCACCTGCCACCCTGCCCAGCTAATTTTTAGTATTTCCAGTAGAGATGGGGTTTCGCCGTGTTGGCCACGCTGGTCTCAAACTCCTGACCTCAGGTGATCCACCTGCCTCGGCCTCCCAAAGCGCTTGGATTACAGGCATGAGCCACCACGCAAAGCCTATTTTATTTTTTGTAGAGACAGCGTCTTGCTACGTTGCCCAGCCTGGTCTCTAACTCCTGGCCTCAAATAATCCTCCCATCTTGACCTCCCAAAGTGTTGGGATTACAGGCGTGAGCCACTACACAAGGCATAGGAGTCTCTGGAGACCACACTGGTCCCTGCCACACTCACCACCAACTAGACTCTTTCCTGGTTACAACAGTGAGACATCCCTACCTTACAGCGACACTGTCAGAATTTGCAAAACCAGGGATAACTCGGCAGAATCTGCTATGCCAGAGACCAAGAGATGTGAAATGTTGAAAACTGTGACTGGGCTATGCTGGGGAAAGGAGTATCAGACCCGCAGCCAGTCTCCAATCAGACACCAGTGATCCTTGCTTCCTGGAATTCATGCCTCTGCATAGCTTCCGCCTGTGCTGGGAGGGGTGACCTATGCACCCATCCAGAGACTGCAAAAAGGGGTGAAATGTGACTTCAGAAGTGAGTTCAGAGAACGTGCAGTTTCTGCTTTGCTCTCTTGGATGACTCGCTTTGGGGAAGCTGTCTATCATGTTGTGAAGACATTCAAACAGTTTCATAAAGAAGCCCACGCGGCAGCGAACTAAGGCCTTTTTCCAAAAGTCACAGCCAACTCGCTTCCTGTGTATGGGACACTTTAGAGGGGGGTCCTCCAAACCCATCAAAACTTCCGATAACTGGGGCGCTGGCCAACATGTTGACTACAGCCTTATGAGAGATCCCCAAACCAAGACCAACCAGCTAAGCCGCTCCCAAACTTCTGACCCACAGACACTGTGAGAGGTAATAAAAGTTTACTGCTAGGCCGGGCATGGTGGCTCACACCTGTAATCCTGGCACTTTGGGAGACCAAGGCAGGCAGATCACAAGGTCAGGAGTTCGAGACCAGCCTAGTCAACATGGTGAAACCCCGTCTCTGCTAAAAAAAAAAAATACAAAAATTATCCAGGCATGGTGGCGTGTGCCTGTAATCTCAGCTACTCGGGAGGCTGAGGCAGGAGAATTGCTTAAATCCAGGAGGCAGAGGTTGCAGTGAGTGGAGATCACGCCATTGCACTCTAGCCTGGGCGACAGAGCAAGACTCCGTCTTAAAAAAAAAAAAAAAAGTGTATTGCTGTTTTAACCCAAGTTTTGATGTCATTTGTTATACAATGATAGATAACTAATACAGATTTTGGTATCAGAAGTACAGTGTGGTCATAATAAAAACCTAAATATGCAGGCCGGACTCAGTGGCTCATGCCTATAATCCCAGCACTTACTGGGAAACTGAGGCAGGAGGATCACTTGAGGCCAAGAGTTTAAAACTAGCCTGGGCAACATAGCAAGACGTCATCTCTACAAAAAATAAAAAAGTAGCCAGGCATGGTGACATGTGCCTGTAGTCCCAGCAACTTAGAAGGTTGAGGTGGGGAATTGCTTGAGCCCAGGAGTTCGAGGCTGCAGTGAGCAGTGACTGCACCACTGCACTCCAGCCTGGGCGACAGTGTGAGACCCTACCTCAAAAAAAAAAAAAACAAAGAAAAAAAGAAAAAAGAAAGAAAAGAAAAGAAATAATTATCCCATACATACCAGTCATCCCATGCCCACCTCACCATTGTATGCTGGGTGTGTGAGGGGTAATTTGTCTCTTTAAATTCTCATGTCTTCAGATTGAAAGGAACTGTACTAAAGGAAATGCAGGTACTACTACACCTGTACTTGACAAAATGAGGTTCTAGACTTCTAACAGACTTCTAATACTGTAACAGAATATGGACTTAGGAGAAAGTGAGTGGGGTATCTGTGTGTGGAAGGAACAAAATCAATCACTAGGCGCCAGAAGCGGGACTATGATAGTCCCCCACCTTCTAAGATGGTGACCAGTGGTCCTTGTCTCCTGGCATTAACCCACTGATGCAGTCCCTTCCCATGATGACCAGAGCTGATCTGTAACACCAACGGGGTATTATAGAAATCAAAGAGTGTAGCCGGGCGTGGTGGTTCACCCTGTAATCCCAGCATTTTGGGAGGGCAAGGCAGGCGGATCACTTGAGATCAGGAGTTCAAGACCAGCCTGGCCAAAATGGTGAAACCCCATCTCTACTAAAAAAATTTAAAAAAAAAAAAAAAAAAAAAAAGGCGGGCATGGTGGCGGGCACCTGTAATCCCAGCTACTCAGGAGGCTAAGGCAGGAGAATCGCTTGAGCCGGGGACCGGAGGTTGCAGTGAGCCAAGATCACGCCATTGTACTCTGGCCTGGGTGACAAGAGTGAAACTCTGTCTCAAAAAAATAAAAATAAAAAAAAGAAAGAATGTGAATCCTGATATTAGGTCACAAAAGACCTCCAGGCATCTGCCTTACTCTCTATTGGATCACTCACTCTGGGAGAAATAAGCTGCCTTGTCATGAGGACACTCGAACTGTCTGTGCCTCCCAAAGGCAGCACTGCTAGTGAGCCATCTTCAAAGCAGACCCTCCAACCCCCATGAAGCCTTCAAATGACCACATCCTTAGCCAACATCTTGACTGCAACCTTAGAATATCAGAGCCACTACACCAAACACAGCCACTGCAAATTCCCCACATAAAGAGACGGTGATTGTTGCTTCTAGTTGCTAAATTTTGGAATAATTTCCCACACATCAATAAAAAATTACTATACACTAATAAGATCCAGCAATTTTCTTTTAATTTTTTTTTTTTTTTTTTTGGAGATGGAATCTTGCTCTGTCACCCAGGCTGGCATGCAGTGGTGCTATCTCAGCTTACTGAAACCTCCACCTCCCGGGTTCAAGCGATTCTCCTGCCTCAGCCTCCCAAGTAACTGGGACTACCGGCATGCACCACCATGCCCAGTTATAAATTTTTTTTTTTTTTTTGAGACAGAGTCTCGCTCTGTCACCCAGGCTGGAGTGCAGTGGCGCCATCTCAGCTCTCAGTAACCTCCACCTCATGGGTTCAAATGATACTGCTGCCTCAGTCTCCTGAGTAGCTGGAATTATGGGCGCCTGCCACTACTCCTGGCTAATTTTGTTTGTATTTTTAGTAGAGACGGGTTTTGCCATGTAGGCCAGGCTGGTCTCAAACTCCTGACCTGAAGTGATCCGCCCACCTCGGCCTCCCAAAGTGCTAGGACTACAGGTGTGAGCCACAGCACCCAGACTATAAATTATTTTTTAATTAAAAAAAAAAAATAGGCTGGGCACGGTGGCTCACGCCTATAATCCCAGCACTTTGGGAGGCTGAGGTGGACAGATTATGAAGTCAGGAGTTCGAGACCAGCCTAGCCAACATGGTGAAACTCCATCTCTACTAAAAACACAAAAATTAGCTGGGTGTGGTGGCAGGTACCTGTAATCCCAGCTACTCGGGAGGCTGAGGCAGGAGAATCGCTTGAACCTGGGAGGCGGAGGTTGCAGTGAACCGAGATCAGGCCATTGCACTCCAGCCTGGGTGAAAGAGAGAGACTCTGTCTCAAAAAACAAACAAACAAAAAAGAGACAGGGTCTAGGTTGCCCAAGCTAGTCTTGAACTCCTGGCCTGCAGTGATCCGATTCACCCTTCCAAAATGCTGGGATTATACAAGAGCCACTGCACCTTGCTGGGTATTTTTTAGTTTTGTTTTAACGACAGGGTCTCGCTCTGTTGCTCGACCTGGAATGTAGGAGTATGATCATAGCTCACTGCAGCTTCAAATTCCTGGGCTCAAGCAATTCTCCCGCCTCAGCCTCCTAAGCAGCCAGGACTATAGGTACACACCACCACAGCTGGCTAATTTTTAAATTTTTGTTAAAGGCAGGGTCTTGTTATGTTGCCCAGGCTGGTATTATACTCCTGGCCTCAAGCAATCCTCTTGCCTCTGCCTCCCAAAGTGCTGGGATTACAGATGTGAGCAACTGTGCCTGGCCCTACTTTTTCTTTAAATAAACTGCCATGGGAAAATTTCCATCAATACAGAAAGAAATAAAATAAGTTGTTCAACTTCTCAACCCTCCCTCACAGGCGTGTGACAAAAGAGGTTAGAAAAAGCAAGTCTTGGCTGGGTGTGGTGGCTCATGCCTGTAATCCCAGGACTCTGGGAGGCCAAGGTGGGTGGATCACCTGAGGTCAGGAGTTCGAGACCAGCCTGACCAACATGGTGAAACCTCATCTCTACTAAAAATACAAAAATTAGCTGGGTGTGGTGGCGGATGCCTGTAATCCCAGCTACTCAGGAGGCTGAGGCAGGAGAATTGCTTGAACCTGGGAGGCGGAGGTTGCAGTGAGCCGAGAACTCGCCATTGCACTCCAGCCTGGGCAACAGAGTAAGACTCTGTCTCAAAAAAAAAAAAGCAAGTCTCCTTTCCCGACTGTCAAAGGTTTGTTATAATGAAGCATCCCAGAGGAAAAATGTGTCTTTTTTTTTTTCTTTTTGAGACAAAGTCTCACTCTGTTGCCCAAGCTGGAGTGCAGTGGCGTGATCTTGGCTCACTGCAACCTCCACCTCTGGGGTTCAAGTGATTCTCCTGCCTCAGCCTCCCGAGTAGCTGGGACTACAGGCATGCACCACCATGCCAGGCTAACTTTTTTGTATTTTTTTTTAGTAGAGATGGGGTTTCATTATGTTGGCCAGGCTTGTCTTGAACTCCTGACCTCGTGATCCACCCACCTCGGCCTCCCAAGGTGCTGGGATTACAGGTGTGAGCCACTGCACCAAGCCAAATGTGTCTATCTTTATTACAATTACACCCAGCCTTCATTTGACCAAATGAGTCTTTACCATACCCACCAATTCTGCAACTTCCTTTTTCAACTTCCCAGTCCATCCTGAACAGCATGGCAGATCAATCCAACTATAGCTCCCTAATCCCTATTGGTGCCCAGGATGACAGTATATGAATATGTGCTGACTCTACTTTGTAAGTCCCCTGACAAATGAGTACAGCTTGGTTTCAGGTTTTGCCACTACAATCAAGGTCACAGTGAACGTCTTCACCCAATCTTGGCAAACTTTGGAGAGCACAGCCATGGGGAATGTTCCTCACCAGGGGATTACTGCCATTCAGCAACTTTTTTTGAACTATAAATACCTTATCAGCCTGAGTCAGGTACTCCAGTGGCCAGCTTTAAGGGAAGGCTTTCCTGGAAACAGCACCCCAGACGGTGCAGTGCCATCCTCGCCATGTGGCATGGCTGAGCACACCCAGACTGATCACACAGCACTAGGCTTTTAATGCACTTCAGCTCTGCCACTCACAGCAGATGGCTGGAAAGGCCCCGCCACACACCCAAAGACCATCACATGGACTGATCACCCTAAGTGACATTCAGGAAATCCAGATTCCCATCAGGACCCCACAACTTCCTTGCCCTGGAGGCGTCTCACTCTGTCACCTGAGCTGGAGGACAGTGGCACAATCTCAGCTCAGTACAGACTCAACCTCCCGGGCTCAAGCAATCCTCCCACCCCAGCCTCCCAAGTAGCTGGGATACACCACCACACCTAGCTGATTTATTTATTTTTTCCAGAGATGGGTTGGTTTTTTTGTTGGTTTTTTTTTTTTGAGACAGAGCCTCACTCTGTCACCCAGGCTGGAGTGCAGTAGCGTGATCTTGGCTCACTGCAACCTCTGCCTCCCGGGTTCAAGAGATTCTCCTGCCTCAGCCTCCCCAGTAGCTGATATTACAGGTGCTCGCCACCATGCCCGCCCAGGTAATTTTTTTGTATTTTTAGTACAGACGGCGTTTCACCATGTTGATCAGGCTGATCTCAAACTCCCGACCTCACATGATCCACCTGCCTCAGCCTCCCAGAGTGCTGGGATTACAGGCGTGAGCCACTGCACCCAGCCCATTTTCAGGTCTGAAAGTGGCTCTTGGCCAAAGTAACTGGACTCTGACCAGCCACACATGGAGGCCACTGCTCCTAGGACAAGCAGCAAATGATCACAGCTGACAAGAGTTTGGACGATCACCCTCGTAGCATGCACAGCCCACACAGGCACACCGGCATCACCCTCGTTCTCCAGACGTGAGGATGTCTGCCAACCCACCCCTGCAGAATCACCGCTAGGGTAGACACTGAGGCAAGTGCTTGATGTGGGGAAACTTAGCTGGTCTCTGAGGCAACCCCTACCACCCTACACACAAGGAAAAGAAGGCATGTTACATGCACTGTCACTGACACACGGACACTGCTTACATACTTCCAGGTGGAAATAAGCTTCAGAGGAGCAGGGAGAAAACCAACCTGTGTGCATGTGCACATGTGTACGTGTTTCAAAGAGGAGATGACAGATGTGTATGTGCACAGGAACTTTCTGGAAGACTTCACAGGAAAACTTTTCTATTTTTTAAATTTATTTAGAGACACGATCTTGCTGTCGCCCAGGCTGCAGTGCAGTGGTGTCACCATGGCTCACTGCAGCCTCAACTTCCCAGGCTCAAGCCATCCTCCCACCTCAGCCTCCTGAATAGTTGGGAATAGAGGTATGAGCTGCTGCGCCTGGCTACAGGAAACTTTACAAAGGCTGCTTCTGGAGGGTTAGCTGGGAATGGGGATGAGGAAATTTTTTTTTTTTTTTGACAGAGTCTCCCTCTGTCGCCCAGGCTGGAGTGCAGTGGCGCAATCGCAGCTCACTGCAACCTCTGCCGCACGGGTTCAAGCGATTCTCCTGCCTCAGTCTCCCAAGTAGCTGGGATTGCAGGCGTATGTCACCAAAACTGGCTAATTTTTGTATTTTTAGTGGAGATGGGGTTTCACCATGATGGCCAGGCTGGTCTCGAACTCCTTACCTCAAGTGATCCACCCACCCCGGCCTCTCAAAGTTCAGGAATCACAGGCATGAGCCATCGCGCCCAGCCAGGGTTGAGGAAATTTTACAATGTTTTATCTGTTTCTAGACTGGGTGATAAGGGCGTATGACAAAAGAGATTAGAAAAAGCTCCTTCCGGCCAGGCGCAGTGGCTCATGCCTGTAATCCCAGGTGAGGCAGGCAGATCACCTGAGGTCAGGGGTTTGAGACCAGCCTGGCCAACATGGTGAAATCCCGTCTCTACTAAAAATACAAAAATTAGCTGAGCAGGGTGGCGCATAATTGTAATTCCAGCTACTCGGGAGGCTGAGGTAGGAGAATAGCTTGAATCCAGGAGGCGGAAGTTGCAGTGAGCTGAGATAGCACGACTGCAGTCCACTCTGGGCGAGAGAGTGAGACTCCATCTCAAAAAAAAAAAAAGAAAAAAGAAAAAGCTCCTTCCTTTCCTGACTGTCCTGTCTCTCAGGGGCCCCACTTTTCATTTGAAGCCTCTGTGGTTTGTCACCATGAGTCCATAGGTGTCTACAATTCAGGAAAGAAACTGGCCCCACTTCTGCCAGCAGCAGATTCCTTCAGAGCAGAGCCAGGAGAAATTCAGGCCTCAGCAGAGACTCCAGGGTCAGCGATCACACAGGCAACCCCTCCCTTAAGCTGCAGTGAGAACCTGAGTCCTGCCTACAAGAAGAGGGAAGAGCTGCCCCTTAGGGCTCCCAGATTCCCAAATAACTCACACACACGGCCAAGGGTGAGTCCGGCCCAGTAGCCACTTACCTGGCAGAAAGACTTCATCTTGTCCAGAACCTTGTTGACCTCTGGCATCACATCCTTGCCGTCTACCAGGATGGGTGTGTTTGACCGGTTCCGCAGAGCCACGTGCAGCACGGCTCGACCCTGGGGATTACGGTCAGGATATAAAGACTGCCCCCCCCAACCCCAGGCAGCCATGCTCCCAGCTGGGCATGGTGCCATAGCTCGGCCCTCTATCCACTAGACAGGCAGGCCCTGAGGTCTCTGTTAGCACCATAACCTTGTTCCAAGAACCCACTGTATGCTTAGAGGAGTAGGAGCTCCCCAAGGACTTATGTGCTGCAGACAGTCAGGAGGAGAGGAGGGGACCCATATATGCCTAGGACAGGCCCCGAAGGCCTGCCAGAGATGCTCAGGGCATGAACAGTGAGAGAAAAGAGGAACAGTGAGCAAAGGCAGAGAATGGCAACAATACATGTCAGAAACAAGCAATAAATGCTTTCAGAGGCCGGGCGCCATGGCTCACGCCTGTAATCCCGGAACTCTGGGAGGCCATGGCAGGTGGATAACTTGAGGTCATGAATTCGAGACCAGCCTGGCCAACATGGTGACATCCTGTCTCTACTAAAAATACAAAAATCAGCCAGGTGGGGGTGGCACACACCTGTAGTTCCAGCTACTCAGGAATCTGAGGCAGAGAATCGCCTGAACCCATTAGACAGAGGTTGCAGTGAGCCAAGATCGCACCACTGCACTCCAGCCTGGGCGACAGAGCAAGACTCCATCTCAAAATAAATAAATAAATAAACGCTTTCCGAAGATGAGTGCTCATGAAGCCTGAAGTAACCTCATCCTCCCAATGTGTGTCCATGGTGTTTGCTGGCACGTTTTAGGCAGTGTCCTCAGCTCCTTGGATTTGCAGCAAGGCATGCAACTCAAGCTTCCCTCACCAAGCAGCCCGATAACTACCAACTGCCAGGAACCAAACCAGACTTGAAGTCTGTGACGGGTGCCAGGCGGCTGGCCCAGCCACGTGAGTGAAATGGCCTGAAGTCAGCAGAGGAGTCCTTGAGGGAAGGTCTAACGACCCCAGGTGGGCAGGAAAAGGATCATCTTGGGATTCCGACCCAGTGAGAGGCTTGCTAAGGTGGAGGGCTTCATGCCACCCCACCCTCACCCTGCCAGACCCCACTCCTGCGCCACATTTTATTGGCAAATGCACTCCTCCAGAAAGCCTTCCTTGATTGCATCCTCTCTCAGCTTAGACCCACAATGCAAGACAGGTTGAGTGTGAATCTCCATTCTGCCTCTTACAGCTATGACATCTTAGATAAGTGATGTGACCTCTGAACCTCAGACTCCTCACATGTAAGAGGAGGATAATGACATCATGAGGACAGAGTCTGGGTGCTCAGTGTCCATTATACCTCCAGGCTGGGCTCCCATACTGAGTCAGGAACAGGGGCCCCCAGGCCTGGCCTCACCACTGCTTCCTATTGACTCCTACTGCTTGAGTAGGCTGAAGTCTTTGGTGATCTAAGATTCTTCTTGTCGCTACTAAAACTTGCATTGAGGATATATTAGAGTTAACTTCTCCAAGAAAATGTCAGCCTTGAGAAACTCTCCCTGTGGGTATGAGATATGCTCCTCCCAGGCAGACACTGGGAACCATTCCAAGGAGCTCACCAAACCAATCTTGTGGAAGGCACACCCCAAAGCCCTGCTACAAGCAGGAGGAAAAAGGCCTTCAGGCCCCTCATTAAGCAAAAGCATTGCCCAAGAGAAGGGGTGAAGACACAGGGTGATGCGGCTAACAGTCAGATAAACCCCAAAGGGAAGGAAGGAGGCCCCAGAGGGTATGTGGGGCCTGCTCACCTCGGTGTAGTTGATCTTCTCACCATTGAACATCCGCTCCCGGGCGGCCTCCACGCCCCTGGACTTGGCCTAGGAAGAGACGATACTGAGGCCTGGTCCCACCCACACTGGCCACCCCAAGTGTCAGCCCCCAAACACAAGGCTTGGTGCTGTCCCCAATGAGACAGACAGACGGCTGCTGTCTGGTTCCCTCCCCTGCTGTCTGGGAAGGGTCTACTCAGACATCAGACACTGGGGTCCCTGGGATGCTGCTTAGAACCTAAGCCAGGGACAGGTGCCTCACCAGCACAGAGGAGGTGACTGAGGTCTAATGAGAGGAAGAACTCAAGATACTCAAGGTCCTGGGGACTCCCAGGAGCCCAGCTCACCCACCACTCTGTCGGTTACCAGTTATGCCTCCCCAAGCAGAACATTACCAAGTCCACCAGCATCCGCATCACGTCCTCCGTCACCAGGTTCTTGGAGTAATCCACCAGGATATGCCCATGGTTGGTGTTGAGGGTCAAGCTGCAGAAAGATGGAGATGCTGCTGACCACACCCTGGTCTCCCTAGCGGGGAGCCATGCCCTAAGCAGGAGCTGTTCCCAGAAGAAACATCCTCCCTGACCCACGCCCCACAAGGGCCGCGGCCACCCAGCACAGTGGTGGTGTCTGTCACCTGCTGGCCCACCAGGATGATCTGCAACAGCAGCCCAGAGAAAGAAGCCATCCTCACAGACCGTAGATGCAGGCAGACCCTGGATGAGGAGCCCGGACTGAAGTGGGGGACCACCCCTTCCCAGGGCTTCCACTTTCTGCCGTAAGTTACTCAGGCACCCATCCAGATGACAGGGATGGCCATCGGGACGTCTAGCCCGGAGCCACAGTCGCTCCCCTCCCCCGCCTCCACCAGTATCAGTGATCAGAGCTCCCTTGGCCGCACTCCCGCCCATGATTTGCTCAAACACTCCTTCCCACTTCCCGGTCGTGCACAGGTGTCTTCTGCAGGAATCACGCCCGACGTCTCCATCCTTCCACCCAGCTCCCTCAAACACCCCCGCCCGGGCTGCCCGCCCTGCAGACGCTCCCAAGCTCATGTGGCCAGGAGCGGATGGAAAGGGACAGCCCTTTCCCGCTTGCTGCGTCAGCCAAGGCCTCTCTTCACAACTGCGAAAGGAGCCCCTGCTCAAATGGCCAGAGCTGCACGGGGAGGAGGAGGGGAAATGTCCCCACGGAGGGGCCCGTTTTTCCTCGTAACGAAGCAGACCCGGGGCCGAGACTCCCGGCGAGGCTGCAAGCCCCCAGGAACGCACTCCAAGGAGACTCCAAGGACGAAGTGCGGACTCGGCCTGGGCCCCAGTCCGTGGCCTGGAGGTCGGGGACTGGGGTCCCCGGGCACCGCTGCCCCCGCCTCCAGACCCCAGGCCCGCGTGCCCGGTTCCGGGCGCCGCGCGTGGCAGCCCCCGCCTCCGGCCCGCCCGCACCTGAAGTGGTTGAAGCGGTCCTTGTTGGCATCGAAGAGGCGGCGCAGGTTCAGCTCGGAGCGGTGCTCGCGGTACCATTGCTGCAGCTTCTGGAACTGGGGGTCCCGGGTGAGAGCGGCCATGGCGGGACTAGAAGGTACACTGAGTGAGACGCGAGCCGAGGAGGAAGGAGCGCCGGCAGCGCGCAGCAAGCGAGGCGCGTGGGCGCGCGGCGGCCTTTATGGCGCAGGCGCCCGGCCCGGCCCGGCCCGGCCCCACCCCTGAGCCCCGGCCCCGCCCCCGACCCGCGCCCCGATACCCAGGCCGGGTGCCCGCTGAGCGACCTTGCCCGCGGCCGCTGATCTGGGGCCTCAGCTCCTCTCTCCCTACCTCTTGCGCCGCCGCTTTGCTGGCCTCTGCCCGGAAGTGGCAGTGGGGAGGGTGGGCAGAGCCCGGGGATCACTGGAGCCCAGGTGTTGGAGGCTGCAGAGAGCTACCATCGCGCCGCTGCACTCCCTGTGCACTAGTCGGCTTCATTCATTCATTCGACAAAACTCTATAGATCGAACACCTTCCACGTTACAGGCAGTGTTCTAGGCGCTGTGGATACATATGTGCCAAATAAGCAAGTACAACAGATGATGTGTGTCTGCTGGTGGTAAGGGCTATTGAGGAAAACCAAGATGAAAAGGGTGCTGAGAATCGGGGTTGCAATTAAGAAAAAAGTGACTAGGCCGGGCGCGGTGGCTCACGCCTGTAATCTCATCACTTTGGGAGGCCGAGGCAGGCGGATCATGTGAGGCCAGGAGTTCCAGACCAGACTGGCCAACCTGGTGAAACCTCATCTCTACTGAAAAAAAAAATGCAAAAATTAGCCGGGCCTGGTGACACGTGCCTGTATTCCCAGCTAACTCGGGAGGCTGAGGCAGGATAATCACTTGAACCTGGGAGGTGAAGACTGCAGTGAGCCACTGTACTCCAGCCTGGGTGGCAGAGTGAGACTCCATCTCAAAAAAAAAAAAAAAGATGAGGTCAGAGAGCAAAAGGGAGGCAACAAGATCACGTAAGACCTTGTAAGTCATTGTAAGAACTCTGGGGCTGGGCACTCCTGCCTATAATCCCAGCACTTTGGGAGGTGGGATAGCTTGACGCCAGGAGTTCAAGCCGAGCCTGGGCAAGACAGCAAAACACTGCTTCTAAAATACTAAAAATAAATTAGCGGGGCATGTGGTGGTGCATATCTGCAGAGTCCCAGCTACTCGGGAGGCCAAGGCAGGAGGATCACTTGAGTCCAGGAGTTAGAGGCTGCCGTGATTACCACCACTGTACTCCAGCTTGGGTGACACAGCAACACCTTGTCTTAAAAAAAAGAAAAGAAAAGAAAAGAAAATAGGGAAAGGCTGACAACAAAAGAAATAAGTGGTCACTGAGGGGTCACAGGACTTTCCAGGGAACAGCCCTGTCCACATGGCCCTTTTCTAAGAACTGTCAACTCTTAAGATTTCACTGAGCTTCCACACCTAGCACAACCCTGGTAGTGCTGAACAGTATCTGTTCTACTGGAGTTCTTTTTTTGTTTGTTTGTTTGTTTGAGATGGAGTCTCGCTCTGTCACCAGGCTGGAGTGCAGTGGCGTGATCTCAGCTCACTGCAACCTCCACCTCCCTGGTTCAAGCGATTCTCCTGCCTCAGCCTCCTGAGTAGCTGGGACTACAGGCGCACGCCACCACACCCAACTAATTTTTGTATTTTTAGTAGAGATGGAGTTTCACCATGTTGGCCAGGATGGTCTCAATCTCTTGACCTCATTATCCGCCTGCCTCAGCCTCCCAAAGTGCTGGGATTACAGGCATGAGCCACTGCGCCTGGCCTCTACGGGGGTTCTGAGAAACACTCCAATCAGGGTTTTCTAAGCCAGTTACTCATCTACACAGAAGAGAATTCCCACCCCAAATCCTCTGTTTCAGAACAAAACCTCAACCAATGGGAAGGCGAGTCTCAGTAGCCACTGCCCCATTATCACTTACCCTGTGATTCCTCAGATGACTCTAGCCCAATAGTAACCACTGACTCCCTCTGACTCCTCCTTCTTTTTTTTTTTTTGAGACAGGGTCTCACTCTGTCACACCCAGGTTGGAGTGCAGTGACACGATCTTGTCTCACTACAGCCTCTGCCTCCCAGGCTCAAGCGATCTTTTCAACTCACCCTTCTGAGTAGCCAGGACTACAGGTGTGCACCACCATGCCCAGCTAATTTTTTCCTTGTAGAGACAAGCTTTGTTATTTTTTGTACAGACGAGGTTTCATCATGTTGCTCAGGCTAGTCTCGAATCCTTGGGTGCAAGTGATCTGCCTGCCTTGGCTTCCCAAAGTGCTGGGATTACAGGCATGCAGCACTGCACCTGCAAACTGAGACTGCCTTTTTCTAGTAGGTTATTTTGGTGACCAGATGGACGGCTGTTGTTCTTTGTCTAAAACCATCCTCTCCCACCCGTGTTTCTACCCCTGCCTGAATCCATCAGAGATGAGCACATAACTTATGCCAGCTAAACAGGGTCCTTTTCCAGGGCCCTGCAGCCAGCAGCAGAAAGTCTCTGCTTTTTATGGTGTTAAGCTGCCTGTCAGAAAGGACAGACCTGAGCTCTAGCCCCTGGTCTTGAGGAAAATAACGAAGAGAATGATCCCCACAGAGATGTCAGAGTGAATCTCACAGTGCCCAGGTTCCTGGGGCCAGGCCACCTCTACCTGCAGCTAGAATGTAAACCAACGATTCCCTTTAGTGTCTGTTTGGAGTTCAGTTGTCATTCACAACTCCAAGTCTTTCCAAAGATGTTACGGGTGTTCACCTTTCCACTGCCACAGTCTTGTCCAGTGTCCTCTCCCGACCACCAGGAACCCTAGAAACAGCTTTGGGTATTGCGAAAGAGGCAGGAGGTGAGGCCTCTGATGATTGCCATTTCAAAGGTTTCCCCTGCCTTTTAATCTTCCATAATGTACACCTCTGCAACTTGGCCTCTGTGATTCCCAGAAGCTTCAACTATTCCAGATTTCACATTTACTTTGAAACTCCAGTTACATGGATTTTCTTTTTTTCTTCTTTTTTTTTGAGATGAAGTTTCACTCTTGTTGCCCAGGCTAGAGTGCAATGGCACGATGTTGGCTCACTGCAACCTCTGCTTCCCTGCAACCTCCACCTCCCAGGTTCAAGCAATTCTCTTGCCTCAGCCTCCCTAGTAGCTGGGGTTACAGGCACCCGCCACCTCACCAGGCTAATTTTTTTTTTTTTTTTTTTTTTTTGAGATGGAGTCTCCCTCTATCACCAGGCCAGAGTGCAGTGGCACCATCTCGGCTCACTGCAACCTCCGACTCCCTGGTTCAAGCAATTCTCCTGCTTCAGCCTCCCGAGTAGCTGAGATTACAGGCATGCAACACTACGTCCAGCTAATTTTTGTATTTTTAGTAGAGTTGGGGTTTCACTGTGTTGACCAGGATGGTCTCGATCTCCTGACCTCGTGATCCGTCTGCCTCAGCCTCCCAAAGTGCTGGGATTACAGGCGTGAGCCACTGCACCCGGCCTAATTTTTGTATTTTTAGTAGAGATGGGGTTTCACCATGTTGGCCAGGGTAGTCTCGAACTCCTGACCTAAGGTAATCCACCCACCTCGGCTTCCCAAAGTGCTGGGATTACAGGCATGCAACACCGCGCCCAGCCTGGATTTTCTATGTTAGCAGGAAACTAGGTTCCTATCTGGTGGGCCATAAATCACAGTGGCTACAGGGAGAAAGCACAGAAAAGTAAGAAGAAAAGTCTAATCCAAAGCCATTTTGGATTAGAAAGTACTAATCCAAAGCCATTCATCATCATACTACAAAACTACCAACACGGCCACTACTCCAGCCAGGTTTACTACGTGCACAGCTCCATGCTAAATCCTTTCCATGTATCCCTCATGGCAGTCCTATGAAGGATACCCTGTTGTCCTCCCCATTTAACAGAGAGGTTAAGAAATGTGAAATGAGGCCGGGCACGGTGGCTCACGCCTGTAATCCCAGTACTTTTGGAGGCTGAGGTGGGTGGATCACGAGTTCAGGAGTTCGAGACCAGCCTGAGCAACATGGTGAAACCCCCGTCTCTACTAAAAATACAAAAAAATTAGCTGGACGTGGTGGCGGGCACCTGTAATCCCAGCTACTTGAGAGGCTGAGGCAAGAGAATGGAGTGAACCCAGGAGGCAGAGCTTACAGTGAGCTGAATCATGCCACTGCACTCCAGCCTGGGCGACAGAGCGAGACTCTGTCTCAAAAAAAAAGGAAAGAAAGAAATGTGAAACAAGGCCGGGTGCAGTGACTCACACCTGTAATCCCAACACTTTGGGAGGCCGAGGCAGGTGGATCACTTGAAGCCAGGAGTTTGAGACCAGTCTGGCCACCATGGTGAAACCCTGTCTCTACTAAAATTACAAAAATTAGCCAGGCGTGGTGGCGGACACCTGTAATCCCAGTTACTGGGGAGGCTGAGGCAGGAGAATCACTTGAACCCGGGTGGCAGAGGTTGCAGCGAGCCAAGATCATGCCACTGCACTCCGGCCTGGGTCACAGAGTGACACCCTGTCTCCAAAAAAATAGAAAGAAAGAAATATGAAACAAGCCACTCTGCTCTTAACTAGAGAATCAACCCAGGCTGCCTGGTTCCTTCCTGAGACCTGTGCTCCTGCCAGTTCCTCTTCAGTCCTAGGAAAAAGGTGGAGGGAAAGTGGAGGAGCAGGCAATCCCTTTCTCCACTCCTCATCATCCCAGTTATGTCTTATTAGTTGAAACAGTGTCTCGCTCTGTCACCCAGGCTGGAGTGCGGTGGCATGACCATAGCTCACTGCAGCCTTGAACTCTGGGCTCAAGCGATTCTCTCACCTCGGTCTCCTGAGTAGCTAGAACTACAGGCATGACCACCCCGTCCCGGCTAATTTTCTTATTATTATTATTTGTAGAGACTGAGTTGCACTGTGTTGCCCAGGCTGGTCTCAAATTCCTGGCTTCAAGAGATCTTCCTGCCTCAGCCTCCCAAACTGTTGGGATTACAGGTATGCGTCACTGTGCCTGGCCATAAGGTCATTTTATATTCTGTTGTCTATCACCATCAGTACAATCACTACCATATGCTGAGCCAAGTCCTGCCGATCGCAGAGCTTAGGGCTCAGAATCCCCAGGATCCTGGGGGGTAGTGAAGCTGGGAGGGGTCATGCCCCCAGGCCAGGGACTGACCAAGGAGAATCGAAAGGAAACCTAGCCCAGAAATTCCAAGAGAACATGCTGCAGAGCCGGACACCTTCACGTGCCCCCAGCAAGATGATGTGGCCCTGAGAGAGGAGCGGACCAGAGGGTACACCTGACAGCAGAGGCAAGTTAGGAAGTCCGGGGACAGTCCTAACTCTGGATAGCAAAGATTTAATTTCAAGCATAAGGCAGCCCTGGAAAAGCAATTGACTGCCACTGAGTATTGATGAAGCTAGCACTTACTGCAGGCTGTGGCGGGCACAGTTCCAAACAAGAGCCCCGTTCTAAAGATGGGGAAACTGAGGTATCGGCATTTAGACATCACAGACCTTACTTCAGGGCCGCTGGACAGGGGTCAGGCAGGCCCTGGAGCACAGGTGGCCATGGGAGTGAAGGCAGAGGGACTGGGGCAGAGGACTGGTGGGGTGGTCAGTTCTGGGGCCTGAGCTGAAGAAGTCGGGAGCGGGGCGTGGCGTGGCGTTTCCACGCCCATGGATTTTAGACAGCTGTTCCGGGGGAGGAGGCGAGCCCACCGAGGATGCTGAGTCATGTTGACCGGCGAAGGCGAGGGGACCACGCCTCTGGAGCTACCGGGGTTGGCTCATCGCCTCCGGGGAGGCCACGGAGCAGGTGTAGGCGGGGTTGAGCGCAGGCGCGGATGGGGCGGGGGTAATGCGCACGCGTGTGCGTGTGGGCCAGCACGTCCGGGTGGTCAGGACGCGCGCTTGTGCGCATGTCCCCGCGCAGGGTCGGGCGCTGGGGTGTGGAGACTGAACCTTGCAGACACCCGGGTCCGCACGTCTGGGATGGACGTGGTGAGTGCACGTGCGCACGCGCTGCGTAGGGGCGGCTGCGCTCATGCGCACATCGGGAGTGGTGCTTGGAGAGGCCACCTACTCACCGCGCCCCCAAGAGGCCGGGGGTTTGTCCCTGGTGTTGGCCCTACCCTGCGCGATCCAGTCTTGTCGTTTCGGGGCTTCATTACCAGAGCCCCGTGAATCCTTTGCTAGATGCTTAAAAACATTTTCCCCATTGTACATAGCTGTTTCCACGAGAATAAAAAGCTTTACATTTATTTGAGGCCTGCTTGGGCCTATCCGCAGCTCCACCGTAGTGCTAATCCCCTCCCAGTCCTGGAACAGCCCAGATGATGTATTTAATAGTATTCTTTTAGCCCAACGCGAGAATGTTTTCGTCTGGTTGTTTTTGTTTTTCGTTTTTAGAGACAGTCTCGCTATATTACCCAGGCTGGAGTGCAGTGTCAAGATCTCGACTCACTGCAGCCTTGAACTCCTGGGCTCAAGTGATCCTCCCACAGTGCTGGGATTACAGGCGTGAGCCACCGCACCCGGCCTCTAGTTCTGTCTTTTTGCTCAGTATTAGAATTCGTAAGTTCTGGCCCCAGCAACTCGTCCTTTCATCTGTCTCAAGTTGCACTGTGGTGGTCACAGGAGCTGTCCTGCACCTTGCACATGTGGCCATGAACAAGACTCGCTCCTTGCTCTCATGGGGCCTTCATTCCAGTGAGACACAAATGCAAACACAAAATTCCAGAAGAGTGCTGAGTGCTATCATGAGAAACGAAGACAGGCTGGAAGATGGGCTCTGACCCCAGAAAACCGATGGAGAGGCCCAAGCAGCCTTGGGAGCAACAGGCAAGTTGGAGGACACACGGCAAGGCTACTTGGAAGTAGGGGAGGGTGCATGGGAAACCCTGAGGCTGTGGGGGGAGAGGCAGGAGCCAGGTGAAGTCCAGGTAGATGGCAGTGGAGATGTAAGAACATGGTGGAATTTTTTTGTTTTTGAGACGGAGTCTTGCTCTGTCCCCCAGGGTGGAGTGCAATGGTGAGATCTCAACTCACTGCAACTTCCGCCTCCCAGGTTCAAGCGATTCTCTGGGATTATAGGCACCTGCCACCATGCCCAGCTAATTTTTGTATTTTTTAGTAGAGATGGGTTTTCACCATGTTGGTCAGGCTAGTCTCGAACTCCTGACCGCGGGTGATCCGCCCGCCTCAGCTTCCCAAAGTGCTGGGATTACAGGCGTGAGCCACCGCGCCTGGCCAGAACATGGTGGAATTTGAGTGTGCTTGGGAATACACTTATAGGACTTGCTGATTAGTTGAATGAGGAAATAAAAGAACGAAGAATATCTTCTGGGATTTCAGCCTGAGCAACTGGGTTGCTGGTGGATGGTGGTTCTCTTATCAAGGATGGGAAAGATGGGTTGTCTCCCCTAAAATACTGAGTTTTAAAGGCAGGGACTGTATCTTTGCAGTCCTGGCTCCTAGCAAGGGCCTAGCCCTTATATGACATTCGTGAATGTTGAAATGAATGTGACACGCCTGAAACAATCCTTCTCCCTCACCTAGGCCCACATCTCCAAGTCAATATTCCAGTACAAGCCACATCCAGTCCCCTCACTGACACACACAGGCCTGGGCCCAGGAGCTCACCCCTGTGCTGTAAGGCTAGGTGCATGTGTTATTTCCAGAGTCTACCCTTGGAGGTGCCTCAGACTCCTGGGTACCTGTCGCTGGGAGGTAGCCAGTCATGCTGTCCACATACATGCTTTTGGGCAGTAGAGAAGCTGATCATTGGGAAGGTTTATTTCCTGTCTCCACAACAGGAGGCAGGTCACAGCAGTGGCCACACAGTGCACAAAAGGCCATCCCCTCACAGCCGCATGGTTGGCATGCAGCATCTCAGCCTCCAAACTGGAAGCCCCCTATCCAAGGAGCCCCCAGGTGGGAGAGGAAGGTCACAAGCCTCCCAAGTACCTCAAGATGCCTGCGCATCCTCCCCCATTTCTCAGATGGGCCAAGGCCTGTGAAGCCCTTGCAGTAGTAGCTCAGGTGTAGCATCTGCTCAGCTTCCCTCCCCACTCATTTGCACACAGCCAGAGCTGCGGGACTTCTGCCCTCTGGCCTCCAGCACTGCTGTGAATCAGAACTAGTCAAGAGAACTGGGTGCTTGTGTTAAATGGGAACACTCTGGAATAAAATATGGGCTTTTTTAAAGAGATGGGGTCTCACTATGTTGCCCAGGCTGGTCTTGAACTCCTGGCCTCAAGCAATCCTCCCAGGTCAGCCTCCCAAATTGCTGGGATTACAGGCGTGAGCCAGCACACCCAGCCCCTGCTAGCTTTTTAATATGAACTTCCAGTGTATTCTTGAGCACTCTCAGGCAACATGGCCGTTACCGAGCAACTTTGTCCTGAGGTGCATTTGGAAGGCTCTGGGACTTGGTCCCCATGCTCAACTTCAGGGCACCTTGGCAGAAAGAAGAGTGGTTCCTACACCAGCAGCTTATATATTAATGCCCACATTACTCCATTTTCTTCAGGTCGTCAAAAAAGGTTCCACTGAGGTGCTGTCTTTCTGTAAATGAAAATGAGCTGAAATGCTCCTGTGACCTGCCCTCCATTTGTGGGTCTCATGATACTATCTTTCTTCTGCTTAACACGATGGCATCATCCAGTGAGACAGGTCCTGTTTTTGTTTTTTTCTTTTTTTCTTTTTCTTTTTTGAGACAGAGTCTCACTCTGTTGCCCAGGCTGGAGTGCAGTGGAGCAGTCTTGGCTCACTGCAACCTCTGCCTCCCGGGTGCAAGCAGTTCTCCTGCCTCAGCCTTCCAAGCAGCTGGGATTACAGGTACCTGCGACCATACCACCTAATTTTTTGTATTTTTAGTAGAGATGGGGTTTCGCCATGTTGGGCAGGCTGGTCTTGAACTCCTGACCTCATGATCTACTGTCTCAGCCTCTCAAAGTGGTGGGATTATAGGCGTGAGCCACAGTGCCTGGCTTTTTTTTTTTTTTGGAGACAGCCCCATCGTTCTGTCGCCAGGCTGGAGTGCAGTGGTGCGATCTCGGCTCACTGCAACCTCTGACTTCCTGGTTCAAGCGATTCTTCTGCCTAAGCCTCCTGAGTAGCTGGGATTACAGGCACACGCCACCATGCCCGACTAATTTTTGTATTCTTAGTAGAGATGGGGTTTCACCATGTTGGCCAGGATGGTCTCGATCTCCCGGCCTTGTGGTCCACCTGCCTCAGCCACCTACAGTTCTGGGATTACAGGTGTGAGCCACTGCGGCCGGCAGAGACAGGTCCTTCTTATCCCTGTAAGGCACAGTATCTCTGCCATAGATTGGGTCCCTGGTTTGGGAAGAGGGTAAAACAAGCCCTCATTCTTGGGTCTCGTCATTGGACAAGCTGGCTGGGCAAGTCACAGCATCCACATTTGGTGGAACATGGGTGTTGGTAGACCCCAACCCAGAGAGCTTGCACCCTTGCAGAGGACGTCTCCTTCACTACTGCACTGGCTCCCCCTGCACAGGGGCCTAAACCAGCTTGGGCCTTAGGGAAGCCAATAGGGGAGGCGTAGCTGCTTGTTCTCCCTCCTGCCCATCCACTTCAGCTCACCGTAATATCCCAAGTGGTCTTCCCCTTGCTAGAATCAGAGGACAGGCTGACCTAAAAACCAACTCAGTATGCAGCTTTTCAAAGCAATGAGTCAGGCAGGGCTTTTGACATAATGTCCTCTGCAGTTCATTTTAAACAAGGATACAAAGTATTATTAAATGTATATTTTTAATAAAGCCAATAGTTATTTTACTTATAGGAGCTTTAAAAGATACAAAATGTAGAGTTCCAGTTTGGAAGCATTGTAACTATACACACAATGTCCTGCTGATGCCCTAGCAAGGCACCCACGCCCAACCATGCAAAGGACACACACGTTCACACATGCACACACATGCGCTTTGGCGAGACCCCTCTGCCAAGCGCAGCACCTGGAATTACCAGTGTTCAGAGCAAGGCGGTGCCGGGAACACAGCACCTACATGGAGACCACACAAACGGCTTCACACAGTCTCACAGCCCATGGAGATGCAATTAGAAAATGTCTTCCTTAATAGAGAAAAACAAACTGGAAAGTGACAATTAGTGACGTCACCTGTGCTGGAGCATCAAGGATTGACCTCTGTCCAAGGTGAGGCCTTTGGAGAGGCACTATTAAAACATGAGTACTTCAGTATAATGGAACTCGAAATACAGGGTACTGTGGACACATTACTGAAGGAAATAGAAAACTATCTTACAAGTAGAACAGCCATAGACAACTTTAACAGAGATTAGTGTGCACACCGTGACAGCTAACACAGACAAGAGCCACGCAGGGTTGGTGCAAAGCACGTGCCTGAAAATGTCTATATACAAAACAGTTCTTTGTAAACATGGTGAGGTGAATGCTCAGAACCACGGCAAAAGATCATAAATACAGGCAGCAATGCATCCCCACACAGCACAAAAGACAACACCTGAGGCCTGGGAAGAGCCTGACAACACAGTACTAAAAACTCAGGTGGCTGGGCTCAGACACCCTACGGGTCCTCTCAAATTAGTGTGTGTGTTTACATACATACATACATACATATATATATATTCTTTTTTTTTTTTCTTGTTGAGACGGAATCTCACTCTGTCACCCAGGCTGGAGTGCAGTGGCACAATCTCAGCTCACTGTAACCTCCGCCTCCCGGGTTCAAGCGATTCTTCTGCTTCAGCCTCCCGAGTAGCTGGGACTACAGGCGCACGCCACCACACCCGGCTAATTTTTGTATTTTTAGTAGAGATGGGGTTTCACCATATTGGCCAGGCTGGTCTCGAACTCCTGACCTTAGGTGATCCACCTGCCTCGGCCTCCCAAAGTGCTGGGATTACAGGCGTGAGCCACCACGCCCAGCCTCTTTTTGGTATTTTTATATATAAATTTACTTATATCTGTAGAAAAACGAGAACATAAATGTGTTATTACAATCTTTGCTGGAAAAGCTTATATGGAGTTAGAAAGAATAAACCATTTATTAGTAGTTAACATATATTAAAATGGTTTAATGATTTAAGAAAATATAAAAAAAATATTAATACTGTCAAACTTTCATACCAGAAAATATTATGGATTTTTCTCAGACTTTTTCAAAGATGAAATATGAAAAATTTAAATAAGTTTTATATAAAGAACTTTCTGTAACCTCAATTAATATACAGTGGGATATGTCTATTCTATATAGATATATTTATTATTATTTCTCAATTTAAGCACCATTCAATTCTTCTGGATCCATTCTGGCTGGAAAATATCCCTAAATCCACAGGATGTTATCTATTTAATGGCACATGTTAACTGAAAATGAGGTGGATTTTTTTTTTAAGAAAAGACCTTAAATTAATTTCTATCTACATCTTAATTGGTTTGTCTTCTGAGCCAGCTCACAATGTCAATGCAATTTCTAGTGCAGGTGTCTCTGAGTGCCCCTTGACCACACCCCGAGGATTGTGGCAGTGTCCTGGCCATGTGTGGAAGGATCGAAGGGCAGCAGGTGCAGCCTTGCTCTGCACATGGACAGCAGCTGGCTGGTCCACCGCCACGCACCTTCAGCAGTGTACCTCCGGCACAAGTTCCACCATTCTGCTTCAATAAAGCTGGGAAAGGCCGCAGTCCCAGGGTGCTGCTGGGTGGCGAGGAACTGTCCACCCCCAGAAACCCCAGGTGACTGCTTCCAATCACAAATATTCTATATTTTGCCCATTTTGTATAAGCTTAAATATAGATAGTGTTAAACAAACCTCCAGCCAGTATATCTGTTATCTTAAAATATTCAATGCATTTTAGGCAGGAGATGTTTTAACTAAAAACCTACATGAAAAAAAAAGCTATAAAATACAGTGATTGGTGTGGTCATCACTCAAGGTGTGGAGGAGGGAGGAGAGGGTTTCCAAAAAATGGTCAGTTATGCCCTCAGCTTTCAGGCCTGATGTCTTCCCAACACACAGCAGGACTAAAAACCCAAGAGCTGTGTTTCTTCAAGTGTGGCTGTGGCGCCTGCATCAGAGTCACCTGTGGCGCTTACTAGGCATGCAGGTTCCCTAGCAAGCCCCTGAAGGCCAGACGCCTGTGTCTCCAGCTGGCTCTCCAGGGCTCTGATGCCATCGTTTCAGAAGCCAGGTTTAAAGGCTTGGAGCTGCCAACCACCCTTGTCCCCAAGGAACCCTCCCTGGGATGGGGCGCACTGGTCCTCTGAGGGGCTGGTGTCAGCTAAGTGGCCCTGGGGTGGGGACACTCATCCCCACAGCTCTGGGCGGGCAGGCAGGCAGGCAGGCAGGCTGGCTGGCCTGGGGTCAGTACTGGGGCAGATAGGCTGGCCTGCGCTCACCCTTCCCAGGGAAGGCCTTGAAGCCCTTGGGTGCTGCCTTGTGTGCTGGTGGGGGTGGGGGCTGGGGTGGGGTCTGCACATAGGAGAAGGCAGCGGCACTGCAGTCGTTGGTTGCGGCCCACACTGGGGACTGCAGCATCTGCATGGTGTCGTTCCACTGGCTGCCAGGGCTGGTGACTGCATAGAGTGGTGCGCTGGGGCTGGGCAGCGTGCTGGGAAGCGGGGAAGGGTGCTGCCAGGGTGCTTTGGGTGGCCACGTTTTGGTTTTGTTATCCTGAGAAACAAAAGAGAGTTCTTAGTGGCATTTCGGGCAATGTATCATCATTTCCCACCTCCCCAGATGCCTGGCCCTTATTCCCTCCTAGGAAGCCGGGTGAGAGCCCCACTCACTCCCACACCCCTGTCCAACAGAACTTCTTGCAATGATAGCCATGTTCTGTGCCTATACGGTCTAGTATGGTAGCCACTCGCCACATGTGACTAGTGCAAACTGAGGAAAGGAACTTTTTTTTTTTTTTTTTGAGATGCAGTCTGTCTCTCGCCCAGGCTGGAGTGCAGTGGTACGATCTCGGCTCACTGCAACCTCTGCCTCCGGGGTTCAAGCGATTCTCCTGTCTCAGCCTTCTGAGTAGCTCGGATTACAAGCGCATGCCACCATGCCTGGCTAATTTTTGTATTTTTAGTAGAGATGGGATTTCACCGTGTTAGCCAGGATAGTCTCGATCTCCTGACCTCGTTCGTGATCCACCCGCCTTGGCCTCCCAAAGTGCTGGGATTACAGGCGTCGCCACTGCGCCCGGCTGATTGTTTTTAAAAAGTATTTTAGAGGCAGTCTCGCTCTGTCACCCAGGCTGGAGTGCAATGGTGCAATCATAGCTTACTGTAATCTCAAATTCCTGGGTTCAAGCCATCCTCCTGCCTCAGCCTCCTGGGCAGCTAGGACTACAGGCATGTGCCACCATGCCTAGCTGATCTTTTAATTTTTTTGCAGAGACAGTGTCTATATTACCTGGGCTGGTCAAGAACTCCTGGCCTCAAGCCATCCTTCTGCCTTGGCCTCCCAAAGCACTGGGATTACAGGCATCAGCCACCACACCCGGCCTGAATTTTTATTTGTATTTAAATTTACATAGCCACATGTGGTGAATGGCTATCACACTGGACAGCACAGCCGTAGAGCTTCCTGTGGCTCTGAGTCAGCTGAGGTGGCTAATCATTTACACAAAATTAATCACCACAAAGAAGATCCCTCATTACTTTGAGGCCCTCTGAAAACTGCAGCTGTGGAAGCTAGCCCAAGTCTGTGCCCACAGAGCCTGCCTGAATACCTGGTTCACATCCTCCACCGTGGTGAGGAGAGGTGGTGAGGGCAGCGTGCTGGTGTCTTGCTCTCCACTGCTGTGTTTCCTGCAAGAACCAAGAGCTCAGGGCAGTGATTGCTTGGCTTCCTGCCCAGCCCACCTGTAGGGTACACACTAGTGCTAGGCTCCAGCATCTCCAGGCCCTGGTTCTAGGAGGGGAGGAGGCCTGCCTGGGTCAATGGCATAAAGGCGGCTAAGGGGAGCCAGCAGTGAATGACGGCGCTCCTGCACTGCCAGTGCAGGTGGAGGAGCTGGGGGTGGAGGTGGCAGGCAAAGACAGGCACTGGTTTACTCAGCTGCTGAGTCCACCTTCTTTGGCTTTATTATTATTATTATTATTATTTTATTTTTTTTTTTTTTTTTGAGACTGAGTCTCACTGTTTCCCAGGCTGGAGTGCAGTGGCATGATCTCAGCTCATTGCAAACTCTGCATCCCAGGTTCAAGCAATTCTTGTGCCTCAGCGTCCCGAGTAGCTGGGATTACAGGTGCGTGCCACCATGCCCAGCTAATTTTTGTATTTTTAGTAGAGATGGGGTTTCACCATGTTGGCCAGGCTGATCTCGAACTCCTGACCTCAGGTGATCTGCCCGCCTAAGCCTCCCAAAGTACTGGGATTGCAGGTGTGAGCCACCGAGTCCGGCCGGCTTTTTGTTAATTTATTTAAGAGATACTGTTTCCGGCCGGGTGCGGTGGCTCACGCCTTTAATCCCAACACTTTGGGAGGCCGAGGTAGGTGGATCACGAGGTCAGGAGATCAAGACCATCCTGGCTAACATGGTGAAACCCTGTCTCTACTAAAAATACAAAAAATTAGCCGGGCATGGTGGTGGGCGCCTGTAGTCCCAGCTACTTGGGAGGCTGAGGCAGGAGAATGGCGTGAACCCGGAAGGCGGAGCTTGCAGTGAGCTAAGACCGCGCCACTGCACTCCAGCCTGGGCAACAGAGCGAGACTCCGTCTCAAAAAAACAAAAAAAGAGAGAGATACTGTTTCCAAGCACTAAGGATATGTGACTTAAAGCCCATTCGTTTTACTAATCACATGAAAGTCTGTTACAAGGTTGAATGAAAAAGGCAGGATGTGGCCAGATCAGAGCCAGCACTCCTGCATGCAGACAACAGTCTCTGCAGAGATGGTGCCAGATGTGACTTCTTAGAAGTCGAATCAGTCATATGTCTGAAAGAAAAGTCTCAAACTCCACCCCCGGTTCAAACTTGCTCCTCCTGCAGGCTTAGCACCTCAGTTCATGGCGCCCTTCACAGAAACTCAGGCAGAAAACTTGCGTGTCATCCTTGACTCTTCCTACCTCACCCACACCCCACTGCCGATTCCCCACCAGTTGCTGCCGCACTTTGTTCAGCTCTCTGCTCATCAGAAGCCTCATTGACTAAGTGCTGGAAATAGAACATCCACCTGTTCTCTGCATTTACTACCCTCATACCCTGCTTTATTTTCCTTCAGAGCACCTAGCCTAACCTGACATGATTTTTTGTTTGATTTTTGAGACAGGGTCTAACTCTGTTGCCCAGGCTAGAGTGCAGTGGCACAAACACAGCTCACTGTAGCCTCAACTTCCCAGGCTCAAGTGATCCTCCCACCTCAGCCTCCCGAGTAGCTGGGACTACAAGTGTGGACAGAAAGCATCTGAATGTGTGCTCGTGATTGGTCAATGCCACCCCCCACCCCACTACTATTCTGTGCAAGTACCATTCTGTCTTCACCTACCCGCTCCCCACTGCCTATCTGACAGAGCCTGGCCTGTCCAGCAGGGACCAAGTAACCCGGCCTCCCACTCTGCTCTACAGCATGGCTTCGAGTGCCTGGGAGCCCTGCGTGCCCTCTACTCCTGCCCATGGTCCTTAGTCTGCCACCCTGACCTTGCTTTCTCATATCCACAGCAGTTTCTCTACTTATTTCTAACCAAGCTCTCCTCTCAGTTCAGAGCCCATTTTAATTTTTGTGACTACTTTTGAAAGCTAATTACTACTTTTCCCAACTTTGAAACGCCATTCAGAGGTCATTTTATCCATCTTTAATAAAGAGATGGAGGGTAATTGAGGGCCAGCCCCTTGTCTAGGGTTGCAGAGCCTGTTGGTGAGTCCAGATTAGAACTCGCAACCAAAGGCCTGCTCTTCCCACAGAAATGGGTGCCTCCTGCAAGGCACAGACCAGCACCGGCCACCCCGTCTCCCAAATTGATCTGCACAAGATGAGGCCGGCTCTTCCTTGTGGAAACCGCCTCCTGCAGGTGCTCTTCAGAGGCTTCAGCCAGGCATTGCTGGAAGAGCCCCTCCTCTCACACAGGGAGACTGGAGGTGACTGGGCTCCTGGCTTTCCCAGGGAGTGAGCCATGGGTTGCATTCACATGCCCTTCTCTCCCCACCTTGGTTTAGAAATCCCTTCATACCTTCTCTGCTTGACAGCAGCAACGAGGTCAGGCCCTGAAAACATGGAGAACAAGCTGTCCCCGTTGGCTGAGGATGTCTCATCACTCGAGCTGGCAGAGTCTCCCTGAGCACCCGACCAGCCACCGTGCAGGCCATCCCTGAAAGCCAGAGAGAGAAGCTGGGCCAGGGCCTCCTGCAGCCCCACCACCCGCCACCCCACCCTGAAAGGGCAGTCCTTACCCTGCATTCATCCCATAACCAAATAGTGGTCTCTTGTCTCTCCCTTCTTAAAACGTGAGGTTTTCCTCCTTTGCCTTATTTCAAAAGTAATACATATTCATCAATTCCCTTTATTCCTCTAAGAAGCCTATGGTTTGTATATGAAATTTGTTTTAGAAAAAGCAAGGGAGGGAGAGCATGGGGAAGAATAGCTAATGGATGCTGGGCTTAATACCTAGGTGACGGGATGATCTGTGCAGCAAACCACCATGGCACACATTAACCTTTGCAACAAACCTGCACATCCTGCACATGTACCCCTGAACTTAAAAGTTGAAAGAAAAAAAATTTTTAAGTAAAAAAAAAAATTTAAAAATAAGAAAAAACAAAAAGTTGAGCTGGTCTTTAGTCATCCAGATTTATTAACCATGTAGCAATATGGGATATAAAAAAATCCCCAGTTGTCTTTACAATAAAAATTTGCAATTCTCTCAATATACTAGAATCTCAATTGTACACTTTTGCTTTTCATAGGCTATAATGACAGCGTTCCATAAATCACGTGGGCTTCGCAGCCACACTCAGTTCAGTATAAAGGCCGTGTGAAACATGCCTTCACCTCACAAGCACCATCATGTAAGAGCCTTGTCTAGGGCTGAAGAGTCTGTTTTGAAAATCATGAATGTATACCAATGGCACGTTCACAGGGATACATCACACTACTTGGCATCTAACAGTCAGCCACATGACTCTGACCCCTAAAGATTTCATCCCATGTCACTCTCTCACATGGGGGCTTGGAATTGAACTGCCTGAAAAGAATGCACACAGGCAAGGAGCCTCTCTTCTCACAGGCCCCTCGGGGGACACCTGGGTCTCAAGCTCAGATTCCCTGAAGTACCCAGCACTCACCCTTCTGTGAAGAACTCGGGGAAGGGCCAGGTCCGATGCGCGTCATCCATAGGCGGCCAGTTGCCCCGGGGGTTGCCTGGCCGGCGACCGTGCTGGGCCTGCCGCTTCTGCTGCATCGCCTGGCTCACTCCTGCCACATAGCGTGCAAACTCTGGGTCTGAGCCCACTGCATTGGGACAAAGGAATAAACCGGGTTTGGGGACAAACTGGCCTCTTGGTCCTTCCCTACGCTTTGCTAACGTGCTGGTCACACATGCAATGAAAGGCAGTGAGGAGCTGCCAGGCTTGTGCCCCACAGCGTGGGCTGTAGGCTGTGCCCAGCACCCTGCTGTGGGGAGATGGGACTTGCCGCACCTAGGGCTGAGGCATGGTGTGTGCCAGGGCTGTCATGAAGGGCTATGCCTAGGATAGAGGCAGGCTAAGTGTGAAAGAAACAAAAAGAGAGAAAAATGGTTTGATTTCCCTACGACTAGATTTTAAAGACAAATACTAATTACTTAAAAAATTTCCAGCATCAGCCAGGCACAGTGGCTCACTCCTGTAATCCTAGCATTTTGGGAGCCTGAGGTGGGCAGATCGCTTGAGCCCAGAAGTTCGAGACTAGCCTGGCCAACACGGCAAAACCTCATCTCTACAAAAATTAGCTGGGTGTGGGCCAGGCGCGGTGGCTCACGCCTGTAATCCCAGCACTTTGGGAGGCTGAGGTGGGTGGATCACGAGGTCAAGAGTTCAAGACCAGTCTGACCAAGATGGTGAAACCCTGTCACCACTACTAAAAATACAAAAATTAGCTGGGTTCGGTGGCAGGCGCCTGTAATCCCAGCTACTCGGGAAGCTGAGGCAGGACAATCACTTGAACCCAGGCGGCAGAGGTCGCAGTGAGCTGAGATCGTGCCACTGCACTCCAGTCTGGGCGAAAGAGTGAGACTCTGTCTCAAAAAAAAAAAAAAAATTAGTTGGGTGTGGTGGTGTGCACCCGTAGTCACAGCTACTTGGGAGGCTGAGGTGGGGGGATCACTTGGGCCCAGGAAGTGGAGGTTGCAGTGAGCCAAGATTGCGCCACTGCACTCCAGCCTGAGAGACAGAGCTAGACCCTGTCTTTAAAAACAAAACAAAACAAAACTGGGCTGGGCTTGGTGGCTCACACCTGTAATCCCAGCACTTTGGGAGGCCAAGGCAGGTGGATTACCTGAGGTCAGGAGTTCGAGACCAGCCAGGCCAACATGGTGAAACCCCGTCTCTACTAAAAATACCAAAAATTAGCTGGACGTAGTGGCAGGCACCTGTAATCCAAGCTACTCAGGAGGCTGAGACAGGAGAATCACTTGAACCTGGGAGGCGGAGGTTGCAGGGAGCCAAGATCGCGCTATTGCACTCCGGCCTGGGTGACAAGAGCAAAACTCCAACTCAAAAAAAGTCCATTGTCTTGGTGCTCTGTATGTAGCCTAGAGTCATTAGCTAACAACTTCGAAAATCAGATGATGACTTTGGCCAACTGATAACCTGAACGTTAACAAAGCATCAAAGCATTGGGGTCAGCCAGATAGAGGTTATATGCTGATCCCACTTAAGCTAAAGTTTGATCTAGTATTTTCCTGGCTATTGACAGGAGATTTGCTCATTCCATCTGAACATCTTAAGTGTGGCAAAGAATAAAATGAAACTTCAGAATGCTTTAAGAGGTGGCTGGAAACACTGGCAATGCTGAACGGGGATATACAGGGCAGTACAAATGGGAGAAAAGCACAGATGGCGTTTACAGAAAGTGTCAAAAAAAACATATGGCAGGAAAGCATCCATGCATCATAAATCAAATGTGACTCAGCAATGCATTTTTTAGCTTAAAATTAGGGAAGATACTAGGGCACAATCCCATTATCAACTTATCCTTAGGGCACTGTCACAAGATGATTTCAGTCATGCTGGCCTGTCTCCCGTTCCCCATCCCGCACTGATTTTGCCTATCTAGACGGGGCCACTAGATGGCGCCCTCTGATTCTGTCCAGAGGGGTGCCCCTCCTTAATCTGCATCAAGGGCTATGCAGATCTTATGCCCTCGGGGCAAGGTCTGTAGAAAACTACACCATGGACTTCAGGTGCAGAAAGGAACACCCAGAAGGGAAAGAGTAGGATTTGTAGTCTACAGACAGAAGAGGTATCCAGGACTCAGAGGTCAAATATGATAACATTCTTATTCATTTATTAAAAATAAATCTTTTTTTAGACAAAGTCTCACTCTGTTATCCAAGCCGGAGTGCAGTGGCGTGATCTCAGCTCACTGCAACCTCTGCCTCCTGGGTTCAAGTAATTCTCGTGCCTCAGCCTCCCAAGTGGTTGGGACTACAGGTGTGTGCCACCACACCTGGCTAATTTTTTTGTATTTTTGGTAGAGACGGGGTTTCGCCATGTTGGCCAGGCTGGTCTTGAACTCCTGGCCTCAAGCAATCCGCTGGCCTCAGCCTCTCAAAGTGCTGAGACTACAGGCATGAGCCACTGCACCCGGCCTCAAATATGACACAATTCTGACAAATACTGTTTATACTCTGGATTTAGTTATATGACAGTCAAAAAATGTACACACCATCTATGATCAACTGAGAAAACGCACTGTGCCCACACCAGTGGGTGGCAGCCAGTGGGCTTGCTGTTTCTTAGCAGGATGGAGGTGTTTACCCTTCTTGTGGCCCAGGGTTGCAGGCACAAGGGTTTCCTACATCCATCCACCCAAGGGGAGCAAGCACAAAACAGCAAGAGCAGCGGCATGAAGAATTTTCAGAAGACATGAGCAATGGTCAGATGCAGTGGCTCATGCCTGTAATCCCAGCACTTTAGGAGGCTGAGGTGGGTGGATCACCTGAGGTCAGGAGGTCAAGACCAGCCTGGCCAACATGGCAAAACCCCATCTCTATGGGCGCGGTGGCTCATGCCTGTAATCCCAGCACTTTGGGAGGCCGAGGTGGGCGGATCACGAGGTCAGGAGATAGAGACCATCCTGCCTAACACAGTGAAACCCCGTCTCTATGAAAAATACAAAAAATTAGTTGGGCATGGTAGCGTGCGCCTGTAGTCCTAGCTACTCAGGAGGCTGAGGCAGGAGAATGGCGTGAACTCGGGAGGCGGAGCTTGCGGTGAGCCGAGATCGCGCCACTGCACTCCAGCCTCGGGGCGGTAGAGCGAGACTCCGTATAAAAAAAAAAAAAAATTAGCTGGGTGTGGTGGCAGGCACCTGTAGTCCCAGCTACTCAGGAAGCTGAGGCAGGAGAATCATTTGAGCCCAGGAGGCAGAGGTTGCAAGTAAGTGGGGATCGCGCCACTGCGCTCCAGCCTGGGCAACAACGTGAGACTCTGTCTCAAAAAAAAAGAGAAAGGAGTGTTAACCCCAGCATTAACTTCCCTCCTGTAACAAATGCTGGGTGTTTCAGCAAGGAGTGTCCTCTTTTTTTTTTTTTTTTGAGACGGAGTCTCGCTCTGTCGCCCAGGCTGGAGTGCAGTGGCGGGATCTCGGCTCACTGCAAGCTCCGCCTCCCGGGTTCACGCCATTCTCCTGCCTCAGCCTCCCAAGTAGCTGGGACTACAGGCGCCCGCCACTACGCCCGGCTAATTTTTTTGTATTTTTAGTAGAGACGGGGTTTCACCGTTTTAGCCGGGATGGTCTCGATCTCCTGACCTCGTGATCCGCCCGCCTCGGCCTCCCAAAGTGCTGGGATTACAGGCGTGAGCCACAGCGCCCGGCCTGGAGTGTCCTCTTATGGTGGTGATTTACTTGTACAAGTATTTGCTATACTTATTTGTAACATTTCACAGTACTCCCCTGTGAATGAAATACATTTTCTACTTCTGTGTATGCCTTTTGCTAAATTAGAGAAAAAAGTTTGCATGTACCTATGTTACCAAATTCTCTTACTAATTTTAGATGGTTTTTTTTGTGGGGGGGGTTCAATTCTATTATCAGCAAAAAGATGTGCTGCTTAATTTATCATTTTCCAAAGCTTAGACCACTTATTTTATTGCTTTTTGTCTTGCTGCATTTGCTGTGAAGTCCAAGACAAAGTTACATGCTACAGGTGATAACAGTCGCCCTTGTCTGATTCCTGATATTAACTGAAATGATTTTTGTTTCATTATATAAGGCACTATTTGCTATTAGCTTTTAGTAGATAGTCTTTTTTATTTTTTATGTATTTACTTATTTTTTAGAGACAGAGTCTTACTTTGTTGCCCAGGCTGGGCTGCTGTGGTGTGATCATGGCTCACTGCAGCCTCAACCTCCTGAGCTCAAGCGATCTTCCCACCTCAGCCTCCCAAGGAGCTGGGACTACAGGCATGTGCCACCACACCCAGCTAATTTTTTATTTTTTGTAGAGATGGGGGTTTCACTATGTTGGCCAAACTGGTCTTGAACTCCTGGCCTCAGGCAATCTGCCTACCTCAGCCTTCCAAAGTGCTGGAAATTACAGGCATGAGACATCATGCCTGGCCAGGTTTTCCACTTCTTGGTATAATTTTGTAATGCCTATTTTGCTAGGAAAGAATCCATTTTCTGCTGAATTTCCAAATGTATTGCTATTAAGTCTTAGATGGTACTGTCTTAAAGTGGCTTTTTTTTGAGACAGGGTTTCTCTCTGTCAGCCAGGCTGGGGTGTAGTGGCATGATCATAGCTCACTGCAGCCTCAAAATCCTGGGGTCAAGGGATCCTACCGCCTCAGCTTCCTAAGCACCACCACACCCAGCTAATTTTGTTTAATTTTTAGTAGAGATGAGGGTTTTGTGATGTTGACCAGGCTGGTCTCGAACTCCTGGCCTCAAGTGATCCTCCAGCCTTAGCCTCTCAAAGTACTGGGATTACAGGCATGAGCCACTAAAGCGCTTTTAATGTATCCTTTCTATTTCCTAATTTTGTTTCTCTTTGTTCTCCCTTAATCAAGCTTAGAATAAATTGGCTTATACATTTTATTGGTCTTCCAAAGATCCTTTAGAGTTATTTGCAATTTCTACTCTATTTTTCTTTCTAATTTACTTATTTTTGGCTTTTCCCCCTTAATTCCTCCTCCTAGTTTGTTCTTGTTTGTAAATTCCTTCTCTAATTTTTTAAGATGACTCTGGTGGTATTTTCATTGTCTAGCCCAGGAGAAGCTGTATTCTATGAAGGCAGGAGGGTGTCTGTCACCTGTCATAGGTCCTAGAGTTTAGGCAAAAAAAAAAAGCATCGCAAAGAACAGGTTATATAATCAGGAAAAAAGCACCCCACAAAGGGCTGCTGACCTTGGCTGCCGGGAGTAGGCAGGCCTAGACTGGAGCCTACTTGAACTATGGGACTTTGAGCTGTTCAAGTAACCTCTCTTAGCCTCAGTTCTGTTCTCTATAAAGTAAGAAAAATAGTCCACTCATGTTCTCAGCCCCTTTCTCACCACTGTTTCCCATCTTGGTAGATCTGCCCCATACTTGCCTCCACAGTGAGAAAGGGTCGTAAAGGGGGATTAAATGATTTCACCTTCACAAGTAAGGCTGCAGCAGACAGGCCCTGGGAAGACCTCGGCAGTTGCATTTGCTGTTGACACTGGGCGAGGGATGGGAGGCCTCACATACCTGCAGGATCAAAAGGCAGAATCTCTCCCAGCATTCCAAAGACTCCATCACTTTGGTCACGGTTGGGCCAGGTGTTATTTCTAGGTCCCTGCGGCTTCTGTCCCAGAACCTCTGACATCACATTATCCATATAGCTGCTCACCAGACCCAAGCTGTACAAGTCAGAACTGAGATCAGATATGCCAGGCCACTGACCAAGAGGAGACAGACCTGCTCCAACAGCCTGCGCTGGCTGCTGGGATGAGCCATGTACCCATTTCCCAGGTGCCCGAGGCTGGGGCGGGGGCTGCTGCGGTCCAATGGGCTGGAGTAGGTGTTGGTAGTATTGGACTTGAGGTTGTTGCTGCTTTGGGGACTGCTGCTGAGGTGCCAGTCCCGGCTGGGGTGTCAGAGGTGTGTGTGCCCCAGCCTGGGGTGCCCGTGGTGGAGGGGGCACAGGCAGTGACGGCTGCTGTGGTTGCATGGCTCCTGCCTTCTGCTCAGTCACCATGGCTGTGGCAGCAGAATTATGCCTTGTCACCAACGGAGAGCCCTGATGTGACTGGCCCATGTTAAAGCCCGAGAGAAAATCTATCACCTCTTGCATTTCCTGATCAGTTGGTAAGTTCATACCCTTCTCATCCTTGCCGTCATCTCCATGCAGGAAGTTCTCACGCCTCTCCATGAGAAAGCCATTGGCCACTGTATTACTGGAATTCTGAGCTGACTGTGAAGGGTCTGTAGTCCTGGGGAAATTACCAATGTTCAAAATGCTTTGTAACCTTGTATCAATATTGCCAGGCATTTTGGCCTTCTCTTCGGAACATCCAGCTATGAAGATGTTTTTGGAAGGGGTATTTTGGATGGAATAATTTGTGCTGCTGCTGGAGCTGGTACATGAAGCTTTCTTGGTGAACCGGGATGTCAGTTTGGAGAATGTCTTCTGCAGGCCACCTGAAGATTTGTTTCCATTTCCAGAAGGCAGGTCAGCCTGGTTGCCAAAATCACAGATCTCCCTTTGCAGCTGGATCTGTATGCAGGGTAAAGCTTGCTCCCTATTTAAACAGAAATTTGTTTAAAAAAAAAAAAGACAAATATATAAAATAATAAAATGGACCTCTTTGTATTTAAGAATGGCGTTGAGAGCAAGAAAAACCTCTCAGGTTGGTATCGGGTTCACTTATTTTATATATAAATGAACACCCAGGGGTTTGGAGAGTATGAAATCTACAGTGTCTAACGCAGGACTGGAAGTTCTGCTAGGATTCTGGCCTGAGGAGTGTGATTCAGTGAAATCCTCTAATGGTGGCACAGGAGGGGAAAGCATGGCTAGATGTGGGGATGCAACTTGCAGAAGCTAGATTTGTGCCTGGAGGACAGGGGCTACAGCCACGCAAATGCAGCAGAGGGACAATGGACAACTCCACAAAGCAGAGGGAGGTGGTGGGGGGATGCAGGGATACTATGTGCCAACGTTGTCCCAACAGATGGCTGTGACTTTCAAAGTTTCCTGAGCACATTTTTCCCATACTAAAATGGAGCCCTAAAGAGCGAAAGGGCATGGGGCAGGAGCTGAGGCAGGTGAAGGCTGTGTGACCCTGGAAAAGTCACTTCACTATTCTGGCCTTTGTGTACTCATGAGTTAAGAAAGGGAGAAAAGGTTGGGCATGGTGGCTCACGCCTGTAATCCCAGCACTTTGGGAGGCCGAGGCAGGCACTTGAGGTCAGGAGTTTGATACCAGCCTGGCCAACACAGCGAAACCCCATCTTCATGAAAAATACAAAAATTAGCTGGGCGTACACCTGTAATCCCAGCTACTCGGAAGGCTGAGGTAGGAGGATGACTTGAGCCCAGGAGCTGGGGGATGGATGGGATGGATAGCATGGATGGAGAGCAATATTGCAGTGAGCTGAGATTGTACCACTACACTCCAGCCTGGCTGGGCAACAGAGCCAGATCCTAAAAAGACAAGATGACAAGACCAAAGACAAAGACCAAGACAGAAAAGAAAAGAAAAGAAAAGAAAAGAAAAGAAAAAGGGAGAGGGGCCATGGCTAGATGTTTAAGGCCACTACCAGATGTATACACATTTCTCAAGTTCAACCTGAGAGAACTGATTGAAAAAGAAAAAAAATTCTAAAAGACATAAGCAAATTTTCTAAACATTTCTCTGTTCTTAATTCATAAGGAGAATATGAGTTGAGTTAAAAGTCCTCTTGATGGACTTCCTCTCAAATGACAAAATAAAGGAAGGCAAAAAAGTTAGCAAATAGGGGAATCTGGTACAGGGCATGGAGCAGTTCTTTGTATTATTCTTGCCACTTTGCTGCAGGTTTTAAATTATTCTGAAAATAAAAGTTACTAAAAAGTCCTTACTGCCTTCTTTACAATACCGTATACTATCAATGACACAAGCACACATGAAACTGTGCATAGTCACACTGTCCCTCGGTATGCATCTAATGCAAACCACAGACACCAACCTTCCAGCCCTCCAGCGGTTTAGGTCCAGCACAGCTGTGTAGAGCACGTCCACTAGACCCAGGGTCTTCTCAGGATCAAGGCTTCTCTGCAGCAGGGACATGGTAGCAGGGTCTTCTTTCAGGCACCTAGGCATAGATTAGGCTGCATTAGTCTTGGCTGCATTTCTCTGCAAAGGTGTCTCAAGCAGGTCTCATAGAAAAGGCTACAACTTTTATGTACCTCTGGCGCCCAGCAAAAATTCAGTAACTGTAAGAACATGGAGAGAACAACAGGGCTGATCCTGGAACTCACTGCCCCACAAGAGGAGTAGGAAGCAAAAAGGTCTGAGGTCTCATGATATCAGAATATATATTTGGTCTCTGCCTCCAGTTCCTGATACAGAGCTCCTAAAACCCTTGAGATTTCCTAGGTGATAGTGTCTTTTGTTCTAATAAGATGACTTGCTTATATGATGAAGCCTCCATAAAAATCATCAGACCATCGGGTTCTGAGAGCTTCCACGCTGGTGAACACACTAAGGTGCTGGGCACAGGGCATAGCTGGCAAGGGCATGGAGGCTTGGAGCCCCATCCCAAACACTTCACGCTATGCACCTCTTCACCTGGCTGTTAATCTGTATCTGCTATAATATCCTTTATAATAAACCTTAAATATAATTAAATGTTTTACTGAGTTCTGTGAGCCATTATAGCAAAATATCAAACCTGGAGGTTTTGGGAACCCCCAACTTATAGCCGATTGGTTAGAAGTCGGGTGACAACCTGGGACTTGTGGATGGCATCTGAAGTGGGGAGTAGCCTTGTGGGGCTGAGCCCTTAACCTGTGCGGTCTGTGCTAGCTCAGACACTCTGATTCCTGCCGACTTCTCCAATAAGTGAACAACACAACTGTCTACCCCAAAACTTACACACCCTCTCTAGTTCCCTCACATCTTGCATGCAATCCATCAGTGAATCCTGACAGCTCTTCTTATAAAACACATCCAGAATCTAAGCACTTCTCGCCACCTTGTTTATGAACCCCCTGCTTCAGGAAACCACCACTCCTGGGTCTCAGGACCAAGCTCTCACCTGGCCTCTTTTTCTCTACTCCTGTACCTCCAAAGCCCATCCTTCATATAGGGGCCAGAGTGAGCTTCCTGTAGTGCCAATCAGAGCACATCACTCCCCTGCTTAAAACTCTTCAATGGGATATCATCGTGATTGAAATAAAATCTAAACCCTCACCACAGCCCTCAAAGCCCTCTGTGCCCAGCCCCTCAACCTTGTCCCAGCTGTGAGGCCTTCTCTTCCTCCCTGGATGGGTTTGTCCACACCTCAGGACCTTTGCTCTTGCTGCTGCCTTTGCCCGAATTTCTCTTTCCTGAGATTTTGGTATGGCCAACTGCTTCTCATCATTTGGGTCTCCACCGTCCATTCAGGGTACCTACACCAAGAGCCCCCCAACCTTTTTTCGAGACAGAGTCCTACTCTATCCTCAAGGCTGGAGTGCAGTGGTGTGATCAAAGCTCACTGTTATCCTCGACCTCCTGGGCTCAAGCGATCTTCCCATGTCAGCCTCCTAAGTAGCTGGAACTACAGGCGTGTGCCACCGCACCTGGCTAATGTTTTAATTTTTTTGTAGAGATGGGGTCTCGCTATGTTGCCCAGGCTGGTCCTAAACTCCTGAGCTCAGGTGATCCTCCTGCCTCAGCCTCCCAAAGTGCTAGGATTACGGGTGTGAGCCACTTGGTCTGGCCAAGAGCCCTTTTCTGAGAGGGAAAACAGTCTGAGCAGCATAGGTCTACTAGGAAGATGATGTCTGCCAGATCCTGGGCACTCTGGAAGCTAAATGGTGAACTCAACACTTACAAAGTCACTCAAGGAGGTAGCAGTACTCCCTAACATGACTTTGACTTGGGAAGAAATATATCAGAGAATGAAATGAGAGCCGGCCAGGCTCAGAAGCCTGGAAAGGGTGAACAACAACGCAAGCTCTGCTAGTGCCCAGCTAGACCTTGGACTCCTCAGAGAGAATCTTGGCAGCTGAGCCTGCCCAAGGTTCAGTGCACCCAATTCTCTCCATCTGGAATCACTGATAATCAGGACACATTTGCTCTTGTTCCCAAGCCAAGTCTGGTTGTGACTTGGCTTGTCACATGTTTGCCCACTAGGAGAGCATTTGTTGGCCATGTAGAAAAGAGTACTACAGCTCCTGGTGATGATAATTAATCTTTCTGAAAAATCAACAATCAACAAACTGGCATTTTTATTTTATTCATCAGCCTTGAGCTGATCAATAAAATGCCCTTAAGTGGCTAAACCCATTCTGTTGACAAATCACCAAGACTTGCCTAAAACCCTCTACCTGTTCTTAGATAAAAACCCAATTCCTTCAAGGGCCCTGCAAGTCTTGACGTCTACAACTTCCCATCCTCATCACCACCTAGCACATCTCCTTCCATGCTGGGTCACTCCTGAGGCCTCTGCACTGGCATTCTTTCTGCCTGAAGTGTGTTCCCCATCGGCTCTCTGCATGACAGGCTCCTCTCAAATCCAATGTCACATCCTCAGACCCTCTTCCAGACTGACTCGTCTAAAAGTCTCCCCCGAATCTCTATCCTACTTATTCTCTATCATATAATGGCACTCTCCTCTCATTTCCATCATACGCCTGCCTGTGTCTGAACTCATCTCTTATACTTAACAGCTGTCTCCCCCTTCTCTATTCTCAAGTTGGTTTATGAGGGGCAGGGACCCTGTGTGTCTTGCTCATAATTAAATTCCCAGAGCCCAGAACAGTGTCTGGTACACAGTAAGTGTTCAGTAAATATTTGGTGAAACAAAGCATGGATGGATAGCAATATCCTTTTTCTCCAGGTGGAGTAAAGCAATCATTTCTGTTTGTGTTCTTCCCAACAAGCACATACAGTATTTTGTAATTTGAAAAAAAAAAAAAAAAACAGAACTAAAATTTTGCAAAATTACCAAAAGCACCCAGCAGAGGGCACCTCTACAAGAAATCACAGTCTACAAGGTGTTTTTTGCGGGGGTGCAATGAGTTACAAATGAAATCAACCCCACAGGGAGAGTTTTCAAAACAAACTCAAGTGTTAGCCATTTTTGCACTGACTGTTTATATTCACCCAACTATCCAAAAGTTCAAACTCTTCAAAATGAGAATTCTGATTAAGTTTTAACATTTTCCAATGACAGCCTGAATTGGAAAAATTTAAGAATTCAGGGTTGGGTGCAGTGGCTCACGCCTGTAATCCCAGCACTTTGGGAGGCCAAGATGGGTGGATTACCCGAGGTCAGGAGTTTGAGACCAGCCTGGCCAACATAGTGAAACCCATCTCTACTAAAAACACAAAAGTTATTAGCTGGGCATGCAGGCAGGTGCCTGTAATCCCAGCTACTCAGGAAGCTGAGGCAGGAAAATCATTTGAACCCAGGAGGTGGAGGTTGCAGTGAGCCGAGACAACACCATTGCACTCCAGTGTGGGCAACAAGAACGAAACTATCTCAAAAAAAAAAAAAAAAATTCAGGAACACATTTCAGCAGAACACTGACTACAAAAGAAAAAAAAAGAATTTAGTAACACAAAAATCTTACAGAAAGTGAGCCTCTGGTTTACTGTTTGATAGAAATGAAAATATGTGTATAAATTACCATTAATTTCAGGACACAGTATGCCACCCTACAATTAACTTAAAATTTTGGGCCAGGTACAGTAGCTCACGCCTGCAATCCCAGCACTTTGGGAGGCCAAGGCAGGGGGATCGCTTGAGCCCAGGAGTCCCAGACCATCCTGGCTAATATAGTGAGACTCCATCTCTACAAAAAACTTAAAAATTAGCCAGGCATGATGGCACATGCCTGTAGTCCCGCCTACTTGGGAGGCCAGGGTGGGATGATTGCTTGAGCCCAGGAGTTCAAGGCTACAGTAAGCCATGACCACACCACTGCACTGCAGTCTGGGGGACAGCATGAGATCTTGTCTCTACCAAAAAAAAAATAATAATAATAATTTAAAAAAATAAAAGAACTTTTTGGTGGCAGAGTACTTATAGAAGGGAGGTTTTAGGACACAAAGTGAACTGCCAACATTTACTTAAATATATTCATAGACTCTAAACACTTTTGACAGAATCTACTATTATACTCTTACATTTCAAGAACAAATGAGCCGGGCGCGGTGACTCACGCCTGTAAACCTAGCACTTTGGGAGGCCGAAGCAGGTGGATCACCTGAGGTCAGGAGTTCAAGACCAGCCTGGCCAACATGGCAAAACCCTGTCTCTACTAAAAGTACAAAAATTAGCTGGGCGTAGTGGCATGCGCCTGTAATCCCAGCTACCCAGGAAGCTGAGGCAGGAGAATCACTGGAACCCAGGCGGAAGAGGCTGCAGTGAGCCGAGATTGCGCCACTGCACTCCAGCCTGGGCGACAGACCGAGATTCTGTCTCGAAAAAAAAGAACAAATGGTTTAAATACAACTTGTATGCCTTACCCAACTACCATTTTAGTCCACATAGGCACCAACAGCACCTCTTTGTTCCTTAG
The DNA here is from genome assembly GCF_000001405.40 of Homo sapiens. Classification (NCBI taxonomy): domain Eukaryota; kingdom Metazoa; phylum Chordata; class Mammalia; order Primates; family Hominidae; genus Homo; species Homo sapiens. The sequence continues at coordinate 34,335,446 of NC_000019.10, read as the reverse complement.
TATCTCTGCCTACTTAAATGATTTAAATATTTTCTCTTATAGCTAAATATTCATGCAGATTACCATTTTAATAGCAAATACCTTCCAATATATGCTTAGTTTTTCCTGTTTATTAATAAAGCTATGATACTCATCCTTATAGCTGAATGTGAATACATATCACAAAGATAAATTTCTAGAGGTGAAACTGTGGAATTGTTGAGGTCATATCCCTTATTTTAGGCTTCTAATATACTAAATTGCCCTCCAGAAAGGTTGTATTTAGTCTCTACTCAACAACCTCTTTGCCTGTTTCACAGTCTGGCTCAAACTAGTATTGTCACTATATTTAGTATTGTTATTCTAAAACAATTTAACAATATTCTGGGCAAAATGACATCATAACGGTTTTTTTTTTTTTCTTGGAGACGGAGTCTCGCTCTGTCACCCAGGCTGGAGTGCAGTGGCACGATCTCGGCTCACTGCAACCTCTGTCTCCCAGGCTCAAGCGGTTCTCCTGCCTTAAGCTGGGATTATAGGTGCATGCCACCACGCCCGGCTAATTTTTGTACTTTTAGTAGAGACAGGGTTTCACCATGTTGGCCAGGCTGGTCTGGAACTCCTGACCTCAGGAGATCTGGCCGCCTCGGCCTTCCAAAGTGCTGGAATTACAGGTGTGAGCCACCCCACCTGGCCCCATATGGTTTCTTTACTTTGTCTCTGATTTTTAGGTGAAGTTATACATTTTCTTTTTTCTTTTTTTTTTTTTTTGAGATAGTTTTGCTCTATTGCCCAGGCTGGAGTGCAATAGTGCAATCTCAGCTCTCTGCAACCTCCGCCTCCTGGGTTCAAGCAATTCTTGTGCCTCAGCTTCCTGATTAGCTGGAATTACAGGCACCCACCACCATGCCTGGATAGTTTTTGTATTTTTAGTAGAGATGGGGTTTCACCACATTGGGCAGGCTGGTCTCAAACTTCTGACCTCAGGCGATCTGCCCGCCTTGGCCTCCCAAAGTGCTAGGATTACAGGTGTGAGTCACCGCACTTGGCCATTACATTTTCTTAATCTATTTGTTGATCATATGTCTTCTTTTCTGACTTAGCTGTTCATGTCCCTTGCCCATTTTCTTCTGATTTGTAGGAGCTTTTTTTAAAAAAAAATAAATTAAGAATAATCTTTTATCTATTATAAGTGTTACAAATATAATATCTAAAAATGACTGTCCCAAGATTTGTAAAGACACTGGGTGTGTCACAACATGAGCTCAAGATCATCAGGATTGTAGTTGGAACAGAGGAGAAGGAATTCTATGTTCTCTACTGGGCTTTAGTGAACACTGGGTGACTTAGAGAAAATGATATACTATGTTTAAATGCTGTAGACTCAGTAACAAAGATAATACTGCTCATTATGATCCAAGAGTATATAACATTTTAGTTACATTATGGTCAATGAGACCATTTTTCAGACCTCTTGGCTTCCTCATCACAGACCAATAATCATGACACATGCCACTAACATACCACTGCTGCCCATAAACCTGCACATGCAGCAAGACTTGTTGCGTCAGCTAGCATGGGCATTGTTCAAAACAAGGCCATCATTTCAAAGATGTGCAAACGTCAGTCAGAGCTTAGGCTCCGGTGAAAGTAAGAGGCACGTTACCATGTGGATGGGACTTGAACCACGATTCTAGAGCCTTCTAAACTGATCTGGGGGGCATAGGCTTCTTTATTCTCAATCTGTGCTGTGTCAACCACCACCTAAGATCGAAAAAAAAAAAAAAAAACAAATAACAACCAGCTTTCAGAGAGAAAACAAATCAGAATAAAATCCAATACATAAAATGACTCTCTAAGAACTATTCCCCTAGCAGCCTAGTTATGCCAAGGCCAGTCAGGGCCCCGTGAAGACAACAGCAAGTAGTAACAGATGACCAAAACTAAGAACATTTCAATAAACAGAAACCACATTCTGGGCATGGAATTAAATTGAACTGGCAAGCACCTCTAGCACTTTTTCCAAACTATAAATATGTTAATTAGGAATTAATTTGCGTCCTTTATCTTAGTATTTTTTACTTTATGCACTTAAAAGAAGTAAAAGTGTCACTGAAAGTCAAACCAGACTGGGTGCAGTGGCTCACGCCTGTAATCCCAGCACTTTGGGAGATTTAGGCAAGTGATCACTTGAGGTCAGGAGTTTGAGACCACCCTGGCCAACATGGTGAAACCCCGTCTCCACTAAAAATACAAAAAGTAGCTGGGTGTGGTGATCCTGCAGTCCAAGCTACTCAGGAGGCTGAGGCAGGAGAATAGCTTGAACCCAGGAGGCAGAGGTTGCAGTGAGCCGAGATTGCGCCACTGCACTCCAGCCTGAGCAACAGACCAAGACTCCATCTCAAACAAACAAACAAACAAAAAAGTCAAACCAATGCTTCAGATAAGCCCATTTGTCATGACACGCCCAGAAGTGGATGAAACTTTTTTAAAGATTATCTTATCCTCAACCATCAATAAAAACTGAATTACTTCAGGACAGAGGAAGAACTAACCCTTCTTTGAATGATTTCCTCTTATTTCCAGGAAGAGTCTTTAATACTAGATAGGTGATAAGAGTATCCTATGTAATCTAGAGTTTGACAAAGTGATGAATATATTTTCAAATAACTAAAAGAATGTTTTAAAAAATCATAAAATATTTTAAAACCAAATCTGTAATATTTCAGAAGGGGTAAAACTGTACAGAGTTGTGTATCATACTCCAAATTCAGCTTCTAATGGAGCCAGCTTTCACTGGTTTAAACAGAGTTCCCATAGCTGATCTGCAATGACCTTTGGAAAAAACTTCCTGTCAAAGGAATAGCCATTGTTGGACCACACAGGTGTTTCCTCTCTCCTCCCATCCCCAGAACCATAACCTAAAGTCACACAGAAATGTGTCCTACAATCAAGACGCAAGGAACTAGGAAGAAGTTTCTGCTCTCTGAATAACATGGAACTTTTTTTTTTTTTTAATCTACAGTGTTTTCTCAAAACAGCCTTTGTGCCTTTTGGCCTTATTTTGCATACTCCTTTCAGGGGAACTCATTGGCATGGTCCTTGCAGTTTCAGCTAAATGGTCTCTGGGAATATGGATCGATATACTAAAGCCAATGGGCTCTTCCACGCTTCAGCAAGGCATCTCTGGTTTACTACTTCTTTTGGAGGTCCCTATACTGAGGAAAAGATCCCAAAGGAAATGTGACTCATTACTGTGAACAAGCCCTCATCTGAGCCTCCACAAGACAGCCCCACTGTGAGCTGGGCCACCTGAGCCCTAACCCGCTTGAAACAAAACGACAGTATACCCTCAATAGCTCTTTTTGTGAATAAAGTAGGAACCAGACTAAAAAACAAGTTCTTTAATTTTCTTAATCTCTAATTAGGTCCTTCCAACCTCTGACTGAAATGCCATATCCTTTTTTTTTTTTTTTAAAGACTGGATCTTACTCTATGACCCAGGCTGGAGTGCAGTGGCACAATCTCGGCTCACTGCAACCTCTGACTCCTGGGTTCAAGTGATTCTTGTGCTTAAGCCTCTCGAGTAGCTGGGATTACAGGTGCCCGCCACCACGCCTGGATAATTTTTGTATTTTTAGAGACGAGGTTTCGCCATATTGGCCAGGCTGGTCTTGAACTCCTGACCTCAGGTGATCTGCCTGCCTCGGCCTCCCAAAGTGTTGGGATTACAGGTGTGAGCCACCACGCCCTGCCACCATATGTTTTTGAAAAGTAGTCGTTTACTAGAAAGGGAGATCAAATACGTAAGATTCTATGGGTCAGTGATGCAAACAAAAAGCTAAATGGTGATTTCAGATGTTGATCTCCTGACCCACCCAACTCTGGGCAAAGTTTTTTTTTTCTCTGAAAGATGAAATGAACAAATCATTACTTTTTAGTTGATGTTACTTTATTGCTAAGAAAGAGATAAACAGCAGCGGTATACAGTGACTGGATGGGGGTACTACTTATACCACTGTGGTCAAGGGAGGCCTCTTGGAGGAGGTGATTTTGGAGCTAACACCAAGAAGATAAGGAGTGACCTACATGATAATCAGAGAGAAGAGTATTTTCAGATAAAAGGGGTATCAAGAGCACAGGCCTGGGACAGGAAGAAGCATGGGATGTTTGAGCAACAGACATCCAATGTAGCTCCAGAATAGGGGCTAGATCAAGTGGCCCTGTCAACTTGTTACTAATGTAATGTTTTTTTCTTTTTTTTTTAAGGGCCGGGTGTGGTGGCTCATGCCTGTAATTCCAGCACTTTGGGATGCCTAAGCAGGCAGATCACGAGGTCAGGAGTTCGAGACCAGCCTGGCCAACACAGTGAAACCCCATCTCTACTAAAAAATACAAAAATTAGCCAGGCATGGTGGTGCGTGCCTGTAGTCCCAGCTACTCGGGAAGCCGAGGGAGGAGAATCATTTGAACCCGGGAGGCAGAGGTTGTGGTGAGCTGAGATCACGCCACTGCACTCCAGCCTGTGCAACACAGCGAGACTCCATCTCAAAAAAAAAAAAAAAATTAGCCAGATGTGGTGGCGGGTGCCTACCATCTCAGCTACTTGGGAGGCTGAGGCAGGAGAATCACTTGAGCCCAGAAGGCGGCGAGTTGAGATTGCGCCACTGCACTGCAGCCTGGGCGACAGAGCAAGAGTCTGTCACACACACACACACAAAAAAAAAAAAAAAAAAAAAAGAGGCAGGGTCTCACTATGTTGCCCAGGCTGATTTCAAACTCCTAGACTTAAGCAATCCTCCTGCCAAAGTGCTGGGACTACAGGCATGAGCCATGGGGCCCAGACTGTAATGGTTTTTTTCTTAAAATAAGCAAAGCCCATAGCATCATTTTGCAACTAGGTTCCCTGCAAATATATATTATCAATCTGGTTTTTCTTTTTAAAGAGATTTTTAAATGCTGCTCTTCCTTTACCTTGTCTACCTGCCTGGTCTAAATTCCACAGCACCAAATAACTTTTTAAATTATTCAATATTTTCACACATGTGTCTGCACCACATCCTCACATGCTTGAAACATCTTGGTATTCTACCTATCATCCACCACCCACGCTCACTCACCAGTCCAGCCTGGCCAAACAGCAGCTGCACCGCCGTCTTGCAGGCACCTCGCCATGTGGAAGGGCAAACCTGGTTCAGCACTTCAGTCACAGGAAAATCATCCCTGGATGTGATTCCATTATAGCAGCCTGCCTCCTTCATCAGCTGTAACATTGTATGCTATAGATTGATAAGAAGAGAGTTCACACCTCAAGACAAAGCCATGCAAGGTTCTAAAATTTGTAAAAATGCATTTATACAATCATCCTCAAGAGAAGAGCATTTTATTTATGTATTTTTCTATCGTCCAAGCTGCAGTCCGGTGGCACGAACATGGCTCACTGCAGCCTAGACCCCTCAGGCTTATGTGATTCTCCTGCTTCAAGCCTCCCCAGTAGCTGGGACCACACAGGTAGGTGCACACCACCACACTCAGCTAATTTTTAAATTTTTTGTAGACGTGGAGTCTTGCTATGTTGCCCAGGCTAGTCTTGAACTCCTGGGAAAAGAGCATTTTTTTTTTTTCTTTTTTGAGATGGAGCCTTGCTCTGTTTGCCTAGGCTGGAGTGCACTGGCACAATCTCAGCTCACTGCAACCTCCACCTCCTGGGTTCAAGCAATTCTTCTGCCTCAGCCTCCTGAGTAGCTAGGATTATAGGTGCCTGCCACTATACCCAGCTAATTTTTGTATTTTTAGTACAGATGCAGTTTTGCCATGTTGCCCAGGCTGGTCTTGAACTCCTGACCTCAGGTGATCTGCCCACCTCGGCCTCCCAAAGTGCTGGGATTACAGGCATGAGCCACCACGCCTGGCTCAAGAAGAGCATTTTAAATACACCCTAATTATGCCATTTTAATTTCCTTAGTAATTATCATCAATCACTCTCAGAGATTTTCTCAGCCCCATAGAGTAAATGACTAGATATGGATACATATGCGATAATATACACAGGTATTTCTATACTAGCACAAAATTATTTAGCAATCTACTGATGTGAACTGGTTGAGGAATTCTGAAATTCTGAATCCCTCCAAATAGGGAAACAAAATCATCTGATACAAGTAAATACTAATTAAAATCTCAATTTTATTTTGGATGACCAAGTAGTCAGGTGTTCAGGCTCTGGAAACAGATTACATAAGCTCAAATTCCAGCTCTTCTACTTTCTAGCTGTGTGACCTTGGGTATCAGTTCCCATGTGGCAGGTGGGCCAAAGGGCAGCACCCCTACCTCATGGGTGAGCATTAAGTGAGACAATGATGTGGAGCACCTGGCACAATGACTGGAACACATGATGTTCCACAAATAATCGTTATCACTGCAGCATTATAACAACATCTCTCTTCTTATTTAATTCATACAAGTCCACTGAGAGACATTAATCATAAACAATATCTTATAGTGTACTTTCAAACCCTTTCTGTTAAACATCTGAATAAAATTATGAATAAAACTGCCTAGGCCCAGGTCGGTGGCTCATGCCTGTAATCCCAGGACTTTTGGAGGCCAAGTAGGGTGGATCAGCTGAGGTCAGGAGTTCGACACCATCCTGGCCAACACAGTAAAACCCCGTCTCTACTAAAAATACAAAAATTAGCCAGGCTTGGTGGCACATGCTTGTAGTCCCAGCTACTTGGGAGGGTGAGGCAGGAGGATTGCTTGAACCCAGGAGGTGAAGGTTGCAGTGAGCTGAGATAGATCACACCACTGTACTCTAGCCTGGACGAGAGAGTAAAACTCCGTCTCAAAAAAACAAAACAAAACAAAACGAAAACTTGCTTGGCAAATGTCTGATTAAAGTCTCCGTAGGTCTGCTTTTTAATTTTTTTTTTTTTTTTTTAAGACAGAGTTTTGCTTGTCGCCCAGGTTGGAGTGCAATGGCGCAATCTCAGCTCACTGCCATCTCCACCTCATGGGTTCAAGCAATTCTCCAGCCTCAGCTTCCCGAACAGCTGGGACTACAGGTGCGTGCCACCGTACCCGGCTGATTTTTTATTTTTAGCAGAAACAGGGTTTCACCATGTTGATCAGGCTGGTCTCAAACTCCTGACCTCAGGTGATCCGCCCGCCTCCCAAAGTGCTAGGATTACAGGCGTGAGCCACCACGCCCGGCCCCATTTTTTTTTTAATCTACATCCTTCGCAAGCCTTTACATTTCTCTTAAGAACTCTATTTTCAAGTTCACACTCATTTGCTGGAACCCCATGGAAAGCTACCGTCTTAAGTTTCAGATTGTCGGCGGCCGACTCATTAAAGGAGACGCCCTTCAGGAAGTGCGATCCTATCTGCACAGGGACGGTGGGGAGCTCACACTGCATGGGCTGCGGGGGTGTCTGCCTCCGCCCCGTCTGCTGGGCTTCCGCCTCGCTGCAGCAGCCCTGGAAAAGGCATGGATGGAAGAGGAGAGGTGACCCATCGCTCATCTGTCAAAACACTTGGTTCACACTAGACTGCAGGAGCAGCGCCATAGGTCCCCAGAGCTTTAGGAAGGAAAAGTGTACCTGCAAACTTGCTTCAATCGCCTTTGGATTCAGGTGGAAGCCGGCTTTCATTGCATATTCACAGTGTCCTAAGCTTTCCAGAGCTATCTTATATGCCTGGAAATAAATTATTTTTAACAATCAAGATCGTAAAGCAAATTATAAGATGACAAAGTTCAATGGAAATAGAAATCTTAAATTTCTATAGCTATTAAAAGGTCAATTACTACTCTATAACCCTTTCTAATTGATTCAACATCACAACTTTAACTCCCTCCCTTGTTTCTATCCCGTGGAAATCAGTATGTCAGTTCTGAAAAACTTACTTGCAAAGCACTGTCGATTTTTATGTTCAGTTCTTTTAGCTGGTGCTCAGGAATTGCTGCACTTTGAGAACAAAAGAGTTGTTGAACTTCAATTCCTGCCAGGCAACCATCACAGCCTCTTTCTCTTAGTCTAGATGTCGCCTGTAACATATATAGTAACTGGTAGGTAAAAGAGGGTGGTACAGTTCTAGCAACATTAGACCAACAATAACAACAACAAGAAAAACCCCCTCAAGTAAAATGCAGCAATAAACCATCTAAGCAAATAAACTAGAAGTTCTAGATTGTTTGTATTGCAAAGTGAGCAGCCCAAATTTTGAAAGCCTAATTAACCATCCTGAAGAGAAAGGAAATTTCCCTTTATTTTTTATTTTATTATTTTATTTTATTTTATTTTATTTTATTTTGAGACAAGGTCTTACTCTGTCACCCTGGCTGGAGTGTAGTGGCGCTATCTCAGCTCATTGCAACCTCCGCCTCCCGAGTTCAAGCGATTCTCCTGCCTCAGCCTCCCGAGTAGCTGGGATTACAGGCACCCACCACTGCGCCTGGTTGAGTTTTGTATTTTTAGTAGAGACAAGGTTTCATGATGTTGGTCAGGCTGGCCTCGAACTCCTGACCTCAGGTGATCCACCCACCTCGGCCTCCCGAAGTGCTGGGATTACTGGCTTGAGCCACCGAGCCCGGCCGAAATCTCCCTTTATTTTAGGAACCCTGGAAAAAAGACTTACCTACTTGTTATTTGTTATATATATATGTATATACACACATATATATGTGTGTATATACTCAGACATTTTTAACTTTCCTGCTTTAAAAAGACAGGTTACCTAGAATATTGGTACTTGGAGTTTCCAGAATAAAAAAAAAAAGGAAGAACATACATGGTTGGCATTCCTATTCAGTGAAGGAAAAGACCACATGAATACATAACAGGAAAAATATACATTGGCATATTAACAGAAAAACAGAGCTTTTGAAATCTGCACAGAAAAGTAAATATTTATTATTCAGTCACTACATATGTTTATGAAGAGTAGATAAGCAAGATAGAAAAGGAGAAACTAATCTCTGTCATTTTACGATTAAATGCAGAAAACAGATACATGGATCAGGACAAGAAGAGAATACAGAAAAATATATATTTGATTTATTAGATGGGATTCCAGATGAACTGTTTTTAGATTTCTATTTTTGTTGCAATTCTGTGAACCAAGTAACATTTTTTAGCAGTTAGCTTTTGTTCTGCTGGGCCAGTGTAGGAGTTGTAATATTTACAAAACTTGCAGACTACAGGAAAATGACTAGCAGCTATAATGCCGTAAAGTTCCAAAGCTTTGGTTTCACAAACTGTATGTAAACACCATTGCCTGAAGCCTAAGAGTCTCACAGTTTAAAACTGTTTGACTCTTTCTAAGAATCTTTCAGTCAAATATTTAGCTCACAAGGTGGTATGTTAGGTACGTGCTGAAGCACAAAGCTGCTCCTTACCTTCCTGGAGCTGAGAGCCTCAGGGCCAAAAAGGTGAACAAAGAAAACACAGAATTATAAATGGAGAAAAAACACTGCGGGAAACAAACAGAGGACTATACCAGGGAATGTCCTAGACACCCAGAAAGCAGCACTTAGGGTGAGAATTAGAGGAGAAGGTCGTGAATGGAATTGCATGTGTGTGGGGTGGGGTGGGGGGTGTCAAGACCTACAGACGGGTCCGTGAAACAGGCCGAGGATCCAAGGTAACAAAGAAAGACACATCCAAGGAACTAGAGCCCAGTGAGCGAGGGCAGGGTGGCCACTGATAAGGCTGGCCATCAAGGCAGGAGCCAGACTAGGCAGGTCTAGGCAGGTCGTGCTGAGGGGTCCACATGCTACCCTAAGGAAATGAGAAGCGACATCATCCAATTTTAAAATGAAGGCGAGCAAGACAGGGAGGGGAGAAGTAACGATTCCCTGAACAAGGGTAGCGATGAAGGACGTGGAAGAAGGGGACAGATCTGGGATAAGATTTTGGAGGTGGGAACTGCCGGGTTTTCTTAAGGATTGGACTGGGTGTAGACATGACGGAAATGCTGAAGGATAAATCTCAGGTTTCTCAAGTGAAGCCAGTGTGGGATGGCACCACTCACTAGCATAGAGAGGGTCTAGGGAGGAACAGGTGAGTGGAGAGAGGCTACGCCTGAGCCACCTGTGAGACCCCCGGTAGCAGCTGAGCTCAGGGGCCTGAAGCCCACAGGAAGTGGGCTGCTCACTGATCACACACATTTGAGCCCCCTCCAAGGACACAGGTGGTTTTTCAGTCCCAAGACTGGATGGAGAACCCCTAGGGAGAAGGGCAGCTAGAACTGAGCCTGGAGAAACTCACATTCAGAAATTGTGTTGAGGAAGGAGAAGCCAGTAAACTAGATGAAGAAAGGATGACCCAAGAGGAAAGAAAGGTTGGTTCTTGGATGTCACAAGCTGAGAGTATTTCCAAGGAGGAATATTCTCCACACTGCTGTGAGCTGCTGAAAGTTGTTGAAAGGGTTCCCTGGATTTGAAAACATGGAAGAAGGCACCAATGACCTTGATAAGAGAAGGCATGTTCTTGTATAGGAGTGGAAGCCAGATTTCAGCAAGCTGAATGACATTATGTATATAAAGTTTCAGACTGTGTAAAATAATACCTTATGTATAGATACATTCATATACGGAAAAAATATTAAAATATGCACAAGGATCACACGCTTCAAATTCAACAGAGGTTATCTCTAGAGACAAAGGGATGAATAAGAAAGTGGAGAGGTACAAAAGGGATTCAAGTGCATTTACAGACCGGGTGCAGGAGCCTAGGAGCTTGGGACCGGCCTGGGAACATAGCAAGACCCTGTCTTTAAAAAAATAAATAAAAAGTAAAATAAAATAAATAATTAGCCAAGCATGGTGGTGCATGCCTATAGTCTGAGCTACTCAGGAGGATTGCTTGAGCCGAGGAGGTCAAGATTGCAGTAAGCTGTGATCACTACCGCACTCCAGCCTGGGCAACAGAGCAAGACCCAGTCTCAAAAAAAAAAAAAAAAAAGTGCACTGGTGATATTTTTCTGTTAAAAATATGTAACAGGCATGAGCAAATATGGCAGGCAGCTAAAAGGAAGATACACTGATGGGTGTGAAATGTTCTATGTGCCTGAAATACTTCAATAATAATTACTTTTTAGACTACTCTGAGTAAACTGTCCACGGGGTGTGCCAGGAGCAGTAAGGAGCCACAAGGTGCAGTAAAAATAAAATAGTAATTTTTTAGAATGAATGAAAGGTGAAAAAAAGGTAGACAACTACTCCAAGAAGTTGGCTGAGAAAAGAGCAGAGAAACAGGGCAGGGCAGAGTGGACTTTTCTGTGGGAAGCATCTTTGTGTACTGGTGGGAACAGGCTGAGGATGAGGGAGAGAAAACACTAGGTCGCACCACAGAAGCTGGGCCCTCGAGGATGGGGGCAAGGCCAGCACGGGGCAAGCCTGGACAGGAGGAGAGGGCACCTCCTCTGCTGTCATGAGGCAGGGGAAGGAAGAAAAGATGGTTGTGAAGAGGGATGGCAGGAGTGGTGGTGGCTTGGCCACATGAGGAAGAAGGGCTGCCATCAGGGAGATTCTATTTGCTCAGTGTAGTAGGGGGTGGCATCACTGGCTGAAAGCAAAGGGAATGTAGAAAGGGCAGAAAGGCCTGGACAGACTAAAATGGTGGCAAAAAAGGTCAAGGTGAAGACGTCAAGAGAGAACTCGGAGGCCTCCTCCTGTGGGCTGGTCCTCAGCATGAGTTGTCTAGAAGATGGAGCAGGGGACCAAGGCAGGTGTTAGGTTCACGTGTGTGAGCTGAACAGTCAGGAGGCTGGGGCCCAGCAGCCAGGAGGACACCGAGGGTTGTAAAGTCACATGACAAGGCAACAAGGTGCAGGTCTGGACCTCAGGGCTTAGCCATCTACAATAAAGCTAACAGGTCCCACCCCCACACACAGCCTCCAATTAGCATTCCAGGGCCTTTCTGATGAACAGAAAGAAAGCCCTAGGAAGTCTTTAGCATGAAAGACAGACCAAAACATGCAAGAAAACAGTGAAAATTAAAAAGAAATGACAACAATGCAGCAAATGGCATGAAATTGAAATAATAAAACTAGAGACTGGACAATATTAACATGTGAAAAATCATGTTTTGAAAATTTTATTAAAGAAAATTTCCAAAACATAAAATGAAATACTAGGCCGGGCGCCGTGGCTCACGCCTGTAATCCCAGCACTTTGGGAGGCTGAGGCGGGCAGACCACGGGGTCAGGAGATCGAGACCATCCTGGCTAACACAGTGAAACCCTGTCTCTACTAAAAATACAAAAAATTAGCCAGGTGAGATGGCAGGCACCTGTAGTCCCAGCTACGCGGGAGGCTGAGGCAGGAGAATGGCGTGAACCCCGGGGGGCGGAGCCTGCAGTGAGCCAACATCGCACCACTGCACTCCAGCCTGGGCAACAGCGAGACTCCACCTCAAAAAAAAAAAAAAAAAAAAAAAAAAAGAAAAGAAATACTTTGCCAAGTTAATTATGGAATGATTTGAACTAGACATTATTTAATGAATCACTATATTGCTAACCATAAATTATCTTTTAATCTGTGTTTGCCTGCTGGGATAGTTTAAAAAAATTATCTTTTGGCCCAGGTGGGTGACTCACACCTGTAATCCCAGCACTTTGGGAGGCCGAGTCAGGTAGATCACCTGAGGTCAGGAGTTTGAGACCATCCTGGCCAACATGGCGAAACCCCATCTCTACTAAAAATACAAAAATTAGCTGGGCGTGGTGGCGGGTGCCTATAATCCCAGCTACTGAGGAGGCTGAGGCAGGAGAATTGCTTGAACCCGGGAGGCAGAGGGTACAGTGAGCCGAGATTGCGCCACTGCACTCCAGCCTGGGCGAAGGAGCAAGACTCCGTCTCAAAAAAAAGAAAATTATCTTTTACTCTGTAAAATGGAGCAGTAAGTCCTAAAGTCTCAACTTCTAAGATTTATTTTTTATTTCTCATACTGGAAAGAAATAAGTATTAAAATGCCTACAAGAAATGTCACTAATGGCCAGGCATGGTGGCTCACACCTGTAATCCCAGCATTTTGGAAGGACAAGGCAGGTGGATCACCTGAGGTCAGGAGTTCAAGACCAGTCAGGCCAACATGGTGAAACCTTATCTCTACTAAAAATACAAAAATTAGCCAGGCGTCGTGGTGCGCGCCTGTAATCCCAGCTACTCGGGAGGCTGAGGCAGGAGAATGGCTTGAATCTGGGAGGCAGAGGTTGCAGTAAGCCAAGATCACGCCATTATACTCCATCCTGGGCAACAAGAGCGAAACTCTGTCTCCCAAAAGAAATGTCACTGATTATAGGCAAAGTCTCCTTAAAACAGACTTTTTCAGAGCTGTTTTTGATTGCCTTTTATTTAAGCTTAAATTCTTCTGGCTGTGGAAAAGGAATAGAGAATGCCACACCAGAGTGACTAGGAAAGCAACCCTGCGCTAGGCTAGAATCCCCCCACCGGAGCGGCTCCCTGCAGCCCACCATTTAGTCATGAGGTTGTCACCACGAGAGGAGAATCCCACAATTCTCCTTCACATTATCCCTGATGACCATGCCATACCATCCCACACCACTGCGCTCTCTATCCACTAGGGAGCCAACCACTCAGTCTAGCTCTTGCATGATGGCTAGATTTTATAAACATATCTGCTGTGCTGGGAAATAGCTGATCTTCCAAGGGATAAAAGACTTCATGTTGGCCCAGTGCAGTGGCTCACGCCTGTAATCCCAGCACTTTCAGAGGCCAAGGTGGGTGGATCACAAGGTCAGGAGTTCAAGACCAGCCTGGCCAAGACGGTGAAACCCTGCCTCTACTAAAAATACAAAAATTAGCTGGGGCTAAAATACAAAAATTAGCCGGGCATGGTGGCGGGCGCCTGTAATCCCAGCTACTTGGGAGGCTGAGGCAGAGAATTGTTTGAACCCGGCAGGCGGAGGTTGCAGTGAGCCAAGATCGTGCCACTGCACTCCAGCCTGGGCGACAGAGTGAGACCCCGTCTCAAAAAAAAAAACTTCATGAAGTCACATAAAGCATACTGGAGAACTGCTGAAATCACATGTAAAGCACTGACAAATGAGGATCTAGGCAGAGTTAGACCAATTAAGAATCTTGTCCAAATCTGTAATCCCAGCACTTTGGGAGGCCAAGGCAGGCAGATCACGAGGTCAAGAGATTGAGACCACCCTGGCTAACACGATGAAACCCTGTCTCTACTAAAAATACAAAAAAAAAAAAAAAAAAAAAAAAAATTAGCCGGGCTTGGTGGCGGGCGCCTGTAGTCCCAGCTACTCGGGAGGCCGAGGCAGGAGAATGGCGTGAACCTGGGAGGCAGAGCTTGCAGTGAGCTGAGATCACGCCACTGCACTCCAGCTTGGGGGACAGAGCGAGACTCCGTCTCAAAAAAAAAAAAAAAAAAAAAAAAGAATCTTGTCTGGGTGCAGTGGCTAATGCCTGTAATCCCAGCACTTTGGGAGGCAGAGGTGGGTGGATCGCTTGAGCCCAGTAGCTCAAGACCAACCTGGACAACATAGTGAGACTTCATCTCTACCAAAAAAAAAAAAAAAAAAGTAATAATAATAATAATAAGCTAGACATGGTGGCATGAGCCTGTAGTCCCAGCTACTTGGAAGAGGCTGAGGTGGGAGTATCTCTTGAGCCCGGAGGTACAGGCTGTAGTGAGACTTGATCGCAGCACTGCACTTCAGCCTGGGCAACAGAGCAAGACCCTGTCTCAAAAAAAAAAAAGAAAAAGAAAAAGAAAAACTTAAAGAATTTAAAAAGTTACAAAGATTCCAAGCACTTCTATAGGGAATGATTTGACTAACAAAAAACACAAAATTCCCTGTGTCCACTGAGCTCTCGCCCTGCTGTGGTTGTATCTTTGGAGCCTGTCATCCCATCCGTCTGCCAAACACTCCTGCTCGCCTGCCTCGCTGCCTGGCTGGCCACTTACCCTCCCCAGACAGCTCCACCCCGTCTTTCCTGACTTGGGTGCCAGCCTCTTCTCACTGGTCCCCCATCTTAGAAGCTTTCCTGCAGCACTACCGTTCAGAGACAGGGCCCTCCCTTCCTCTGGCTCCCGCATATCTCCATCCTGGCCCCTTAGCCCTGTTTTTGTAAGCCTATTCTCCCAGGAGGCTGTGAGTAGAGGTTGTCATCCTAGTGCCTGGCACATGCCTGGCACAAAGTGGGCATTCACAAAGATGTTCACTGTTAAATGAATGAACAAGCCAATGATAACAGTTTAAAATGTACATTTCTAAATGAAATGGCTGTTTTGAGAATCAACAGGCAAAGGCCCTCTGGAGCCTCTCCTATTTGAACACAGGCACCAATCTCCCCAAAGCCAGGGTTACCTCAGCAGCCCCCCGCCAGGACCGCACAGCTTCCTCTACTTCAGGTGTGTGGCCCATGCCAGATAAGCCGCCGCCACTGCCGCTGTTCTTTTTTTCTGGCACGATGACCTCAGCAAAGCAAGAGTGAGCCACCGGCTGGACCTTCTGTAACGCATGAGTCAAAAACTGGAAATGGACTTGCACCACAGTCAGGAAACATCGCCCCAACACCTGTGAAAACAAGACAGCCAGGGATGTTTAGGTTGTGGGTTGCTGTTGGATTCGCGCAGTAAATTTTCAATGACCAACTTGAATAGAAGCAATAGTTAACTGGAAATCCAAAATCATACAAAGTTAAAAGGCCACCATGCTTCAGAAGGATCTGCCTTTGTTTTTGTGTTTGGACCTCGGTGACTGATGCCTGGAAGTCAAAACATTTCCATCAAATAACAAGGCCCAAGGTTGAAATAATTCTTCCCATTTCCCACCAAGTAACCCCCAATCCTGTCTCCACCCCCTATATCTGGACTCACACCACTTCTGGTGTCTTTGAGCTCCTGCTGAACCACAGCCATCCACAACAGCAATTACGTCCATACAGTATTCAGAAGGTAAAGGAAAAACCATGCAACTAAAAATCTGAAAGAAGGCCAGTTTGACCATAAGACATTCCGTTGAAAATGGAATCCAAATATACCGGTTATTTTAGTAGGAGTGTTAACATAGTTATTAACATAGTTGTATGTCATCATTCCAGTCTTAGGAAACAAAGCTGACAGACCAGTCTTCCAGGAGTCAAGAAAATATAATGGACAGCTCCACTCATGAGTACAGTAGAAACCCATTAACCTGATATATATCAGTGATTGGTTGCTAATAGTCCAAGTAGGAAATTAACTTAAAAAATACTATACACATGAATATGTAATTATAATAAGATGTATACTAAATATATACTATGTGCCACAAACATTTTCAGATATGATTGTGCATTTCTCTGGCAGCCTTCTGGTATGGGCTAAGGCTGTTCTGACAGCTCCTTTGCTGCTCCTCCCTGTTACTTTCTTGCATAAACCACAGTTACAATGTGTTCTCTATCATTTCTTATTTATCTTTTTTTTTTGAAATGGAGTCTCGCTCTGTCACCCAGGCTGGAGTGCAGTGGCGTGATCTCGGCTCACTGCAACCTCCACATCCTGGGTTTAAGCGATTCTCTGACCTCGGTGCACTATCACACCCGGCTAATTTTTGTATTTTTAGTGGAGACGGGGTTTCACCATGTTGGCCAGGCTGGTCTTGAATTCCTGACCTCAGGTGATCCACCTGCCTCGGCCTCCCAAAGGGCTGGGATTACAGGCATGAGCTCCCATGCCCGGCCTTATTTCCTCTTTAACACAGGGCAAAAACTGGCCACTTACAAAGCAACTTGACCACAAACCTTCCAGATTATTGACATTTTTTCCTAATTTCTCATAGTTGTTTTGCCCACATCAGATTTGGCAATAATACCAACAAAAACCTTTTGCAGCTCTTTTATCCTGCTCCCTAATAATTTTTTGTGGAAGATATTTTATATTTCTTTGGCTTATGCAGATTACTTATTCACAACAACTTACTTTATTGAGTTTGCAATTCACCCAGCTGAGCAGGAGTGGACCTGAGAGAGCCTACTCACAGCCGGCCCTCAGCCCACTGCCTCACGCAAGTGGTGAAGGTCAGGGAACTATAGCCATTGCTTTTTACAAGGAACCAAAATCCAGCACAGTGCCCATGCACTGTCCTGTCCCTTGAGCAGCACACAGTAAGACTCAACCTTCCTCTCCCCTCAGGTGCACACGTGGACTCTCTGCCTTGTGGCACGCATGTGGACCTCTCGCCTTGCCTCGCCTCAGCATCTACCTTTGCCACACGCCCTCTCAGTTCCCAAGAGTCAGAGCTGTTTCTTCTTGGAGAAGCAGGGGCAAGCCAGTTCCCAGCAAGACACTTATTATCTCCGAATCCCTCCTCACCCTGTGGAAATCACCAGGACCAAACTAAAGCAAACAAAAAACCGCACACAAATCTCACACCAAAGCACTTGCCCTCCAGAGGGAACAACAACCGACATCACAGGCTGAAGCCCCCCAAACTCCTGGGCTTCCACTCACACCTCCTTCAGAGCCCTTCCCCCAGTGCTCTGTGCTAGACTGGGCAGGGTGAGGGACACGAAGGCAGCGCACCTAGGCCAGTTAGACAGGTGCCAGGAGTAGAATAAGCAGCAGCTATTTAGTCCTGTAGAGCACACAGACAGCTTTAGTGGAGCACACAGCCTGTACCTGACCAATGCTGGAGAGTCACATGGGCTAGCGCATTCAATCCCAGGAACCACCCTATGAGGTCATCCTCCCTTCATAGACAACAAGATCAAGGCATAGAAAGGCTACAAAATTTTGTCAACGGGACACAATCTGCATGTGGTGGACCAGTCACCTGACTCAAGTGTCCATGCCCTTCACCTGTGTGCCCCACTGCCTTCAGCAGACTCTAAACTGGCATCGGCTTGCATGTGACAGGAACTCCACCTTAACTGGTGTAGGCTGAGGGTTTCCTCAATCTCCCCACCCACTGCAGACACAGGGAGGGGGAGTGAGCCGGCTCCTCAGGGACACAAACTATTCCTCCCACTCCTTCCTCAGCACCTTGGCAGCTATGGGAAGCTGGAGGAGGAGGAAAAAGGGAAGACGCCATGCTCCATTAGCTCTGGGTTCACACTCTCACAGCTCTGATGGACACAACTTAGTCATTCATTCTCTCAATAAATATATAAGATGGGGATGCCTGATATGCACCAAGCACAAAGAGCTGGGAACACTACTGGAAAGAGAATGAGCAAGTCCCTGCTCTCGCCAGGGCGACATTCTAATGGGGAAGACAACAGGCAATGAACAGATATGCAAGGCCGGGTGCTGCTGGGAAAGGAACACAGACGGATGGGAAGGAAAAGGCTCCTCAAGGAAATGACCGAGGGCAAAGGGAGAGCTACCCTGTCCCCTCCCCTACTAAGGGGCAAAGTTCTGAGGAATGGCTGAAGGCCTGAAGGAGGGCCCCCAGATCAAGAACAGGATGCTCTCTGACAAGGCCATCACCCCTGGGGAGAATGAGGTGGAGGAAGCCCTCTTGCTGTGGGGTGGCAGTAAGGAGGGCAGAACCCTGCTGTAGGAAGGAGTGGGGGAAGAGACACAGGTCAGTTTAAAAGGCATTGTCTGTGTTGTCTCCACCACTTAGGATGTGTTTGACCTTGGATGAGTCATTTAACCTAAGCTTCTTTCCTATAAATAAGGAATGAGGACAACAGCTCAGCTACTGTACACCTCCCTCTCCTACCCAGGATGCCTGGAGACCAACTCAGTCATACAAATTATGATTGTAACAAAATATCTGTGTTGTAAATAACTTATTCAAAGCCAATCAAACCAATGGTTAACGCTGGACCTTGGAAACAGCTGTTTCATCAGATATCTGCTCTAAAAATTTACCCAGAGTAACAGATGCATAACCACCACCTTCTCTTGAGAGAGTACAGAGCTCAACCTCCAGCCTGCCTCTGCCCACCTTTCCCCTCCGAGGATCTCAGGTCTTAGCTCAGCTCCTCTCCTGAAACAGACCCCACTCTCCTTGACCCAGGAATGAGCCAGTCTTTGGGCGTCTTCCTGACATAAGTTTGGGAGAGTGTGACCCCAGGGCTGTGGAAAGCTATTTTCTCCTTCACATGGAGAAAGTTTCCTGGACTGTGTGGTTCAGTCAAATTGCAGAACACATGGGGGAAGCTGGGGAGTGGATGAGCAGAGTGGCCAAAGGCAGGTTTTTAAGTTTAAAATGCCAGTGAAGCTCTATCAACAGCTACCATTTATTGAGTGTTTAAATACCAAGCACCTTATGTTTGGTGAACCATCCCTGTGGGGTGTGAGCAATTCACCCATTTTACGGATGATAACACTGAAGTTTACAGAGATAAAGAAACTTGCTCAATGTCAAGCAGGTAATAAGTAGGGATCTGACACCAGGTCTGTTTGACTCCGAAAACTGTGTTGCTAACCACCAGGCTACTCTTTCTACCTATGACAAGATCCAGAATGAAGCCACAATAGTGGATAAATACTAATCAGAGAAGGAGCTATGGATTACAGACAGCTATCGGGGTCTACTGAATGAGAGCCTGTTTTCTAGCAACCCTTGATGGTGGAGGAGAAGGGTGCATCTTTACCTTCCTATTCCCTTGCACACACACAACATCTGCTGCTAAGGATGTTGTATTCATGTACATAACCAGAATACCTTTTCTTTTTGATGATATTTATATTTTATTCAGATTGTAAAACAGATTTTAATTTAAGGCCTTCCCATTTGGAGCACCAAAAAACTACCCTTTTTTTTTTTTTTTTTTTTTTGAGACAGAGTCTTGCTCTGTTGCCCAGGCTGGAGTGCAGTGGCACAATCTTGGCTCACTGCAAGCTTTGCCTCGCGGGTTCATGCCATTCTCCTGCCTCAGCCTCCCAAGTAGCTGGGACTACAGGCACCCACCACCACGCCAGGCTAATTTTTTGTATTTTTAGTAGAGACAGGGTTTCACCGTGTTAGCCAGGATGGTCTTGATCTCCTGATCTCATGATCCACCCGCCTTGGCCTCCCAAAGTGCTGGGATTACAGGCGTGAGCCACTGCGCCCAGCCAAGACCACCCTTTCTATACCACTGTAGTTGTTGCAGATCAACCTACATGTCAACTCTGCTTTCCTGGAATATTTCAAAGTTTAGTTGCAGTTATTCCTCTTCTAGGCTCAGGCCTGACTCAGCCTATAATACCTGCATGTGGTTGGAACTATGGAGTGCCCAAGTCCACCCCATTTCCCAAAACATGGTGTGATTTTCACATCAATACAAATAATTTATCACTAAGTTCATTGTTCTGCTCAACTTCATGAACTCAAGTTCATCTTTTTCATATCCCTTTAGAATGAGGAACAAGTAAAACTCTCATACAACCATTTATTTCCGATCACTTTAAAAGTCCAGTGTAAGTAGGTACAAGATGGGTGCTTGTATTAGAAATTCCAAAGCATTCAATCATTTCTTTCTCTTCAATACTCATTTATACCTTAAATGTTACATTAGGTTCCTAGTGTCCTCAACCTTGTTCTTAATGAGGTATCTTTTGTTCTGATGATCATTCGAGTCATTACATAATGAGCTACACACCAGAATGTGACACAAAGACCTAAATGCATCCCCAGAGACACAGAGAATGCAGCAGACCATGCCTGGGCTATAGAAAGTACTTACAAAGATTATGCTACAGTAGAAAAATGTAAGAAACAGGCTTACTGAAACTAATATGTAAAAAACTAACTAAAGAACAACAAAGTCTCCTTGCAGTCAGCAATAACCTACAGGATACAAAAGGTGCCATGCTATGTTTAGAACAAACGAGGGAGAAAGCAAGCTCAGGCCCAAGGGTGGCAGAACCAACACCAAATGCTAATAATTCAGACAAGAGTACATTCTGCCCCCAGACACGCTGCTTCACTGCTGGTGAAAATAACAGCACAGGCAGTTTCTGAGCTCATATTTCATGGGCAAAGCACTGTGGTGCACAAAACTTTTTGTATCAGTAATACTCACCATCAATAAATCAGGGGGGAAAAGATTAGCTATACAAACATACAAATAGTTCTAAATATTCCTAAATAGGTATAACCATTGATTGTACGATTACTAAACAGCCCATATTTGTACCTATAGATTTTTTTTTGCAAAAAGTAGATTGTGTGTTTATAGTTTGCTTTCCAAAATATATTAAAAATCTGTTACCATATCAATACACACAGGAAGTTTTACATTTCTATATTTATATTTATAGCAGCTACACTGCTATAAACCTTAGCATACCTAATAATAATAATTACAAAATATCATCCAGGGAAAAAATGAAAGGCCACTCAAGATAACTGAGTCCACGTTAATTACTCTTGAGTAATTTTTCCCATTCAAAATGCAAGTTTTGGCCGGGCACGGTGGCTCATGCCTGTAATCCCAGCACTTTGGGAGGTTGAGGCGGGTGGATCACTTGAGGTCAGGAGTTCAAGACCAGCCTAGTCAACATGGTGAAACCCTGTCTCTACAAAAAATACAAAAATCAGCCGGGCGTGGTGGTGCATGCCTGTGATTCCAACTACTCGGGAGGCTGAGGCAGGAGAATTGCTTGAACCTGGGAGGCAGAGGTTGCAGTGAGCCAAGATCACATCACTGCACTCCAGCCTGGGAGAAAGAGCGAGACTCCGTTTCAAAAAATAAATAAAAACAAAATGCAAGTTTTCTCCATAAACAAGTTTACATTGTGGGCAGAGATAAAAACATATTTAAGTTATCCTGATATATGGCCTCAAGAGCCCATCAGAGGTCAGAAAATTCTTTTTGTTCACATGAGTGTACTTTTTGTTAAAATTTGTCACTTCCATCAAGAATACTATTGATAAACTGATTACAAAGACAAACAGGGAACTGGCAAATGGAAATCAGTCTCCATGAACATTATCCTCATCATGACACATCACTTGGGTGAGGCCGCTCTGTCGCACTAGATGCCTCCCATGTTGCCGCACTGAGACAGGGATCCCAATATCCCCATCTGACAGGGACACTCCCAGCCGGCTGTATCTGCACAGTGTTCCAAGTGGTGTAACCATGGCAAATCTTGGAATGGGGTGGAGAGGAGGCCTCACCTCCCCTCAGCAGCATCACCCTTGCTTCATTTCCTTCCTAGCTCTCCAGCTGTTCCAGTTTCAGACTCCTGGGCGGCTTCCTATTCATCTTCTGACTGTAAATGTGGGAGTGCCCCAGGGTTTACTCATTCTCCAGCTACGCTCTTCCTTGATGACCTCCTTCAGTTCTCTAGCTTTACATCTGTCTACTGACTGAGGGTCTCCAAGTTCTGGACCTCAACCCTCAACTCCAGATTTGTGTATGCAACTATCCTGTAGAAATCACCCATGGGATATCTAATAGGCATCACAGACCTATTATCTGAACTTACTCTTCCCCACTACTCCCCATCTCAGTAAATAGCACTACCAGGGAGTGAGTGACCCAGGTGCGCATGTCATAAACCATGCAAAATACAACTGCTAAAATATTTATCAGCCTTTATTTATTTATTATTTTTATTTTTATTTTTCTGAGACGGAGTTTCACTTTTGTTGCTCAGGCTGGAGTGCAATGGCACGATCTTGGCTCACTGCAACCTCAGCCTCCCAGGTTCAAGCGATTCTCCTGCCTCAGCCTCCTGAGTAACTGGGACTACAGGCATTCACCATCATGCCCAGCTAATTTTTGTATTTTTACTACAGATGGGGTTTCACCATGTTGGCCAGGCTGGTCTCAAACTCGTGACCTCAGGTGATCCACCCACCTCAGCCTCCCAAAGTGCTGGGATTACAGGCATGAGCCACCGCGCCCGGCCACAGCCTTTAAAAAGAAGGAAATTCTGATGCGAGCTACAACATGAATGAGCCTTAAAGACATTATGCTAAGTGAAACACACTTGTCACAAAAGGACAAATATTCTATGATTCCATTTATACGAGGTTCCTAGAGTAGTCAAATTTATAGAGGTAGAAAGAATGTTCGTTGCCAGGAGCTGGGAGGAGAGGGCAACCAGGAGTTATTGTTGAGCAGGTACAGAGTTTCAGTTTGGGAAGATAAGAAAGTTCTAGAGATGGATGATGGTGATGCTTGCACAACAATGTAAGTGTACTTAATACTACTGAACACTTAACAATGGTTAAAATGGCAAAATTTATGTTACATATATTTTACCACAGTAAAAATACACATAACTACTTCTAGTCACGTCTGCTACCCTTCTATTCCAAACTACTATCATCCCTCATTTAGACTGCTCTAATAGCCCCTTAACTAGTCTTCCTGCTTCCACTTAATTAGAATCAGGTTTATCTACATATAACAAAACAAAAACAAAAACAGAAACAGGCCAGGCATGGTGGCTCACACCTGTAATCCCAGCACTTTAGGAGGCCCAGACAGGAGGATCGCTTAAGCCCAGGAGTTTGAGACCAGCCTGGGCAACACAGTGAGACTCCATCTCTACAGTAAAAATAAAAATAATAATAATAATTTTTAATTAAAAAAAAATCAAACCCAAAACCAATACAGTGGCTTAAATAAGAACTATGTTGCCGGGTGTGGTGGCTCATGCCTGTAATCCCAGCACTTTGGGAGGCCAGGGCAGGGGGATCACCTGAGGTCAGGAGTTTGAGACCAGCCTGACCAACATGGTGAAACCCCATCTCTACTAAAAATGCAAAAATTAGCTGGGTGTGGTGGCACACGCCTGTAATCCCACCTACTTGGGAGGCTGAGGCAGGAGAGTCGCCTAAACCCAGGAGGCAGAGGTTGCAGTGAGCCGAGATCGCACCACTGTACTCCAGCCTGGACAACAAGAGCGAAACTACATCTCAGAGGGGGGAAAAGAAAAAAAAATTATGTTTATTTTTTTCTAAGGTAAAACAAATCCAGAGCAGATGGACCAGGGTTGGAATGGAGACGCCAGGGCATCACAAGGAGCCCACTTCCTAGCTTTCTGCTCGGCACACTCATGCGAGGCTCCTATTTCTAGGTGACTTCACGATTATAAATGGTTAAATGGCCATCAGTCATTCTGCACGCACTGGAGACGGTAGAAAATTGGAGGAGGAGGGAGCACCAATTTCCCCTTAAGGAGATATCCCACTAATCTCATGCAGTACTTCTAGTTACACCGTCATGAACCAGATCTTATTCAAGTGACCACTCCCAGCTTTAAGGAACTAAGAGGTGTAGTCCTTATTCCAGGTACAGTATGGAAAACAAAATGAGAGTTTGTTACTAAGAAAAAATGGCAGCTTGGGCAATGTAATGGAACCCCAACTCTACAAAAAAATACAGTTTAGCTGGGTGTGGTGGCATGCACCTGTAGACCCAGATAGTTGGGAAGCTGAGACAGGAGGATTGCTTGAGCCCAGGAGTTCAGGCTGCAGTGAACTGTGATTGTTCCACTGCACTCCACCCTGGGCAACAAAGTGAAACCCTGTCTTGCGGGGGGGCGGGGGCAGAAAGAAGGTAAAGAAAGAAAGAAGAAAGGAAAAAAGAAAAAAGAGATTGGATATTCAGAGGCAACTACCAGTATCTCCTCACTCTCCCCAGGGCCTACTGGGCTCTCTGCCCTGCCCCTGCTCAGATGCGCTCTCAGTTAGGTAGGAGGTTCTGGTATGAGGGCTGGCCCTGGCACAGTGAGCTGGGTGCGGGGAGAGGAGCAGTTGAAAGTTTTGCCGAATCAACAGACTTCAGGCTATTTTCCATCTGCATCACAGCACTCATCACACCTAGTGCCAGTCTATTTATTTATCTGGCCTACCAGTCCTGGAGTGCTTTTATTGTCCTTGTCATCTGTGCAATGCTTGCAGCTAGCTCATGTGTATTTATCGAGGAGGGTGGGTGGCTCAGCTGGGAGAAGAGGAAGGCAGGCCAGGTGGCTGGGCCTACTCAGGAGGGGCCCTAGTGCGAGCAAGGGTGCTCAGGGGTGCCTCTACATCACGCTATTTCTGATTTCCTGGCTCTGGACATTTCACCATTAGCAGAGGGGCAAGACAGCCTGTTCTCACAGGGGGATGGCCTCTGCCAACAAGCCCCTCTGCACTAGACTGCACTGGCCCGAGGCAGTGGGGAGGCAGCAGACACATAGGACACATAACCCATACATGGGCTGGCCTCAGAAGGACTTCAGGCAAATGCTGTTTTATGGGTGCTCAGGTTCCTGGTTTGTAAAGAGGAGGGAGGCTGCCAGAACAGGCCATTATCCAATCCTGTGAGATCTCCTAAGCTGACTAGAACCAAAAAATTAATTCAGGAAAGCCAGTTCTATCTGAAATTATATTCCATGAACTCTCCTATTTGTTTCCTTCTAATCTGCCCACCAAACCTAATTTTTCTAGCACATCACGCAAGCCTTTTCAGCAACTCAAAATTTTAAATCCTACTCTCTAAAAAGACAGCAACATTGCCATTCAATCACTAGTCCCCAAAATTAGCAACATTTCATTCTTTCCTTGACTCCCACCTGCTGCTGGCCTCCCACTTTCAGAGACGGTCTTTTCTCTGTTCCCATTTTCTCCTTTGATTCACTTTTACTCTCTTCATTTTTTTTGAAGAACACCTGCTTTTCTCTTCATCCCTACACCTTGGGTTTTCTAACTACTCAATAATGCTCCCCTTTCTGTTAGAAGACCACTTCACATGCGAAAAGCCCTCCATGAAATGGAGTTATTTATTGGGTACTCTGATATATTACGTCTTTAATACATTCCTGAATTTCTCTCTCACTTTTTGCAAACTTGGAAAAGGTCCAAACGTACACAAAAGCAGAACATAACAAGCCCCCATGTACCCATCAAAACACTTCAATCCTATGGCCAGGCACAGTGGTTCAAGCCTATAATCCCCGTGTTGTGGGAGGCTGAGGTGGGAGGATCACTTGAGCCCAGGAGTTTGAGACCTGGGCTCACAGCCTGGGCAACACAGCAAGATCCTGTCTCTACAAAAAAATTAAAAGTTTCAATTCCATTAACATTTTGCCATGCTTTTACCATCTATCCTTCCCCATCTTTTTTCTTTTTTTGAAGTAAATCCCAATCAACCAAGACTCAGTATGTGTTCAAGCTTCCCAACTTATCTTTTAAAAATTATGTTTTACATTTGGTTTGAACCTCAACCCCAAAAAGGTAATTTTATTTGGTTGTTATATTGCTTAACTCTTTTAATCTAGAACAGTACATTCTGTGTAATTTCTTTTAATGCTACTGACTTGTTGAACAAATCAGGTCAACTTATTACAGGATATGCCACATTGTGAATTTGTCTGGTTGCCTTCTCGTGGTATTGCATAACTTGCGTCACTACACCCCACATTTCCTGTAGACTGGATTCATTTTAGAAGCTTGATTAGATTATTTCAGGGTTTGTTTTTTTTTTTAAAGAGGGAGAAGTAGAATATTATTAATATTAGATGTGTTGTGCGGTTCTTGCTGCAGCACATCAGGAGACGTGATGACCTGTCTCCATTTCCATGACACTAAGGCTGATCAATGAGATTTGGGTGCGGAAGGCCTGATTCTCCCAAATGCGGTTCCTCAGCAACCTTCCAACAAATGGTTTCATCCTCCACTGTTGGCCACTGGTTGAGTCACCGAATTGATCACAGTCTGCAAAGTGGAGATTTTTCTCTCATCCATTAGGGCTATTTGGTTACCATGAAAAACAGTTTCTACTGGAAAAGCAGGAAATTTGCTTATTTCCTTACTTTTCTCCTTTTAATTAGCATTTATCAGAATAATGAGTTGGTTGCACATGCTTGTCTTGACAAATCAAAGTCAAAGGGTCCAGTCCCTCCACAGTGACAGATGCCCAATGGCCTTGGTGGCTTCCACCCACGTAGAATGGGCTAGACAGATGGTAAATCATGTTTGTTGACCACAATGCAAATTTACAGAATCACCCAAATTCCAGCTGCTTAATTAAGTACAGCTTCCTCTACAGGCTAAAGTCTGAAGACAATTTAGGTAATAGCAGATTCACCTCAGCAAAAAAGTAAGCCAAAAACACTGACCTGAAATTAGCAAGTTTCAAAACTGGATTCATACAAGCTTTTTATGAGGTGAACTTCAGTTTCTGATTAGCAGCAGCAATATGAACTTTCATCTGGCACATACCATTAGGAAATATTTACTCCATAATCTGTTACAGAAGATCTACCAGTCAAAACAAGTAACACTTACTTTTACCTTTAGGGCAAAAAAAAAAAAAAAAAAAAAAGGAACAGGATGCACATTCAATTCCATTAAGGTTAATGCAAATCGTATTTTTGAAACCAGCTTCTAATATTTTCCATTATTGTTACTCTACAATATTTCTGGTATATATCTATCCAAAATAAATGTTAATATACCTGAATTAAGGTCCTTAATTAAGAGTCAGTCAGCACTCACAGATAAATTATTTCAAACATATTCACAGGTAATCACATAGTATACAAAAGAAATTTGTTGTTGTGTCAAACTGAAAGCCAAGATGCAACTGTGTAAAGATTTGAGAGCCAGGCCCAGTGATACATACTTGTAGTCTCAGCTACGCAGTCTCAGATACGCGGGAAGCTGAGGCTGGAGGACTGCTTGAGCCCAAGAGTTCGAGGCTAGCCTGGGCAATATGGCAAGGCCTAATCTCTAAAAAAAAAAAAAAATATATATATATATTTTTTTTTTATAGTATATATATTTTATAGTATATATATACTATATATGTATATATAGTATATATAAGTATATATGTATATATAGTATATATATAAGTATATATGTATATATAAGTATATATGTATATATAAGTATATATGTATATATAAGTATGTATATATAAGTATATATGTATATATAAGTATATATATGTATGTGTGTGCGTATGTGTATATATATACATACATATATAAAAAATACATATTTTATATATATGTCTGGCATATATATATATAATACGTATATATACATATAAGTCTGGCTGCTTATTCACAAGATGGTAAATACTTGAAAAGTCAATAAAAATGCTGGAATTTATAAAATACAGTCTCCTTAGAGACATACAACTCCTGGGAGCCCCATGGCTGCCCTGGGTTCCTGGACTGCCTACATAGAGGACCAACACCTCTCAACACTGAGGACCCAACGTAAAACCAGAGCCCTGGAGCTACCCAGTATGAAGAAGGCAAGGGGAGAAGTGGCATCGCTGCTCACTACAAAAGAATGGCAGGGCCCAGCCTGCTGCCCTCCCATCCCCTGCCCTTCAGAGGTGTACCTCACCTTGCCTCCTACCTGGCTACTCAGAACAGACACCAGAGTGGCCCCTCTTTACCCTTCTGACCTCACCCCTGCTTCTCTCCCTTCCATTCACTCTGTTTTAGCCACAGCAGGTTCTTTCCTGCTCTTCCAACACTCCAGGCTGGCTCCTGCCTCTGGGACTCTGTGCTCGGCGCTCCCTCCGCCTGGAATCCTCTTTTCTGGGCCAACAGGCTTGCTCTCTCATCCCTTTCAGGCCTTTACTCGAATGTCACCTTCTCAGTGGTACCTTTTCTAACTACCTTCTCTAAGATCGAAACTCCCTTCTAGCTACATGAAGGGAGAGATTTCTGTCATGTTCACTACTGCAATCGACATGCTGGAGTAGTATCAGGCAGAAACAAGGCATACAATAAATATCTGTGGAATGAATGCACAAATCACAAGTCACTTTGATTCTTTTATTTATGTACACTTCCACTGAAAAAGTAATTTTATTTAAGTGATAGATGTCACCTTCCAAACCCAGGTCTTCTGACTCTGTGCCCAGTAACTGACTTCCTAGGCTGATGTACCAGTGTCACAGGCACTAGTCAGCTAGTGAAACCCCATAGTCACAACTCACTTCTCTAACAGAGAGACTGTGAGGGTGAACCACTCGGGCTAAGGGGCAAAGTCACTGGTGAGTATAGACTGGACAGGACTCACATATGCCCTGCTGGTTCCAAGGCAGGGTGGCAGAGCACACAGTCAGCAACCACCATTCCTGGACAAAGGCATCAGTATCTGTCAATCAATAACCACAGCCCAAACTTGGCTGTAAGTCAGAAGCACCTGGGAACACTGCACACATGCACTGGCCACATGGCAAGGGGACAGGATCATCCTTTGTCCTAACTCTTAAATGGTCAAATATTTGAATACTCTCGAATCCAGAGCTTTTCTCACCCACAGTCCTGGACTGAGCTCCTGAGTAGAGGCCTTGCCTGGCAATGTTAGGCCACAGACCTCTTTCCCCAGGGATGAATGTCAAAGTGACTCTCAGGGCCTTGCTTATAAAAATCCTTAAAAAACCAAAAGGAAAAAATCCAAATGCCTAGCCATTTCATCTGAGTTGCTGAAAATTCTGAGAGAGACCCTTATTGGCCTATGGCTAAATCCCCTGGCAGTACATAAATTCCAGAAACAACAAATATTGCTCTGGGGAAAAAGTGAAACGTGAAGTCTGCGGGCCTATGCTTGGCAATCACATTTAGAAATTCACTTGTAAGTCAGCTGTTTGAAACTCAGAATAGACGCATAAATTGGAAAACCCACCAAATACTTAGTTTCCAGACTCGTCTGGGAAAGCCTGTTCAGCCCATTATGTACAAAAAAACATGGTAGTATTCCAACTATCTAATCAGCATTTCAATGTGGAAAGCCAAGTCAAAATTCCAAACTACAACAATAAGTATTTCCCGTTCTCAGCTTCAGTGGTCAATGCCAGTCCCAGGAAAGCAGAAGAAACAAAGCAGGTACTGCTGTGCCCCAGCGGCTTACCAAGCCCCTACTGCTCACAGCTGGTTATCTTCTCTAATTGTCCTGCCCTGGGCAACAGGCGCACTTGCCCTCCAGGGTTGGAAAGCAAAGGGCCCTGCAGGTCAAGCTCTGTTTCCTCCAATACCTGCAAGCATGTCCTGAAGAAGAGCTCAGTAATGCTCAGGTTAAAATAAAAGCCTTTGGCCTTATATTTCAAACCACTCTTGCCTGAAGTCCTGAATAAAGCTAAGAGCGCTATGTCATCATGGGGTGACAGCTGTCAGAGTCTAAGATTGTTCAACACTTTCTAGGAGAGGACAAAGTGTTCCTAACTATTGTCTTGCCATATCTCTATCAAGCAGTGACCAGGCACAATGGTGGATGAACA
Organism: Homo sapiens; assembly: GCF_000001405.40. Taxonomy (NCBI): domain Eukaryota; kingdom Metazoa; phylum Chordata; class Mammalia; order Primates; family Hominidae; genus Homo; species Homo sapiens. The sequence goes on along the minus strand of NC_000019.10, from coordinate 34,305,316 downwards.
ACGTGGTTCTTTATGTAAAAGTCAAAGCTGCACACATCTGTACATATCCATGCATGTACAGACGGTAGTCTGGAATGGCATACAACAACCAGTTACTAATGGTCACTTCTGGGGAAAGGAATGAGGTGCTAAAGGAAAGTAGAAGTTTCACTGCTTACGTTTCTTTTGAGAAGTAAAGGCATGCTTTTTTATGTGTTGAATTTTTAAACAAAATTATGACAAGCCCGCCGGGCACGGTGGCTCACGCCTGTAATCCCAGCACTTTGGGAGGCCGAGACGGGCGGATCCCGAGGTCAGGAGATCAAGACCATCCTGGTTAACATGGTGAAACCCCGTTTCTACTAAAAATACAAAAAAATTAGCCGGGCGTGGTGGCGGGCGCCTGCAGTCCAAGCTACTCGGGAGGCTGAGGCAGGAGAACAGCGTGAACCTGGGAGGCAGAGCTTGCAGTGAGCCGAGATCACGCCACTGCACTCCAGCCTGGGCGACAGAGCAAGACTCTGTCTCAAAAAAATAAATAAATAAATAAAAAATAAAAATAAAAATAAAATTATGACAAGCCATTTTATACACACTTTAAAATGACAGTATCCCTGGGTATAAAATATGATCATAGAAACAATTAGAAATTACAAAGATGGCTGGGCGTGGTGGCTAACCTCTGTAATTCCAACACTTTGGAAGGCCGAGGTAGGTGGATCACTTGAGGTCAGGAGTTTGAGACCAGCCTAGTCAACATGGTGAAACCCGTCTCTACTAAAAATACAAAAAAAATTAGCCAGGTGTGGTGGCACGTGCCTGCAGTCCCAGCTACTTGGGAGGCTGAGGCACAAGAATCGCTTTAACCCAGGAGACAGAGGCTGCTGTGAGCCAAGACCACGCCACTGCACTCTAGCCCGGGCAACAGAGCAAGACTCCGTCTCAAAAAAAAAAAAAAAAAAATTACAAAGATGGCCGAGCACGGTGGCCCACGCCTGTGATCCCAGCATTTTGAGGCCATGAGTTTGAGACCAGCCTGGCCAACATGGCGAAACCCTGTCTCTACTAAAAATACAAAAATTTGCTGGGTGTGTTGGCACATGCCTGTAATCCCAGCTACTTGGGAGGCTGAGACATAAGAATTGCTTCAACCCAGGAGGCAGAGGTTGCAGTGAGCTGAGATCGCCAATGCACTCCAGCCTGGGCAACAGAGCAAGACTCTGTCTAAAAAAAAAAAAAAATTACAAAGATAGATCCAAAGTAGAATGACCCTGACCCAAGGAAGTGACTATACACTTATACCAGCAGGTGCAGCAAACTAGAACCCATCGGCCAAACCCCATCCATAGAATAGATGGGCCCACAAAGTAAAGCTGACTTTTACATTTTTAAAGGATTGTAAAAAATAAAAATAAAAACAAGGCCGGGAGCGGTGGCTTACACCTGTAAATCCCAGCACTTTGGGAGTCTGAGGTGGGTGGCTCACTTGAGGTCAGGAGTTTGAGACCAGCCTGACCCACACGGTGAAACCCTATCTCTACTAAAAATACAAAAATTAGCCAGACATGGTGGTGGGCGCCTGTAATCCTACCTACTCGGGAGGCTGAGGCAAGAGAATTGCTTGAACCCGGGCAGCGGAGGCTGCAGTGAGCCGAGATCACGCCATTGCACTCCAGCCTGGGCTACAAGATGAAACTTCGTCTCAAAACAAAAACAAAAACAAAGAATATGTGAGAGAGACCACATGTGGTCCATGAAGCCTAAAATTTCTGTCTGCCCTTCATAGAAAAAGCTTGATAAACCCTGATTTATACCAATGATGCTGTGTCTCTTAAGAAATAACTCTAAGTTCTTCTTGGAAATTCCTTCAAAATCACTTTTAAACACAGTAAAAATTAGTTGTGTTACTTAAAAGTCAAGTTCTTTTTTTGGTTAACCCAAAGCAGTGTTAGTTAGCTTATTCAGGCACCTAAATAATCAGATCCGACCCAAAAGACTGGTGATCTTAACCCCAGGATGGGGTAAGGAACATTCTCCTTCCTAGGATCTCATATCCAAGAACTTCACCTGGATGTAGAAGGATGGAAAAACTAATGTCAGATTAACTCTCTGAACAGCTAAAAGTAATTTTTAAAATCTATCAAACGAATATAAGAGATCAAAGTTGAATAAATCATTTCCTAAAATAAGACAAGAAAAAAGGTCATCTTTACTTTGAATGAAACTTGTATTCTAATCTTACATTGTAATCTAGAGCCCTAAAAGAATAATATTTCATTTTAACTATCAAAGAGGCTGGGTGTGGTGGCTCACACCTGTAATCCTAGCACTTTGGAAGGATGAGGTGGGTGGATTGCCTAAGCTCAGGAGTTTGACACCAGCCTGGGCAACACGGTGAAAACCCATCTCTACTAAAATACAAAAAATTAGCTGGGTATGGCTGCGTGAGCCTGTAGTCCCAGCTACTCAGGAGGCTGAGGCAGGAGAACTGCTAGAACCCAGGAGGCAGAGGTTGCAGTGAGCCGAGATAGTGCCACTGCACTTCAGCTTGGGCGACAGAGAGAGACTCTGTCTTTTAAAAAAAAAAAAAAAAAAAAAAAACTATCAAAGACCCCAAGAAATGTACTGAAGAAGACTCAAATACATCTGAATATTAGCAACTGTGAATTTAGAATTGGAAAAATTATTCTATAAACGTGTGGGACTCTCTAAAAACCAAAGATTCAATATAATAAAAATCCACAGGACAGGCAGGGTGGCTCACACCTGTAATCCCAACACTTTGGGACGCTGAGGCAGGTGGATCACTTGAGGTTAGGAGTTCGAGACCGGCCTGGCCAAGATGGTGAAACCCTGTCTCTACTAAAAATACAAAAAGTTAGCCGGGTGTGGTGGTGGGCGCCTGTAATCCCAGCTACTCGGGAGGCTGAGGCAGAGAATTGCTTGAACCTGGGAGGCGATGTTGCAGTAAGCTGAGATCGTGCCACTACACTCCAGCTTGTGTGACAGAGTGAGACTCCGTCTCAAAAAAAAAAAAAAAAAAAACGGCTGGGCGCGGTGGCTCCTGCCTGTAATCCCAGCACTTTGGGAGGCTGAGGCGGGCGGATCACCTGAAGTTGCGAGTTTGAGACCCTAGTCTGACCAACATGGTGAAACCCCGTCTCTACTAAAAATACAAAATTAGCCGGGCATGGTGGCGCATGCCTGTAATCCCAGCTACTCAGGAGGCTGAGGCAGAAGAATCACTTGAACTCGGGAGGTGGAGGTTGCAGTGAGCCAAGATTGCACTATTGCACTCCAGCCTGGGCAACAAGAGCGAAACTGACTTAAAAAAAAAAAAAAAAAAAAAAAAAAAGGCTGGGCGCAGTGGCTCACACCTGTAATCCCAACACTTTGGGAGACCAAGGCGGGCAGATCACAAGGTCAGGAGATCGAGACCATCCTGGCTAACATGGTGAAACCCCATCTCTACTAAAAATACGAAAAAATTAGCCGGGTGAGGTGGCGGGTGCCTGTAGTCCCAGCTACTAGGGAGGCTGAGGCAGGAGAATGGCATGAACCCAGGAGGCGGACCTTGCAGTGAGCCGAGATCGTGCCACCGCACTCCAGCCTGGGCGACGGAGCAGGACTCCGTCTCAAAAAAAAAAAAAAAATCCACAAATAAAGCTCATAATCGTATTTAGAATTCTCAGTACTCACTAATAACTTTTACCAGTACGGTATTTGAAAATTAGGTTCTGACTTGAAAATTTGAAAGACAACAATATAAAATATTGGCTGGTTTGTTTAATAATTTTTCTTTTTTTTTTTTTTTTTTTTTTTTTGAGACATGGTCTCACTCTGCCGTCCAGGCTGGAGTACAGCAGTGCAATCACGGCTCACTGCAGCCTCAAACTCCTGGGCTCAAGCAATCCTCCCACCTCAGCTTCTGGGCTTCTGGAGTAGTCAGGGCTTCTGGATGTAGAAGGATGGAAAAACTAATGCCAGATTAACTCTCTGAACAGCTAAAAGTAATTTTTAAAATCTATCCAACAGGTGCACACCACCACACCCAGCTAATTAATTTTTTTAGTTTTTGTAGAGACAAGGTCTCACTATGATGCCTCAAACTCCTGAGCTCAAGCGATCTTCCCGCCTTGGCCTCCCAAAGTGCTGGGGTTACAGCCACCACACCTACCCTTAACCTACTGAATTTGATATGAAAGCAATTCAGAACCTGGCACGCACACATTTTTTACAAAGACAGAGTACCAACAGCAAGAGGACAAAGGCTACTATTACAGTGATTTGGAAAAAAACTTAAGACAATATTCTCACTTACCTTTGTAGTATATTTTCCTACACAAGTATGACACAAAAGATACTCTACCTCAATGTCCTGGAGACTGAATTCCTTCTGATCCGTAAAATTTGCAGCCCCAGCACTAAGTTCCATTAGCATCTTGGCGATCTCAGGCTTTATGGCCGAGGTCAGCCGACTGGCTGCTTCCATGACATGCTCCTGCACATCTTTGAGCTGTGTGGCTGCCTTTGAGTAGTGAGAGTTCCTGAACACAGTGCTGAAGAGATCTGTGAGGAAAGTACTGGCACGGCAGAAGACGTTCAGGGCATCCAGATACTTGGAGATGCCCTGCTGGATGTCGGCGATAGGAGTAGTGTGGGGCATGGCATGGTGGCAGCTGCCTGCAGCGGTCAGACTGCCCAGGGGGGCAGTGGTGGCCGTGGATGCCAGGGGAGCACTCAGTGCTCGGCCCAGCTCAGGCATCGGGTATTGCTGGTGCTGCTGCACCTTCTGCTTGGACCCGCCAAGCAGGAAGCGCCGCTTGTAGTCCATTTTACTGTCCTGGGCACTGCAGCAATACATGCGGGAGGGGGAATTGTCCCAGCAACCGTAAGTGGGTCAGGGTTCTGATTCTTCTTTCTCAAAACTGTAGCTAGGTATAAAAATAGTGGAGTTCTGCAAATCGAAGTTTTAAAAAAGGCATTTCCATGAGGCAGGTGACCATGTGATCCAATGTAGAGGTGAGAGACAACAGGTTTATATAATTAATATTTTCAGTGTAGACAGGATCTCTGACAAAAAATAAAAGATGTCCAAAATGCTGGATAAGAACTGTTTAGCATTCCACTCTCTTACTAAAAGGATATGCTTGCTGAGAAAAATGTTTACTTCTTTGCAAGAATATTTTGATACTTGTATTTACAATGGCAGAAAAATAACTTAACGTTTAAAAATGTAATATAATGTAATACACTGTGTCTTCAATATACCCAAAAAAGTTAGAACCCAAAAACCCAGAAGCTGATCAACAGCAATTTAAAAGCAGTAAAGAATTACTTCACACAAAGTCCTTAAGAAGGAAGATCAAACTTCTGCAGAATTTTGACAGAGCCTGCCCGTCAAATCCGTTTACCTGTAAGGCTGCTTCTATGCAATGCTGAAATTCTCCAAATTTCCTCTAATGTTTCCTGAAAACAAGTTTTTCTTTTTTTTTTAAATGGCGTTTGTTGTAAGTCTCCTCCTCCATTCCTTTTGTTTGCTGAGGTAGCGGTTTCCTTGTAACATTAATAAGAGATGCTTCCAGACTGGGCTGGCCCTCAGTTGTAAAGTCTGAAGCAAGAATGCACAGATGTATTTGTAAGGCTTCTAAGTCCTTTCCTGTCGGGGGGAAAAATAAGATAAAGTGAGGAAGGCTACAGTAATTCTGGACAATAACTCCTGTGATGCTATTATCCACACAGGTGGGCTACAAATGAATAAGAAATCATATTATAACCTTAGAGGAGCAGGTACAATAGTGAGCACTGAACTATGAAATGATGACTGTTAGAAAATTCCTCAAGTAGTAATACAAAAACAATGCAACCAAAAAAGTATGATTCTAGACTGGCCCCTTCAAAGCTGAGGCTGGCACGTTGAACAGGGCCTGGATCCACGTTCAGCATTTTCTCCTTTCCTCTTTGAAGAGCTCACAAGCTTCAGGAGGATCACATGAGTACTCAGATTATGGTGAGGGCTGTTGACACACACAGCACTCATAAACTTTATGGGGCATCAGCAAAGGCAGAGATGGGCAAAGGGCAAGGGAAATCAAAAAGGTTGTTACGAAAAAAATATTCTTCTGAGGTAGGCCTTGATTGTAGGATAGGTTTGGACAAGTGCAAAAGGGACAGGTGGGACTCACAAGGTAAAGGACCACCACGGCAAAGGTCCCAAAGTAGGACGGGACAGTCGGATACCAAGCTGGGCTTAAGTGCAGGGTGCAGAAACAGAGCCTGGAGAAGGGAGTGGCTGGCAGGCGGTTTACAGACACGATTCTTCCAATCCTCACTCCGGTACCAGTTTCCCTCTGGGTGTGCAGAGCGGGAGCCTGGCAAGGTATACCAGTTTCACACCTTGGGTGGCTTCTTAGAACCCCTGACTCTGGATAGGTTCAAATAGCAGAATCTGGATATCGCTGGTTGTAGTTTCTGATACCTACAACAGCGGAATACTGTGACTCTTCTCATAAAGCTAAAATCAGGAATAACATTTGCTTGAAACCATCTGCTCTCCCAAACAAAAGTTCAAATACGTTTCACTGAAAGTCACATTTACCACATATTTAACTTATTATTATTATTTTTTTTGAGATGGAGTCTTGCTGTTGCCCAGGCTGGAGTGCAGTGGCGTGGTCTCAGCTCACCACAACCTCCGCCTCCCAGGTTCCAGTGATTCTCCTGCCTCAGCCTCCTGAGTAGCTGGGATTACAAGCGCCCACCATGCCTGGCTAATTTTTGTACTTTTAGTAGAGATGGGGTTTCACCATGCTGGCCAGGCTGGTCTCGAACTCCTGACCTCAGGTGATCCACCCGTCTCGGCCTCCCAAAGTGCTGGGATTACAGGCCTGAGCCACTGCGCCTGGCCAACTTTTTTTTTTTTTTGAGACAGAGTCTCACTGTGTTACCCAGGCTAGAGTGCAGTGGCATGACCTTGGCTTACTACAGCCTCGAACTCCTAGGCCCAAGCAATCCTCCTGCCTCAGTCTCCGGAGCAGCTGGGACTACAGATGTACCACCATGCTTGGTTAATTTTTGTATTTTTTGTAGAGACGAGGTTTCGCCATGTTGCCCAGGCTGGTCTCAAACTCCTGAGCTCAAGTGATCCTCCCGCCTCAGCCCAAAATGCTGAGATTACAGGCATGAGCCACCGTGCTTGACCACATATTCAACTGCAACCTATGTAATGGTGGTATATAGTTTCGTCTACTTATTGATAACCAGGTTTTCTATTTTCCTTTTTTGAATATATAATTAAATGTAACTCATACTTCGTCACTTATGGCCAATTACCATAATTCCTTTGTATTTCTATGATTGTGTTGGCAACACAGGAATTAGGTAGGTTACAAAGGCAAGAGATGAGAAGGACACTGTGGATACAAACACATAACATATAAAGTCAATAAAACAACCATTATTTATGGCTCTATGTTCAACAAAATTTGAGCTCTTTAAAAAAAATCTCATAAACTTTTCAAGAAACAAATATCAAATGGCTACTTGTAAAAAATGTGTTCCAAAATGTTTTCTTTTTTCAAATTCATGACAAATAAGGCAATCACATCTATCCCCACCCGAGTGCTCCACAATTTATAGATTCTGATATACAACAGAAGCACTCTACAGGAATGCTGAAGCGGGGCAGGCTGTTCCCGTGGAGACTCTGTGGCCTCTGAAGGAAAACCTTCACCTGAGTTGGCCACAGTGAGTGTCTTATGCAGCCCTGAGAAACACTCTATCTTTGTTCAGTGGTGCACCAGCTTCCTAGTTCCTCTACCGCGGCTGCCTCTGGCTCTAGGAGAGCCTGCCCCCATTCCTTTGACAGATCTGGAAGACCAAGTGAGACCTATATGCTTACCTAATTAAAAAACCACAAACATTAAACTCTTTTTCACTTTACATACTTCCAAACTTTCTCTAAATGAAACTTATAATGCTTAAAGTTATACTATTTCACCAAATTCATCTACAGATTCAACACAATTTTTATCAAAATATTTTTTTTTTTGAGACAGAGTTGTGCTCTGTCGCCCAGTCTGGAGTGCAGTGGCACAATCTCAGCTCACTGCAACCTCCACCTCCAGAGTTCAAGTGATTCTCCTGCCTCAGCCTCCCAAGTAGCTGGGATTACAGGTGCGCGTCACAGTGCCTGGCTAATTTTTTGTATTTTTAGTAGAGATGAGGTTTCGCCATATTGGCCAGGCCGGTCTCAAACTCCTGGCCTCAAGTGATCCACCCACCTCGGCCTCCCAAAGTGCTGGAATTACAGGCGTGAGCCACCATGCCGGCCTCAAAATTTCAATTACCTTTTCTACAGAAATGGGCAAGCTGACCCCAAAATTCATTTGGAAGCCAGGAGTGGTAGTGCATGCCTGCTGTCCTAGGTACTTAGAGGTGGCCAAGGTGAGAACATCACTTGAGCCCAGGAGTCTAAGAGCAGCCTGGGCAACACTGCAAGACTCTGTCCCCAAAAATAAAACAAAGCCCTAAAATCATATAAAAATGTGAGGGTTCCAGTTCTAGGTGCTTCGGGAGCTGCGGCTTAAGGTACAGACAGGGCCAAGTCCAAGAACCATACCACACACAACCAGTCCCGAAAATGGCACAGAAATGCTATCAAGAAACCCCGATCACAAAGATACAAATCTCTTAAGTGGATGGACCCCAGGTTCCTGAGGAACATGCACTTTGCCAAGAAGCACAAGAAGGGCCTCAAGAAGATGCAGGCCAACAATGCCAAGGCCATGAGTGCACGTGCCGAGGCTATCAAGGCCCTCGTAAAGCCCAAGGAGGTTAAGCCCAAGATCCCAAAGGGTGTCAGCCACAAGCTCGATCGACTTGCCTACATTGCCCACCCCAAGCTTGGGAAGTGTGCTCGTGCCCGCACTGCCAAGGGACTCAGGCTGTGCCGGCTAAAGGCCAAGGCCAAGGATCAAATCAGCGCCCAGACTGCAGCTCCAGCTTCAGTTCCAGCTCAAGCTCCCAAAGGTGCCCAGGCCCCTACAAAGGCTTCAGAGTAGATATCTCTGTCTACAAATGTGAGAACAGAAGGACTGCTGCGACCCCCTCGGGCTGCCGTCTGCATGGGGCGGGGATCCTCCTGTGCTATTTGTACAAACAAACTGACGCAAGAAAAAAAAAAAGCGAGGGATCCAGGATGACTAAAACAAATACTGAAAGAAAAAATGTTGTAAAAGTAATATTTCCTGATTTCAAAATCTACTATAAAGCTATAGTAACCAAAGCAGTGAAATACTGGCATAAGGAAAGATGTATAAATCAATGGAGTAGAATTAGAAGTCCAGAAATAAACCCATACATCTACAGTCAACTGATTTTAGACCAGGATGCCAAAAACATCCAGTGGGGAAAGAACAGTCTCTTCAATAAATGGTGATGGGACAACTAAATATCCACATGAAAAAATGAATCTGGACCCCGACCTCACATCATATACAAAAATTAGGCTGGGTGTAGTGGCTCAAGCCTGTAATCCCAGCACTTTGAAAGGCTGAGACAAGAGGATCGCTTGAGGCCAGGAATTTGAGACTAGTCTGAACAACAGAGCAAGACCCCATCTCTACAAAAAATTTAAAAAATTAGCTGGTCATGGTGGTGTGCACCTGTAGTCTCTGCTACTTGGGAGGCTGAGGGAGCAGTATCACTTGAGCCCAGGAGTTTTAAGCTGCAGTGGGCCATGATTACACCACTGCACTCTAGCCTGGGTGACAAAACAAGACCCTGTCTCGAAAACAAAACAAAACAAAACAAAACAAAACACCAAGAGATACAAGATTCATGAAAATAAAAGCCTAAAAAGGGGAGGGAAAGAGTATCATCAAAAATGGCAGAATAAGGACTTTCCCTGACCAAAATTCTCTACTACATAAAAACAATGAAAAATTGGCAAAATAATAGAATCACCTTTTTCAGAACTCTGGAAATAGGCTTTTAGCAAACTGGGGATAATTTATCAAAGATAAATAGCTGAATCCTGGTAAGAACAGTGAGTTTTGTAGCATTTTAACTTGACTGAGTCCCATTCCTAGCTCTCCAGCTCCATAATAGCCTTGAAAACTACCAGCTGCATCCACATTGAAGACCAGAAGACTGGCAGTTACCAGAGGAAGCAGAACTGGGCTACAGCTCCTTCAAAGTACCATTCCCAGGAAATTGGCATTATTTAACCTGTCTGGTGGTTCCCCAAAATACCCCATTTGCAAATATCTCTGTATTTTACCTGACTTAGAGCTCATCTGGAGAGGGAGGAGAATCTGATTTTCAGAGTTGCCACATTATGTCATTAAAAATGTCCAGTTGGCTGGCCACAGTGGCTCAAGCCTGTAATCCCAGTGCTTTGGGAGGCCGAGGTGGGCAAATCACCTGAGGTCAGGGGTTCAAGGCCAGCTTGGCCAACATGGTGAAACCCTGTCTCTACTAAGAATACAAAAAAAATTAGCCAGGTGTGTTGCTGCCCACCCATAGTCCCAGCTACTCAGGCAGTTGAGGCATGAGAATTGCTTGGATCACACCACTGTACTCCAGCCTGGGCGACAGAGAGAGACTCTGTCTGAAAATAATAATAAAATAAAATGTCCAGTTTTCAACAAAAAATTGGAAGATATGCAAAGAAACAAAAGAATATAGCCCATATAAAGGGAAAAAACAACAATAGAAAACTCTTCCCAAGGGAAGCCCAGATATTGGACTTAACAGACAAGAGTTTAAGTCAATTTAAGTATGTTCAAAGAACTAAAAGAAACCACATTTAAAAAGTGTGAGGAAAATATAAGAATAATGTCTCCCAAAACAGAATATTAATAAAAGATAGCAACGATTTTTTATTTTATTTCACTTTTTTTTTTTGCTTTTAGAGATGGGGTCTCTCTCTGTCACCCAAACTGGAGTATAGTCATACAATCATGGCTCATTGCAGCCTTGACCTTCTGGGCTCAAGCAATCCTCCACCTCAGCCTCCTCAGGGGCCAGGACCTCAGGCATGCACCACCATGCCCACCTAATTTTCTTTTTTTTTTTTTGTAGAGACAGGGTCTCACTATGTTGTCCACGCTGGCCTTGAACTCGTGACCCCAAGCCATCTTCCTACCTTGGCCTCTAAAAGTGTTGGGATTATAGGTGTGAGCCACCATGCTCAGCCTACTCAAGCCTATACATGTAAGGCACAGTCCACCTGATAATTTAGAAGCACATAATTTATAAAAATAAGTTTATGCAACCGGGCACAGTGGCTGACACCTGTAATCCCAGCACTTTGGGAGGCTGAGGCAGATGGATCACCTGAGAGGTCAGGAGTTAGAGACCAGCCTGGCCAACAGAAGGAAACCCCATTTCTACTAAAAAATACAAAAATAAGCCAGGTGTAGTGACGCGTGCCTATAATCCCAGCTACTCGGGAGGCTGAGGCAGGAGAATCACTCCAACCTGAGAGGCGGAGGTTGCAGTGAGCTGAGATCGCACCACTGCACTCCAGCCTGGGTGACAGAGTAAGGCTCCGTCTCAAAAAAAAAAAAAAAAAAAAAAAAAAGAAATATGTGTGTGTGTGTGTGTGTGTGTGTGTGTTTATATGTTTATGCTTCAAGAGGTTGGGCAAAGTGGCTCATACCTGTAATCCTAGCACTTTGGGAGGCCAAAGCAGGCAGATCACTTGAGCCCAGAAGTTCAACCAGCCTGGGCAACATGGCGAAACCCTGTCTCTACAAAAACATACAAAAATTAACCGGGCATGATGGTGTGCACCTGTGGTCCCAGCTACTCGGGAGGCTAAGGTGGGAGGATCACTTGAGCCTGAAAAGTTGAGGCTGCAGTGAACCATGATCACACCACTGCACTCCAGCCTGGAAAACAGAGAATCTGTCTTTAAAAAAAAAAAAATGCTCCAAGAGAACAATTACATCTGGTGAATCAAGAGAGAGAGGATCAAACAACTCATTTTTTATTTACTCCTTTTTTTCCCTTCAAGAGTGCTTCATTTTTGAAATGAAAAATTTTCCAAAAGCTAAACAAGTTGAAGAATTATGTTATTAGTCATTAACATTTACTTTAGTGCTAAGCTCACAGTGCAAATTTTTATAAATACGCCAATACACACTACAACTGTTTAGAGAGCAACTTAAGCTAATATGCATGTAAAAATCTCTTCACTGTTTAGTTTGCCATATGGCTGCTTTATCAAAACTGATTACTTCAGTAAGAAAGACAGTAACAAGTATTGATGAAGATGTGGAAACATCAAAACACTCATACATTGCATATAGGATTGTAAAATGGGCCGAATTCAGTAGCTCATGACTGTAATCCCAGCACTTTGGGAGGCAGAGGCGGGAGGATCATTTGAGGTCAGGGGTCAGAAACCAGCCTGGCAACATGGCAAAACCCTGTTTCTACTAAAAAATACAAAAATTAGCTGGGTGACTTGGGAGGCTGAGGCAGGAGAATGGCATGAACCCGGAAGGCGGAGCCTTGCAGTGAGCCGAGATCACGCCACTGCATTCCACCCTGGGTGATGGAGCGAGACTCAAAAAAAAAAAAAAAATTTAGCTGGGTGTGGTGGCACATGCCTGTAATCCCAACTATTCAGGAGGCTGAGGCAGGAGAATTGGTTGAACCAGGAGGCAGAGGTTGCAATGAGCCGAAATCGTGCCACTGTGCTCCAGCCTGGGTAACAGAGTGAGACGCTGTCTCAAAAAAAAAATAAAGTAAAATGGGATAGCTACTATGGAACAGTTTGGCAGGTCCTCAAAATGCTAAATATAGTGTTACCACATAACCCAGCAATTTCATTCCTATGTATATACCCAAGAGAAACGAAGAAATATGTCCAAACAAAAACCTGCACACAAATGTTCATAGCAGCATTATTCATAATAGTCAAAAGTAGTAACGACCCAATTGCTTATCAACTGACAAATGAATAAACAAATGTAGTACAGACATATAATGGATTATTTATTCAACTATAAAAAGGAATGAGGTTCTGATAAATGCTACAATATGGACGAACCTTAAAAACACTGTGCTAAGTGAAAGAAGCCAGACAAGGAGACTCCTATTGTATGAGTCTACTGATATGAAATGTCTAGAATAGGCAATCTACACAGATAAAAAAGTAGATCTGGGCGGGTGCGGTGGCTCACGCCTGTAATCCCAACACTTTGGGAGGCCAAGGGGGGCAGATCACTTGAGGCCAGGCATTTGAGACCAGCCTGGCCAACATGGTAAAACCCCGTCTCTACTAAAAATACAAAAAAAATTAGCCAGGTATGGTGGCACATGCCTGTAATCCCAGCTATTTAGGAGGCTGAGGCAGAAGAATCACTTGAACCTGGAGGTGAAGGGTGCAGTGAGCCAAGATGGTGCCACTGTACTCCAGCCTGGGCGAGAGAGTGAGACTCTGTCTCAAAAAAAAAAAAAAAAGTAGATTTATGGAATGAGGAGTCCTTGCTAATGTGTACAGCTTTTCTGGGGAGTGATGAAAATGTTCTGAAGTTAAATAGTGGTTGCTATGGCTTGAAATGTCATCCAAAGTTCTTGTATTGGAAACTTAATCCCCAGTGCAATAGTGTATAGACGTGAGACCTGTAAGAGATGATTAGGTCATGAAGGCTCTTGTCCTCCTGAATAGATTAATGGCATTATCACAGGAGTGGTTTAATTTATTGTGAGAGTGAATCTGTTACAGAAGTTCAACCATCTCTTGCTCTCTTGAGCTCTCCTGTCCTTCCACCTTTCGCCTTGGGGTGATGCAGTAAGAAGGCCCTCACCAGATGCCAATGCCATGACCTTGGACTTCCCAGAACCATGAGCCAAATAAACTAATTATGTGAATTATATCTCAATAAAACTAATTTTTAAAAAAGTATTACTTCATCTTTGTCACTTTCTTCACATAACTAACTTCTCATTTAATAGCAAAAACTAATAATAATAAATAAGTTTTCCAGGGATGACTTTAGTGCCAGACTTAGTCTCCTTTTTGTACATCAATCAGAAAAGTGTGCACGTGGTTCCTGACTTACAATGGCTTGACTTACAGTTTTGCTACTTTACAATGGTAAAAAAGCAATATGCGGCTGGGCGCGGTGGCTCACACCTGTGATCCCAGCACTTTGGGAGGCTGAGGTGGGTGGATCACCTGAGGTCAGGAGTTTGAGACCAGCCTGGCCAACATGGTGAAAGCTCGTATCTACTAAAAAATACAAAAATTAGTCGGGCATTGTGGCAGGCACCTGTAATCCCAGCTACCTGGGAGGCTAAGGCAGGATAATCGCTTGAACCTGGGAGGCGGAGGTTGCAGTGAACCAAGATCACACCACTACACTCCAGCCTGGGTGACAGAGTGAGACTCTGTCTCAAAAAAAAAAAAAAAAAAAAAAAAAAAAAAAAAAAAAAAAAAAAAAAAAAGCAATATGCTTTCAGTAGAAACTATACTTCAAGTTTTGAGTTTTGATCCAAATTTCTTTATAACTTTATCACAAAATAGACTTTGTAGCTGGGCATGGTGGCTTACAACAGTAATCTCAACGCTTTGGGAGGCCAAGCTGGAAAGATCATTTGAGGCCAGGAGTTCAAGACCAGCCCGGGCAACACAGAAAGACCCCACCTCTACAAAAAAATTTTTCAAATTAGCCAGGTCACCTATAGTCCCAGCTATTTCAGAGACTGAGGTGGGAGCATCATTTGAACCCAGGAGTTTGAGGTTACAGTGATCTGTAATTGTGCCCTTGTACTCCAGCCTGGGTAACAGAGTAAAACCCTGTCTCTAAGAGAGAGAGAGAGAAAAAAAGGCTTTGTGGTAGATGATTTTGCCAAACTGCAGGCTAAAGTGAAGTCCTCTTAGCACATTTCAGGTAGGCAAGGCTAAGCTATGACGTTTGGTACATTAGGAATATTAAATGCATTTTCTTTTCTTCTTTTTTTTTTGAGACAGGGTCTGGCTCTGTCACCCAGGCTGGAGTACAGTGGTGCAATCTTGGTTCACTGCAAGCTCCGCCTCCTGGGCTCAAGCCATCCTCCCACCTCAGCCTCCTGAGTAGCTGGGGCTACAGGCATACAGCACCACGCCCAGTTAATTTTTGTATTTTTTATAGAGCTGGGTTTCACCATGTTCCCCAGGCTGGTCTTGAGCTCCTGAGCTCAAGCGATCCTCCTGCCTCAGCCTCCCAAAGTGCTGGAATTACAGGCATCAGCCACTGCGCCCGGTCCTTACATTTTCAACTTAGGATATTTTCAACTTATGAGAGGTTTATCAGGACATAAACTCCCATCATAAGTCAAGGAACATCTGCATTTGAGTGCTGCCATCCAGCATCTGTGAATGTTAAGTGCCAAAAAGGCCCTTCATGATCATCTAACTTAAACCCTTCAATTTATATATTAAAAAGGGGATTCAGGACATTAAAGGTCTTGCACTAGACCACATGTAGTCTCAGAATCAAACTCAGGTATCTTGACTCTCAGAACTTCAAACTGGCAGACAGATCAAGCTATGCTGCAGTAACAAATCCTGAAATAAATGGCTTAACCTAATATTTACTTTTTTTTATTTTTTTTTTTGAGACAGAGTCTAGCTCTGTCACCAGGCTGGAGTGCAGTGGCATGATCTTGGCGCACTGCAACCTCTGCCTCCTGGGTTCAAGCGATTCTCCTGCCTCAGCCTCCTGAGTAGCTGGGATAACAGACACGCGCCACCACACCCAGCTAATTTTTGTATATTTAGTGGAGACGGGATTTCACCATGTTGGCCAGATGGTCTCGATCTTCTGACCTTGTGATCCGCCCACCTCGGCCTCCCAAAGTGCTGGGATTACAGGCATGAGCCACCATGCCTGGCCTTGGAGATGGAATCTTGCTCTGTCACTCAGGCTGGAGTGCAGAGGTGAGATCCTGGCTCACTGCAACCTACCTGGTCTTGAGCTCCTGAGCTCAAGTGATTCTCTTGCCTCAGCCTCCACAGTAGCTGGAACTACAGGCATGCATCACCAAGCCCAGCTAATTTTTGTATTTTTGGTAGAGATAGGGTTTCACCATGTTGCGCAGGCTGGTCTCAAACTCCTGACCTCAACTGATTCCTGCCTCAGCCTCCCAAAGTGCTGGGATTATAGGCGTGAGCCGCCATGCCCAACCAGATTTACTTTTTGTTTTTGAGACGGAGTCTTGCTCTGTTGCCCAGGCTGGAGTGCAGTGGTGCAATCTTGGCTCACTGCAACCTTCACCTCCTGGGTTCAAGCAATTCTCCTACCTCAGCCTCCTGAGTAGCTGGGAGATCACAGGCACACACCACCATGCCCAGCCAATTTTTGTATTTTTGGTAGAAACAGGGTTTCACCATGTTGGCTAGGCTGGTCTCGAACTCCTGGCCTCAACTGATCCGACTGCCTCGGCCTCCCAAAGTGCTGGGATTACAGGCATGAGCCAAGGCGCCCAGCCCAGATTACTTCTTGTTCACAAAAATTCACTGTGGGTCTAGCAGCCCTTCTTCAGCTTACAGGGACACTACTAGAACTTATGTCTCCCATGGTTGCCCTAGCACAGAAAAAGAAAGTCAAAACTCATACCCACTCTTTAATACTTCCCACTGAAAGTGACACACATCACCTCCCTTCAAAGCCCTTTGGCTTTGAGGTGGTTGCATGTCAAAGGCCACCATCAAAGGCCAGAGGTGGTTGCGTGGTACCAATTCCACTATATGAGAGGTAGAGAAATGTAGGGGAAAATACAGACTAGCGGGCAAGCCCTACAGTCGGCCACAGCTCTCCACACAGCCCAGCTGTGTGTTGTATGGTTCTGCCCAGACGAAAGCAATTCTGATTGCACACAGGGGAGGCTGTTTTGTAATGGGGAGGCCCCACAGTTGTTCTCCAGAGGTTGCTCCAGGACATCATTCTTTCTTGTATGTATGGAAACTGAAGGGGTGGAAGATGGTGGGGGAAGAGTCACAGTTTCCTTTGAGAAATTGAGGAAAGGAAACTTTAGTCAAACACACTTCCCAAACACCACAGTTTCCATTCAGTTTTGGAACTGCAGCCTCAGGTGAAGAACTAACTGCTTTCTACACTCCCCACGCTTCCTTTTCTTTCAGAGGAAGCTACATACAGCTGGAAGCACCAGATGACTTTTTGTAAACTGAGCTTCCTGCACTTCCTGTACCTAGTGTTGGTCCAACAGGTGACCAAGCAGGGGAGGCCTAAGGCTTGGACTAAAGAATTTAGTGGAACCACAGAGAAAAACACGAGATCCTTTGCAATCATACTACCCACTATGCACCTATGTTGTCAGGGTGTGGTCATCAGACCACAGCATCAGAACTGAATTGCCCACAACTAAGGGTGCACCTGTGTTACGGACTGAATGTTTCCCCAAAAATGCATATGTTGAAATCTAATTCCCATTGTGATGGTATCTGGAGGTAGGGCCTTTGGAAGGTATTTAGGTCATGAGGGTGCAGCCATCATAAATGAGATTAGTGCCCTTATAAAAAGAGGCCAGTTCACTCTCTTTCTGCCATATGAGAACATGGTAAGTCAGCAGTCTGCATCCCGAAAGAGGGTTCTCATGAGAACCTGACAGTGCTGGCACCCTGATCTTAAACCTCCAGACTTTGGAACTGTGAGAAATAAGCTTCTGTTGTTTATAAGCTACCCAGTCTATAGTACTTTGTCAAAGCAGCCTGAACTAAGACAACCTCTGTGACAGTAAATCTGTCTGTAGGCAGTAAAAGTCTATGTGGGGTTGTCATAACACTCACTGAGCATGTTAAAGGATGAAAACATTTTTAGCAATTTTTTTCACCACCTACCAACCTTAGTAAAACTAGGATGAGGGCTGGACACAGTGGTGCCCATCTGCAGTCCCAGCACTTTGGGAGGCCAAAGCAGGAGGGTCACTTGAGTCCAGGACTTCGAGTCCAGTCTGGGCAAAATAGTGAGATCTTGTCTCTAAACAAACAACAACAAAAAAACCTAGTAGCAGCCAGTGAAAACCAACAATGGCTTTTAAGGACTTCCTTCTCTGATACTAGAATCAGGATAGCACCCTTCCTGGAATGACTATTTAAATACTGATTACTGGGATGCAATCCAAATCTAACGAATCAATCTTTGGGAGAGAAGCAGAGAATACACTTTTTTTTTTTTTTTTTTTGAGACAGTCTTGCTCTGTCTCCCAGGCTGGAGTGCAGTGGCGCAATCTCGGCTCACTGCAAGCTCCGCCCCCTGGGTTCACGCCATTCTCCTGCCTCAGCCTCCTGAGTAGCTGGGACTACAGGCGCCCGCCACCATGCCCGACTAATTTTTTGGAGAATACACTTTTTTAACAAGTTCCCCAGATGATTCTGATGTATGCTATAATTTGAGAGCCAAACTGGGGGTCCACTGAAAATCTGCTGACAGCCACAAGAATGAGGACGCCTGATGATGCCGACTGTAGTGCAACTCAGGGATTCTCACCAATATTCCTGTGTATTCAAGAATACACAAAGGCCGGACATGGTGGCTCACGCCTGTAATCCCAGCACTTTGGGAGGCCGAGGCGGGCGGATCACGAGGTCAGGAGATCGAGACCATCCTGGCTAACACGATGAAACCCCATCCCTACTAAAAATACAGAACATTAGCCCGGCGTGGTAGCGGGCGCCTGTAGTCCCAGCTACTGGGAAGGCTGAGGCAGGAGAATGGCGTGATCCCGGTGCCACTGCACTCCAGCCTGGGCGACAGAGCCAGACTCCGTCTCAAAAAAAAAAAAAAAGAATACAGAAAGGTTGGCTGGGCACGGTGGCTCACACCTGTAATCCCAGCACTTTGGGAGGCCAAAGTGGACAGATCAAGAGGTCAGGAGATCGAGACCATCCTGGCTAACACGGTGAAACCCTGTCTCTACTAAAAATACAAAAAATTAGCCAGGTGTGGTGGGATGCACCTGTAGTCCCAGCTACTCGGGAGACTGAGGCAGGAGAATGGCATGAACCCGGGAGGCAGAGCTTGCAGTGAGCCGAAATCATGCCACTGCACTCCAGCCTGGGCAACAGAGCGAGACTCCGTCTCAAAAAATAATAATAATACAGAAAGGCACCTCCCTTCCAAAGTGATAAATAAGTTTTTTTGTTTTGTTTTGTTTGTTTGTTTGTTTTGAAACAGGGTTTCACCAGTCTCTGGCTGTTAAGCTCAAGCAATCCACCTGTCTCGGCTTTCCAGAGTGCTGGGATTACAGGCGTGTGCCACTGTGCCTGGCCACAACTCTTTTTCTGAGAACCAAGGGGCTGGTTACACAGATCAATGAAAAGTTCTGTTTGTAACATAATTGCTTCTAACAAGACTGCTCAAGTATCACAGTCACGCCTGGGGTTCCTACCCAAGCAGAGAGAAAAAACATTCAAAACATGTAAACTAGTTTTCGCTAATTCTTAACAGATCTGGTGTTCCTGTGCAGATCTTTGTTGTAATCAAAACTAGATAGTGTTGAATTTTTTTAAAATGTCATGGAACTGGCTGGTCACAGTGGCTCACGCCTATAATCCCAGCACTTTGGGAGGCCGAGGCAGCTGGATCACGAGGTCAAGAGATCGAGACCATCCTAGCTAACACGATGAAACAAACAAAAAAAAAAGGTCATGGAACTGAAATACATTCAAGATCTATCATTTTCTTTTTTCTTTTTTTGAGATGAAGTCTCACTCTGTTGCCCAGGCTGGAGTGCAGTGGTGCGATCTCGGCTCACTGCAACCTCTACCTCCTGGGTTCAGGCAATTCTCATGCCTCAGCCTCCTGAGTAGCTGGCATTACAGGTGCCCGATACCACGCCTGATTAATTTTTGTATTCTTAGTAGAGACAGGGTGTCACCACGTTGGCCAGGCTGGTCTCAAACTCCTGACCTCAAAGTGATCCGCCTGCCTCAGCCTCCCAAAGTGTTGGGATTACAGCCATGAGCCATCATGCCTGCCCGAGTTCTATCATTTTCAAATGACATTTTGCCAAGAAACAATGTACAGAGAAGGTGGTAATACCTACCTAAGCATTTGTCTTCATGGCAGTGATCATAATATCCCCTGACAAAATACTGTTGGAAGTTAGGTGATGGGTACATGAGGTGCATCATATCACTTGCTCCAATGTTGTATATGATTGAACATTTCTGAAACAAAATGTTGAAAATGCACACACAGACACACACACACACACGAACACCTGGATTTTATTATTTTATTTCTGTTTTTATTTATTTATTGAGACTGGGTCTGGCTCTGTCACCCAGGCTGGAGTGCAGTGGCGTGATCTCGGCTCACTGTAACCTCTGCCTCCTGGGCTCAGATGATCCTCCTACTGCAGCCTCCCCAGTAGCTGGGACTACAGGCATATGCCACCGTGCCCAGCTAATTATTATTATTATCATTATTTTAATAAAATTCTTCTTAATGCTGTCTAAATGTTTTTCACATGCTTCTCCACCCTCATATTTATCTGCCTGTCAGGCTAAAATATGTTCAAACCATTTAAGGACATTTCTTTTCCGTATTTTCTTAAAAAGAATTTTCACTGGGAAAACATTCACCATTTATGAATCCACTATTCATGCTGCATGGAAATAAATACGCATTGTGAAAGACCTCAGAAGTTAGTGTAGCCAAGACTTGTGAGATTTGTCATGTACTCTTAAGTTTTAATGCTACTTAAAAAATCAAATACATAGCAGAAAAGAACATTTTAAGTAACATCTTTTCAACATAATTTGCAAAAGTTCTCCACAGATTAAAACTGAATTCAGCCATAATTATATCATTTAAAATATTCATTTCTACAATTAGAGTCATCAGCGATTTCTATTTCAGGCAATAAAGGACATGCTTGAAACTACACGAAGGCCAGACATGGTGGCTCATGCCTGTAATCCCAGTACTTTGGGAGGCTGAGACGGGCAGATCACTTGAGGCCAGGAGTTTGAGACCAGTCTGGCCAACACAGTGAAACCCTGTCTCTACTAAAAATACAAAAATTAGCCGAGCGTGGTAGCACATGCCGGTAATTTCAGCTACTTGGGAGGCTGAGGCAGGAGAATCGCTTGGGAGGTGGAGGTTGCAGTAAGCCGAGATTGCACCACCGCACTCTAGCCTGGGTGACTGAGTGAGACTGTCTCAAAAAAAAAAAAAAAAAAAAAAAGAAAGCCGGGCCTGTAATCCCAGCACTTCCAGCACTTTGGGAGGCTGAGGCGGGCGGATCACGAGGTCAGGAGATCCAGACCATCCTGGCTAACACGGTGAAACCCCGTCTCTACTAAAATACAAAAAGTTAGCCAGGTATGGTGGCGGGCGCCTGTAGTCCCAGCTACTTGGGAGGCTGAGGCAGGAGAATGGCATGAACCTGGGAGGCGGAGCTTGCAGTGAGCCGAGATCATGCCACTGCACTCCAGCCTGGGTGACAGAGTGAGACTCCGTCTCAAAAAAAAAAAAAAAAAAAGAAAGAAAGAAAGAAACTAGATGAAGACTCAGTATTAGAGGATTTTCTTATACCTATGGTTGACAAGACATGAAAAGTGGTCAGCCATCCTAAGAAAATCTCTTGAAGCACTTCCCTTTAGAAAGATAAGACGATTGAAGTGAAGAAGAGAATGGCCCTGGGCGTCTGACTAATAGGGTGAGATCTTGGCTGTCAGGATCAGCTTGACCTTGAGCAAGTTCCTTAACCTCTCTCTGCCTGTCTCATCATCTATAAAATAAGGATAATAGTAACCACTGTTATTGAGTTAAATGGGTTTATACATATAAAGCACTTAGAATGATGTCTGGCACATATTAAGCACTAAATGTTTGATGATGATGATATTATCATTCCCACAAAGCAAGCAAAGGAAGCAGGCCTTGTTATTTCTGCTTCTCTGGAAAAAAGTCACTGACAAACAGGAAAGGTCTTGAAAAGTTACCCAATCCTTGAACCAAATAGAAATCTACCAATCGCAGGGCAGGAAGCATCACACACTTCATTGATAACTAACTTCTACTTACATGGACTATGCAGCTATAAAGAGAAATTTAGTCCCTGAATTAATTAATTAAGTTTTCCCATCTGACTAAAGATTGATAGCTATGATTTGTGAATACAGAGAATAATTTTAGATCCACTTCAGTCCTTAAACCAACAGAGAAAAGAGAGTGGCAAGCAGTCCTACTGTCAGAAATGGGATGACAAAAGGAGTTTCATTTCAAAACGACAGGCTAAACAGGCAAGTGCACTTACCTCTCCATCCTCCCCAAATCCCAGTGACATAACAATAAAGACATTCACAAGGGAATCTCAGCAAAACAGTAATGAGAAGGTCTGAGGGCCACAGTCTATTTAACTGCAGGCCATCTTCTAGAGGATGGAGAGAAAGCAGAGGAAACTATATTACAAGACAGACCAGAGCAAAGCTGGCCACTTTTTACAACATGCAGGGCCAAAAGAGAACAGAGAGGCAGAGCCCTTTTTCCTGGAGGAGCTGGATAAATGCCCAGCTTTGAATCAGCAGGTAGAGAAATCAGGAGTGGGAAACCAGTTAATCAACCTGATTTCATCTGTACTTCCCATTCCTCAATCAGCCAACTCTCACTAAGGCAAGAGGACTATTGAAAAACAGAGGGACCTCCTGCAAATTACCTATATGAACAACCCAGTTCTTCATTGATAAGGATCACCAGACAGTGAAGGAAAACCAAAAGGACAAAAAAGGACAACTAAGATGAAAAGGTGATCAGACCTCAGAAGAAATACATATTTTAGGTCCCAGAAAAAACACCTGAAAAGAAATTCTGACTGGTATTCCTCAGACAGTGTTGGAAAGATAGTGCATCCTTAAAAGCAGGGCTGGGCACGGTGGCTCACGCCTGTAATCCGAGCACTTTGGGAGGCCAAGGCAGGCAGATCACAAGGTCAGGAGTTCAAGACCAGCCTGGCCAGCATGGTGAAACCCCGTCTCTACTAAAAATACAAAAATTAGCCTGGTGTGGTGGCGTGCGCCTGTAATCCCAGCTACTCAGGAGGCCAAGGCAGGAGAATTGCTTGAACCCAGGAGGCGGAGGTTGCAGTGAGCCGAGATCGCACTATTGCATTCCAGCTCTAGGCAACAGAGCAAGACTCCATCTCGGGGGGAGAAAAAAAAACCAAAAGCAAACAAATCATAAAGGAAGTAGAAATCAACAATGAATTCTTGGAAATAAGAAATATGATTGCCAAGATAAAAACGAGAAGAAATAAAATGGGAATGAAGTAAGGTATAGGGAATACAGAAACACACAGACACACACGCTTGTAGCTTTTAAAATAAGCCATGGGAGAATAAACCAAAAACCAACAAAGATGTTTACCTACAACGTATAGAGAAGAACAAAGACAAGGAGGAAAGCCAGACTTCTTTCAATCTATCTTACTTATGGTTTTATCTTTAGAACTACGTAAATATATAAGCAAAAAGCAAATATAAAAAAGAAAAATATCCCTAAAAATGAAACAAAAGACAAATGAATCTATATTATTTACCAAATTAGTGGCACAGCCACACAGAGAAGAATTATTTCAAGTTTAAAATTGTGTTTCGGCCAGGTGTAGTGCTTCACATCTGTAATCCCATCACTTTGGGAGGCCAAAGCAGGAGGAATGCTTTAGAGTTCAAGACCAGCCTGGGCAACACAGTGAGACCCCATCTCTATAACACACAAACAAAATTGGCCAGGTGCAGTGGCTCATGACTGTAATCCTAGCACTTTGGGAGGCAGAGGCAGGCAGATCACAAGGTCAGGGGTTTGAGACCAGCCTGGCCAATATGGTGAAACCACGTCTCTACTAAAAATACAAAAATTAGCCAGGCATAGTGGCAGGCGTCTGTAGTCCCAGCTACCAGGGAGGCTGAGGCAGGAAAATCACTTGAACCCGGGAGGCAGAGGTTGCAGTGAGCTGAGATCACACCACTGCACTCCAGCCTGGGTGACAGAGTGAGACTCCATCTCAAAACAAACAAACAAACAAAATTATCCAGACATGGTAGTGCATCCCTGTAGTCCCAGCTACTGATGAGGCTGAGGTGGAAGGATCACTTGAGCCCAGGTGGTGGAGGCTGCAGTGAGCCAACATGGCGCCACTATACTCCAGCCTGGGCGACAGAGTGAGGTGGTCTCCATCAATCGGTCAATCAATAAAATCGTGTTTTGACTGGACCCCTCTGGTGTTACTGTCAACAAATGAGAAAAGACAAATATAAAATCAAAGATATAAAAATCCTTTAATCCTTCATTTGAATTGGAAGTAAATCAGTCTGAAATCATGGTGTATCTTTTTCTTTCCAAAAAGTATGTATTTCCTAGTTCTACTAAAAAAAAAAAAAAACCTACTGGAATTTACATCTTAATTGTAATGAATGCCCTTAATACCATTTCCCACCAAAAAGAATCAGAACTAGTTAAAGAAATGGCTGATTCTGGATCTGGGATCAGAAATTTTTCCGATAAGCCCCGGACTTCTTGTAAAGCCAGAAAGCAGGGAACTCATATAACACTACTAGGCTCATGTCAAAAGCACCTAGAAAACCCGAAAAATAAGTGCCATTAACGATCAATAATGGGACAACTTAAGCATCAAAAAGAATAACCATTTAGGGGTGAAAATCATTAAATATATAAAAATTACTGAGTTCAGACTTAGCAATAATTTCTTGGATAGGACACGAAAAGCACAGGCAACAAAAAACAGATAAACTGGACTTCAAAATCAAAACTTTTAGGCATCAAAGGACATTACAAGCAAAAAGCAATCCATAGATGAAAATATTTATAAATCACATATGGGAAAAGGAATTAATATCCAGAATATATAAAGAACTCCTACAACTCAAACACAAAAATCCAATTTTTAAATGGGCAAAGGACTTGAATAGACTTTTGCCCCAAGAAATATGCGAACAGCTAATAAGCACATGAAAAGATGCTCAACATCACTAATCACTAGTGATATAGCTTAAATCTGTGTCCCCACACAAATCTCATGTTGAATAGTAATTCCCAATGTTGGAGGTGGAGCCTGGGAGGAGGTGACTGGATCATGTGGTGGATTTTCCCCTTTGTACTCAATAGTGAGTGGGTTCTCATGAGACCTGGTTGTTTAAAAGTGGGCAGCACCTCCCTTCTCTCTCTCGGTCCTGGCTCCTGCCATTTAAGATGCCTGCTCCGCTTTGCCTTCTGCCACCAATAAAAGCTCCCTAAGGCCTCCCCAGGAGCAGATGCTGCCATACTTCCTGTACAGCCAATTAAACCACTTTTTTTTTTTTTTTTTTTTTTTGAGACGGAGTCTCGCTCTGTCGCCCAGGCTGGAGTGCAGTGGCGGGATCTCGGCTCACTGCAAGCTCCGCCTCCCGGGTTCACGCCATTCTCCTGCCTCAGCCTCCCAAGTAGCTGGGACTACAGGCGCCCGCCACTACGCCCGGCTAATTTTTTGTATTTTTAGTAGAGACGGGGTTTCACCGTTTTAGCCGGGATGGTCTCAATCTCCTGACCTCGTGATCCGCCCGCCTCGGCCTCCCAAAGTGCTGGGATTACAGGCGTGAGCCACCGCGCCCGGCCAATTAAACCACTTTTGTTTATAAATTACCCAGTCTCAAGTATTTCTTTACAGTAAGGCAAGAACAGACAGTACAACTAGGGAATAATATAACTTGGAAAATGCAAATCAAAACCACAGTGAGATACCACTTCATACCCTATTAGGATGGCTAATATTAAAATAAACAAAACACAGAAAATAAGTGCTGGCCACTGCCAGCCTGGGCAACATGGAGAAACCTCGTCTCTACTAAAAATAAAAAAAAAAATAGCCAGGCGTGGTCCCAGCTACTTGGGAGGCTGAGGTGGGAGGATCACCTGAGCCCGGGAAGCACAGGTTGCAGTGAGCCGAGATCGCAATGGGCCACTGAACTCCAGCCTGGGACGGAGAGCGAGACACTGTCTCAAAAACAAAACAAAACAAAAAGTGCTGGCAAGGACATGGAGAAATTGGAAGCCTTGTGTATTGCTAGTGGGAATATAAAATAGTGCAGCCACTGTGGAAAACAGTATGGTGCTTCCTTAAAAAATTAAACATAGAATTACCATGTGATTCAGGAAATCCACTTCTGTGCATCTACCCAAAAGAACTGAAAGCAAGGACGTGAGCAGGTATTTCTTCACCCATGTTCACCGAAGCATTATTCATAATAGTCAAAAGGTGGAAACAATTCAAATGTCCATGGAAGATGAATAGATAAACAAATGTGGTATATCCATACAATGGACTATTATTTAGTATTAAAAAGGAAGAAAGGCTGGAAGCAGTGGCTCATGCCTGTAATCCTAGCACTTTGGGAGGCTGAGGTAGGAAGATCGCTTGAGGCCAGTTTGAGACTAGCCTGGGCAACATGGCGAGACCCTGTCTCTACAAAAAATTTAAAAATTAGCTTGGCATTATGGTGCACACTTGTAGTTCCAGCTACTTGGGAGGCTGAGGCATGAGGATCACTTGAACCCAGGCATCTGAGGCTGCAGTAAGCTTGACTGCACCACTGCACTCCAGCCTGGGTGACAGAGACCCTGTCAATAAAAAAAAAAAATTAATGAAGGAAATTCTAATAACATGCTCCAACATGGATGAACCTTGGAGATACTCTGCTAAGATGCCAGACACTAAAGGACAAATACTGTGTGATTCCATATATATGGGGTGCCTAAAATAGTCAAATTTTTAGGGACAAAAAGTAGAAGAGAGGTTGTGCCCAGGAGCTGAGAGAAGGGGAAAATGGGGAGTTACTGTTTAATAGGCAAGACTTTTTTTTTTTTTTTTTTTTTTTGAGATGGAGTCTTGCTCTGTCACCCAGGCTGGAGTACTAGTGGCACAATTTCGGTTTACTGTAACCTCTGCCTCCTGGGTTCAAGCAATTCTCGTGCCTCAGCCTCCCAAGTAGCTGGGACTGCAGGCTTATGCCACCACATCTGGCTAATTTTTGTATTTTTAGCAGAGACAGGGTTTCACCATGTTGGCCAGGCTGGTCTCAAACTTCTGACCTCAGGTGATCCACCCGCTTCAGCCTCCCAAAGTGCTGGGTTTACAGGCATGAGCCACCATGCCTGGCCAAGACTTTCAGTTTGGGATGTTGAAAAAGTTCTGGAGATGGATGGTGGTGATGGCTGCACAACATTGTTAATGTACTTATGCCACTGAAATGTATAATAAAAATGGTTAAAACTGTAAATTTTGTGTTATGCATATTCTACCACAATAAAAAAAGTGAGTCAATAATGATATTAAGAAAAATTCCATTGGTCATCTCTCTGTGGAGGTGTTAAGGCACCAAGCTATTGTTCTGAAAACTGCTGGGGGTGGGGGGGGGGGGTGAAATCAAGCATTTATCCTGCTTTTCCTGTTTATATAGTTTTTTTTTGAATACTCCATTTAGGAAAGTGCTTAATCAAAGAAAATTAGCCAATAAATAAAGAAGAAATGCTAGGAAAACTATTATTTTGCAACTCTAATGAAATAGTGTATCTAGCCAATGATTATTAATCACTGTTAAAATGATTTGGTGAAACTTGATGGAGAAGTTTATGATGAAGGAATCAGGCATAACACCTGAACTCACTAATTAATTTTAGCATCATTAAAGTGGGGAACTAAACATATAATTATATGCCTATCATTGTGACAAAATAGGAAGTACACAGTACCACCCAAAAAATATTTTTGCCTAAAATACTGAATCAAAATCTAATCGAGTCTCTATATCTAGCGAATTACTTACAGGAAACATGAGAGACAGAGAAACTCCAAATTTCACGTGTTTTTTCATAGGTCTTTTCAAACGTATTGTTCATAAGTAACCACTGATCTTATTGGTCTAAGTGAGTTAGGATTCTGATAGACCCTTGGGGGCAATTTTTACCAGCTTGGTCCTCCAGTTTCATTTTTATTCCTTTCTGCCAACCTTTTAATCTCTCTTCTGCATGCAGTTTATGAAGAATTTATATCCAATGGTCCCTGGCACTTTGAATAAAATCAAACTCCTTACTGAGACCTGCACAGCCCTGCCCACCTCTCCAGCCTCATGTCGTGCCTCCTGAGTCTCACTCATCATTCTGCAGTCACACCATTTATCTTCCAGTTCTTCTAGTGCCCCAAGCTCTTTACACACGCTGCTGCCTCTATCCAGAAAGCTCCTGCCTCCCTCCTACTCATGATGCTCCTCCCGTTCATCCTTTAGCTCTCAAAACAAGTGTTACACCCTCAGAGAAGCCTTCTGCAGCCAACCTGTCTAATCTAGGGTCACCTCACCCCTACAATGCTGTCTTATCTTCATGACAACTTGCAATCATCTTACCATTTTATTTGCATATGTACACTTTACCACCTGGCACATAAGCTCCTAAAGACAGCAATGGCTTGTTCACAGCTGGATTCTCACAAGTGTGCTGCCCAACTCTCTGGAAATCTGACATGAATGAGCCATTGTTCCAGTGGCACTGTCGCGCAAACTCGAGAAACTGGCTGCTATAGCAAGCTACTTCTCCACCTGAAAGGTGACTGGCTTGTGGAAACCTGGCAGTGGCTGCGGTATCTGTGACCTTAAGACAGATGATATGAGGGAGAAGGCAGAGATCATGGTCTCCACTTCCAAAGTCACAGCCAGGTAACAGGATTATCCAGAACTCTCTCACACTCAGGCTTGATGTGGATGGAGCACACTGGCTATTTCTCTGGGGAGCCTGTCCTTTAACTTTTACAAATCTGTTTATGGCATCTTCCACTGTACATATACACATATGTACATAAACACACATACCCACACACACTCTTTTTCCCTCATTTCTACAATCAAATGTGTTATGTTTGTTCCTTTAAAGTTTCAGGTTTTGCAACTTAATTTACCTTGCCAAAACTGATGATCAAATATGGATGGGCTGGGCACAGGTGCTCACCCCTGTAATCCCAGCACTTTGGGAGGCCGAGGCAGGCAGATCACCTGAGGTCAGGAGCATGAGACCAGCCTGGTCAACATGGCGAAACCCCATCTCTACCAAAAATAAAAAATTAGCTGGGCGTGGTGGCGCACACCTGTAATCCCAGCTACTCAGGAAGCTGAGGCAGGAGAACTGCTTGAACCTAGGAAACATAGGCTGCAGTGAGCCAAGATGGCACCACTGCACACCAGTCTGGAAGACAGAGCAAGACTCCATCTCTAAAGAAAAAAAAACAAACAAAACACAAATATAGATGAACCCTCCAAAGATGATATGCCAATAAGCATATGAAAAGACAGTCAACATCACTAACTATCAGGGAAATGCAAATCAAAATCACAATGAGATACCTCTTCGCAACCACTAGGATTACTATAATCAAACAGACAATAACAAGTGTTGACAAAATGTTAGAGAATTTGGAATCCTCATATACTGCTCAGGGTAATACAAAATGGTACAGACATGTTGGAAAACACAGTGGCAGTTCCTCAAATGGTTAAACATAAAATTACCACACAACCAAGAAATTTTACTCCTAGGTATATATATCCAAGAGAAATGAAAAACATGTCTACAAACCAACATGCAGATGAACGTTTGGAGCAGTATTATCATAATACCAAAAACTGGAAACAACTCAAATGTCTATCAATTGACAAATGGACAAACAAAATGTAGTATAACTGTACAATGGAATATTATTCAGCCATGAAAAGGAATAAAGTACTGATACATGGATGAACCTTGAAAACATTATGCTAAGTGAAAGAAACCAGACCCAAAGTTCCCTTAATATGAACTGTACCAATTACGTAAATCCATTGAAACAAAAAGTCAATTAATGGTTGCCTAAGGCTGGGGGTGGGGGTGTGGAATGGGGGAAATAAGGGATGACTGCTAATGGGTATATGGTTTATTTGCAGAGTGATGAAAATATTCTAAAATTGATGATGGTTGCATAACTATGAACATACTAAAAACCACCAATTTATATACTTTAAATGGATAAACTGTATGGTATGTGAATTATATTTCAATAAAGCTGTTACAAAAAATATAAAGATGAATCATTCCTAAACAATTCCCTCTTCTGAGGAAAAAAAAAAAAACACAGAAAATGTTCTGTCCTCTCCAATCCACAAAAATGCAAATCCAAATATCTACCCTTGATAATGTGGAGACACTACAGGAAATTCTTTAGGCAGATTAGTGAAGTTATTGTCTATGAAGTTCAAAGCCCAACCATTTCCATGTTTTTAGTCAGTTCAGACTGACTCAAACCGTATTTAGAAATGCACTCTAGAAAAATGCTTTGAAGAATTTTATTCTCAACATTCATAAATTTAAAATATCTATCCAGGCAAGAGAAAATGCCTGGAAAATTCAGTGCTTTGCTCGGACGTTCCTTAGAACTCTACTTTTTTAGCTCCCTCTATCTGTTACCACATTACAAAGTGAAGCAACTCTGTAAGCTGCTAACACGAAAAGACGCTTAGTGCTGGCTCTCCTCATACCTCTCTGGCCATTCTTAGTTGCCCCTTTGAGCTACTCCTCCTCTGATAGACCTTAAGTGCTATGCCCTCTCTGTTTCTAAGAGCAACATATTCCTTCTGGGAAGATTCCCAAATCCATCCCTCTAGCCCAGATCTTTGTCCTGTGCTCCAGAACCCAAATATTCAACTGCCTAGTGGACAGGTCCCAAAATCAAAAGTCCAAAACCAAATCTTCCAAGTCTTTCAATATGCCTTCCCAGTCTTGGCAAATGACATCACCATCTGCCTACTTGAACAAGGCAGAAACCTGGGAGTTATCCTCTACTCTTCACTCTCCTTCACATCCAATTAATCACAGTCTTATCCTTCCTGCCTTCTTGAGACGGAGTTTCGCTCTAGTTGCCCAGACTGGAGTGCAATGGTGCGATCTAAGCTCACTGCAACCTCCGCCTCCTGGGTTCAAGCGATTCTCCTGCCTCAGCCTCCTGAGTAGCTGGGATTACAGGCATACACCACAACACCCGGCTAATTTTGTATTTTTAGTACAGACGGGGTTTCTCCATATTGGTCAGGCTGATCTCGAACTCCCAACCTCAGGTGATCCACCCGCCGCGGCCTCCCAAAATGCTGGGATTACAGGTATGAGCCACCATGCCCGGCCCCTTCCTGCCTTCTTAGTATCTCTCAAGTCCTTTTCCTTCTATCTTCACTGCCGTACCAAAGCTACTGTTTTTACCTCCTGCCTGAATTATGGAGGCGCCTCCTGAGTGATCTTCCAAATGCCTGGGCTACTCCCCTCTGGATGCTGTGTGACTACTCTAGAATCAATGTGATCACACCACTCTGCGCTTAAAATCCACTATGGCTCTCCATTACCCTTCCCAATTTTCTTACACCGCCCCAACACCACCCACTTCCTACATGTGCCATCTTCCTTCTCGCCACCTGGCCACACATTTCATTTCTACTGTCTGGAAAGCTCTCTTGGCTCACTCTCATTCCTCTTGGATGTCTAACTTAGGCATCACTTCTTCTGAGAAACCACTTTGACAGACTGAGCGAGGGGTTCCTCTGCTGCCGTAACACCCTGTTTTTAGCCCCACCTTAACATTAACTCTACTGAAGCATAACATGCTAGATCACAACTGCCGGTTTGCTCTGTGTTTCCCTGTCACCTCCAACCCCCAGGACCCCTGAGCTCATTCAAAACATCCAAGGGTGCTAAGCATGATGTAAACATTTAACAAATATTTGTTGAATTATTAGTTTGTCCTCAGTACTTATTTAATGGTATTCCTTTACAACATTCATGAAGTCACCCTTGCCAACCACGGAGGCAGTAGTTAGATGCTAGAAATAAGGTTCTGCTTAAAATAAATAAATAAGCTAGTGAAGACATGCCACGTCCACATAAGTACTCCCCAAAGAAATGGACCAGTCACTAAGTGTCTATGACGTGCCAAGCATTATACTTGGAGCTTTAGATATCAAATATCTTGAAACAGCTGACATTAACTGTGGGTAAGAGCCAGGCACTGTGCTATGCACTTCACATGTTATCATATTTATTTATTTATTTTCAAGACAGGATCTTGCTCTGTTAAGCCCAGGCTGGAGTACAGTGGCACAATCTCGGCTCACTGCAATCTCCATCTCCTGGGTTCAAGTGATTGACCAGCCTCAGCCTCCCAAGTAGCTGGGAGTACAGGTGTGCGTCACACACCTGGCTAATTTTTGTGTTTTTAGTCGAGACAGTTTTCACCATGTTAGCCAGACTGGTCTCGAACTCCTGACCTCAAGTGATCCAACCTCCTTGGCCTCCCAAAGTGCTGGGATTACAGGCGTAAGCCATCACACCTGGCCGTGTTATCAAATTACAAGGTTATCACAATGACCCCATAAGGTAGGTGAGGCATCTAATAAGATGAAGTGAGTTCTTCATGTTCTCACCACATGGCTAAGGTAGTGGTCACCACACAGCTAGGTCTGGGACATGGCAATCTGCTGCCACAGGTTGAGCTCTCCATTCTTGCACCATCCCACCTCTGTCAAATATCCAGACCATGGCACTCTGCTTACCACTCCTAGAAGATGGTTAAGGCTTCCAGCTTCTTGGAACTGATGAGAAGCTGAGCTGGAGCAATGAAAAGTGACCTCTCTCTAGGAGATCATACTCCGTATCACTGCTGATGATTCCCAAATTCAACTCTCCAGTCAAGACCTCCCTCTCCAAGGACCAGACCCAGGAGACATCTCTGCAGGGTCTTCAAGTTTTACCCTTTCATGGCCAGGGCACGGTAGCTCACGCCTGTAATCCCAGCACTTTGGGAGGCCAAGGTGGGTGGATTACCTGAGGTCAGGAGTTTGAGACCAGCCTGACCAACATGGCAAAACCCTGTCTCTACTAAAAATACAAAAATTAGCCGGGCATGGTGGTGGGCGCCTGTGATCCCAGCTATCTGGGAATCACTTGAACCCAGGAGGCAGATGTTGCAGTGAGCCAAGATTGCATCACTGCACTCCAGCCTGGGCAACAGAGCAAGACTATGTTTCAAAAAAAGTTTTACCCTGTCACCTTTCTATTTCCCACTCCTCCT
Source organism: Homo sapiens (assembly GCF_000001405.40). Taxonomy (NCBI): domain Eukaryota; kingdom Metazoa; phylum Chordata; class Mammalia; order Primates; family Hominidae; genus Homo; species Homo sapiens. The sequence continues at coordinate 34,272,187 of NC_000019.10, read as the reverse complement.
GCTATATTTACTGCCTTGCTTGGTCAAAGGCACAACCAACTTTTAACCCAAACTTAAGGTGTTATTCCAGATGGTCCCCGTCCTGTTGTCTAGCCTGTCCTTTCAATCCTGTCAATCCTGTTCACCACAGTGCCTCTTCTACAGCAACTGCTCCATAAATGTTACCTATTATTATTATATCCTAAATGTTTCTCATTTCCTCCTTACCCTTGCACTACTCAGCTTCCAAGGAAATTGACTTCCAGAGCAAGCAATATCAAGGCACAGAAGCTGACAGAATGCCTTCTATGAGGACAAGAAGCCAGCCTGCCAAAGGCTCAGGCCCTAGTTTTTTTGTTTTTGTTTTTGTTTTTGTTTTTGAGACTTGCTCCATGCCCCAGGCTAGAGCACAGTGGCACGATCATAGCTCACTGCAGCTTTGACCTCCCTCAAGTGAACCTCCCACCTCAGCCTCCTAAGTAGCTCAGCTAATTTTTATTTTTTGATTTTTTGTAGAGATGGGGTCTCTCTACATTGCCCAGGCTGGTCTCAAACTCCTGGGCTCAAGCAATCCTTCTGCCTCGGCTCCCAAAATGCTGGTACTACAGACATGAGCCACCGCGCCCAGCTCCTAGTTCTTTCAATGAAAGTGCACAGAAGGGGCCGGGCGTGGTGGCTCACACCTGTAATCCCAGCACTCTGGAAGGCCGAGGCGGGTGGATGACGAGGTCAGGAGATCGAGACCAGCCTGGCCAACATGGTGAAACCCTGTCTCTACTAAAAATACAAAAAGTTAGTTGGGTGTGGTGGCACACACCTGTAGTCCCAGCTACTAGGGAGGCTGAGACAGGAGAATCGCTTGAACCCGGGAGACAGAGGTTGCAGTGAGCCAAGATCACGCCACAGCACTCTAGCCTGGGCAACAGAGTGAGACTTCATCTAAAAAAAAAAAAAAAAAAAAAAGAAAGTGCACAGAAGGTATACCTGAACACTAGCTGAAGCTGATAGAGCACAGCATACTCTAAGTAGCAAACTAAGAATTATGAGAATGTCAGATATGAAAATAGAAACTAACAAATGGCTTTAATCCCAGGGAACCAAACATTCTACTTTATTCCATTTTATAAGTTAGTAATTAGTAATTCAATTCTTTAACACAGTGGTTCTCAACAAGTGGGGAAAAGTATAATTTTGTGTCCTTCTCTGCCCTACCAACATCTGGCAATGTCTAGAGATGTTTTGGTTGTCACCCTGGGCAAGTGCTAGTGGGTAGCATCCAGTGGGTAGAGGCCAGAAGTGCTGCTGAACATCCCATAATGCACAAGACAGCCCCTACAAAGAATTATCTACCCCAAAATGTCAACAGTGCAGCTCTTAAGAATCTCCGATAAACTAATGCTTTGAGCACCTTCCATATTCAAGTTAACTAATGTATAACAAGTTACTTCTTTCTGGGGAGATGATACAAACTTTCTCCATAAATTAAGCTATAACGGGTCCATAAGCTAAGAAGAGGCATCATCAAAAAAGAGACTGATAAATGCTAAATAAGTCGTTTAGAAAACAAATGCCATGGGTTCAGAGGAAGGAGGGTGCCATAGAGGCTGAGGCCCCCCTCAAAGATCTGAGAGAGCAGACTAGGCTCCTCAGCTCACTTCAAGCTGCCAGTCAAGGCCCTCTAGAGAGTAACCAGAATCCACCTCCCTATCCTTACCTGCAACAGGGCCTGTCCCTTCAACTTAACCTTCCCTCAAGCTGCAGAGGCCACAGGGCCACGACATTCCACCCACATTGTTACTGCTGAAAAAAGCCCTCACTTCCTTCACAAAAGTGCTGTCCTCCAACTAAACAGCAACCCCTGTCTCCACCCACAAGGCTGAGGACATGATGTCACCTCAACCCAATCACAAAATCATGTTCCTATGACTCCTAGAGGAAGAAGGTAGTGAAAAGATTAAGGTGGAAAATGCCTTAAATGGCTCAGGCCCTGAGGCCTTGTCCTCTGCCACCTAAAATCACTGCTTAGCAGCAGCCAGCCAGGAGCCGCCTCATTTCCTGTGCAACTGCGGTAAAAATAGGAAGTGGGGGAGGAAGTTCACAAAGCAGAAACAAAAGTAATCACTGCCTAGCTTCCTGAACACAAATCACCGAGCAGGGAGGGTATCATTAAAACATCAGAAGAGAAAGGCGGGCATGGAGAGCAAGGCCAGAGGAAAAGAAGTGACACTTTGGGGTGGGGTCCACCAAGCCCAGACTATTTCTGTGCCTGAGACACTGCTCCAAAAGGAAAACTGGACAAAACTGGACACTAGCCTATTCTACAGAAATGGCTTCCATGGAATTAATACTAAAGCATGTTCACTTGAAGACATGCAAAAACTGAACTGTTCTAGCAGAGTAAAAAATATCAATGAAAAGGTTTTAAGGAGGCCAAGATTAAACTATTTTTCTAGTCAAGAGGTAGCTACTAAAACAAAACAAAGGTCAGGTCTGGTGGCTCACACTGTAATCCTAACACTTCAGACGGCCAAGGCAGGAGGATCACTTGGGCCCAGGTGTTCATGGTTGCAGTGAGCTATGATCATGCCACTGCACTCCAGCCTGGGTAACACAGCAAGGGCCTCTCTCAAAATAAATAAATAAATACATAAATAGAAATAAATTTTAAAAACAAAACAAAAGAGCTACTATATAATTGATTGGTTGACAAAATCCGAAGCCCATGTTATCCTATACTGAGCTATGAAAACTCAGGCGGATAGGAAAAAAACTACTGAATAAACATTCTAATCAGTGCCAGAATCTATCACAAGTAAAAATAAAGAGGCTTCTACAACCATCCCCACCCCCAACACGGGTCAACCCTGTGAGGCTCCAGGCACCCAGGATGCAGTGGGAAAGGAGACAGATGCAGCACCGGCTCGCTACCAATCTCATGTGGGAACAACCTGCTTCCACGTGGTGATCCATGACCGCCTCTGGTACTGACATTTGCTCTGTAACAATTTACCACCACAAACCATGGCGTTCCTCTATGAAGCCAAAGCAACTTATCATTAGCGGTTCTGAAGAGCTTTTATATTTGGTAATCTACAAACAACTGATCATTTCATTTAAGCAGAAGAACAACTTTTCTAACCGCAAGGTCAACAGAGCCAAAATTTACTTTCAAAATAACAGAGGTTTTAAAAAAATAGGTCAAATGTGCTAAGTAGTAATATAGATAAAGAACAGGCTTAATTTTGTTTCATTTGAGGGGTGGCTTGTTGTTTTTGCTTTTATTTTTGGTGGGGAAGGAACAGGAAGATCAATGCGTAACTTTTTTTAAACAGTCACTACGTTAATAAGTAAAAAAGTAAATGAAACGGGTAGTAATCACCACATATTCAATTTCTTTTTTCTTTCTTCTTTTAAGAGACGGAGTCTCACTGTGTTGCCCAGGCCAGTCTCAAACTCCTGGACTCAAGCAACCCTCCCACCTCGACCTCCCAAAGTGCTGGGATTACAGGTGTGAGTCACTATACCTGGCCTCAATTTCATACAAAGAAAAATAGTGAACATTTAATGAAAAAAAAAAATCCAGTATTACTTGGTCCTGATGAGGACAGACCTAGCTGTCTGTCTGATTTTCTGGTAACAAATGGACTTAACTGTACTCTAAGACTGTTGTTTTAGTCTTCTTATGAAGTCAAAAGCTCACTCTCAAAACCTGCTGCCATCAAAACAAAACAAAACTAGTATTAGAACTCTTGAAGGAATTCTATTACAGGAACACTGTGAGCCAAAAAAAAAATCTTTGTTAAACAGAGATCTTCAAAGGAAGAAGAAACAACGAAAAAAGGGGCAAATCCCCGCCAAGGAAAGTTTTGTCTACAAACACATACAAACCACCACCTATCACCAAAGGATGAACAAAGCTGGCTCCTAAACTTCCGAAAAAGTTTGTTCAGGTAAAAGGAAGGTTTCATCTATCAACTAAAATAGTCTTGGACCATTAAAAATTTCTGCATCAAATGTGCCCAAGTACTATGAAAACATTTGTGACAACAAATTGTGTTGCTAGTGGAAATTCAAGTGTAAATCAGGGGGTGAAAATAATTTATTTCTAAGTAGATTTAAAAAAAAAAAAACACAAAGCACCACGTGCAGTGGTTCACGCCTCTAATCCCAGCACTTTGGGAGGCCAAGGCGGGTGGATCACGAGGTCAAGAGTTCGAGACCAGCCTGGCCAACATGGTGAAACCCCGTCTCTACTAAAAATACAAAAATTAGCCAGGTATGGTGGCAGGTGCCTGTAATCCCAGCTACTCAGGAGGCTGAGGCAGGAGAATTGCTTGAACCTGGGAGGCAGGGGTTGCAGTGAGCCAAGATTACCCCACTGCACTCCAGCCTGGGCAACAGAGCGAGACTCCATCAAAAAAAAAAAAACAAAAAAACCACAAAGCAATTATATAATTTATTCAAACCTAATTTGTTAAAAAAAAAAATCAACAGTCTACACCAGTTAGAAACCTGCGGTTTATTTTTGTTACAGTGTGGTACAATGTGCAAAAGCCCAGGTATCCAAAAAAAAGTTTTCAAAACTTCTAAAAAAAAGGTTGGATTACTGAAAACTAATTGTGTCCATTAGAAAGTTATTTAAGAAGACTTAAAATTCTATTTTTTGTTTTTGTTTTTACTTATTTTTTTAAAGACAGGGTCTTGGCTGGGCACGGTGGCTCATACCTGTAATCCCAGCACTTTGGGAGGCCAAGGTAGGAGGACTGCTTGAGCTCAGGAGCTCAAGACCAGCCTGGGCAACATAGCAAGACTTCGACTCTACTAAAAAGTAAACAAAAAAAAATTAGCCCAGTGTGCTGGCATATATCTGTAGTCCCAGCTACTTGGGAGGCTGAGGTAGGAGGATGGTTTCAGCCAGGGAGATTGAGGCTGCAGTGAGACCTTACAGTCTCTTGCTCTGTTGCCAAGGCTAGAGTACTGCAGTTGTGTGATCGCGGCTCACTGCAGCCTTGATCTCCCGGGCTCAGGCAACTTCCCACCTCAGCCTCCCAAGTAGCTGGAACTACAGGCACACACCACCATGCCTGGGTAATTTTTAAATTTTTCTGCAGAAGATGGGGTTTCGCTGTGATGTTCAGGTTGGTCTCGAACTCCTGGCCTCAAGCGATCCTCCCGCCTCGGCCCTTCAAAGTGCTGGGATTACAAGCATAAACTACCATGTCTGGCCCAAGAAAACTTAAAAATTCTATACTGCCACTCTTAACAACTTTGCACTATGGAACCTATCCAAAATTAACCTCAAATGGAGGAAAAAAAAACAAGTATTTATCCAGAAGCTTATATATAAATAGGTAAATCGAACTATAATTTAGAAATTTTTTTCTCACTATGGAGAAGGATTATATAAATTTTAGATAAACTTAAGATTCAAAATCATTTCTGAGAATTTAAGGCATCCATAAAAAATTCTATCAATAAATTATAACATCTCTTCCAAGCTGAGAACACTGACTCCAATTTTGCATACCCAGCAAACCTTCCCATCCCTCAAAAAGACCAGAAAGTTGCCTGATGCAATGGCTCACACCTGTAATTCCAGCACTTTGGGAGGCCGAGGTGAAGAGATCAAGACCATCCTGGCCAACATGGTGAAACCCCATCTCTACTAAAAATACAAACATTAGCTGGGCATGGTGGCATGCGCCTACAGTCCCAGCTACTCAGGAGGCTGAGGCAGGGGAATCGCTTGAACCCCGGAGATAGAGGTTGCAGTGAGCCGAGATTGCGCCACTGCACTTCAGCCTGGGTGACAAAGCGAGACTCCTGTCTCAAAAAAAACAACAGAAAATCAGAGTCACAGCCAGGAAGCTCATTCTTCCCAATATTTCATCAGGTCAAACATTAAGAAATGAGAAAATTCTAGGTGATTCCTCACCATCCACTCGCTAGGCAGGGAAGACAGCCCCAGAGAGCAGGCCCGCAGTGGTTCACCTCCAGGCTGGCTTCTGGCTCTGCCACTTATCTGCGCCATGAGCCTTCACATACTCAAACATTCACTAAGGTTCTCCTAAGTGCATAGCACTGCTCCAGGAACCCAGGATGCAGTGGTGAAGAGACAGACATAATGCTTGCTCTCAAGGAGCTTACCGTTAATAAGGGAAAAGGAGAAAATGCTCAGGCCCTTGCCTTTCAGGTAGATGCTCCAATACAAAGAAACTTCATGGAAACGACGCACTTCCAAAATGCAGTAGTTACTGGTACGGGTATGGGAATCAGACTGATCTAGATGTGAATTCCTGCTCTTAGTAAATATCAGCTGAATAAATGGCACTTACTAACTTTGAGCAAGTCGCCTAACTCTTGTGCCTCAGTACTGCTGAGGATTAAATCCATAAAGCACAGCCTCTGCCATACCCTCAGTCTCCGTAAATGAAAGCTACTGCTCTGAAAGAGGGCGTGGATTAGTAAGAAGATAGCATTTCATCTTCCACTGCAATTCTTAATTCTTGTCTTCTACTAGTCGAAAACAAACTCCCTCGAACCCCCAAAATCTGTAAGTTAAAACAACTTTCAGAAATAAAACTTACCTTCCTGCAGCTCTGGGCCCAACTCCCAAGTCCAGGCAACAAACTAAAAGAAGTAATGCCCTATGCGCTGGAGGGGAAAGAGGTCATGGCTCCTCCCATTTCCGTGCCCACCACTCCCTCCTCTTTCAACCCCAAGCCAAAGGCAGGAACAGAAGGGACACAGTTGAGGAGGGGCATCACCTGGAATTACAAAGTACATTACAAAGTGACTCAAGCACAAGGATGTAGCGCATTCTCTCCCACCTTGACACCCAGGAGCAGCACAGGTCCTTGTGGCTGGTGAGAGGAACCACTTCCGCCTCTTCCTGCCTAGGTCACCAGAGCCTGCGGCACCCAAGTCTGGGAGCCAAGCCAGCTTTCCCCAAACTCTGTTCCCATGAACATATATCCACCTCGGGGACCGGGGGTGGGGTGAGGGAAGATGCGAGTTATTTCCAGGTTTCCTGGCCATAATTAGCATCTCACTAGTACTTAATCCCAAAATCATTTTTAGTAAGAAAATCAGATTTTTTTTCAGGTAATATCTTGCTCTAATTCCACTTTCAAAAATCTTCCCATTATGATTCTTTGCCACTGCCAATTTGAAAACACACTTAACTGACAGTGGCCCAGACACAAGGAACATAATCAAAATGACTTAAAAAAAAGAAAGAAAAGCAATATTCTATCTAGGCACGAATCCTAGAACAGACTCACGGTTAATGTAGAGGCCTGCGTCAAGAACACTCACTGGCAACACTGGTTATTCCCACGTGCCCTGCATTACGAGGATTGTTAAATACGTCACACAGAACACCTCATAGCCATTCCAAACATCAAGGCAGAGCAACCACACTTCACTGAGTCAAAGATGTCACCATTTACAAATCATATCATTGTCTCATATATGCCAAGAAAAACTCTGCCATATAACAATGACATGCCAGCCGGGCGTGGTGGCTCACACCTATAATCCCAGCACTTTGGGAGGCCGAGGTGGGCGGATCACAAGGTCAGGAGATCAAGACCATCCTGGCTAACACAGTGAAACCCCGTCTCTACTAAAAATACAAAAAATTAGCCAGGCATGGTGGCGGGCACCTGTAGTCCCAGCTACTCAGGAGGCTGAGGCAGGAGAATGGCGTGAACCGGGGAGGCAGAGCTTGCAGTGAGCTGAGATCATGCCACTGCATTCTAGCCTGGGCAACAGAGCAAGACTCCGTCCCCCCCTCCAAAAAAAAAAAGACATGTCATCACATGACACGTCCAAATTTCAGGCCTCCTCAAAGCTCTTGTCCTGTTTCTGACTCCTCTGCCTGCCTCAGGCTGGCTGGGACACACAACATGGAAAAAGTCCCTTTGTGTTATTTTCCCTCTAGAAATTACCCATATTTAACAACCATCATTTTGATGAAACCATCTTGGGCCACCTCAGTTCCCAAGGAGCCTTTCTGACTCCTGCAGCCTCTGCTGTCTCTGTCATTAGCTGCATGCTCTCCCTTTCCAAATGAACTGGGAGCATCAGAGACAGAGGCTGGACACATCTTTACACTTACGGTCATGCATAGCACAGGGACAGAGCAACAGAGACGACGACAAACACATACCTCCTGGGAACTGTTCCAAGGACTTTACAAATATTAACTCAGTAATGCCTCACTACAACCCCAGGAGGCAGGTATTACTACCTCCCCATTTTCAGAGGAGGTAAACTGAGGTCAAGGCAGGGGCAGGCCTTGAACCCAAGCCGCCTTGCACAGTCCTCACTCTTAACCTCCATGCTACATTCACTCTACACAACAGCCATGTCCATCATAGACATTTATTTTAAAAGTTATTGTTAAAATGAAAACATAGACCGGGTGCGGTGACTCGCGCCTGTAATCCCAGCACTTTGGGAGGCCGAGGTGGATGGATCACTTGAGGTCAGGAGTTCGAGACCAACCTGGCCAACATGGCCAACATGGTGAAACCCTGTCTCTATTAAAAATACAAAAATTAGCCAGACGTAGTGGCGGGCACCTGTAATCCCAGCTACTCAGGAGGCTGAGGCAGGAGAATCGCTTGAACCCAGGAGGCGGAGGTTGCAGTGAGCCAAGATTGCACCACTTCACTCCAGCCTAGGCAACAGAGCAAGACTCTGTCTCAAAAAAAAAAAAAGAAAAAAAAGAAAATACATATACACAGGGAAAAAAATTCACACCATACAAAATGGTATGCAAAGAAAAAGCTAACTCAGCCTAACAGCCTGGTTTTCTGGGGTCTCATCCCAAAAACAACCACTGTTTCTTTTCTATCATTCCATAAATTATTTCTGCACTTATAAACCTATTTCATGTATATCTATCTATCTATCTATCTATCTATCTATCTATCTCTCTATCGAGAGAGGGAGACATTATTTATTTTATTTTTATTTATTTATTTTTTGAGATGGAATCTTGCTCTGTCACCCAGGCTGGAGTGCAGTGGCACGATCTTGGCTCACTGCAACCTCCACCTCCCAGGTTCAAGCAATTCTCCTGCTGCAGCCTCCTGGACAGCTGGGATTACAGGCACCCGCCACCATGCCCAGTTAATTTTTGTATTTTTAGTAGAGGTGGGGTTTCACCATGTTGTCAGGCTGGTCTCAAACTCTGGACCTCAGGTGATCCGCCCGCCTCAGCCTCTCAAAGTGCTGGGATTACAGGCGTGAGCCACCATGCCTGGCCTATATATATTTTTTTAAACAAATGAGCTCATATTACTTCAAAAGTGGAGAAATTTTTTAAAATTAGAAAAACACAAATGGGCAAACATACATTGTTCTGTACCTTGCTTCTTTCACTGATTTCTCTGAGCTTGATCCACATCTGCACCTGTCCTGTTTTTATTAAATTCTAAGATATAAATATTTTTACATTTTAACTTCGTGGTTTTTCATGAAGTCAGAGGATCTTAGTGTGCTTGGACTTCATCAGGAAACAGGATCACAAAAAGCTTTTAAACATATATAAGACACTGGGAGTTATCTTGGCAGCCATGTGCAGGCTGAATCAAGAAGCAGAGGCCAGGCGAGGTGACTCACGCCTACAATCCCAGCACCTTGGGAGGCCAAGGCAGGCGGATCACCTGAGGTCAGGAGTTCCAGACCAGCCTAGCCAATATGGTGAAACCCCATCTCTACTAAAAATACAAAAATTAGCTGGGCGTGGTGACGCATGCCTGTAATCCCAGCTACTTGGGAGGCCAAGGCAGGAGAATTGCTTCGACCCAGGAGGTGGAGGTTGCAATGAGCTGAGATCGCACTACTGCATTCCAGCCTGGGTGAGAGAGAGACTCCGCCTCAAAAAAAAAAAAAAAAAAAAAAAAAAAAGCAGCAGCTGGGCATGGTGGCTCACTCCTGTAATCCCAGCACTTTGGGAGACCAAGGTGGGCGGATCACAAGGTAAGGAGTTCAAGACCAGCCTGGCCAATATGGTGAAACCCCGCCTCTATTACAAATACAAAAATTAGCCAGGCATGGTGGCACTCACCTGTAGTCCTAGCTACTCGGGAGGCTGAGGCAGAAGAATCGCTTGAACCCAGGGAGGCAGAGGTTGCAGTAAGTCGAGATCCTGCCACTGCCTTCCAGCCAGGGTGACAGAGCAAGATTCCATTTCAAAAAAAAAGGCAGGGAGACCTACCAGGTGACATGTGACATGATGCCACACATACCAGAGGTAAGTACCTACATCAAAGGGTTGTTGTGAGGATTAAACAATGCAATGTAGACAAAGCTCTCAGCATCAAACCTGGTTAGCGCAGTGAGTCGAAGGACTCAGCACAGGACCTGAAGTGCTGTTAGTGCCCAGTTAGACATTGTTATTAGTTATTTCAAGGACTGCTCCCACTTTCCAATGTCATTTCCCTCTACTCCTTATTCATACCTGTCCAGACTCTACCCTCAATCTCCTGCAGCTCAAATACCTCATGCTTGCTCTCACCTCCACACCTTTGGACGTGTCATGCCCCTGCCCAAGAGTCCTCCCCTCTTGCTGTGGCACTGGACTTACTTTTTCCCACAGTACTCAGCTCAAGAACAGCCTTCTCCAGAAGTCTCCCCTGAGAACTGCAGGCTGGATTCCCTGGATGAGCAGTGTAGGAAGAGCTTATCTGTCATTACTTCCCAGTGTCTGTTTATCAGCTTATTCAATGCACCCAGAAGCAAGCAGTTCCATGGGGATTAATTATTTAGGCTATCTAAGCTCAAAGAAAACTGATGTATGAACCAGAGGCCAGTTACTACTTTATGAATACCAACGAGAGCTAATACTGTCATTGAATACTTATCACAGGTGCCGGGTAGCACGCTCAGAGCCCTCACTGCAACACTAAGAGAAAGGTGCTACTATTATCCCCATTCTACAAATCAGAAAACTGAAAGATTAGCCAGCATCCCAAGACCAGGATCTGATCCAAGCAGCTTAGATGCAGAGCCCTCAACCACTCACATTCTCTCCTTACCAAGAAATCTCCACGTGCAGCTATCTTCTACTCAGATGGTACTGGGAGGACAGACGCTAAGCAAGGGAGAGACCCTTGCAGCCAGAGGCAACAACAGGGACACGCCCATCTGTGTGTTAGTGCAGATGGCTTTGTGGAGGGAACGCTGCACTGCTCCTCTGGTCAGGCCCCCAGAGAGTGCTACACACACACCACGTAATTCCTCTCTTGGACCCGCCACCCCAATTTCCAGACACTGTCCCAATCCTCTCCCAGAAACACAAGTATTTCTTCTGAGGATACAAAATTAAGTTTAAGCTTTCCAGCTACAAACACATTCCATGCATGCCTTCCTGGGGTTATAGCTGGGTCAGTTTGGTTGAATTTAAAGTTTTCCCTGAGATTCTTCAAACTACATTTACGAAATATCTTTTGACTTATATCTTTTCTATAGATAGCTAATGTGTATGACATTTTTTCTGATTTCATTCTCAGATGATCATTCATTCCTTCAACAAATACTTCATTAATGCTAAACGACGAGTTAGTGGGTGCAGCACACCAGCATGGCACATGTATACATATGTAACTAACCTGCACATTGTGCACATGTACCCTAAAACTTAAAGTATAATAATAAAATAAAAATAAAAAAATGATATTACCAAATCCTTGTCATAGAAAAGGTGATCAAGAAGTATATAGCCAAAATTATCAGGAAAAGATATTATAGGCTTATCTTGGAGATATTGCAGGTGTCATTCCAGATCATTTCAAGAAAGTGAATATCGCAATGAAGCAAGTCACATGATGTTTTTTATTTTCCTGTACATATAAAAGTTATATTTACACTATATTGTAGTCTGTTAAGTATGCAATCGCATTGTCACAAAAACAATGCACATACCTTAATTTAAAAATACTTCATTACTAAAAAATGCTAATGATCATCTGCATCTTCAGCAAGTGGTAAACTTTTTGTTGGCAGAGGGTCTTGCCGTGATGTTGATGGCTGCTAATTGATCAGAGTGTGGGTGCTAAAGGTTGGGGTGGCTGTGGCAATTTCTTAAAATAAGGTTTATTAGTCTGTTCTCACCCTGCTATGGGGAAATGCCCAAGACTAGGTAATTTATAAAGGAAAGAGGCTTAATTGATTCACAGTTCCCCAGGGCTGGGAGGCCTCAGAAAACATATTCATGGCAGAAGGGGAAGCAAACACGTCCTTCTTCACATGGCAGCAGCAAGAAGAATGAGACCCAAGTGAAGGGGGAAGCCCCTTATAAAGCCATCAGATCTTGTGAGAAGTTGCTCACTATCACAAGCATAGCATGGGGGAAACTGCTCATATGATTAAATTACCTCCCATTAGGTCCTTCCCACCACATGTGGGGATTATGGGAACTACAATTCAAGATGAGATTTGGGTGAGGACACAGCCTAACCATATCATTCTGCCCCTGGCTCCTCATGTCCCCTCATTAAACTGAATGAAATACAAAACAAACAAACAAACAAACAAAAAAAACTTCATCATTTCCACGCACTGTGTTCTAGGCCCTGGAGATCAAAGCAGTAAATAAGACACGCAAGATCTCTGAAACCTGGGAGAGGTTACTTGGTGACTCCCCTTCTAGGCACTTATAATACTTTATGACAATTGCTTATTTGGCATTCTTCCCAGGATGTGCTGTCCAGCTCTGTATTCTGATCTTCCAGTAAAGTAACTGGGCTGTACTGTAGGTACTCCATAAATGTGAGCTAACTCAATTCTTGAGTAAATTCACTGGGTCTCCTCTTTCACATCCAGAGTAGGACCACGTTAAGCCTGAAATCCCTTAAGAAAAGGTACAAAGTCTAAATCGAGGTGTAGGGATAGAAAGCAAATGGCAAATACAATCCATATCAAGAAGGAAGATGTGATTCACCGGCTGGTAAGAACCTTAAGAGTCAGGAAGGACAGGACACCTTGATAAGTGATATTTATTTATTTATTTATTTACTTATTTATTTTGAGACAGGGTCTCGCTCTGTTGCTTGGGCTGGAGTGCAGTGGCACAATCACAGTTCACTGAATCCTTAACCTCCTAGGCTCAAGCAATCCTCCGGCCTCAGCCTCCCAAGTAGCTGGAATTATAGGCATGGACCACCACACCTAGATAATTTTGGAGTCTCACTATGTTGCCTAGGCTGATCTCAAGCAATCCTCCCACCTTGGCCTCCCAAACTTCTGGGATCACAGGCATGAGCCCCTGTGCCAGACCTAAAATTCATTTTTTTAAGAGACAGAGGTCTCACTATGTTGCCCAGGCTGGTCTCCAACTCCTGAGAGCATGTAATCCTCTCACCTTGTCCTCGCAAAGAAGTGATATTTTCTTTTCTTTTTTTTTTTGAGACGGAGTCTTACTCTGTCGCCCAGGCTGGAGTGCAGTGGCACGATCTCAGCTCACTGCAAGCTCCGCCTCCCAGGTTCACACCATTCTCCTACCTCAGCCTCCTGAGTAGCTGGGACTACAGGCGCCCATCGCCATGTCCGGCTAATTTTTTAATATTTTTTTTTTAGTAGAGATGGGGTTTCACCATGTTAGCCAAGATGGTCTCGGTCTCCTGACCTCGTGATCCGCTCACCTCGGCCTCCCAAAGTGCTGGGATTACAGGCGTGAGCCACTGCGCCCGGCCAGAAGTGATATTTTCTTCACCTGGAGAAAGCATGGCCTCAGGAACATGTCCAGGGGTTACTGAACAGGAGAAAAAGAATTGACCTGCAGAAAACTCTGAGTCGGGGGTCACTAAGTGGTGGCAGAGGTAAGGAAATGAGGTGGTTCTCTACCCAGGACTCATATACTGGATAAGTGGGAAGGAATATGTTTTGGAGCGGGGGTAAGAGGTACAAAACTAGGCTTCAGAAAATGCCCCAAGGTAGATGTATGAAGAGAAGCAGTAAAGACAAATGAGAAAGTGCAGTCACAGATTTCAGGAAATGACCACACTAGTTCCAAGTCAAGAAGGCCAATCAAGGCCAAGCGTGGTGTCTCACGCCTGTAATCCCAGCACTTTTGAGGTCAGGAGTTCAAGACCAGCCTGGCCAACATGGTGAAACCCCATCTCTATTAAAAATACAAAAATTTGCTGGGGGTGGTGGCGCAGACCTGTAATCCCAGCTACTCGGGAGGCTGAGGCAGGAGACTCGTTTGAACCCTGGAGCCAGAGGTTGCAGTGAGCTGAGACCGAGCCACTGCACTCCAGTCTGGGCAACAGAGCAAGACTCTGTCTCAAAAAAAAAAAAAAGAAAAAAAAGAAAAAGAAAAAAGAAGGCCAATCAATGGGAGATTCACGAGAGCAAGAAAGAATAGCTCACCATGCCAAATACCTGAGATCAAAGTCAAGGAAAATAATTAAGCAATGGCCACTGCATGCATCAGTTAGGGGACCCTCAAGAGGGCAGTTTCAGTAGAGTTAAAGACATTTGAAGCACAAGCACAACCTGTTGCTGTTTTTCCTTAATCCAAACACAACATTCAGGCTCTCTGTGAACTTACACTTCAGAGAAAACGGCAACCTGCTTTTCAATAACTCCAAAACAAATCAATTCCTTATCTAAACCAACATTTTTTTGCCTACCTAGGAAGATCATCATTTTTCACTAAGGACAAAGTTACAGGAGGAAAAAAGAGTGATTAGCCAGGGGTGGTGGCTCACAACTGTGATCCCAGCTCCTAGGGAGGCTGAGGCAGAAGAATTGCTTGAACCTGGGAGGTGGAGGTTGCAGTAAGCCAAGATTGCGCCACTGCACTCCAGCCTCGGGGACAGAGGGAGACTCCGACTCAAAAAAAAAGAGAGTGGACACCCAACCCATGTGATATCCCAGCCTGCTAGCTTTCAGAAACAATTATTTCCTATAGACTTGGAAGACCCACTTGACACATGGATCCTGATGTATTAGGCTATAGGTTTTCAACAGAACAAACATTTACTAAAATTTTCACAGAATCATGTGCAATTTGCTTAAAAAAAAAAAAAAGGATGCTTAAAACATGGTCTTCCAAACATCTGGAGATAATTTTAGATTGAAAAATCTAGGCTTGCCAAGGGAATCTGAGAACTTTTCTATCTTGGTCTCCAATGCCAACCTACGTATTTGTGTGCAAAAATAGAGGAAGATTAGAATCTCAAATGCCACACTGAAAAGTTGCCACAACAAACCTGAACTCTTCATATGGAGTTTGTTATCTTGTCAGCAAGAAAGCAAATGAAACGGCAATAAACTAAACTTTTTGCTTTAAAAAGAAAAAAAAAATCTCAAACATGAAATATTCCCTGTACTTGTATTGGAAAATGATTTCTTTTTAAAACAAAATATTGTGAAGATACTGTGAAAAGAAAATACTGTGATTTTTAAAGACACTTGAAAACATCTAAGCACACACAAAATGTAAATATGAACTTTGTAAGTAGCCCTTACAAACATACACTTAGAACTTTTAGTCTAAAATATGATAAAATGATAAAGCTTACATATTATTCAATAAATCTGGAACTGACTAGCCATTTACAAAATATTTCATATTTTAAACCAAGAATGAATTTTAGGTAGACTAAAGGCAAAAAAATAAAACCATGAAACGATGAGACGCAAACATGAATTTCTTTTTTTTTTTTTTTGAGATGGAGTCTCACTCTGTTGCCCAGGCTGGAGCGCAGTGGCACGACCTCGGCTCACTGCAACCTTCGCCTCCTGGGCTCAAGCGATTCTCCTGCCTCAGCCTCCCAAGTAGCTGGGACTACAGGAGCGCGCCACCATGCTTGGCTAATGTGTTTTTTTGTATTTTTTTAGTTGAATCCGGGTTTCACCACGTTGGCCAGGCTGGTCTAGAACTCCTGACCTCAAGTGATCCGCCCGCCTCGGCCTCCCAAAGTGCTGGGATTACAGGCATGAGCCATCGCGCCAGGCTGGAATTTTTTTTTATGACAAAGAGACAGAAAAATTGTCCAAATATGTCAAAGGAAAACAAATACTATGTATTCTTAAAAATTGAACGTTACGGCCGGACACGGTGGCTCACGCCTATAATCCCAGCACTTTGGAACGCCGAGCCAGGCGGATCACCTGAGGTCAGGAGTTCGAGACCAACCTGGTCAACTGGGCGAAACCCTGTCTCTACTAAAAATACAAAAATTAGCCGGGCGTGGTGGGTGCCTGTAATCTCAGCTACTCGGGAGACTAAAGCAGGAGAATCGCTCGAACCCGGGAGGCTAAGGTTGCAGTTAATCTAGATCCCGCCACTGCACTCCAGCCTGGGTGACAGAGGGAGACTGTCTCAAAAAAAAACAAATAAAGTTACCTTTGACCCCATTTGTAAATTTATTCTAAGATAACAATCAGACCAGGTGTAATATCTCACACTTGTAATCCCAACACTTTGGAAGGCGAAGGCGTGAGGGTCGCTTGAGGCCAGAAGTTTTGAGACCAGCCTGGGCAACAGTCTCTTATTAAAAAAAAAAAAAAAAGACCATATCAAACAAATCCTTCCGGCAGAATTGTTTATCTTGTGACAAATTGGAAACTATCTCAATGCTCATCGGTGGTTAAATCACATACTGTAAAGTCCATAAAAATAACAATACCTATCTGTATTTATTGATTATCACCAAAATGTTAGCAGTGGTTGTCACTGAATGGTAGACTGGCAGATGACTGTCATTTTCTACCTTAAGACTTTTTGTGTCGTCTTGAGTGTTTTGCCAGGAAAGGAGAATTAACTGCTTTTATAATGGGGATGAGGGACCAGAACAAGGTATTTTCAAACTGGAGGCCCCCAAAGCTGAGTCTCTGGAAAATTTCTAAAAAGTCTAAACAAAATTCTTATCATGCCAACCAGGCACGCTTCTTTCCTCGCACCGCGCGGCGCAGAAAGACACACCCCTGACTCTGCGCTCGTCCCTCGGGCTCGGGTCCTCCACGCTCAGCCCCGGCCCTCCCGGTCCCCGCGGACCCTCCCCTCGGGCCCAATGCGCCAGCTGGCTCCGCAGGGCCGGAAAAGCGCGTTCCTCGGCAGCCTGGCGCCGCCGGGAAGGTGCGCGCAGCCCGCCCGGCAGCCCCGGGATGGCGTGAGGGCCGCCTCCCCGGCTAGCCCCAGCGGACCCCTGCCGCCAGCAGGCCGCCCTCCCTCCGCGGGCTTCCGGGAGCGGGTCCTGGCGCCAGCGCGACCTCCCGGGCCCCGGCGAACCGAGGGAGCGTCCCCTTTCCCCGCCTGACGGGCGCCGACCCGCCCCTGCGGTGCCGCGGCCGCCGAGTCTCCGACGCGCCCCCAGGTCCCGGGTTCGCGCCAGGAGGCCCCTCCGGGCTTCCGTCGGCCGGCCAGCGCCCGCAAAGCCCGGCGTCCTCCACAGCGGGCGGGCAAGGGGCGGGAGCCCACGGCCCCGCGCCCTGCGGCCCCGAGCGGAGCGGCGCCCCGCGGGCCCGTCTCGCCGTCTGCCCTGGCTGCGGCCCGCGGCCCCGCTGCCCACCGCCCACCGCCCGACCCCGCCCGCCAGCCCCCGCCTGCGCCCGCCGCGCCCGCTCCTCACCTGCGACGCGCCCCGGCCCCCAGCGCACCGCCTTGGACCGGCTGTGTACACCGGAAGTTACGTCTCCGGTCCGGCCCCGCCCCCGCCTCGGGCGGACGCGGGGAGGTTGCGGATCCCGCGCCTAGAGCGGACTCTCCTCTCGCATTAGAGGGGAGGGGGCGCCCCGGAGCCTCCTCTCCTGGGACCCTGGGCCCCCAAGCGGGACGGCCGGGGCGGAGGTTGAGGACTGGCGGCCAGAGCCGGAGGTCCACCCAGATCCCCCACCATGGCTTGGCCCCCGGGCGGGAGGGGTCGGGCTGCGTCCTCCTGGATTTATTACTGAAATTGACTGAAATCGATTACTGGCGTATGGAGTGTTTCCTAGATGCCAGGCCCCGACGGGCACTGCAGGAACGGGTAGTGCTCTCTCCCTCATAAGTTTATTCCTTAGTGGTAAATACACAATACCATTGTCACATATCCGGGTGATAATATAGTACCAATGGTGACAAGTGGTAGGAGGGGAAAGAGTAAGAGGGAGGGAGAGAGTACCCTGACCTAGTAAAGGAGAGTGATCCGGAATTCCCCCAGGGAAAGAGCAGGAGCTGAGGTCCTAAGGGGTAGAAGGGAGAAAAAAAAAAAAAAAAACGAGAAGGGAGGAGAACACATTACGCAGAAGCAGCAGCAAGGGTCTTCCAGTTCTGTGGGTTTTGTTTGTTTGAGACGGAGTCTTGCTCTATCGCCCAGGCTGGAGTGCAGTGACGTGATCTTGGCTCGCTGCAACCTCCACCTCCCGGGTTCAAGTGATTCTCCTGCCTCAGCCTCCCGGATAGCTGCGATTACAAGCGTGCGCCACCACGCCCGGCTAATTTTTGTGTTATTAGTAGAGACGGGATTTCCCCATGTTGGCCACGCTGGTCTCAAACTCCTGACCTCAGGTGTTCCGCCCACCTCGGCCTCCCAAAGTGCTTGAGCCACGGAGCATGGCCCAGTTTTGTGTTCCAATAATAAATCAGAGTGGTGAGAAGTTAGGTCTTACTTGACAGTGTTGCAAAACTAATGAGTTTTAAGCAAGAGGTGATTTGTCCATACTTGAGAGTGTAAAGGGGTTACTCTAGATGCAGTGTGGAGAAGGAAGGACTACGGAGGGGAGGCAAGAGTGGATATAAATGTGTACACCCATGTTCATATTAGTCAGAAGGTGGAAGCAACCCAATGTCCATCCACGGGTGAATGGGTTCACAAAATGTGGTATAAACATAACAATAGAATATTACTCAGCGTTGAAGGAGGCCGGGCGCCGTGGCTTACGCCTGTAATCCCAGCACTTTGGGAGGCCAAGGCGCGTGGATCACCTGAGGTCAGGAGTTCGAGACCAGCCTGACCAACATGATGAAACCCCGTCTCTACTAAAAATACAAAATCAGCCAGGCGTGGTGGCGCATGCCTATAATCCCAGCTACGATGCAAATAGATGAGCTTTGAAGATATTATGCCAAAAGAAACCAGTCACAAAGACAAATATCCTATGATTCCACTTACATAAGGTACCTAGAGTAGTCAAAAACATAGAGACGGGCCAGGCATGGTGGCTCATGCCTGTAATCCCAGCACTATGGGAGGCTGAGGCAGGAGGATCACCTGAGGTCAGGAGCTCCAGACCAGCCTGGCCAACATGGTGAAATCCCATCTGTACTAAAAATACAAAAAGTTAGCCAGGCGTGGTGGTGGAGGCCTATAATCCCAGCTACTTGGAAGGTCGAAGCAGGAGAACAACTTGAACCTGGGAGGCAGAGGTTGCAGTGAGCTGAGATTACGCCACTGTATTCCAGCCTTGGCGATGAAGCGAGAATCTATCTCAAAAAAAAAAAAAAAAGAGGCCGGGTGCAGTGGTTCACGCCTGTAATCCCAACACTTTGGGAGGCCGAGGTGGGCGGATCATGAGGTCAGGAGATCGAGACCATCCTGGCTAACATGGTGAAATCCCATCTGTACTAAAAATACAAAAAGTTAGCCAGGCGTGGTGGTGGAGGCCTATAATCCCAGCTACTTGGAAGGCCGAAGCAGGAGAACAACTTGAACCTGGGAGGCAGAGGTTGCAGTGAGCTGAGATTACGCCACTGTATTCCAGCCTTGGCGATGAAGCGAGAATCTATCTCAAAAAAAAAAAAAAAAGAGGCCGGGTGCAGTGGTTCACGCCTGTAATCCCAACACTTTGGGAGGCCGAGGTGGGCGGATCATGAGGTCAGGAGATCGAGACCATCCTGGCTAACATGGTGAAACCCCGTCTCTACTAAAAATACAACAAAAAATTAGCCGGGCGTGGTGGTGGACGCCTGTATTCCCAGCTACTCTGGAGGCTGAGGCAGGAGAACTGTGTGAACCCGGGAGGCAGAGCTTGCAGTGAGCCGAGATTGCGCCACTGCACTCCAGCCTGGGTGACAGAGCGAGACTCCATCTCAAAAAAAAAAAAAAAAAAGAAAGAAATGTAGAAGTTCTAATATTTTCTCCCAGTATCCCAATGGATTGCCTTCCCATACTATGGGGTACATGAACCTCCCTTTGAAAACCATTCATGGACTATGGTAGTGGCAATGGGGATGGAAAAAAAAAAGAAAGTCAAATTTGAGAAAGATTTTGGAATAAAATTGATGTAAAATCAGTGGTGAAATGGATATGGAGGGTGAGGAAGAGGTAGGAATCATGAATGTCTCCTGGGTCTCTGGGATGAGCCATTGTAGTGCTGGCACTCATTGTTTTGGGAAGCCCCGGAAGAGGACCATATTTGGGAGGGTGGAGGATGGGAAGAATGGCCCGAGTTCCAGTGTGAACATGGCATCAAAGAAGAGGCACCAATAAGGCACTTGGGGATGAGGATCTGGAGCTTAGAAGAGAGGTATGTGCTGGAGATGTCAGTGTAGATTGAGGGGATACCTTTCTTGGTGGTTGAATTTTTTTTTTGGACGGAATCTCACTCTGTCACCCAGGCTGGAGTCCAAAGGCGCAATCTCGGCTCACTGCAAGCTCCGCCTCCCGGGTTCACACCATTCTCCTGCCTCAGCCTCCTGAGTAGCTGGAACTACAGGCGCCCGCCACCACGCCCGGCTAATTTTTTTTTGTATTTTTAGTAGAGACGGTGTTTCACCATGTTAGCCAGGATGGTCTCGATCTCCTGGCCTCGTGATCCGCCCGCCTCGGCCTCCCAAAGTGCTGAGATTGCAGGTGTGAGACACTGTGCCCGGCCTCCCTCCCAGTTTTAAGCAATTCTCCTGTCTCAGCCTCCCGAGTAGCTGGAATTACAGGCACGCACCACCATGCCCAGCTAATTTGTGTATTTTTAGTAGAGACGGGGTTTCACCATGCTGGCCAGGCTGGCCTTGAATTCGTGGCCTCAAGTGATCCACCGCCTCGGCCTCCCAAAGTGCTGGGATTACAGGTGTGAGCCACTGCACCTGGCCTTGGTGGTTGCTTTTTTAAGGTAGAAGAGACTTAAACATGTTTTAAGGTCAAAGAGGAAGATCTGGTTGAAAGTGGCTGAGGATATAGGAGAGAGATGATCTGGTTCTTCTTGTGAAGGTTCTGAAAAGGCTTGAAGGAGGGGATCTAAAATGCTTGGTGGGATCGGGCCTGGTGGCTCACAGTAGTAATCCCAACACTTTGGAAGGCCAAGGTGGGCTCATTGCTTGAGCCTAGGAGTTTGAGATCAGCCTGGGCAACATAGTGAAACCCTGTCTCTACAAAAAATACAAAAATTAACTAGGCACATTGGCATACACCTGTAGTCCCAGCTACTTAGGAAGCTGGAGTGAGAGGATCACTTGAGCCCAGGGAGTTCAAAGTTGCAGTGAGCCATGATTGCACCACTGCACTCCAGCCTGGGTGACAGAGCGAGACTCTGTCTCAAAATACATAAATCCATAAATAAAATGCTTGGTGGTAGGTTTACCTTAGACTGCAGCAAAGAGTGAGGGGAGTGGGAAAGGTCTGGAAGCACAAAGGTGAGTGGACAAAAGAAACATGGTAGAATTTCCCAGTAGTACTGAGGATTCACTGCAGGTTGACAACTATAGACATCTTTCTTTATTTTATTTGTTTATCAATTTTTGAGATGGAATCTCACTCTGTCACCCAGGCTGGAGTGCAGTGGTGCAATCTCGGCCCATTGCAACCTCCTCCTACCAGGTTCAAGCGATTCTCCTGCCTCAGCCCCTGGGTGTCTGGGATTACAGGCACCCGCCACCACGCCCAGCTAATTTTTGTATTTTTAGTAGAGACGGGGTTTCATCATGTTGGCAAGGCTGGTCTCGAACTCCTGACCTCAGGTGATCTGCCCTGCTCAGCTTCCCAAAGTGCAGGGATTACAGGCGTGAGCCATCGTGCTGGCCTGTAGACATCTCCTTTCTACTAAGGGACTTGTCCAGTAGCTTTTAGGTGAAAGGGAAGAAGGTGGAGCAATGATTCTTCAGAAGGTTGAGTAACGGAGAGTAGGGCAAGAGTGTTCCTGAGATGAGGGGCTGGGCTGTAGGACCCGAGCCACAGGAGGAGAGTTGTAAGAGGGAAGAGGACAGCTGGCTTGGAGGAAGTGTGCCTGGGTGCTAGTGTCCTCTTGCTTTTGTAGGCTGGAAAAGGAGCTAGGAATGATGGTGGCAAGTTTTGTCGTTTGTTTGTTTGGTGGAGACGGCCCCTTACCATGTTGCCTAGGCTGGTTTTGAACTCCTGGGCTCAAGAGTGATCCTCCCACCTCAGCCTCCCAAAGTGCTGGCCAGCGGCTGGCTTTTGAGTGTGCCAGTTGTAGCTCCTACAGTCTCAGATAAGCCCATCTGTTATTCAGAGGTCCTCCTAGCTCTTGCTACAGGCCCCAGGGGCCACTGGACCTTGCCATAGAATCCATCAGTGACCATACCTGGATGCACTTGGTAAACACCAGATGGGTTGGTTGGTTGGTTTGAGACAGGGTCTGGCTCTGTCACCCAGACTGGAGTACAGTAGCATGATCTTGGCTCACTGCAACCTCCACCTCCTGAGCTCAAGCCATCCTCTCACCTCGGCCTCCAAAGTAGCTGGGACTATGGGCATGCACCACCACGCCAGGCTAGTTTTTGTATTTTTTGTAGAGACAGGATTTCGCCATGTTGCCAAGGCTAGTCTTGAACTCCTGAGCTCAAGTGGTCTGCCAGCCCGGTCTCTCAAAGTGGTGAGATTACAGGCGTGAGCCACCGCAACCAGTCACAAATGAGATGTTAAATTGGCCCTTTCCCCATGGGGCAGACTCTGACACACCTGCCCACGTGTGTCTGGCCAGCCATGTCCACGCCTGTTCCCAAATCCTGCAGACTCTGGAATGCAGCTACCCTTCCTGGGGCTTACAGCCTATCTCACAGCTTTCACATCCTGCACAAGGGAGACCAGGAAAGCTAAAATTTGCTCCCAGGGGAGTGCGGTGACTCACACTTGTAATTCCAGCACTTTGGGAGGCTGAGGTGAGAGGATCACTTGAGGCTAGGAGTTGAAGACCAACCTGGGCAACAAAGTGAGACTCCAGCTCTACAAAAAATTTCAAAAATTAGCTGGGCATGGTGGCGCCCACTTGTAGTCCCAGTTACTGGGGAGGCTGAGGGAGGAGGATGACTTGAGCCCGGCAGTTCAAGGCTGCTGTGAGCTATGATTGTGCCACTGCACTCCTGCTGGGGAACAGAGTGAGATCCTGTCTCAAAAAAAAAAAAAAGTGACTCTCTGCAAACAACCCCATTGCCCACTCTACCACCAGGAGCACTTGACTATGAAAACCCCTTTCCTGAAGGCTCTTCTTTCAGACATTCCCACTGAAACTAACATGTAAAAGCTGCGGCTCACTTTACCCCGAACCTCATGGCCCCAGAGTAATGTGCCAGAAACCGCTTATGCTCACACCATTTTGGCCCCTTCCGTGGGCCAGGAGTCATGGAGAACCACTCAGCTATATATGCAGTTCTGAGATCAGTGTGAACATTGTCAACCTTGGGGCCCTTTTGGTGGCCTTTGTGGTGCTTTGGGGACCAGATGGCCTTGAACCTCTCAAGCTTACCTGAGAGCATTTTGTATTGTGGACATATCACCTTCTGTTTTGTGAGTCCATCTGCAGATATTATACCCATGCCCTGCAGGTTCAAATTATTTATTTTAATTCATCAAATACACATACATATGGAGAAGGAGGGAAAAAAATGTACCCACTACACAGGTTTGAGGCACTCGTCATGTCATGCCACCTCTTTATTTCAAGTTCCTTGCACCAAAGTGTTGAGAAAAAAAGATGGAGGCCAGATGCTGTGGCTCACGCCTATAATCCCAGCACTTTGGGAGGCCGAGGTGGGAGGATTGTTTGAGCTCACTAGTTCAAGACCAGCCTGGGCAACATGGTAAAACCCTGTCTCTACAAAAAACACAAAAATTAGGCCAGGTGCGGTGGCTCATGCCTGTAATCCCAGCACTCTGGGAGGCTGAGGTGGGCAGATCACAATTGTCAGGAGTTTGAGACCAGCCTGGCCAACATGGTGAAACCCTGTCTCTATTAAAAATACAAAAAAATTAGCTGGGCATGGTGGCTCATGCCTGTAGTCCCAGCTACTTGGGAGGCTGAGGCAGGAGAATCGCTTGAACCCAGGAGGCAGAGGTTGCAGTGAGCCAAGATCGCACCATTGCACTCCAGCCTGGGCAACAGAGCAAGACTCCGTGTCAAAAAATAATAATAATAATAAATAACAAAAATTAGCCTGGCATGGTGGCATGTACCTGTAGTCCCAGCTACTTGGGAGGCTGAGGTGGGAGGATCGCTTGAGCCCAGGAGTGAGAGGTTGCAGTGAGCTGAGATTGCGCCACTGCGCACTACAGCCTGGGCAATAGAGTCAGACCTTGTCTCAAAAAAAAAAAAGAAGAAAAGAAAAGAGAAAGAAAAGAAAAGAAGGAAAAGAAGAGAAAAAAGAGAAGGGAAGAGAAAAGAGAAAAAGGGATGGAGCCCACAGGTCTAAAGATGGAGGCCAGGCCCTCATCTTCAGGAATGGTAGCTACGGCCTTCCAGCTCTGCAGAAAGGTCTGTGAACTGGACCCTCAGCATCCACACAGGCATGAGATGGTGCCTTAGAGACCACCAGACCTATACCTGTAATTTGCTGTTTAGGAGGCCAAGAAGGTCAAGACCAGGAAACAGGGGTCACTCCGGAATGCATCTGGCCCCCTGTGCATCTGGATAGAGGCAGAGTTAGAGCCGGGTCCCGTGAAAAACATGAGCGTCTCTGAGGTTGGTGCCTATGACAAATGAGTGGAAGGAGGCTTCAGGAGCTCCTCTGTGACCCAAGAGCTGGGATGAACGAGACCCACATTTGTGAGAGATGCCAAAGAAATGCACCCTAGGCCGGGCATGGTGGCTGACGCCTGTAATCCCAGCACTTTGGGAGGCTGAGGCAGGCGGATCACCTGAGGTCGGGAGTTCAAGACAAGCCTGACCAACATGGTGAAACCCCATCTCTACTAAAAATACAAAAATTTGCCAGGCATGGTGGTACATGCCTGTAATCGCAGCTACTTGGGAGGCTAAGGCAGGAGAAGAGGTTGAAGCTGGGAGGTGGAGGTTGTAGTGAGCCGAGATCACGCCATTGCACTCCAGCCTGGGCAACAGAGGGAGATTCCATCTCAAAAAAAAAAAAAAAAAAAAAAGAAGGCCCGGCCTGGTGGCTCACGCCTGTAATCCCAGCACTTTGGGAAGCTGAGGCGGGCGGATCACCTGAGGTCAGGAGTTGGAGACCAGCCTGGCCAACATGGTGAAACCCCATCTCTATTAAAAATACAAAAATTAGCTGGGAGTGGTGGCAGGTGCCTGTCATCCCAGCTACTTGGGAGGCTGAAGCAGGAGAATCGCTTGAACCGGGGAGGTGGAGGTTGCAGTGAGTCAAGATCACGCCATTGCACTCCAGCCTGGGGGAAAGAGTGAGACTCTGTCTCAAAAAAAAAAAAAAAAAGAAAAAAAGAAAAGGAAAAAGAAAGAAAATGTACCCTGATCTCAGCAGGAGCTGGCTCTCCCTGCTGAGAAAAAAAGCAGATTTGCTCCGGCTGGCTTTTCTAAGGGCTTCACATTCCTATTGTCAGAAAAGCTGCAGAATCAGAACATCCCACTTACAGGGCCCCTCGGGGATTCCAGAACTGATTTTCTTAGGTAGCCAAAGTTATTACTGTTGGCTTGTGCATTCTTTATGGAAATAAAAGTCAGGGCTTCTAGGCTGGGTTTTACATGTTAGTTTCAGTGGGAATATCTTAAAGCCTTCAGGAAAGGGGTTTTCACAGCCAAGTGCTCTTGGTGGTGGAGGGGGTAATGGGGTTGTTTGCAGACAGTCACTTTTTTTTTTTTTTTTTTTTACGACAGGGTCTCACTCTGTTGTCCAGTAGGAGTGCAGTGGCACAATCATAGCTCACAGCAGCCTTGAACTGCTGGGCTCAAGCAATCCTCCTACCTCAGCCTCAAAGACATGATCACTTTTTGTGTCCTCTCTGCTTACTCCAAGGTCTTGAAGATATGCTCTTTTCCCAACAGTGTTTTGCAGTTGTCAGTGTAGAAGTCTTGCACATTTTTCGCACATTTTTCATTAGATTGCTAGGTATTTTATTGTTTTGGTGGGGTACTATTACAAATGGCAATGTTTTGACTTTTCATTGTCTAATTACTTGTTGCTTGTAGACAGAAACAAATGATGTTTCTGTATTTTGATATTTTACTTAATTGTAGGGCAGGCAAGGTGGCTCACGCCTGTAATCCCAGCACTTTGGGAAGCTGAGGTGGGAGGATCAATTGAGCCCAGGAGTGTGAGAACAGCCTGGGCAACATGGCAAAACTCCATCTCTACAAAAAATACAAAAATTAGCCAGGCATGGTGGCACACGGCTGTGGTCCCAGCTACTTGGGAGGCTGAAGTGGGAGGACTGATTAAGTGTAGGAGTTGGAGGCTGCAGTGAGCCATGTTTTCGTCATTACACTCCAGCCTGGGTGACAGAACAAGACTCCGTCTCAAAAAAAAAAAAAAAAAAGTTACCATCTGTTTCTAGTTTGCTGAGAATTTTAATCTCCTCTTTATTTTTATTTTATTTTATTTATTTATTTTTTGAGACGGAGTCTTGCTCTGTCGCCCAGGCTGGAGTGCACTGGTGTGATCTTGGCTCACTGCAACCTCCGCCTCCCCCGTTCAAGAGATTCTGCTGCCTCAGCCTCCTGAGTAGCTGGGATTACAGGCACATGCCACCACGCCCAGCTAATTTTTGTATTTTTAGAGATGGGTTTTCATCATGTTGGCCAGGCTAGTCTCGAACTCCTGATCTCAAGGGATCCACCCACCTCAGCCTCCCAAAGTGCTGGGATTACAGGTATGAGCCACTGCGCCTGGACAGCTCCTCTTTCTTTTTTTTGAGAGAGTCTCGCTTTCTTGCCCAGGCTGCAGTGCAATGGCGCCATCTCGGCTCACTGGAATCTCCGCCTCCTGGGTTCAAGTGATTTTCCTGCCTCAGCCTCCCGAGTACTGGCACGCACCTGTAATCCCAGCTAATTACAGGCACACACCACCACACCCAGCTAATTTTTGTATTTTTAGTAGAGATGGGCTTTCACCACATTGGCCAGGCTGGTCTTGAACTCCTGAGCTCAAGTGATCCACCCACCTGCGCCTCCCAAAGTGCTGGAATTACAGACATGAGCCACCGCGCCTGGCCTCCTCTTTATTTTTGAAAAGCTAAACAGACTGTTTGCACACCCCGTTTGTGCATGGGAGAGCAGGGGCGGGATCAAGTGTGAGAAGATGTTAGCCTGCTCTAGAAGGCACCCTGGGGCTCGTGCCAGGAACTGTCAGCCTTCCCACTAACAGTCCCTATGGGCTCATCATTGCCAGGTCATCTGTAGCTTGCTGTCCTTTTCTGGTAGTTTGCTGTAACAGACATTACTAATATTTGAATGTATGATTTGAATGTCCTCACTTAATAACAAATATTATTAGAATATTTGAATTCCAAATTTCCTTGCTTCCTCAAGTTAGGTGAGAACAAGACGAAGTTCAAGTTGAGATAATGCAACTATAAACACATCTGACACCAACACCTCCTTTCCATTCATAAGAACAGTTACCTTCCAACCGTGCTAGAGACAGACACCAGGACAGTAACCCAGCTCAGGTCAATGGAATTCCAAAGACTCCAGGATTTCCAGATTTAAACCAAGTACCAGCTAAAAGAGGAGGAAAGCAGGCTGGCCCAGACATGAGGTGTTTTGTTTGTTTGTTTTTTGAGACGGAGTCTTGCTCTGTCCCCCAGCCTGGCGTGCAGTGGTGCGATCTCGGCTCACTGCAACCTCCGCCTCCTGGATTCAAGTGATTCTCCTGCCTCAGCCTCGCGAGTAGCTGGGATTACAGGTGCGTGCCACCTGATCACGCATGGCTAATTTTTGTATTTTTCGTAGAGACAGGATTTCACCAGGTTGATCAGGCTGGTCTTGAACTCCTGACCTCAAGTGACCCACCCGCCTAGGCCTCCCAAGTGTTGGGATTACAGGCATGAGCCACCGTGCCCGGCCAAAGAGGTGTTGTAAGCACAAGTCGTGACCTGGGTTGGTGAAAGCTGCAGAGCAAGCCATTGACAGTCTGGAAGCCAGACTCAGACAGGCATCTGATCCAGGGACACCTCCAGGCCAAAGTTATAGGGGGTGTGGGCTACCCAGCATTGCTTGCTTTATCGGTCAAGGAAGGCCTCTAGACGAAGGAGCAGCAGCAGTGCTGGACATAGGGCATCCCCACTGCGGACCACTGGCTTGCCACAGACCCAGAGGTGTGCAGCTGTCCTGCTAGCTCACAGCCCTGTGACTTATTTTTAGATCTATGACTCAGAGTTCTAGACCAGTACTGAGGCCATGGGGAGAGGAGTCTCTGCCTGGGGGCTGCCTTAGCATGGGTCTGTTTGACACCATGATCTCATTCCCATCAGACCATAGTTGCGGCAATACAACTTCCAGAAGGACACCATCTTTTCTTTTTTCTTTTTTGTTTTGAGACAGAGTCTCATTCTGTCGCACAGGCTGGAGTGCAGTGGCACAATCTGGGCTCACTGCAACCTCCGCCTCCCAGGTTCAAGTGATTCTCCTGCCTCAGCCTCCTGAGTAGCTGGGATTACAGGCATGCGCCATCACGCCCAACTAATTTTTGTATTTTTGGTAGAGACAGGTTTCGCCATGTTGGCCAGACTGTCTCGAATTCCTGACCTCAAGTGATCCACCCGCCTTGGCCTCCCAAAGTGCTGGGATTATAGGTTTGAGCCACCCTGCCTGGCCACCATCTCTTAAGGCATCCAGATTAGATGCCTTCTCTAAGACATGTGACAGAATTTGACAATCAGATTTGTGTTCCCCAAAGTGCATTCTGGCCTCTGCACAGAATATGGCACAGAAGAATGCAGTATGAAGAGAGGATAACCAATGAGGAGGTTAACATAGTCCACGCAAGAGGTGAAGGGGCTTTGAACCAGGGTAGAGGCAGAGAGATTTGCTCACTCTAGATGGGAAATTAAGCACAAATGTTCACCTTCTTTGCCTTTAAGACTGCCCTGGCTGGGTACGGTGGCTCGCGCCTGTAATCCCAGCACTTTGGGAGGCCGAGGCAGGCGGGTCATCTGAGGTCGGGAGTTCAAGACCAGCCTGACCAACATGGAGAAACCCCGTCTCTACTAAAAATACAAAATTAGCCAGGTGTGGTGGCGCATGCCTGTAATCCCAGCTACTCAGGAGGCTAAGGCAACAGAATCACTTGAACCCAGGAGGCGGAGGTTGCAGTGAGCTGAGATCAAGCCATTGTACTCCAGCCTGGACAACAAAAGCGAAACTCCGTCTCAAAAAAAAAAAAAAAAAAAATTAGCTGGGCATGGTGGCGCATGCCTGTAATCCCAGCAACTTGGGAGGCTGAGGCAGGAGAATCACTTGAATCTGGGGGGCGAAGTTTGCAGTGAGCCGAGATCGCGCCATTGCACTCCAGCCTGGGCGACAAGAGGGAAACTTCGTCTCAAAAAAAAAAAAAAAAAAAGACTGCCTTAAAGGCTGCTTTGCCTATGGAGTAGCCATTCTTTTATTCCTTTACTTTCTTAATGAAGTTGCTTTTATTTAAAAAGACTGCATTAAGATGTCAACACATGAATAAACAGTTATAAATTGAATTGGGCAGGAATAAGCCTGTCAAGTATTTTTCTTTCTAAAATAATTTTTTATTTTTATATATTTTTTGAGACAGAGTCTGGCTCTGTTGCCCAGGCTGGAGTGCAGTGACACAATCATGGCTCACTGCAGCCTTAACCTCCTGGGCTCAAGGGATCCTCCTGCCTCAGCCTCCTGAGTAGCTGGAGCCAGAGGCACACGCCACTACGCCCGGCTAATTTTTAATTTTTTTTAAAATTTTACTTATTTTTTTGAGATAGGGTCTCACTGTGTTGCCCAGGCTATAGTGCAATGGTATGATCACAGCTCACTGCAGCCTTGACCTTCTGTGCACAAGCAGTCCTCCTTCCTCAGCCTCCTGAGTAGCTGGGACCACAGGCATATGCCACCATGGCTGGCTAATATTTTAGTGTTTTTTTTGTTTTGTTTTGTTTTGTTTTTTTTTTTTTTTTTTTTTTTTGTAGAGATGGGGTCTCCCTGTGTTGCCCAGGCTGGTCCCAAACTCTTTGGCCTCAAGTGATCCACCCGCCTCAACCTCCCAAAGTGCTAGGATTACAGGCATAAACCACCTGCGCCCAGCCAAGACTCTTTCTTTTGTTTGTTTTTTGTAACAGTATGCTGCTTAATTATAAGCCATGCCGACTGCAGCAGTGAGAAACAGGTTTGTTCACTACTTGTGCAGACCTTCAATTAGGTTTCCTGTTTTCAAGTCCCCTTCTCACTCTTGTTCCCTGTTGTACCTGCTGGCTCAGAGGCAGAAGCCTTCCAGAGGCCCAGGCAGGTGGCTCCTCCCGCACGCTAGCGCCCCTTGAGCACAGTCGAGGCGGCAGCACGCTATGCTCTGCCTGGGGTTGCCATGCTTCCAGCTGCTCTTGTCAGTCTAGAAAGCTGCTGAAAAATACCTCACAGGGCCAGGCGTAGTGGCTCACACCTGTAATCCCAGCACTTTGGGAGGCTGAGGTGGGTGGATCACTTGAGACCAGAATGAGACCAGCCTAGGCAACACGGTAAGACCCCATCTCTACAAAAAAAATTTAATAACCAGTTGGGCGTGGTGTTGTGTGCCTGTAATCCCAGCTACTCGGGAGGCTGAGTTGGGAGGATGGCTTGAGCCCAGGAGGCAGAGGTTGCAGCCAGCCGAGATCGTGTCACTGCACTCCAGCCTGGGTGACACAGCCAGACCCTCTCTCTCAAAAAATAAAAATAGGCCGGGCGCGGTGGCTCACGCCTGTAATCCCAGCACTTTGGGAGGCCGAGGTGGGCGGATCACAAGGTCAAGAGATCGAGACCATCTTGGCTAACATGGTGAAACCCTGTTACAATACAAAAATTAGCCGGGTGTGGTGGCGGGCGCCTGTAGTCCCAGCTACTCGGGAGGCTGAGGCAGGAGAATGGCGTGAACCTGGGAGGCGGAGCTTGCAGTGAGCCGAGATCGTGCCACTACACTCCAGCCTGGGCGAAAGTGCAAGACTCCATCTCAAAAAAAAAAAAAATAAAAATAGGCCAGGTGTGGTGGCTTATGCCTGTAATCCCCACACTTTGGGAGGCTGAGGCAGGTGGATCACTTGAGGTCAGGAGTTTGAGACCATCCTGGCCAACATGGTGAAACCCTGTCTCTACTATAAATGGATAAATTAACTGGGTGTGGTGGTGCGTGCCTGTAATCTCAGCTACTCAGGAGGCTGAGGCAGGAGAATTGCTTGAACCCGGAGGCAGAGGTTGCAGTGAGCTGAGATCGCACCACTGCACTCCAGCCTGGATGTTAGAGCGAGACTCAAGTCTCAAAAATAAATAAATAAATAAATAAATATCAGGATTAAAAGAAAAAAAAGGAAGATTCTTCTCTGTAGACATCTGTGGGATCTGGAGAGATTGGCATCCTACAACAAAGCCCTCTGGAATTCGGAAATCTCAAGAATAAAGATCACTACCTTAAAGCTGACACTGCTGGTTAACAAATCCTGGTCACACAGAGAGCTCCAGGGCACCCGTTTGCCTCCTTCTAATGACAGACAGCCAAGAATCCACTGATATTTTAATAAAGCCTACTACAGGAAAGAGACTAAGATGAACAATAGCAAAGGAAAGAAAATAGCAGAAAAAACTAAGAGATACAGGGATTTATTTATTTATTTATTTATTTATTTGAGATGGAGCCTCTCTCTGTCGCTCAGGCTGGAGTGCAGTGGTGCGATCTCGGCTCACTGCAACCTCCACCTCCCACGTTCAAACGATTCTCCTGACTCAGCCTCCCGAGTAGCTGGGACTACAGGCATGTGCCACCATGCCCAAGTAATTTTTGTAGTTTAGTAGAGATGGGGTTTCACCATGTTGGCCTGGCTGGTCTCAAACTCCTGGCCTCGAGTGATCCGACCGCCTCAGCCTCCCAAAGTGCTGGGATTACAGGTGTCAGCCACCATGCCCGGCCGAATGGGCAGCTCTTATATCTGAGTAAAAGAGACTTCTAGTGAAAGTACAGGGAGGATGGTATGAAAAAAATTACCCAAGCTAAAGGGAAGACACAAACCATTAAATCAAAAGGGCCTAACAACTGCCCAGCATAATACTGGAGTGAAACAAAAAGACCCACACTCTTGAGAAGTCATAACATTTCTTAACAGAAAGGATAATATGCTGTTTCCACAGAGGAAGAAACAGGTAATCTACAATGAAAAGAAAAAATCAAATTGGCATTAGACTTAACATCACTGCATGCTAGATCAAGGGTCAGCAACTAAGATAAGAATTGCTTCGACGTTTTGTTGTTAAATAAGCAAAGAAGGCTGGGGCTGGGCACAGAGGCTGATGCCTGTAATCCCAGCACTTTGTGAGGCCAAGGCAGGCGGATCACCTGAGGCCAGGAGTTCGAGACCAGCCTGGCCAACATGGTGAAATCCTGTCTCTACTAAAAATACAAAAATCAGCCAGGTGTGGTGGTGGGTGCCTGTAATCCCAGCTACTCGGGAGGCTGAGGCAGGAGAATCACTTGAAGCTGGCAGGCAGAGGCTGCAGTGAGCCGAGACGGCACCGCTGCACTCCAGCCTGGGCGACAGAGTGAGACTCTGTCTCAAAAAAAAAAAAGAAACGAGGAAGAAGATGTGACAGAGACCTTCCTGTCTAGAAAGCTCCCTAAGGAGAAATTCCAGTAAACAAAGGAATGGAAAACATGGTGCCAGCAACTCTAATTGTAGCCCAGGAGAGCAGTGATGGCAAAATCTCAGGATCATGACTTTGTTGACACCTGGAAGCAATATATTTGGGTTTTATTTGTTATTTATCTTTTTCAATTTTTTTTCTTTTTTATTAGACACCAAGATCTCACTATGTTTCCCAGGCTGGTCTCGAACTCCTGGGCTCAAACGATCTGCCTGCCTCAGCATCCCAATGTACTGGGATTATTGGTATCATCCACCATGCCTGGCCTGTTTGGATCTTAGCAGAATGGTGGAAGGTTATGGAAGAACAGTCTGTATGAAAAAAAGGAGATTTTGTAGACTGAATTATAGTATGGGTGAGGAGTTGGAAAAACTTGAGAATATGATAAAGGCAACAAATACCAGCAAGAACAAACATTCAGAAACTCCAGGAAAACCCAAAAGCTGTACAGAAAATAACTGTCCAAAGAAGAAATGGTCTGAATTAAACTAGAAAGTTGGTGAGTACAAGGAGAGTGGAATAGATTCCAAGTAACAGAGAACATCCAAGAGCCAATCAGAAACTCCAGGGGAAAAAATTGTAAACAAACAAAAACAAAACCAAGATAATACATACAGCTGGGTGCTAATTTCAGCACTTTGGGAGGTTGAGGCAGGCAGATCACTTGAGCCCAGGAATTCGAGACTAGCCTGGGCAACATGGCAAAACTATGTCTCTACAAAAAATTAAAAAATTAGCCAGTTGTGGTGGCACACCTGTAGTCCCAGCTACTCTGGAGGCTGAGATGGGAGGATCGCCTGGGCCCAGGAGGCTGAAACGAGCTGTGTTCGCACCACTGCATTCCAGCCTGAGTGACAGAGTGAGACCCTGTCTCAAAACAAAAATGCTCACTGGAGATTGTTGGTGATCTTACCAAGAACTGTTTCAGTGGAATAGGTCAAGTGGCTTGAGAAGTGAAGTCTCCCTTCACTTCAGGAATCCTGACAGTTAAACAGGAGTGGGAGGTATAGGATCCCCAGAATAATCTCCTTTCTCTTTTTTGGTTAGAGACTGGGTCTCACTATGTTGCCCCGGCTGATCTCGAACTCGTGGGCTCAAGTGATTTACCTGCCTCGGCAATCATAGCTAGCTCACTGCAGCCTCAGTCTCTGGGGTTGAAGTGATCCTCCCACCTCAACCTCCCAAGAAGCTGGGACTACAGGTATGTGCCAGCAAGCCCAGTTAATTTTTAAATTTTTTGTACAGATGAGGTCTTGCTATGTTGCCCAGGCTGGTCTCCAACTCCTGGCCTCAAGCAATCCAATCCTACCACCTCAGCCTCCTGAAGTGTTGGGATTACAGGCATGGGCCACTGCACCCAGCCCCTACCTCCTTTTAATAGGGCCTGGGATGCAGATGAGGCTGGTTTAGAGTGTGGTAAGCGTCTGAAACTGTTTTCATCCAACAGCCACCAGCTGTCTTTGAAATAGATGGTAAGACCACTTGCTGACTGCAGAGAGATGATTACAGAAATATACTGGTTTTGATGCAAAGTTAAGGGCACAGTGATTACAGAAATACACCTGGTTGAGGTATATATATACAAAGAAATATACCTGGTTGAGGTATAAATATACAAAGTTGAGGGCCAAGGTTGAGGGTAGTAATCAGCATTATTTACAGTGGCATTGATTTGCTCAACTGTGATTCTTGTCCTCAGGACTCAACCCCCTGGGTGAAGACATTGACAATGTGGATGAATGGATGCTTTTAGGGTTGAAGTTTCTCTAGGCAGGAGCTTCTCAAAAGAGAAGCAAAGGAGTTTAGGGTATTTGCAAGATAAATGAAGAGTGAGTCATGGAGTTTAGGATGGTTGGAGATGGCGGTGGAGAAAGCACGGGGGAACTAATGAAGCCGGAGAAAGTATAAAGATTCTGGACCTGGAGTTCTGCACCAGGCTAAAAACAGTTACTAAGGAAGGGAATGGGTTAGGTCACTGCTTTTTAATTTTTATTTATTTATTTATTTATTTATTTTTTGAGAGAGAGAGTCTCACTCTGTTGCCAGGCTGGAGTGCAGTGGCGTGATCTCAGCTCACTGCAACATCTGCCTCCGGGGTTCAAGCGATTCTCCTGCCTCAGCCTCCCCAGTAGCTGGGATTACAGGCATGTGCCACCATGCCCAGCTAATTTTTGTATTTTTAGTAGAGACAGAGGTTTCACCATGTTGGCCAGGATGGTCTCGATCTCCTGACCTCGTGATCTGCCCGCCTTGGCCTCCCAAATTGCTGAGATGACGGGCGTGAGCCACCGCGCCTGGCCTGAATTTTTTTATGTTTTTTTTTTTTTTTTTTTAGCTATTTCTTCAGCAAGACAGCTGGAAGGTCAAAGGGCGGGGTGTCTAAGTCTGTGATTTGGAGGTGGTTGCAGTTGAGGTTGATGGACAAGGTCCAGGTGTGTCTACAGCTTTGGGTAGGAGGGGACAACAGGAAAATGTCACAGGACAAGGACGGAAGCCAGGGTGTGGGCGAGTGTGCAGAGGAGTTAACGAAGCAGGTTTGACTGCTGTCATTTACAAGGCCTGCTTGTAAGTTTGGCTCTCGCCTGACATCTGGATTTCAGGAGGGTTCCCGCCATTCCCAGAACTGGTAGGAGTGGTGCACTGTATCCAGACTGTTGTAAACAATGTGGTTTGCTTGTGCTTTACTTCTGGGAGCCTGGAATTTTGGCACGTGCCACGCAGAGGGTGTCTGCATAATCAGCCCCCAGTAAAAACCCTGGGCAACTAAGTCTGAAGCTTCCCTGGCAGACAATATCCCACGCATGTTGTTGCAACTCCCTGCTGGAGAAGCTAAGCACATCCCGTGAGGCTCCGCTTTCTAAGTCCCCGTTGCAAGTTTGAGCCTGGTTTCCTCCAGACTTTGCCCACACATCTTTTCCCTTTGTGAATTTTGCTTTGTATCCTGTCACTGTATCCTGTCACTGTACACTGTCATAGCCATGCGTGCGATTACCCTGGGGACCCCCAGTACAGATGGGTAGATCACACAACAGCTGAAGTCACTTTGAATAAGACAGAAGGGGAGAGGAAGAGGAAGATGAGTATCAGACTTCTCACGATATGATGGGCAGAGATCAGGTCATTAAATGGTCATCACCAGGAGAGTGAGAGGATCACATAACCTCACTGGGGTAGGAGTTTTTATCAGCAGGGAAGCAAGGAGACCGCATCCACATCCTGAACACAGTTTTGTAGGGCAAGAAATATTCCACTGCTGCCAGTGAGTAAGGGCAATGGGGGAGCACTGTCCTTAGGGGACTGAGGCTAGGCACACGGAGGATTGACTCTGGATCTGCTCTAATATATACCATTATCTACATCTATGTCTACTGTACATCAGGGTTGTATGGTACTTTATGGTTAGTGACAAGCAGAGCACTACCATATGGTTCACCATGCTCCAAGTCCTCAAGAGGGCTAGGTCAGCATTCCTCTCACCCACTCTAGTTCTGGCTTCTCTCCCGAAGGAAAAAACAGTACCAGCATTATTTTAATAGCCAGAAGCTAGAAACCACCCAAATGCGGCATCAACAGTAGAAAGAAGCAACTGTGGTCTATTAACACAATGGAATATTATACTGCAATGAAAATGAACAGTCCATGGCCAAATGCAACAAGAGAGATGAATCCCAAACACAATGCTGAGTAGAGAGGCCAAACACAAGAGTATATACTGTGTAATTCCATTTATATAAAAACACCAAAGGTAATCTATGGTGTCAGAAGTCAGGACTGTAGTTAGCCTTGAAGGGATGGGGACTACTGGAAGGGAGCTTGGTGGGTTTCTGGGGTACTGTTAATAATCTGATTTATAATCTGGGTGCCGGTTACATAGGTAATTATGATGTGTACTTTTCTTTTTTTCTTTTGGAGACAGGGTCTTGCTCTGTTGCCCAGGTTGGAGTGCAGTGGTGTGGTCATGGCTTACTGCAACCTCAACCTCCTGGGCTCAAGTGATCCTCCCGCTTCAGCCTCCCAAGTAGTTGGGACTACAGGCACGCGCCACCACGCCCAGCTAATTTTTAAAAAATTACTTGGATAGGCCGGGTGCGGTGGCTCACGCCTGTAATCCCAGCACTTTGGGAGGCCGAGGCGGGCGGATCATGAGGTCAGGAGATCGAGACCATCCTGGCTAACACTGCGAAGCCCCGTCTCCACTAAAAATAAAAAAAATTAGCCGGGCGTGGTGGCGGGCACCTGTAGTCCCAGCTGCCGGGAGGCTGAGGCAGGAGAATGGCGTGAACCTGGGAGGCAGAGCTTGCAGTGAGCCGAGATCGTGCCACTGCACTCCAGCCTGGGCGACAGAGCGAGACTCTGGCTCCAAATAAATAAATAAATAAATAAATAAATAAATAAATAAATAAATAAATAACTTGTAGAAACAAGGTCTCCCTATGTTGCTCAGGCAATGCCAGTCATTGGTCTTTAGTGAGGACCTGTTTGAAGCAGCTCATTTCTTTTTTTTTTTTTTTTGAGATGGAGTTTCACTCTTGTTGCCCAGGCTGGAGTGCAATGGAGTGACCTCGGCTCACCGCAACCTCCACCTCTCAGGTTCAAGTGATTCTCCTGCCTCAGCCTCCTGAGTAGCTGGGATAACAGGCATGCACCACCACACCCAGCTAATTTTGTATGATTAGTAGAGATGGAGTTTCTCCATGTTGGTCAGGCTGGTCTCGAACTCCCGACCTCAGGTGATCCGCCCTCCTCAGCCTCCAAAAGTGCTGGGATTACAGGTGTGAGCCACCGTGCCGGGCTGAAGCAGCTCATATCCTATAACCACATGACACTTTCATAATAAAAATGTTTCAAAAGACACAGCCAATGACCCTTGGCAGCAGATCAAGGCCTTCAGATTTTCCCATTTAGAAATGTGGATTTTTTTTTTTTTTTTTTTTTTTTTTAGACTCTGTCACCCAGGCTGTAGTGCAGTGGTGTGGTCATGGCTTACTGCAACTTCAACCTCCTGGGCTCAAGCAATCCTCCTGCTTTGGCCTCCCAAAGTGCTGGGATTACAGGCATGAGCCACTGTGCCCATCTACTTTTCTTTTTTTCTTTTTGAGATGGAGTTTTGCTCTTGTCACCCAGGCTGAAGTGCAATGGCGCGATCTTGGCTCACTGCAACCTCTGCCTCCTGGGTTCAAGAAATTCTCCTGCCTCAGCCTCCCAAGTAGCTGGGATTACAGGAACCCGCCACCATGCCTAGCTAATAATTTTTGCATTTAGCAGAGATGGGGTTTCATCAAGTTGGCCAGGCTGGTCTGGAACTCCTGACCTCAAGTGATCTGCCTGCCTCAGCTTCCCAAAGTGCTGGGATTACAGGCTGAGCCACTGCGCCCGGCCAAATCCATTTTTGCTGAAGAGCATATGCCTGTACAGGATAATGCCAGACAGAATATACACCCAAATAGTGTCAACATGGTCAGCTGTGGGTGGTGGGATTAGAGAATTTTTTCTTCTCTTTCCTTTAAAAAACAAACATAATCTACACTGCCTGCATTCTTTGTTTCTTTTTAAAAATACCACCCAATCAGAGAAGAGGCCTGCATTCTTTTTACATGTATTACTTTTATAATGAAAATATATACCCAGTTCTGTGTTATAAATTGCAGTCTGCAATGTTCCACATATCCACTGAGTCAAAGAAACGCTATTAAGTACTGGGAATCCAGCAAGGGAGAACTGTCACCCAGCTAACCCCAAAAGAGAACATTGACAAAATGCTTTCAGTAGAAGCAAAATCCTGAATTGCAATGTTGGGATTTGCATTCTCATCAACAATCCTGCGTGAGGCCAGCATCCCAGGATTATCTGGATTAGTGTGTATGAGGATTATAGAGGTGCACTCCAGACACCTAGTAAACATGTTCCTGTCCTCTGTCCTGGAATGACTGTACACTGTTTACTGGAATTCAGTACAATCTCACCTGGGCCCAGGCCTCTCACACCCCCTTTAAGGTTGGCGATCTTCCCTAACCCTTCAGCCTGGAGGGAAAGGCTGGACCTTCTGGGCCCTGCCGTTCCTTGCTGTCTGCTCTCGGTTGTTTCTGTGCGACTCAACTCTGAGTGACTATGAGTCATTCTTTCTAAGAAAGCCTCACTATTGAACTGAAATATGCTTTGGCCTCACAGAGCTGCTTTGTTTCCTTACAACCACAACATGGGCATCAGTACATTTTAAAGCATTTCCTCAAAAAATCAACATTCATGACAAACTGGAATTATATTTAGGTCTATGTTGATATGTTCATGAGCTAAACCTGAAAACATTTTTATCAGTCAGCCAAGTTCATTAACTAGTGTACTGAGCTGGAATTTAAAGGACACCCTACCACTGGCTCACAGCTCTGCACCATCACCGAGAACAGAAACCACATCGGATTCAGAGTCCTACCTCGTGCTCTTGGAACCGGATTTACAGAATGTCTCAAACCACAAGCTTCCTTTTCTGGACACTGGCTCCGATAAATAGGATAAGAACCTTTGCACCGCTCCTTAGAGGGCTGGGATGGATCCCACAGGAGCAGTGCCTGGTCCCTGGACCACTAGCTTCCCAATGCACACATGCACTGTTGGCTGCTGGCTGGCTGGCTTCCAAGCCTCTGCTAGTCAAAGCTCTCTCTCCCACTTCCCTTCCTTGACCAATTTCTGTTTGGAGGACACTGCTTCCAAGAAGTTGTCTGTCTCCCCATCTTGGAGAAGCCAAGGCAGCCTGCTAAGCAAATCTCCTTTTAGCATCTTCAGATTGACAGATTAATGGTACTATGATACTTCCCTAAGTTTGATTTCAATTTTACTAATAATACGTGGTTTTTTTTTTTTTTTTTTTGAGATGGAGCTTCGCTCTTTTTGCCCAGGCTGGAGTGCAGTGGCACAATCTCAGCTCACTGCAACCTCCGCCTCCCAGGTTCAAGCAATTCTCCTGCCTCAGCCTCCCAAGTAGCTGGGATTACAGGTGCCCGCCACCACACCAGGCTAATTTTTTGTATTTTTAGTAGAGACGGGGTTTCACCATGTTGGTCAGGATGGTCTCGATCTCTTGACCTCGTGATCCACCCGCCTCAGCCTCCCAAAGTGCTGGGATTACAGGCGTGAGTCACCGCACCCAGCCTAATACTTGTTATCTTTTAAACAGAGTCAGAACAGGCCAGGCACAGTGGCTCACACCTGCAATCCCAGCACTTCAGGAGGCCGAGGCAGGTGGATCACCTGAGGTGAGGAGTTCGAGACCAGCCTGGCCAACATGGTGAAATCCCATCTCTACTAAAAATACAAAAATTAGCTGGGTGTGGGGGCACACGCCTGCAATCCCAGCTACTCGGGGGGCTGAGGGGAGAGAATCACTTGAACCTGGGAGGCAGAGGTTGCAGTGAGCTAAGATCGCGCCACTGCACTCCAGCTTGGGTGATAGAGTGAGACTCCGTCTCAAAAAAACCCCAAAACCAGTCGGGACAGGTAAACTAAAGCAAATTGGTGACACCTGCACTCCTACAGGAAGAGACCATTCACCTGGATTACTTTATACCATGACACTCTCCCCACCTTTACTATGTAAAACAGCTTAATCTCTGAACTAACAGGGCAGGGGGATCCTGCAACACACTGAATCCAGATGTGATTGGATGGCCTAAGTAACCCTTCTCAGGAAAAGAAGTTGCTTCTCAGCCATGCTGTGGACAGAGGGGCCCTGCAGAAGGAGCGGCTTCTCTGATGGGCAGAGAACCCACAGAGGCAGGGACAACTGGCATGCAAAATTAAGAGACAGAAGGAACACAAACCCTATGCCAGGAATAAAAACGAAATAAAACTCAGTACTCAAAGCACCCAAACTCTGGAGGAAACTCGAGTCTCAACCTCCCCATTTCCCCTGATTCCATCCTGCAAAACTGTTCCCTCCTTTCCACTTAGTCCCATCCCTCTCTTCATGCCCCAGTCACAATCTGGATATACTGGGTTTGGAAGGATGGGAAAAATGCTAAGATAATCCTACTGTGGAAAATATATCAACACCCCCAAAGCAGGAACCAGCTTTGGTGTTGTACAGTCATCTTCCCAAACCTAGCTAATCACAACTACCTGTGGGATCAGTAAGATTCCTAGGACCTACTAGAGAAGGGGTCCCTGATCCCTGGGCAGCAGAACGGTCGTGGTCCGTGGTCTGTTAGGAACCAGCCTGCACAGCGGGTGAGAGGCGGGCTGATGAGTGAGCATTACCATCCGAGCTCCACCTCCTGTCACATCAGCAGCAGCATTAGATTCTCATAGGGTTGGAAACCCTATCGTGAGCTCTGCATGCAAGGGACCTCGGTTGCGCACTCACTGATCATGCCCGATGATCTGTCACTGTCTCCCATCACCCCCAGATGGGACCATCTAGTTGCAGGAAAACAAGCTCAGGCCTCCCATTGATTCTACATGATGGTGAATTGTGTAATTATTTCATTATATATTACAATGTAATAATAGAAATAAAGTGCACAATAAATATACTTGAATCACCCCAAAACCATACCCCCTGCTCATCTGTGGAAAAACTGTCTTTGGTGAAACCAGTCCCTGGTGCCAAAAAGGTTGGGTTCTGCTGTACTAGGGAACTTCAGAATCACTCTCTGGGCCTGGGAATCTGTACTTAAAAATGCTCCTTGGTAGATTCTGATCAGAGATTTGTGAAGCACTGACAGAGAACAGGATGAAGCCCTAACTCCTATGTGGTAATGTTTCCACAATGCTGATGTGCTACAGGAAGTAAGTTCCCTTTATTATTAATATTCCCAAGCGGACAATTTCCTAAGTAGTAAATTTTTTTTTTCAAGTTGGCAGGAAATAATTTCCCACTTACTGTCTTTCCATGTGGAGGGACTTTAGCCAGTGTTTCTCAGAGTAGAGGAGCACTACTGCACTTTGGGTTGGACAACTGATTGTGTGGCACAGCACAGGACATTTACCATCCGGGCCCTTACTTTTAAATACCAGTGGTGATCCCCAGTGATTGTGACAACCAAAACACATCCCCTCACATTCCTCAGTACTCACGCACCACTTAATGATGTTTTGGTCAACGATGGACTGGGTATACAATGGTGGTCCCAAAGATTATGATACCGTATTTTTACTATACTTTTTCTGTTTAGATATGTTTTAAATACAGAAATACCACTGTGTTATGACTGCCTACAGTATTCAGTACAGTAACATGCTGTACAGGTTTGTAGCGAGGAGCAACAGGCTACACCATATAGCTTAGGTGTGGAGTAGGCCATACCATCTTCATTTGTGTAGTACACTCTCTGATGTTCACACAATGATGACATTGCTTAACACATTTCTCAGAATGTGTCATGGCCGGGCCTGGTGGCTCATGTCTGTAATCTAGCACTTTGGGAGGCCAAGATGGGAGGATCATTTGAGCCCAGGAGTTAGAGACCAGCCTGGGCAACGAAGTGAGACCTCATTGCTATTTAAAAATAAGAACATGTCGCTATTATTAAGCAACAGATGACTGTGTTCCTAGGATGTCAGGTAACCCCACCGAGAGCCACTGTGCTGCACTGCTGTTCCCGACCTCTTGCCCTACCATCACATGAAGCCCAGCTTTTGGAGCGAACTGTTTTAATAGACAGATTCTGCATCTTCTTCATGCGTCTGCCCACAGGGAGTGTGTTCTGGCTGCTGTTTCCAGCCTGGCCTGTGCCTGGGTGGCTCAATCTCCTCATGTCACGGATCTGATCTCAGAAGTATTTTATTTACACACAGGAGGGGAAGGAAGGGGCTTTTAGCTTTCCCTAAACATCTGCAACAATAACTCAATCTTAGAAATAAAGTAACTGATTTATAGTTATTACAGGGAATACAAACATTATAATTCCGCTCTTCCATTTAAAAGATTCCTTTCATTATGTTCCTACTGAAACAGAATGTTACTATTTAAAGAGAAAGAACTTTGACGAGCATTTTTTATTGAACAGTTTTATTCTGTTTTAGAATAAAAACTTTGCTTTAATATTGTAAGGGGTACTGCAGGTATGCCATGCTGCCAGTTATTGCTGGGGCACAAAACGCCCCAGTCAGTGATTCGGAGGGCTGGGAAAACGCATAAACTCATAATTTCAGAGCAAGTAGAACTAGTATTTACAGTTTTCTTTCTTGAAATTGGCCCGGGACATCTCCAACAGTCTACACATGTATTGCCATGGTACTTGCTCTGATGCTCTGAATGCCTCGGAACTGTGTTCAATATCATGATTTGTGGGTCCTCTAAAAGGTTTTGTTGTTAACATGCAAGCAAACAGCACTGAACAATATTGTCTAAACTATGGCTGCCAAGTACTGGATCTTCATAATGAAACCAAATTACAAAACACTGCCTTGTAGAGCTATACAAAAGATATAAAATGAAAATAAAAAATGTCAACCAGCCTTAAATATTCCAATTCTCCTACAGTGCAGTTTCTATATCTTTATCACTACTGAATGTTTTAAGGAGAAAGTTAAGAAAACAATCAAAATATTAGATAAAAATATTTAAATCTTTGGATCCTTTTATTCCATGGCCTTCATAAAAACACAAAAGTGGCCAGATTTTTCCCACTAGAGCTTAAAATATCAAAAAGATTCACTAGTAATTTATAATTAGCAATGAACTCTATACTGAGTCATCTGTGGGTCATCATAGGCCCAAGGACCAGTGTTGCCGTGTGTTACAGGCTACCAAAATAATTTCTAGCACTCTGAATCCTCTTGAAATATGATGGAATGAGTCAAGGTATCATGACTAAATTCCAGGCATAATAGGAAAAACAGGTTCATTGATGCCTAGTTTTAAAGTCCTACAAAAGGGGGGAAGATTACTTATTTGAAAATACAGCTAAGTACATTCTCATCTGTGATTATTTACATTTGTATACTGAAAATATCGATTATCTGGACAGATCCTGTGATATGCCATTT
Source organism: Homo sapiens (assembly GCF_000001405.40). Lineage (NCBI taxonomy): Eukaryota > Metazoa > Chordata > Mammalia > Primates > Hominidae > Homo > Homo sapiens. The sequence continues at coordinate 34,228,291 of NC_000019.10, read as the reverse complement.
GCTACAAAATGAAGTTCTTACAATGAGCATGAATAATTAATCCTTTTTAGATAATGAAATAATGTATCAAATCTTCATTTATGTTCCAAACATTAAAAAACAAAATCAAAAATGTTAAGCCTGGAAAACTAAGAAAAAAAGACCCACCCATAAGGCTGCTGCTCAGCACATCAACTTCTGCAAGGACACAGTATGTTTGCTGACTTTAAAATGTTTATTCTTTAAAAAATTAGTTGCTTTTTATACAGCTATACAAAGTTCTTAATGTTTCTTTGGCAATGGAATATAATGGAATTTTACAACTATATAAAAAAGTTACCTTTGCCTAAGAAACAGTATTTACTGTGTGTACATAGTTGACTGACAAAATTCTCTACCATCCAGCACCCTAATTAATTGACGAAATAAGCTACCTCATATTACAGGATTCCCCAAAAGAAAGGAGGAAAAAGACACACACATACACACACACACACACACACACACACACACACACACACAACCTTCTGTGGCTCAAAACACAGTATCACGGCCCTATCTGCAGGCAACTTGCAATTGCCAAATACAATTTAGTGATAAAAAAAAAAAACCTTTCAGTGATGAAAAAATACTTGTTAAGTCCCACTGAAGTACTGCTTTAGTTTAACTATACATAAGAAATTACTTAACCTTCTGCTATTCCAAATATATTTAATGCTCATGTTTTAAGATGAGCCTTCCACCCCCAAAAGTAACTGCATTTTATCTTTGAAATTAAGCGGAAAAACAAACAAAAAACAAAAACCCAGTGCTGGTGACAAATGTACAGCGAATTCACTTCTTCATTCTTTGCAAAGACTGAAATCAATGTTCAGGACCATGAAGAGCTAGAAATTCACCTATTTTCAGAGACTTGTTTGTAGACTATGCAGCAACTTTGTTGTCTTTCTAAAAAAGAAAAAAAAATTTAGCTCATGTTCCAAATTATTGGTGTATTATTTTCTTTTTACTTTGCTCAAGTTTATTTTAAATTATCTTTAAATATACTCCCCCACTTTTACTTTCATAGAAAAACCTGTCTCACTCATTTCCACGAAACTCCTTCTATAACTTCCATACTCAGTAGTACCTCATTGTTGACTGCATCTTCCAGTCAGTAGAGGTTAATGCAGTGGTGAACCCCACCCCAAAATACAGGCATACTTCCTCATCTTTGGTTGTTCTCCCTAATAATTTTTTAAAAGCAGTGATAGGACTTAAACCCTCAACTCAATAGTCAAACTCATCAAATACAACTGTCAACATACTTTGAAACAAGTTTCATAAAATCCCCAAGTCTTTGATGTCTTTACTAAGCAATAAAATACCCAGTCAGTATAACATTTCTCTCCAAAATTTCATGCCAGGAGGAAGCAATGGTTTAAAAATCAATTTTACAAGGATAACTCTTAAATCTGAAATAAGCTCTGAAAAGTAGAAAGCTGACTGGGGAATTTTTAAAAAGTAACCAGTGAGGAAGCAATAAAAATCTCAAGATTTCCAGAGAGACTGACCCTAAACTAAAGGCCTGTACAAAGGGCTGGAGCCAAGGGCTTTTATTTTCCTCTAGACCAGCTGCTACCATATACCTGGTTTTTACTGCTGATTCTCACCCCAACTGTTAGAAACAGACATTTCCTAGGTGAGACTTAACTTCATCTGTGTATACAACACCAAAACATTTGCACCCCGTTATTAAACTGAAATACATATGGTATGGCATAAGTTGACAGCAATGAGCTACAAGATGAACCTGCTGTCCCCCACAAAGCCAACCTTCACACCTCCCAAAGTATTTGTTTTTTTTACCTTTCAGAAAGCAGTACGATCAATCCAGACCTTTTAGGGTCCAAAAGCTGTGGTTTTCTGAAAGGTAAAAAAAAAAAAAAAAAAAAAAAGAGAAAGAGATGGGGACAGGAGAGGGAGAAAGGAGAAAATGAAAGGGGGAGAGGAGAGAGAGCATTATGCTGAGTCATTCAGACACCTTGTTGTCTTTGAACCCCATCTGAGGAAACACAGATGTGATTTTTATCACCCACCATGGTGGCTTAACCTCCCTGACAGCAGCATATAAAACAGGAGCTGGTTACATTATTATTGCTAGTCCTGATTTCCATTCTCACCTCAAAAAAGAATGGGCGGTGGGAGGGGGAAAACACCATACAACCAAACTTACCATAAGGTTATATTTCTTTCTTTTCTTTTTTTTTTTTGAGACAGGCCTCGCTCTGTCACCCAGGCTGGAGTGCAGTGGTGCGATCATGGCTCACTGCAGCCTTGACCTCCCAGGTTCAACTGATCCTCCTGCCTTAGCCTCCTGAGTAGCTGGGACTACAGGCATGTGCCACCACTCCAGCTAATTTTTAAACTTTTTTATAGAGATAGGGACTCCTTATGTTGCCCATGCTGTCCTTGAATTCCTGGGCTTAAGCAATCCTGCCCTGGCCTCCCAAAATGCTGGTATTACATGTGTACACCATTGCACTGGCCTATATTTACAATATTACCCTTAAGGAAAATCAGGCCACAAGTCAAGAGAGTGAGTTTTGGATTTGTTAGCTTGTACCTCAATCATGACAATTAACTTCTTGGGGTCCTTAGTTTCCTTATCATCTAATGTGAGTGTGGTAGCGTAGAGATTCTAGTTTGGCTGATTCTTTTAAGGATTCTAAAACTTTATGATTTTATCTTTACCCATGTTTTCATTAAACAACCAAGCTCATTTATGCTTACCCCCAAACCACAATGACTCATGCTAATATAGCACAAAAAATAAAGCCAACTCATTTCATGAAGGCTGCAGAAATGTCATCCATGTCCATCTCTGGGAGGAAGTGTTAGATGTTTCAGATACAAGTTTAATCTTCAGTGGTAAATCTCCTTTATGTGACAGTGATCACTCACCATTTTCTACCTTTAAAGGTGCCAGGTGAAATGATTTTATGATTTAGGAGGTGTAGGGCTGCTGGGTTCGGGGCTCTAGTGGCAGATGAAAGGATTATTCAACTCTGGAATGAACAATCAAAGGCTAGCTACATTGACAGACCTTTGGTCTCACTGAAGGCTGGAGTGGCAAATTCCTAATCAACATGACAAGCAATTACTTCAAGCCCACTATGGCTCCATGTTGAGCTGAGTGTTGTCATGGAAAGAAAAGTAGAATACATATTCACTAAAGCCAAGAGGTTCTCATCTAGCTGGTGATGCAGAACAAAACTAAATACAAAAAATAGGGAATGTCAGTGTATTTAAAATGTGTGCCAAAGAAAGCAGATAGCCACAGGTCAGAAGAGGAGGAAATCAGTGTAGGAAGGAAGAGAAGACAGAGCAAAACTTGGGCAAGGCTGTAAAGGATAAGTGAAAGGGGGGACCTGACTTTTAGCTATGTCTGTCTCCCACCAAAATGTAAACATCAAAAGGGCTGGGCCTACATCGGTCAGCACCAATGCTCAACATAGTGCCTGGCATATCTGAAGAATTCTGTATATTTGGTAAATGAATGGGGATGGAGTTGGAATCAAGCACAATGTGTATGTGAGATAACCATGAGGCAGCTTGCTTGAATCAGATAGGTTAAAGGGTAATGAGGAATGAGGCCAAATATATCAAGTGGGATCCTCACACAATTAAGAAGAGCAGGGACTACAATGTCACAACTGAGCCTCCTAAACACTGGGCCATGCCTGAGGGTTCGCTGAGTCCATCACTCCTGGCAACACCTAAGCAGAGGCTGGACTATCTGTCAAGGATACAGGAGCGTAGACAAAGATGCATGGAGGTAACTATGACAATGCATTTTCAATTCTGCAATATATGTGATACGAGTTTTACAAAAGGCTCAAAATGATAAACAGTGTGACATGGTGTCAAAAAAATGTTTGTATTAGTAACCACATGGAGCACACACAGTTACTGCATGGAAGGTTTGTTTTTTCCTTTTTTTGAGACGGAGTCTTGCTCTGTCGCCCAGGCTGGAGTACAGTGGCGTGATCTCGGCTCACTGCAACCTCTGCCTCCCAGGTTCAATGATTCTCCTGCCTCAGCCTCCCGAGTAGCTGGGATTACAGGTGTGTGCCACCACGCCCGGCTAATTTTTTTTATGTTTTTGGTAGAGACGGGGTTTCACCATGTTAGCCAGGCTGGTCTCGAACTCCTGACCTCAGGTGATCCGCCCACCTCAGCCTCCCAAAGTGCTGGGATTATAGGTGTGAGCCACCACGCCCAGCTGAGATTGTAACAGTTAGAACATCCCTGGGGTGGGATGGATGCCCTTGGGAAGAGTAAGCTCCCAGCCCCTATAAGAGATACTGCAGAAGAGGTTTATGTTTTAACCAGGTCAGACCTCTCAGATGTTTTCCAACTCTGAAAGTTTAATGATCTTTAAAAGGTGTTATTTCAGAATAAATGGTGCAACTCTTTATTCACAAATGTCAAAACCAAGGGTCTGAAAGGTCATACTAGTAACTACTGCTATTATTCTCATCTGGATCCAAGTCTAATTTAAATGTACTTTTTCTCAGACCAAGCTGACTCAATGTGGTCTTCAACAAGGAGTTGTCACAGGTTGTTCAAAATGTAGCTGATCTGCCTTAAAGTGGGGTAAAGAGAGACGAAGGTCTGAAGCCCAACTGGTGGGTTACCATGGTAGTTGACAGGGACATCTCAAAGGAATAAATGGCAACAGGCCACAATCATGGATACCTCTAGTGCCTGGGCAGTATACCATGAGCCAACATGGAACACTGGGAGGAGGCAGAGCTGAGATGACAGGAGAGAAGGAAGATGATGAGATCAGTCTGAGGAAGGTTAAGCTGACAGCAAACAGTGCAGATAGAGATGCGGTGCAGAAACACATAGGGTCCAGGACAGGCTTACAAAAGGGAGGATGGAACAAGCACCATGGCACACCTATAAACCCAGCACTTTGGGAAGCTGAGGTGAGAGGATCGCTTAAGCCCAGGAGTTCAAGACCAGCCTGGACAACATAGTGAGAGTGGGACCCAGTGTCTACAAAAAAAATTAAAAATTAGCTGGGCATGGTGGTGCATGCCTGTAGTCCCAGCTACATAGGAGGCTGAGGTGGGAGGACTGCCTGAGCCTGGGAGGTTGAGGCTGCAGTGACTTATGATCATGCCATTGCACTCCAGTCTGGGTGACACAGCAAGACCCTGACACCCTCCACCCCCCAAAAAAAAGAATGAAGAGTATTAAAAAATTAGGAAGAGTATAAATTGAAAACCTAGAAGAGTATTTTAAAGACTAGGAAGAAAGACCCCAAATTGGGTGGTTGGTCAGTGTCAAATATTGCAGAGGAGTTAATGGCAAATAAAATATTTGTGAAAATACTACTGCTGAATTCTGTAAGCAAGGTGTCACTGGCAAACTTAAGGGCAGTAACAGTGATAAGCGAGGGCTATTCTGGAGTTCCTAAGACAGATTCTCCTAGCTGGGAAGGTGATTTTGCAAGTCAGAAGTCCCGCAACTACATAAGGCCACCAACGGCTGGATGGCATAAGCTGGTGACTTGAGTATAATTTTTGGCAGTCTTGGCTGTGATGGCACAATATCAAAAGCATTAAAATTAATAGAGCAGGTCCAAAAGCCACTAATACTGATCTCTTTCCAGAGAGATCTCAACAATGGCCAGTTTTAAGTACTGGGCAATGGAACTCCTGCTAACAGGTCTTTCTGTTTCCAGCTGCCTGTTGCTATTACAAGTGGAACTCTTTACAAGATTTTGGTCCTTTCTGTTATAGCCCTTCCTCTCCACTACTTCTAAAATCAATAAACTAAGATAGTTTACTGTTAACTGAGATAGTTACTATGCTGACTTAATTTACAGACACCTGTCAAAAGCTACATTATACACATAAGGCTACTATACAGAGTTACAGAATTCTCTAGCAGTAGCTCCTGAAGGCCAATATATCGAAACATTTTCAATTTCATGGTGAAAGGAGAAAACCAGGGAAAATGTAGTGAATTTTCAACAAAACCAAATTAAGAGTACTGACTCAGGAAACAACTTGCTGGGCTCAACACCCAGCACCATCACTTACTAGCTATGTGACCTTTCGCAAGTTACTTAATATCTCTATACCCATTTCCTCACTTGTAAAATGGGGATAATAATAGAACCTACCTCACAGAGTTGATGTGCAGTTTAAATAAGTTAATATGTAAAAAAATATTTAAAACAATGTCTTGTTACTTGGTAAATACTATATAAATGTTAACTGCTATTAAATGTTAAAGCTTGCCCTTCCATTCTGGGAGTATGTGCTTCCTAGATAGACTCTTTGGGTGTTAAAAGTATATTCTGTTAACATGAAATAAAGGTGATACTATACTGTCTTTTTTTGTATAATGTCTTTATATATACATCTGAATCACGTATATCCTCTACTGAAAAGTCAAAATGGAAGTTATTCTAATGTCCTCAAAACAATTCACCCAAAACAAAAACAAGTAAAAATGTTTTGAGTCTTGTAAAATGCATGTCAACCCCAAAGAATTTATTAACAGTAACACTTACCCTATATTCAAAATCCGCAAACTCCCGGCCCCCACGACCTCCTCTGAATCCACCGCGAAATCCTCGAGGGGCAGTGAAGGTACCACCTCTGCCACCACCACGCCCTCTGCCACCACGGAAACCAAGACCTCCTCTGCCTCTGTATCCCCCACGGCCACGGTTTGGACGAAGTGGGATTCCAAATGTTTCAGCATTTAATCTTCTTTCTTCAGCCCAGGTTGGTCTCCGTTCTCTATTATAAAAGCAAATAATCTTCAGCATATCAGGTTTAAAAGAATATCCCTCAGCCAAAATATGCAGTGCTACTCCCAAATTAAGCCTAAGTAATTACTAAAGCTAATTAGAAATAAGCATCTTGGCTAGGCGTGATGGCTCACGCCTGTAATCCCAGCACTTTGGGAGGCCGAGGGGGCGGATCGCCTGAAGTCAGGAGTTCGAGACTAGCCTGGCCAAAATGGTGAAACTCATTCTCTACCAAAAATACAAAAAATAGCTGGGCATGGTGGCAGGTGCCTGTAATCCCAGCTACTTGGGGGGTTGAGGCAGGAGAATCACCTGAACCTGGGAGGTGGAGGTTGCAGTGAGTCGAGATCGAGCCACTGCACTACAGTCTGGGTGACAAGAGCGAAACTCCATCTCAAAAAAAAAAAAAAAAAAGCATCTTATCTAAGTTATCACGAGTTGTTCATGGCATATGAGTTCAATATGTTCCTGTAATATTCTGTTAAACTTCATGTGAACACATGACTGACATTAGTTTCTTGCAAATACACCTGATAAACATAGTAACAGCTCCAAAATAATGGAAATTCAGATATAATGAGATTGGTAATTGACTTCGCTTTCCACTCAGCCCCAAGGGAAAAGAAGGTAAAGTCAGACAGGGAGGCCTTGTCTTGGGAAGCTAGGAGATGGAAGGTGGGCCCTTAGGTCCCCATTATGTTCCTGGCCCAATCTATGGACCCGATACCAAGTAACCCAAGAAGTATCTGAATTATTGCTGCTGTCATCCAGCCAATCGTGGGACTCAGAATTATGTCCATCCATGTTTATATTGAAGCAAACAACTGCCACCAGAGGGCACCAAACTTCAGCCAGGAAAAGGACAAGGACAATGACAATTTGGATTGGGCAGGAGAACCTCTAGAACTGTTAGTTCCTCACACTGGGTCCTTTAATTAACCTCTCAATAATTTGCCAATTTTCTGGACCCACATTTACTACAATCTGGCAGTTTTATGGTACCAGCAAACTTCAAAGTAGATTAGCACTTCGGTTCTGGCTTCATTTGAACTGTAACATACAGGGGTGAAAAAAAGGTCCTACTTAGACATTACCTAAATGCTTGTTTTAATTGCTAATATTCAAATATGAATATATCCTTAAACAAAAGTATATGGTTATTTCTTCTTTTGAATGAATAATTTAGAACTTTAGTATATATTTTCTTTTAGCAAATAAAACATTAAAAAATCAATTATGGCCAGGTGTGGTGGCTCACGCCTGTAATCCTAGTACTTTGGGAGGCTGATCTTGAGGCCAGGAGTTCACGATTAGCCTGGGCAACATAGCGAGACCCCCATCTCTACAAAAAAATGAAAAAAATTAGCCGGGTGGGGTGGTGTACAACTGTAGTCCCCTTTACTGAGGCTGAGATGGGAGGATTGCTTGAGGTCAGGAGCTTGAGACTACAGTGAGCTGTGACTGCACTGCTGCTCTCCAGCCTGAGTAACAGAGTAAGACTGTCTCAAAACAAAACAAAACAATTATGGTAGTATTCATTAAACCTCGTGAATTTACATGAAACCATTTTACACTTCAATCAATATCATAAGATAAAAGAACAGCTTAAAAACTGTACCTATTGTCATCACAAGAAATATTATCAAAGAAGGATTTAGTTTTGTCATAATAGCAATTAGGTCCAAGTGGATCTTCTTCATCGGCATTTCCTTCACTGTTTTGGGTATCAACTCCTGAGTCTCCTTTATCTTCACCATTTACAGGCTTCTCCTGTTTCTCAAGTTTATCTTCTAAGAACAAAAGCACATATCAGAAAAGTCAAGACAGCTAATCTGAATTACATAAAAACACCTAATCTGAGAAACATCTGTAATTCACAGATCAAATAAGATTATTTTCTGAAAAGAAAAATCAAAGCTTACCTTTTAATTTAAGTTTATTATGAAACTCTCTGTCAATCTCTTCCTTGTTGAATTGTGCATTTGCACTTTCAAAGTCAAAGTCTTTCTCAAATTTCATTGGCCCATCTCGCCGAATACCAAATCTTCCCCTGCCACCCCGATGACCCCCACGCCCTCTCCTTGGAGCTGAAGGAGCACCTGGAGCTATGATAATAAAGAATATATACAAAGGACATTCAATATGTAATAGCTGGTTTAGCACAGATGTTGCTATTGTGCTCTTTAGATTCAACAGTCAACAACAGAAATGCTTACAGGTCTCTCTATATATTTTATTGTATTTGTATTTTTTATACAAAATAAAAAATTAAGTTTCACTAATATTTAATATGTAGACTGAGAATAGCTCACACAAAATTTCTAAACATTTGTATTTATGGAGTCCACACTCACATGTGTTACTGACAGAGTATACAGCCAGGCAAGTGTGGAGGCTTCTGCACTAAATTAATGTATGCTCCTTGAGGTCAGGGGCTTTGTTTTCCTTACTGCTATATCCCCAACACCGGCAAACTGAAGTGCCAGACACACAGTGGGTTCTCAAAATGTAGAAAGCCTTTTATGGAAAGAATAACAGGAACCAAGATTTATAGTAAGAAAAATAAACACTAATCGGCACAAATTGCAAGAAAATAGGTGTTATTTCCACATCACAGATAAAAAACAGACAAGCACCAATCCTTACTGACTCAAAACACTTCCTACTCCATCTTTACTGTGTCTCTCCAGATGGCTCTATATTATTCAAGCCTTCCTGTATCTACACATTCTCTCTCCTCTATAACACAGTAAAATTTCAGCCAATCATAAGAGACATGATAAAGCAATACAAAGCAGCATAATTTATAGTGAAAAACGTGGGAACCCAAATATCCAACACAAGAAAAATGACTAACAAGAAAAAAACAGAGGAAGAATATTTGATGTTAACTGAAAAACGCAGAACAGAAACCAGTATGAGTTTAATGATCACAATTGCGTGAAATGCTCCACACATACTGACAAGGATGAGAAGTGACTACAGGGTAACAAGATAGGTTTGCGCTGTTTGCTGAGGTTTGGCAAACTGCCTGGGTTTGAGAAAACAAACCACAAAACCCCACAGCAGCATATCCAGACATAAATCTAGATAAGTAGGATGTTTGAAACATTCACCTCTACTATTAAAAATGCCTCGGCCACAAGCCAGAATTACACCATGATCCTTCTGTCTTAAAAAAAAATATTTTGGGGCCAGGCGCGGTGGCTCACGCCTGTAACCCCAGCACTTTGGGAGGCCGGGGCGGGCGGATCACGAGGTCAGGAGCTCGAGACCAGCCTGACCAACAAGGTGAAACCCCATCTCTACTAAAAATACAGAAACATTAGCCAGGCGTGGTGGCGTATGCCTGTAATCCCACCTACCCAGGAGGCTGAGGCAGGAGAATGGCTTGAACCCGGGAGGCAAAGGCTGCAGTGAGCAGAGATCGCACCACTACACTCCAGCCTGGGTGACAGAGCGAGATTCTATCTCCAGGGGGAAAAAAAAAAAAAAAAAAAAAGGTTTTGGGTATAGATGTCTGTGTCTGTAAAATCTACAAAAAAAATCGGGAAGAATATGCACTGTTCTGTTAATGAACCTCTTTGGTGGGGTGAGTTTTGAAGGGCAATGAAAGATAGTATGGCAGTTATTTTATTTTGGGAGGGGAGCTCTCTCTTTTTCTGAATAAAAAGGGTAAAATATAATGAGTCAAATTAAACAAAATTCTGTATTCCATGGCATATGTAGTCCCAGCTACTCAGGAGGGTGAGGCAGGAGAATGGCATGAACCCGGGCGGTGGAGGTTGCAGTGAGCTGAGATCGTGCCCCACTGCACTCCAGCCTGGGTGACAGAGGTTGACTCTGTCTCAAAAAAAAAAAAAAAAAAAAAAAAAACACGGGGGGGGGGGATATAAAAATATATATATATATAAATGTAGAGAAGAGTACATATACATCTAAAAATATCATATCTAGATTTCTAAAATTAAGTGAAAGATCATTTTTCAATCATTTTCTAAATAAGGTAGATTATACATTCCCTTTTTAATTTAGAAGAGTTGTAAAATTATAATTTATTTTCCATTAATAAATTTGAAAATATTAATAAAATGAATGATTTTAGAATGTTATATATTACAAAACAGATAAAGAAAATATAAAACCTTATTAAATCAATAATCATAAAAGAAAACTACAGCTCTTAAACAACTGATTCAAAAACAGGATCTGGGCTCAATTTTTTTTTTTTTTTTTTTTTGACAGACTCTCGCTCTGTTGCCCAGGCTGGAGTGCAGTGGTACGATCTTGGCTCACTACAACCTCGCCTCCCGGGTTCAAGTGATTCTCCTGCCTCAGCCTCCCGAGCAGCTGGGACTACAGGCGTGTGCCACCACACCCAGCTAATTTTTCTATTTTTAGTAGAGACAGGGTTTCACCGTATGGCCAGGCTGATCTCAAACTCCTGACCTCGTGACCTGCCCGCCTCGGCGTCCCAAAGTGCTGAGATTACAGGTGTGAGCCACCGTGCCTGGCCTCTGGGCTTAATTTTAATGAGGAAACGTTTCAAACTTGTAACATGAAGAAAATTCCATTCCCAAAGGCATAGAAAACAATGAAAACCAATTTTATAATCCTAACTTGAAACTGACACAAAACATAAAAACCACAAAAGTAGAAGCCATAGGAAAATGTAAATATAAACGAACAAATCCTTCTAGCAGGAAATACTCAAGAACATATTAAAAGATAACTGCCTGGCTGGGTGCGGTGGCTCACGCCTATAATCCCAATACTTCGGGAGGCTGAGGTGGGTGGAAAATAAGGTCAGGAGTTTGAGGCCAGCCTGGCCAACATGGCAAAGCCCTGTTTCTACTAAAAATACAAAAATTAGCTGGGTATGGTGGCACGCGGCTGTAATCCCAGCTACTAGGGAGGCTGAGGCAGGAGAATTACTTGAACCCGGGAGGCGGAGGCTGCCGTGAGCTGAGATCACACCACTGCACTACAGCCTGGGTAACAAGAGTGAAACTCCATCTCAGAAAAAAAAAGGCCTACCACTAAGTAGAATTTTTTTCCAGAAAAGTAAAATTTTTTTTTTTTTGAGACAGAGTCTGGCTCTGTCGCCTAGGCTGGAGTGCAGTGGAGCAATCTCGGCTCACTGCAAGCTCCACCTCCCCAGTTCACGCCATTCTCCTGCCTCAGCCTCCTGAGTAGCTGGGACTACAGGCGCCCGCCACTGCGCCCGGCTAATTTTTTGTATTTTTAGTGGAGACGGGGTTTCACCATGTTAGCCAGGCTGGTCTCGAGCTCCTGACCTCGTGATCCGCCCGCCCCGGCCTCCCAAAGTGCTGGAATTACAGGCGTGAGCCACTGTGCCGGGCCCAGAAAAGTAAAATTTTAAAAAATCTTTTTATTTTAAAGTAATTATAGAAAAGAAAAATTGAAAAACTAGTTCAGAGTCGTCCCTTGTGCCCATCACCCAACTTCCCAAACTCCAACAGTCACATCTTATATAATTATGGTACATTATCGAAACCAAGAAACCGACACAGGCACAATCTAATTAACTAAACTACAGACCTTGCTCAGATGTCACCAGTTTGTACATGTACTCATTTTTTGGTATGTCTTTATGCATAGTTCTATGATGTTCTACCATATATAGATTTGCAAAACTACCACCACAATCAAGATAAAGGACTGTTCTGTCACCACAGTGACACTCCCCTGTGCTCCTCCTTTACAGTCACAACCCCCGCCTTTCATTTTTTTATAGTAATTATGTATCATATATTTAAAATATTCTCCCTGTTGAGAAGCATAGAATATGACTTTTAGATCCAAGAACTTACCTACTTGTCTCTTGTTATCATTTCTGAGTTGCTCATTTTCTGGCCTTGAAACTTTGTGTACTTCAGCTACAGAAGAAGACATGCAAAGTGCCAAATCAACTCAGGGTACATCATCAAAAACTTCCATAGTTAGAAATGCAAACAAACAAACCAAAAAACCCAAAACAAAGCCTGTGCAATGCCCAAAAAACTATACCCACACCACCACCACTTTGAGTCAAATTTGAAAGACCAAACATTCTATCATATTCAGTTTAATTTTCTGGGATCATTCACATGAAGTAAATCCTTCTAATGAAAATAAAGTGAGTGGAAAACATTGATCAGTCAATTAAGGAACAGTAAACAGCTAAAGTTCTACCTCGCCTGTGCTCCTGATTCTCTCCTGCCTTTTGGCTGGCAGATGGCAAAGGCCTGGTTGATACAGGACTCCTTCTCCCAACAGCTGCTGGAGCAGGTAAGTGGGCTGAGGCGGTCTGCACTGCTTGTTCCATGGTTGGGCTTTTTCTCAAAGGGTCTAACTGAGGGCTTGAGCGACCTAAAATGTAACCAAAAGATAACAAACTACCCTATTGGGGATTTCAAAATAATCTAGACCCTAAAAAAAATTGTCCAGAGTTTTATTTCTATCAATTCAAACCCTTAGCACAAATTTGAATTAATCCACTTATCAGACCAGATATTAAGAATGGTATCCTTAGTGGGCTTGTCATTAGGTTAAAAATAAAAAATAATAATAATTTAAAAAAAAACTTCAACAGCTTCAAAACAACTCCCTCCCCCTCACAATTTTATCTGTTATTTCTACTTAGTGGAAGAGTTTACATCAAAAAAAAAAAAAAAAATTGCTGCCAGGTACGAGATTCCCTAGAATTATCCTACAAATTATCATGTTGTAGTCAGGTCAAACACAGGCTTTCGCCAATGACAACCATAAGACTATGGTGACTTGTTTTAATCTTTCTTAGTACTTTCTGTAGATGACTAAAACAATACCTTTACATCTATCTACAGGTATTAACTCCATTAAATTTCTATTATAAGAAAGTAAAGGGCCGGGCGCAGTGGCATATGCCTGTAATCCTAGTCCTTTGGGAGGCTGAAGCAGGAGGATCGCTTGAGCCCAGGATTTCAAGACCAGCCTAGGCAACATGGCGAAACCCTGTCTCTACTGAAAATACAAAAATTAGCCAGGCGTGGTGGCGCGTGCCTGTGTTCCCAGCTACTCAGGAGGCTGAGATGGGATAGCTTGAACCCGGGAGGCAGAAGCTGCAGTGAGCCGAGATTGTGCCACTGCACTCTAGCCTAGGTGACAGAGCAAGGCCCTGTCTCATAAATAAATAAATAAATAAATAAATAAATAAATAAAGTAAAAGAACTACAAAGTTAGATAGGTGAAGTTCTTTAATGCTTTAGGGGCTTGGGTAATTAAACATAAAAACTAAAAGGCCAGCAAAAAAACAAACAAACAAAACCAAAAAACAAACAAAAAAAACCCTTCAGATAATTACACAGTAGCCATACTCATTCCTTGCCTTTTAAAAGATCTCTTGGCAAGTTTTTGCTTAATATGGGGTTTGGCTGGGCGCGGTTGCTCACACCTATAATCCCAGCAATTTGGGAGGCTGAGATGGGCAGATCGCTTGAGCTCAGGAGTTCGAGACCAGCCTGAACAACATGGCGAAAGCCTGTCTCTACAAAAAAAATACAAAAATTAGCCAGGTGTGGTGGCACATGCCTGTAACCCCAGCTACTCAGGGGGCTGAAGTGGGTGGATTGCTTGAGCCTGGGAGGCAGAGGTTGTAGTGAGCCGAGATCGGTCCACTGCATCCAGCCTGGGTGACAAAACTAGACTCTGTCTCAAAAAATACAAATATAAAAGAGCCAAAACAAAAAATGGGGTTTGTACTTATACATTATATTTTTCCTTTTATGAGGTCGCCTGGTCACAGCATGAACTGAAGAATGTAACATCGGGTGCTCCCATCATGCTTTCTGTCCTGATAATGTTTGCTGTACATCTCTGCTTAGGCACTCACATCTCATAATTATTCCAAAATATAATGTTTTGCTTAAAAAAAATGCTCATTTCACGTAAAAAAATCCCCCAAATATGCTGCAAATGTTACTGTCCATCTGTGCATATTTGCAGGTGTCAAACAACTGGTGAGTGCTGACAATGCATTATTATGTACCTAGATGATTCAGGGATAATTTATTAGTAATATTTCCCCAATTTATGATTATCTAAAGTATGCACTTACAAATGTGCAATACCATTTCAGCCATTAATGGCAAAGTTAGCCAAATAAATGATCATTTATCAAAACCCAGAAACCGACACAGGCACAATCTACTTAACATTTCAAAATTAAGTTACCACTAATAGAAGCATTACAATTTTTCCACTGGATTATAATGGGAAATCATGGTTTATGTAAGTTTTGGCCTATGAAAAAAACATTTTATAATCACTTATAAAACACATTTTGTTTTTTGTTTTTTAGGGACAGGATAGGGTCTTGTTCTGTTGCTCTGGCTGGAGTGCAGTGGCGCAATCACAGCTCGCTGCAACTTCTAACTCCTGGGACCCAATGATCTTCCTGCCTCAGCCTCTTGAGTAGCTAGGACTATAGATGTGCGCTACCACACCTTGCTAATTTTTTTTATTTCACATGTCTTCCTGAAAAAGCCTACTGCTACAGTTAATTTTATGGTACTACATTAAATCATCTTATAAGTTTATAAAACTTCTTTATCAAGGCTTTTGAGAAAAGATCCTATGGCTCACAAGTACTACAGAAGTACAAGCAATGGGGCAATCGGAGCAAGTACAGAAACATTTGTTGTGTACTTAAAAAGCCTTTTCACTATTAAGGCCTACTAATCATCATGATGCCAGTTTTGTTATAAACAGGGAAATACAGGTGATACTGTGATACTGGATACATTATTAGGAATAAATCCAGAAGTGATTTCTGCATATTATAGACACACTCCCTTGAGCTATCTTCACAATCTTATCACACTTAAAATTCTAGGAATTTTAATTTTGTGAAATTCAGCAATTTTAGTTGATAAAACTTAAATGCAAACTCTTAGGACTTGTCATTTGTCATAACTTTATGTAAATACACCTCTTTCTTTTAATAAACACATACTTCAAAATTTTTAACATTTTAATCTATTTAAAATTTATATATTTTTTGGTGCTCAGTATGAGGGAAAGAATCTAGAGTGACTTTCTCCAAATGATCAGGCAACATTATTAATTGGAACAGACAGCCTTCTCTCCACTAATTTAAAATAATACCTTTATCATCTACTAAATTCTTTTAAGATGAATTCTTGCTCTGTTGCCTAGGCTAGTGTGCAGGGCCGCAATCACAGCTTGCTGCCACCTTAACCTCCTGGGCTCAAGCAATCCTCTAGCTTCAGCCTCTCAAGCTGATAGGCGCACACATCACGCCCAACTAATTTTTAATTTTTTTAGAGACAGGGTCCTGGTATGTTGCCCAGGCTAGTCTCAAATCCCTGGCTTCCATCTTGAACTCGCAAAATGTTAGGGTTTCAGGCATGAACCACTGCACCCAGGATAAATTCTTATTTATACTCGGATCTGTTTCTGCCTGCCTATTGCTTTCTATTCATCTCTTTCTTTTTTCCTGCATTGCTACATTTTATTATCATGTCAGTAAACCCATTACTTTTATTTTTCAAATATGTCCAGCCACACTTCCATGTTTATTTTAAAGATAAACTGTTTTACTAAGTTCTCCTACTATTCTATTTGCATTGATTTTTAATTAATTTGCAATAAATTTGTTAACTATGAGGAGTAAAGTCTTCCCAACATCTTTTTTTTTTGGGGGGGGACAGGGTCTTGGTTCTGTCGCCCAGGCTGGAGTGAGGTAGTGCAGTTAGGGCTCACTGCAGCCTCGGCCTCCTGGGCTCAAGTGATCCTCCTGTCTCAGCCTCTTGAGTAGCTAGGACCACAGGTGTCCACCATCATACTCTGCTTATTTTTAAAATTTTTTGGTAGAGATGAAGTTTCACTACGTTGCTCAGGCTGGTCTCAAACTCGTGGGCTCAAGTGATCATCCTGGCTTTGCCTCCCTAAGTGCTGGTACTGTTCTTGTTCTTCTATCTAGCAATAAGATATGTTTTTTCCATTACATGCAACTTTTATGTCCCTGTCTTACATTATTTATCATAGAAGTTGGTCATATTTCTTAGTATGACCAACTTATTTCTTATTATATATTTTGTATACAATTTCTATTTTGCATTACTGTAATCATCTTTTCTCCTCATTACATAATCAATGGATTAGGCTTTAGGACTATTAAATTTTTTTTTTTTTTAAGATGGAGTCTCGCTCTGTCGCCCAAGCTGGAGTGCAGTAGCGTGATCTCGGCTCACTGCAACCTCTGCCTCCCGGGTTCTCCCACCTCAGCCTCCTGAGTAGCTGGGATTACAGGTGCACGCCACCATGCCCGGCTAATTTTTGTATTTTTAGTAGAGATGGGGTTTCACCATGTTGGTTGGCCAGGCTGGTCTCGAACCCCTGACCTCAGGCGATCCGCCTGCCTTGGCCTCCCAAAGTGCTGGGATTACAGGCATGAGCCATCGTGCCCGGCCAGAACTATTGACTTTTGTATATTTAATTTACATTTTGCCTGTGCCTAATTTAAGTTCCTTATTAGTTCTCATTCTTCATGAATAATGCTAATTTCAATATTTATGCTTCTTTTTCATGTGTTCCTGATTTAACTAAAAATTCCAGAATAGGCCGGGCACTGTGGCTCATGCCTATAATCCCAGCACTTTGGGAGGCCAAGGTGGGTGGATCACTTGAGCCCAGGAGTTCCAGACCAGCCTTGGCAACATGGCGAAACCCCGTCCCTACAAAACTAGCTGGTGGTGCTTGCTTGTGATCTCAGCTAATTGGGAGGATGGCCTGAGCTCAGGAGGTAGAGGCTGCAGTGAGCCATGATCACACCACTGCATTCCAGTCTGGGAGACAGAGCAGGACCCTATCTCAAAAAACAAACAAACAATCTTTAGAATGTTTAAAAATTAAGCAAGTAGGCTGGACGCAGTGGCTCACATCTACAATCCCAGCACTTTGGGAGGCCAAGGCAGGTGGATCACTTGAGGTCAGGAGTTTGAGACCAGCCTGGCCAACATCACGAAACCACATCTCTACCAAAAATACAAAAAAATGAGCTGGGCGTGGTGGCACGTGCCTGTAATCCCAGCTATTTGGGAGGGTGAGGCAGGAGAATCGCTTGAACCTGGGAGGTGGAGGTTGCAGTGAGCCGAGATTGTGCCACTGCACTCCAGTCTGGGTGACAGAGCAAGACTCCATCTTAAAAGAAAAAAAAAAAGAAAAAAATTAAGCTAATCAATATGAGTAACAGTAAGAACTATTTCAAAATATCTTAAGTGAAATACATAAGATTATGTTTAGCATTGAATTTTTACCCTTAATAGCTTTTTAAAATACTGTCTTGTGACTATAGGTCTTTCTGAAATGACTCAACATTGTTTTACTTAAAAACAAAACAAAACAAAAACCATTCATATAAAGCAATGAGCCAAAAATACCCATTTCTAAAGTGCATAAAAATAGATAAGGAAAAGCCGAGCATGGTGGCACAAGGCTGTAGCCCCAGCTACTGGGGAAGCTAAAGTGGGAGGCTTGTTTGGGGCCAGGTGTCCAAGGCTGCAGTGCACTATGATCACATCTGTAAATAGCCACTGCATTTCAGTTTGGGCAGCATAGTGAGACCTATCTTTAAAAAAAAAAAAAAAGCCAGGCCCAATGGCTCACGCCTGTAATCCCAACATCCCAACACTTTGGGGAGGCCAAGGCAAATGGATCGCTTGAGCCCAGGAGTTCGAGACCAGCCTGGGCAATACAGGGAGACCTCATCTCTAATAAGTAAATAAAAGAAAGAAAAAGATTAAGAAAAAAGGAAGAAACAAAGATAAGAATAAAAGGTATGGATAACCATTTAAAATTATGAGACTGGCTGGTTGAAGAGCAGAATCTTAAGAAATAAAACAATCCTTTAAGAAGCTTATTAAAATATAAATCCTCAGGCTCCAGGGATTCTGATGTATAAGTCTCAGGATTTAAATTTTTAAGAAGCACCCCAGATGATTCAGTTGTGGGTAGCCTACACTGAGAACCACTACTCTCCATCCTGTGAGGATGTTAGGGAAAATGTTAACAGCATAATACAGTTTTTTTCAGATGATATTTCCAATTCATCTTGGATAGCTCAACTTTAATGGTGAGTATGAGCCTAATTTGATATATTTAAGTGTTACATACAAGTTATATAATTGCTTTGCAAAAAAAGTCCAACTTAGAGAATGCTCAGCATTTCAGTTTCATGATCTAAGAACTGTAATAAGTCTAAATAGTGAGAGTCATTCAATAATATATTCATTGCAATACAGCGATTTGGAGAAAAATTTTAAAAGAGCCAAATAGAAATTATACACGCGATTTACAAGCTGCAAAAGCTCTTACATTCAGAAAGACAAAAACCACTATAAAAGTTTAGAATGGAAATATTTTAGGGATGAGATAGCTTACCTTGAGATAACTGTGTTTTTAGAGATCTTGTATCCTGTGTAAAGGCAGAACCAACCGCACTACTTTGGGGTAAGGTACCACTGTTTGATGTTTCTGTTCCAAAGGATGTCAAAGAGCTTCCAGCTTAAAGAGATGTTTTTAAATGATAAAAAAATTTTAAAAAATGTTTGACATTATTCAATGATATAAAGTAATGCAGCATTTTAATGATGGTAATTGTCTACCTCTCCCCCCAGCATCTGTACAAATTAATAATCTTGGAAATTAAAGTGTACTGAATAGTTTGGGAATTTTATGGCAATATGGAGGGCAGGGGAAGGGGGAGCCAATATACTGTCCACTATCCTTGGATGCAAGCAATGTTTATAACACATGGAGTGCTGTCCTAGGCAGTTATGCAGATGGGACAGCAAGGACCCATACCAACTAGAGAAGTAGCAGAAATGGTACATTCAACACCAACATTAAGGTTCAGTGATTCTAATACTAAGTATCTGGACAAACAGCCAAATCAGCAGACAGGTTTACGAGGAGCTTTTTTAGCATTTCCAAGGCAATAGACAATGGACTCTGGTTTCAATGCTTCCCCTTAAGATAGGACTGTGAGGCTGCATTCTGCCTAAAGCAGCTGCAAAAAGTTCTGGCAATATGAGTAAAAAGGTCCCTAGAAAGGGCCCAATTCTCTGCCATACTAGGTTATATCAAATTTCTTCTCTAAGTTTCTACAGTACTTAGGGATCATTCACTTTTGATATACTGTGCTCTTTCCTTGGTATTTCATCTAAGCAGGTTTTCACTATATTTCAACAGTACCTCCCCCTTCCACAACCTCTAAATCCAACCTAAAGATGGTAGTCAGAGTGATTCTTTACAAAATATAAATGTAATAACATTATCGTGCTTTAGACCTTCTGGTGGCTTCCACTGTCCTCAAGATAAAAGTTCAAACTATTCACTTCAGTTAATAAAACCTACCTCTTCTCTCAACATTTTCTATATTTTCACCAGTCTAGCCCACAGCAGAAGTTTATCCTTCTGCTCCTAAAACACATGAAGATTACAATCATGCCCCTTGCAATTTGCTCATTTTCAGGTTAGTCAACTCCAGTCCCTTCAACCATTACTCACTTCACATGGTCTTTAGGACACTCTCCCCTTCCTTTCTTGGACTCCTAATTTAATGAATTCTATTTGTTCTTATCCCTCTTAAAATGTGGCTTTAGGGCCGGGCGCAGTGGCTCACACCTGTAATCCCAGCATTTTGGGAGGCCGAGGTGGGCAGATCACGAGATCAGGAGTTCAAGACTGGCCTGACCAGTATGATGAAACCTCGTCTCTACAAAAATTCAAAAATTAGCTGGGCGTGGTGGCGCATGCCTGCAGTCCCAGCTACTCAGGAGGCTGAGGTAGGAAAATTGCTTGAACCTGGGAGGTGGAGGTTGCAATGAGCCAATATTGGGCCACTGTGCTCCAGCCTGGGTGACAGAGTGAGACTCTGTCTCAAAAAAAAAAAAAAAAATGTGGCTTCAGAAAGCAGCACAGTATCTTAGACAAGGGGAGCCACTGGGACTCCCTTGGAGGTGCAGTCCAGTCTGGCTGCAGCTCCAGTAAGCTCAGGAGAAGCCTAATACAACTTCCCACAATATCCCGGTAATGTGGGGACTAGCGCTTTCAAGAATTCTGTGGGGAGTAGAACCCATCCAGTTATTTCTAGTATTCCTGGGTGATGACCAAGACATCAGCCACTTTGATGTATATTTGCATCTCCAGGCTGCTCTGTGTTTCCTCACCTGGCTTGGCCTCCCATTGCTTGTCCTCTGGATTACGCATTCAATGGTTAGAGCAAATCTCTTCCGTGAGTTCCTGATCGTGCCACACCCCCCTCGCTCTACTCCAATTCTACTACCAATTTATGTCTATAATCTATTCCAAATTATTTTTAATTTATAGTTTAAGCCAGGGGTCAAGTTTTATTTTTTCCACAGATAAACAGCTGCTGCAACACCTCTTGTTAAAACAATGTCTTTTCTCTCCATTGAACTGTCTTGGTACTCTGTTTTAAGTATCTGAGTGGGTCTATTTCTGGATTCTCTATTCTTTATTCCTGGTCTGTTAACGTGGTAAGTTACAACTGATTTTCAAATGTTGCAGCTTCGCAGTCCTGAGATAAATCTTTGTCATCATATACAATCCTTCTTCTGAAGTGCTGGCTTCTACATCTAATAAACATTACTACGTTTATGTTCATGGGGGACAATGATCTATAATTTTCTTGTAACGATCCAGTCACAGTTGGTATTTCAGTTATTTGGCCTTGGTTATAGGGTCAGCAAATATTTCCTCTTCCTGTATTCTCTGAATTTTCTTTTTTTCTTTTTGAGATGGAGTCTTGCTCTGTCGTCAGGCTGGAGTGCAGTGGCGCGATCTCAGCTAACTGTAACCTCCGCCTCCTGGGCTCAAGCGATTCTCCTGCCTCAGCCTCCCGAGCAGCTGGGACTACAGGCGCGCGCCACCATGCCCAACTAATTTTTTTTTTTTTGTATTTTTAGTAGAGACAGGGTTTCACCATGTTGGCTGGGCTGGTCTCGATCTCCTGACCTCGTGATCTGCCCGCCTCGGCCTCCCAAAGTGCTGGGATTACAGGTTTGAGCCACCGTACCCAGTCTTTTTTTACTTTTTAAGAGACAGGGTTTTGCTCTGTTGCCTTGGCTGGAGTGCAGTGGCACAATCATGGCTCACTGCAGCCTTGAACTCCTGGGCTCAAGAGATCCTTCTGCATCAGCCTCCTGAGTTACTGGGACTACAGGCATGCATCATGGTGCATAGCTATCTGAAAGAGTTTGTGTAAGATTAGTGAAAATTATTTCTTCCCTAAATGTTTGGTAGAATGTAACAGTAAAAACAGTCTAGAATTTTCTTTCTGGGTGATTTTAAATTACTGTTTCAATTTCATTAGAAGATATAGAGATATTGAGATTTTATTTCCTCTTGTGTTGGTTTGCTATTTTTCAAGAAATTTGCCCACTTCATCCAAACTATCACATTTGTTGACATTCATATATTCCCATATTATTCTTTTAAGGTCTATACTGACGTCTACTCTTTCATTCCTGGTATTGGCAACTTGCTTGGTTGTTCTTTCTTTCCTTAATCAGTTTTGTTAGGGACTTATCAATCTTATAAAATAAAAATAAAAAATAAAAAAACCCACCCAAAACAAACTCTTGACTTTGCTGATAATATAATCTATTTCTACTTCATTGATTTCTGCTCTTATCTTTTTATTTTCTTCCCCCTCTACTACTTTTGGAATAATTTTCTTTCATTTTTTTTCCTAGCTGTCCCCTGGCGTCCTCACCAACTTTTCTTAGAGACATGGTCTCACTCTGTCACCCAGGCTAGAAGGCAGTGGCACAATCATAGTTCACTGCAACCTTGAACTGCTGGGCTCAAGGAATCCTCCCACTTCAGCCTCCCAAGCAGTTAGGACTAAGGGCATTCACCACCATGCCCAGCTAACCATTTTTCCTAGTATTTTTTTTTTTTTTTTTTTTTTTTTTTTTTGTGAGATGGAGTCTTGTTCTGTCGCCCACGCTGGAGTTCAATGGTGTGATCTCGGCTCACTGCAACCTCCGCCTCCCGGGTTCAAGCGTTTCTCCTGCCTCAGCCTCCTGAGTAGCTGGGATTACAGGCACCTGCCATCATACCTGGCTAATTTTTGTATTTTTGTAGAGATGGGGTTTCACCATGTTGGCCAGGCTGGTCTCGAACTCCTGACCTCAGGTAATCTGCCCGCCTTGACCTCCCAAAGTGCTGGGATTACAGGTGGGAGACACCACACCTGGCCCTTTCCTAGCTTCTTAAACTGGTAGCTTAAAGCACTGATTTTAAAAATTCTTATTTTCTTTTCCTTTTTATTTGAGACAAAGTCTTGCCCTGTAACCCAGGCTGGAGTGTAGTGACGTCATCTTGGCTCACTGCAACCTCTGCCTCCCCAGCTCAAGTGATTCTCCTGCCTCCGCCTCCCAAATAGCTGGGACTACAGGCGCATGCCAAGACGCCTGAGTAATTTTTGTATTTTTAATAGAGACGAGTTTTTATCACATTGACCAGGCTGGTCTTGAACTCCTGACCTCAAGCGATCTGCCCATCTCAGCCTCCCAAAGTGCTGGGATCATAGGCATGAGCCATTGCGCCCAGCCGAAAATTCTTGTTTTCTAATACATGTATTTAAAGCTATGAAAATTTTTCTAAACACTGTTTTAGCTACACCCACAAACTTTCTGGTCATTAAATTGAAAATAAAATTTTTTTAATTTAATTTTTTCTTTTTAGAGAAAAGGTCTAGCTCTGTCGCCTTTCCTGGAGTGCAGCAGCAGAATCACAGCTCACTGCAGTCTTGAATTCCTGGGCTCAATCAAGTCTCCCACCCCAGCCTCCTGAGTGCTAGGACTACAGGTATGTACAACCACACCCAGCTACTTAAATTTTTTTTTTTTTTTTGCAGAGACAAGGTCTCCCTATGTTCCCCAGGCTGGTCTTGAACTCCTGGCCTCAAGTGATCCTCCCACCTTGGCCACCACCCAAAGTGCTGGGATTACAGGTGTATGCTATCACATCTGGTCTAGATTTAAAATATTCTCTAATTTCCCTTGTAAATTCTCCTCTGATCCATTAGTGATTAACAAGTTTACTTGATACCAAATTATCTGGGGATTTTTCAAGTTAACTTTATTAATTTCAAGTTTATTTTGTGGTTTAACAATATACCATGTATGATTTTATTCCTTTTGGAATTTAGTGTGACTTATTTTATGGTCCAGCATTTGGTCTATATTGTTGAGCAGTTCATGTCTACTTAAAACAATATTCTGCAATTGTTGGGTATACTGTTTTATAAAAGTTACACATTTAGGACTGTTGTATCTTCTTGATGAACTGATCCTTATCTTTACGAAGAACGCCCCCCCAACCTTTACCTCTGGAAGAAATCCTGATCTTTAAGCTCCTTTGTCTGATATTAACGTATGCTACACACTTTTCTTGTTATTGCTGTTTGTATGGTATACCTTTTTCTATTCTTTCACTTTCAGTGCATTTCTTATAAACATAATATAGTTGGGCCTTGTCTTTTTTTTTTTTTTTTTAAATTCAGTCTGACACTCTCTGCCTTTTAACTGGAATGTTTAATTCCTTCACATTTTACCAAAGTAGATCTTTAACAATCTTTCTTTCTTTTTTTTTTTTTTGAGACAGGGTCTCGCTCTGTTGCTCAGGCTGGAGTACAGTGGCATGATTTCAACTCACTGCAACCTTCATCTCCTGGGTTCCAGGGATTCTCCTGCCTCAGCCTCCTGAGTAGCTGGGATTACAGGCGCACGCCACCAAGCCCGGCTCATTTTTTTTGTATTTTTAGTAGAGACAGGGTTTCACTGTGTTGGCCAGGCTGATCCTGAACTCCTGACCTCAAATGATTCACTCGTCTCAGCCTCCCAAAGTGCTGGGATTACAGGCGTGAGCCACTGTGCCTGGTCTGATCTTTAATAATCCTTAGTTTAACATCCATAATGGTTGAAACACCCCCCTGGCTTTATGCTAACTGTAAAGTTCGTAAGCATCTCTTCAAGGCTTCATCACTCAGTGATTAAAAATTAGTCTCTACAAAACACTGGAGACCTAAGAGAACCATCCTCCAATATGGTTTGGCTATTTAATCAACTAAAATGTACCCACTGATGGTCTATTCAGCCAATACTCCTCCATCTGGCACATAAGATTATGAGACTTAAACAATCAACTGGAGTAAATATAACAGAAAAAACATCTAATTGCTCCATGTTTCTTCACTGTAATCCTTGCTATAGAATTACTTTAGATAGCTGGTCAATCTATACCTTTCACTGTTTCTATGAATCCTTTTTCTAACTGCAGCAGTAAGCTCTTGCTACTGTTCAATGGTAACACAGGGAAATACTGTTTTGATGCTTCATTTATTGTGAGGTGTTTAATTTTTCCAAGAGTTCAGAAATTAAGGCCAGTAATGATCTAATCTCTTACACATAAGAATTATTTTTGCATCAGTTTTAAGAAAAGTCCGCCAGGCGCGGTGGCTCACGCCTGTAATCCTAGCACTTTGGGAGGCCGAGGCGGGCGGATCACGAGGTCAGGAGATCGAGACCATCCTGGCTAACACGGTGAAACCCCGTCTCTACTAAAAAAAATACAAAAAATTACCCGGGCGTGGTGGCGGGCGTCTGTAGTCCCAGCTACTAGGGAGGCTGAGGCAGGAGAATGGCGTGAACCAGGGAGGTGGAGCTTGCAGTGAGCGGAGATGCGCCACTGCACTCCAGCCTGGGCAGCAACAGAGTGAGTCCTTTAATTCTACCTGGTATATTATTCTTCTCAATGTATGAGAGTATATATTCTTCACATACTTGCCAAGAGTATGCATATAATCAAGCTTTTGAGTTTTTGCCAAACTGATAGTGAGAAATGGTGTCTCAGTGTAGATTTAATTTGTATGTTTTTCACTATAAGCAAGATTTTTTTTTTTTTTTTTGAGACACAGTCTGGCTCTGTTTCCCAAGCTGGAGTGCAGTGGCGTGCTCTTGGTTCATTGCAACCTCTACCTCTCAGGCTCAAGCAATCCCCCCACCTCAGCCTCTGGAGCAGCTGGGATTACAGGAGTGTGCCACCATGCTTGCCTAATTTTTTTTTTTTTGTAGAGCCAGGGTTTAGCTATGTTGCCCAGGCTGGTCTCCAACTCCTGAGCTCAAGCAATCCTCCTGCCATGGCCTCCCAAAGTGCTAACGTCTTTGTACTCCAGGCTGGGCAGCAGAGCAGGACTCAGTCTCAAAAACAAAACAAAACAAAACAAAACAAAAACCAAACCAACCAACCAAATGGAAAAAAAAAAAAAAAAAAACTTACTAAAAAGCAATAATAAGGGTGGGCATGGTGGTTCCCAACACTTTGGGAGGCGGAGGCAGGCAGACTGAACCCAGGAGTTCGAGATCAGCCTGGATAACATGCTGAGATGCTGTGTTTACCAAAAATACAAAAATTAGCTGGGCATGATGGCACATGCCTGTAGTCCCAGCTACTAGGGAGGTTGAGATGGGAGGACTGCTTGAGCCCAGGAGGTCTAGGCTGCAGCGACCTGTGGTTGTGCCACTGTACTCCAGCCTGGATGACAGAAAGAGACCCTGTCTCAAAAAATAAATAAATAAAAATAAAAAGCAATAGTAATAACACACGAAAACGTAAATATATAAAAATTTTCTCATCAAATAGCAATACTGTGATCCAGATTCATTTAAATTTCCTTTTAAAATCAGAATACTAGGAACCAAAAATGAAAAGAGGCCTAGCTTAAAATGTGGTTTACTTTGTGCCAACAAAAGCTAAATTTGGCTGGGCATGGTGGCTCACGCCTGTAATCCCAGCACTTTGGGAGGCTGAGGCGGGCGGATCAAGAGGTCAGGAGTTTGAGACCAGCCTGACCAACATGGTGAAACCCTGTCTCTACTAAAAATACAAAAATTAGCTGGGCGTGGTGGCACATGCTTGTAACCGCAGCTACTCAGGAGGCTGAGGCAGGAGACTCGCTTGAACCCGGGAGGAGGGGGCTGCAGTGAGCTGAGATCGCACCACTGCACTCTAGCCTGGGTGACAGAGCAAGACGCCATCTCAAAAAACAAGCTAAATTTAAGTTAATTCCTTTTCTGAAAAACATCTGTCACCTTGACCAATGCCACAGCTTTCCTCTTCCTCATTTGGTAACTTCTAACACTAGTTTTCTAATTAGCCACTCCACAAATTATCCTAACCAATATGGAAATCAATTAATCAAAAATAATCTGACCCTGCAAAAATTACTCTACTGACATGGAAAATGCCAGTAAAATCTTCTACTTTTGTGACACCCAAGTAATAAACCAACAACCCACAATAATATTAAAATTAGATTAAAATATTTATAAAAGCATTTCACAACCACAAAATACTCTGATTAAAAAGTAAACCTTGAAGAATGGCAGAAGCAATAGTTACTATATAGATACTACGTGCTTGATCCTGTTCAAATTTTTTAACATAATTAGTTACATAAACTTCATGGTAACATAAGAAGTATAATGATGATCTCAAAGTCAGTTAACTATTTAATTTAGTCAAAGGAGCCTCAAAAAGGATAATACAATTTGCAATCATTCCTTACTTGAATCCCCAGGAAAGGATTCTAAGTTACAGTTAACATACAGTATATCTTGATTTAACATGAATAAATAACATTGATCTTACTACTGGATTTGGAAATTTATGGACCAAAGTTACACTATTTCACCTAAAGTAAGTCTAAAAGGAATTAATTTTTAATTATGAAAAATGTCAAACCTATGTTAAAATTGAAGGAGTACACAGAATATCAATATATTCCTCACCTAGACTCATCAACTGTTAACATCTAACCAAACCCACTCTGTTTCTCCATCTTTATACCTTAATATACACATTTTTCTTTTGTTTAGAGAGGCTAAAATCAATTTGGCCCTTTTACTTTTAAATACTTCAAAACCACCTCCCCCAAACAAAAACACTTTCCCATATGATTAACCAGAAAATTAACAATAATAACAAAATCCAACAATTAGTCCATACTCAAAAGTTCCTTAGTAGTCCCTAAAATGTTCTTCACACCAACTTTTTAAGTTTTCTTTTTCTCCCCTGCAGGAAACAAACACGCCAACTTTTTAAAAGCCCAGTATTCGATTCTATATTACATTTGGATGTTATGTCTCTTCAGTCTTTGCCAGCCTAAAGCAGTTCTGCTGCCTCTCTCCATTCTTTGTAATATTGAATCTTTTGAAGAGTGTGGATAACTGTCTCGCAAAACAACCCACCTTCTGGATATATAAGCCCATTTCTTCAAAATTAGATTCTGTATTTTCAGCAAGAACCCCACAAAGGTGATATTATGTTTTGCCCCCCACCCCAATCATCACAACAGGAGACACATAATTGTTCATGGCAATGCTAAACTTGAGCACTCAACGAAGTTGGTAACCACCAGATGTCTGTGTTACAAGGGTACATTTTTCCCCCTTTGTAAATTGTGGGATGATACTTTAAGACCACCTTAATATGCTGTCCTAACACCTTTCACCCAATGACTTCAGCATCTAATGATAATCCTCGCTAATTATTATACTGAGATTAGAAAATGGCAATTTTCTTTATCTACCACTGCTTCTACTTATTAGCAGGCATTTTTATATGAAAAAAGTATGTCTTTTCCTTTGTTTTTCAATGGGCCCTTGTTCCTTTTAGTGGGGAGTGGTATTTAGAAACTAAGAGCTGAGTCTACATGTGTCCCTTGCTACGGGGTTTCCATTGTTTCTAGGTCCTTTCTACGAACAGAGCTAGGAAATAACCAGTTTTTAAAAAATGAGTCCATACACATACCATCTATTTACATTCAGCACCACAGGGTTCTTTCTCACCTTTCCCATTCCATATTTATATCTTCCGTCTCCATGGTAAAAACACTATTTCCCAACATAAGTATTTTATTCATTTGCCCTTTCCTATAATACATACAAAACAGTTTAAGAATTAACACCTGGCTGGGTGCAGTGGCTCACACCTGTAATCCCAACACTTTTGGAGGCCAAGATGGGCGGATCACTCAAGGTCACAAGTTTGAGACCAGCCTGGAAAATATGGGGAAACCCTGTCTCCACAAAAAATACAAAAGAAAAATCTAGCCGGGAGTGGTGGTGCATGCCTATAATCCCAGCTACTCGGGAGGTTGAGGTGGGAGGATGGCTTGAGCCTGGGAGGCGGAGGTTGCAATGAGCCGGGATCGTGCCACTGCACTCCAGCCTGGGTGAGAGCCAGATCTTATCTCAAAATAAATAAATAAATAAATAAATAATAACACCAATAATACAAATCAAAGTCAAGTTTTCTTAGTAGTTCTATTTGTTGTTAGAATATATCCTACTAAGAGTGTAAAAGTTACCTGAATTATTTTTTCCTCTGTGTGGTTTTTTTTGTTGTTTTATTGAGACGGAGTCTCACTCTGTCGCCCAGGCTGGAGTGCAGTGGTACGATCTTGGCTCACCGCAAGCTCCGCCTCCTGGGTTCACGCCATGCTCCTGCCTCAGCCTCCCGAGTAGCTGGAACTACAGGCGCCCACCACCACGCCCGGCTAATTTTTTTGTATTTTTAGTAGAGACGGAGTTTCACCGTGTTAGCCAGGATGGTCTCGATCTCCTGACCTCGTGATCCACACGCCTTGGCCTCCCAAAGTGCTGGGATTACAGGCGTAAGCCACCGCACCCAGCCCTCTGTGTGGTTATATTATCAATTTAATATGTAATAGCATCTGTGGTTTCTGTTTATATTCATTCAGTTTTATTTATTTATTTATTTTTAGACGGAGTTTTGCTGTTGTGGCCTAGACTGGAGTGCAATGGCACGATCTCAGCTCACTGCAACCTCTGCCTCACAGGTTCAAGCGATTCTCCTACCTCAGCCTCCCTAGTAGCCGGGATTACAGGCATGCACCACCACCACGTCCAGCTAATTTTGTATTTTTAGTAGAGATGGGGTTTCTCCATGTTGGTCAGGCTGGTCTTGAACTCCTGACTTCAGGTGATCCGCCCACAGCCTCCCAAAGTGCTGGGATTACAGGCGTGAGCCACCGCGCCCAGCTCATTCAGTTTTAGTTTGCTTTTTTTTTGCCATTCTTTGTTATTTTGTGAATAAGTAAAACATTTAAATACTTAAGTCACATCTGTATAAAAAGTATATTCACAGGAAGGAATTTAACAATTTTAATAAAACTTATTAGCATATCAATGAGTTTCAAGATACACCTGAAACTAAATTTGTGGTGCAGTGAAACAGTAAACTGATAATTATTTCAATGAAATTTTAAAAGATTAGGGGCAAAAGCTTGAGATTTAAAGCTGTTTTTTTTTTTTTACACTTGAGCTTAGCCAAAAGGCTGAGAAGCGATTTTTTTTTAAAAGCTGTTCTTTACCATGGTTTAAACGCTAAAATGCATAGCTATAAAAACAAAACACTGAGCTAATCTGATTACATCCAGCTTTTGCACTCAATAGCCCTTGACCCTCCAGTCATAAGCAAGCCTGTCATTCGCCCAGCCCTGCTATACATTCTCATTATAGTTTCGTTTCAAATCCAGTGTTACAGAAACAAAACACCAAGCCCTCAATCATGCTATGCGTATCTTTATGTGTGCATGTCTTATGTATGTTTAAAATAAACATTTTTAAATGTTTTAGGCCGGGCTTGGTGGCTCACGCCTGTAATCCCAGCACTTCGGGAGGCTGAGGTGGGTGGATCACTTGAGGTCAGGAGTTCGAGACCAGCTTGGCCAACATGGTGAAACCCCATCTCTACTAAAAATACAAAAAAATTGGCTGGGAGTGGTGGCGCACACCTGTAATCCCAGCTACTCAGGAGGCTGAGGCAGGAGCACTGCTTAAGCCTGGGAGGTGGAGGTTGCAGTGAGCGGAGATCATGCCACTGCACTCTAGCCTGGGCAACAGAGCAAGACTCTGCCTCAGAAAAAAAAAAAAAAAAAAAAAAAGAAAAAGAAATTAAAAAGAAAAATTTATTAATTAAAATCCAGGCCAGGCGCAGTGGCTCACACCTGTAATCCTAGCACTTTGGGAGGCCGAAGCAGGTGGATCACCTGAGGTCAGGAGTTCAAGACCTGCCTGGCCAACACAGTGAAACTCCACCTCTACTGAAAATACAAAAATTAGCTGGGTGTGGTGATGCATATCGTAATCTCAGCTATCTGGGAGGCTGAGGCACGAGAATTGCTTAAACCCACGAGGTGGAAGTTGTAGTGAGCCAAGATAGTGCCACTGGACTCCAGCCTGAGTGACAGAGTGAGACTTTGTCTTTAAAAAAAACAAAACAAAACCAATTACCAATAAGATTTGGTAGATATTGGATATACCTAGTATATCCAATTTGGTAGATTTGGTAGATATTGGATATACCTAGTATATCCATTTTTTTTTTACCTAGTAAAAAAAAATGTTACTCTGTGAAAGCTGACTTTTAAAAACCCACTAATATCAATAAAGGCTTTAAGATATCATCAAAATGTGTTCTGAATACCATAAAACAAAGTTACAAAAGGAACATCAAACAACATTTCTAATAGTTGGTGTTGAGTTTCTATACCTTTGTGGTAAAGAAAGGAAGAATACAAAAACAAAAAAAGAAAAGAAAAAGAAAACATACCAACACCAACAGCACCAAACTGCTGCCCAACTAAGGAACTCGGACTGAACTGACTGTATGTGGGCATCCTGCCGAAAGGTCCATAAGAACCCATGGACTGGAATGAAGAAGTCGATGAGCCTAGTGAGGACTGAAGGAAAATCATGAGTTATGTTTCCAAGCTCTAAGCAACATGTATATAACGAAAAAAAAAATTCCAGATTTTTACTTTTAAGAAAACTATTAAATTATAACTACTAGATATAAAATGAATTACAATATGCACTTAATATTAAAATAGCCAAACAACCTTTTGATTTCAGTATCTGTCTATAATGTGCCAATTATACTCAATGTGACTTACAAATACTTTTTTCTACAATAAACTCCCCATTTGAATTAAGAGTTTTATAGATTGAGGAAAGAATTAAAGTTACTTAAGTAAAGTAACTTTGCTTAAAGAAAAATATGAGAAAAATCACACTTAGTAATAATGAGTTTTAGTCTGATGTTGATATAAATCTCACGTATGATTTTACTCTTATTTTCAATCATTTGAGGCCTACTATTAAATTCACAGACGTAGAAACAAACATATCCCACATAAAACCATTTACATTTTTACTTATAGTTACATTAAGCTGAGGAACATTTTATAAAAACTTTAACTTAAACCTAAAGCATATAAAATATATAACATATATTAATACATGTATACTTCATATATTATCTTACTATAAACTGTTTCATAATATAAACATGAAGTGTATTAAAGGCTACCAGGACATACACTCACTGATGGCAGGACCTTTTCTGTGTGTTCACCACTAGTGTTAAGCACATGCCAGATACTCTGTAAATACTACTGAATGAATGAATAAGGAGATCAAGTAGAAGTTT
The DNA here is from genome assembly GCF_000001405.40 of Homo sapiens. Classification (NCBI taxonomy): domain Eukaryota; kingdom Metazoa; phylum Chordata; class Mammalia; order Primates; family Hominidae; genus Homo; species Homo sapiens. The sequence goes on along the minus strand of NC_000019.10, from coordinate 34,195,884 downwards.
ATGATGATTGGAAGAAGTTATTCAACACCATTTTCATATGCGCTCTCTTAGTTTTTCTCCTTCCATAAAACCGATTACTCAAATAACTGGTTTCCTGGAGAATTATCAAAAGCCATATAAAAGAGACAGTAAGGTAACTCCAGTGTTTGGTGTAGGGAGCTATCTCTATTAAGAATGTGTCTCTTCCTTCTCCATTTAAAGAGATTCACATTTCCACTTCAGGCTTCCTTTCACCAAAATAAGACTTAACAAGGGTAGGGGTAGATGAGAGTAGAGAATTTCTCCAGCTTATGCTGCAACAAAATTTACAATTCCTTATTAAAAAGCTTAAATTGGGAGATTTAAGAGCTGATCTAAATATGTTAAAATACATTGATGTTTGTGTTTTCTTATTATATAACATTGCAGGCCAGGCACAGTGGCTCATGCCTGTAATCCCAGCACTTTGGGAGGCTGAGGTGGGCGGATCACCTGAGGTCAGTAGTTTGAGACCAGGCTGGCCAACATGGTGAAACCTCATCTCTACTAAAAATACAAGAATTAGCCGGGTGTGGTGGTGCATGCCTGTAATCCCAGCTACTCAGGAGGCTGAGGCAGAAGAATCACTTGAACCTGGGAGGCGGAGGTTGTAGTGAGCCGAGTTCACGCCACTGTACTCCAACGACTCTGTCAAAAAAAAAAAAAAAGAAAAAGAAAAACAAAACAAAAACCAACACTGCATATTATAACATATGCAGAACAATGTGATTTTGCTTTTTTTTCCCCATTAAGCCTAATAATCTTACCTAAGAGTAGCTGTTATTGCCTTGGTTTGCAATATAAACCATATCTCAATAGCATGGTAGCACGGATCCTAGATTCTGAAGCAGGCTGCCTGGATCTGTTCAAATTGTGGCTCCATCTGAACTTCCTCACTTGTTAAAAGTGAGAATAATTATAGTACCAACCTCAGAGGGTATCTTATATGCACAGCACTTCTACAGAGTAGCCTTCAATGTTAGCTATGGTAATTGTTGTTGAAATTAGAAAATATTTCATAATAAATTCCTCAGCTGTTTCTTACCTTAGTTCTAATTTATGATACAAAGAGAAAAACCTAGATGAGAACATTATCCAGTAATTTCAGGTATCCCAGTAACTTGGAAATGATAAGCTACATGAACATTCAACTAGAGAGAAAAAAGCCAAGGCTAACCCTGTGCGGAGTTTACCTGTACTCCAAGACAAATTTACCATCAGTTACCTGAACAATAGCTGGGTCTTGAGGCAAAGAACACTGTGGTTTTGGTGGCTCACAAACAGTAAGGTCTTTAATGTCACTCCCACGGAATATAATGTATTCAAAGACTTCATCTCGAGGTGGTATTGGACGATCTGTCGGTCTGTCTTCTGTACCAAAGGATCGAACTGGCAAGAAAACAAAGGATATGAGATGTGTGACTACTCATCACATTCAGGTAGTACCCCAGATTCTAAATGTTGTATTTCAAGTACTAAGCAGTAGTTCTGAAATGTCTGAGAAAGTATTCATTAATCTATAGCTAAAAAAGTTTTTTTAAAGAGGAAAATAGAGTGGCTTTTGCCCGAAGTTAAATATATGCAATATAAAAGACTATCTGTATTATGAGGTTGTGTTCCTCTTATATTTTTATTTATTTGTATCTTTAGTGGTTGTAGTGGGGTGTTAAAATGTCCTTTCATTATTTATTTATTGATGAGACTGGGTCTCTGTCCCCTAGGCTGGAGTGCAGTGGTGTGGTCATGGCTTCCTGCAGCCTCAGCTTCCCGGGCTCAGGCGATCCTTCTATCTCAACCTCCCACGTAGCTGGGACCACAGGCATGTGCCACTAAGCCCAGCTAACTTTTTTTATTTTTTAGTAGAGATGAGGTCTTGCTATTTTGCACAGGCTGGTCTTGAACTCCTGGCCTCAAGTGATCTTCCTGCTTTAGCCTCTCAATGTGCTGGGATGAAAGGCCTAAGCCACTGTGCCTGGCTCACGGTTAACTTATTTTTAATGTCCTCATTCGACAAAATAAAAATTAGCAACCCATGTCTTTCTTGGGGAAGGAGTGGGAGACAAAGATTCCTCCAGTCTACAAAATCTCAAAGTTTGGGTATTGACCTTTGGGACACAGAGAGCAATGAAGGTATTAATAACATTTACCTTGCTGAGCAGTAAGTCCTCTAGAAGCCAAGTCAAGCAGCTGCCAGCTACTCAGCCCCATGGGACAGCTTGAAATACCCTAGTTACCTAAAATATCTACCATATAATTAAATCTGATTATTTTAACAATGAAGACAGCATTACTCAAAGTTAAACTGGGGACCACCTGCAACACAGTAAACTGGCTACGAATAAAGATTTCTACCGAATCTTTTTGCTGGGGACAGGGTCCAAAAATCTGCATTTTAAGCCAATTTCTGGCTAGGCACAGTGGCTCATGCCTGTAATCCCAGCACTATGGGAGGCCAAGGTGGGAGGACTGCTTGAGCCCAGGAGTTTGAGACCAGCCCTAGCAACACAGTGATGTTCTGTCTCTACAAAAAAATAAACATTTTTAAAAATTAGCCAGGTGTGGTAGTGCATGCCTGTAGTCCCAGCTATAAGGAGGCTGAGGTATGAGGATCGCTTGAGCCTGGGAGATTGAGGCTGTACTGAAGCGTGGCTGCACTGCAGCCTGGGTGACACAGCAAGACCCTATTTCAAAATAAGTAAATAAAATAACCAAATCCCCAAGTTTCTTATAAATACATAAGTTTCAGGTTCATTGTCCTGGGAGATTTCTGAAAATGTCTGCATCCATACAGAAGTTCCAAATAGAGAATATGAAACATCATATTTCATTTAAAGAGTACCCTAAAGGAAGTAAACCCCTTAACATTTCTATTTTTTTTCTTTTTTTTTGAGATGGAGTTTCATTCTGTTGCCCCAGCTGGAGTGCAGTGACGCAATCTTGGCTCACTGTAACCTCTGCCTCTTGGGTTCAAGCGACTCTCCTGCCTCAGCCTCCTGAGCAGCTGGGATTACAGGCGTGTGCCACCATGCGCAGCTAATTTTTGTATTTTTTTTTAGCGGAGATGGGGTTTCACTATGTTGGCCAGACTGGTCTAGAACTCCTGACCTCAAGTGATCCATCCGCTTCGGCTTCCCAAAGTGCTGGCATCACAGGCGTGAGCTACCGCGCCTGGCCCCCTTAGTATTTTTAATGCATACGCTTTTTTTTTTTTTTTTTTTTTTTTTTTTTTTTTTTGCAGAACTGATGCAGCGCCTCATGCCTGCAATCCCAGCACTTTGGGAGGCCAAGGTGGGCAGATCACTTGAGGTCAGGAGTTTGACACCGGCCTCAACAAAATGGTGAAACCCCATCTCTACTAAAAATACAAAAAATCATTAGCTGGGCATGTTGGCATGCACCTGTAGTCCTAGCTGCTCAGGTGGCTGAGGCGGGAGGATTGGCTGAACTCAAGAGGCAGAAGTTGCAGTGAGCCAAGATGGCGCTCCTGCACTCCAGCCTGGGTGACAGAATGACAATCTGACTCCAAAAAAAAAAAAAAAAAAAAAAACAACAAAAAGAATGTTATTTCAGTGTAAATAATGTCCTACACTCTTATTCTAAAAGTTCTTTCTAGTACTTATGAGACTTCCAGGAAAGACAGTGGCACAGGTAGTTTGGCAGAAGATCCTTCCCTAAAACTAAAGGAAAGAAACAAAAAGGAAGTTAAAATATCCCTAAAATCATGACAAGTTCTCAAACTCATACCACGAAATTTTATTAAATAGTATCATTCAGGTACAGAATGAGTTAGTTGAAACTGAAAGACCAACCCCAGAATCCATACGTAAGTATCCTCTGCCCTCTCCTGCCCCCCAGAGAAATTTTGACTAGCATCTTCAACTTGCTAAGATGGGGACAGGGACTGCGGAATGCCCTACCTGAAGCTCCCTTTCTCTGATGGCCAAACAGTACTTTAGCAGGCAGGAGGATTTTATATTTTTACCTTTATCCAAAAGGAAGGATAAGGAGGAGAAAGGACTAATTACAAATAAATCAATCTCACCCCTAACCTCAGTACCATCAAAACAAATAAAGTCTCATGCTTCCAAAGTAGCAGATGAGATCATCCTGAAGCAGAGAGGGAAAAAGTCAAAGGCCCTTCTTCTACAAAATTAGAGAAGCTCTATTAAGCTTCCTAAGGCCTAACAGAGCTTAGCCAGGTGAATTCAGAGTCAAGTAAAAAGAGAATCTGCATTTCACGTTTTGGCAAGCAGCAGGTACTGAAAGGACCTACTAAAGAAAAAAAGAGTAGAAAAATCAGGGAATCAAGAAAAATTTTACAGGAAAGATGGAAAGAAGGGAAGAAAAGAGGGAAAGGAGGGAGGCAATGATGGAAGGAAAGAAAAAGGTGTATCAAAATAAAGAAAAAAGGCAGTAAAGAAGAAGAGAAGAATCAAAGAGGACACGGTCTTCATTTACTTATTTTGTTTTTTTTTCCATTACCAGCAGTTTGCCCTGATAGGACACAGTCTTCAAAAGGTAGATGAAATACATTCAGTATTAGTATTTATCACAGAAAATAGAAGAAATTTTCTGAAACAACTGCTTCGACATTCACAAGAAAAACAGATAGCATAGACTTTTATGATCAAAACAACATTGAAAGGGTAGCATGCAGAATTAAGGAAAGAAAATTACACAAGATAAATAAAACAGCATAACTAATAAATGCAACAACAGTCAATGCAGCAAAACCAAATCACTAGAAGAGAATAATTTTGAGAAAAGGTAAACAAGATGTCATGAAAAAGTACTACAGCATTAAAAAGGTTAGAGAGAAGATGATAGTTATGAAGATCCAACAGTTAACTGCTGCCCCTGAGATAGACAAAAGAATAAGAAAAATATAATTAAAGATATAACAGAATAGAAATGTCTTAACATGAAGGCCTAAATTTCATCAAAAGCTTTCACTGTATTTCCAGAAAAAAACAAAACAAACAAACAAAAAACAGACCACTACAAGCCACAGAGACTTATGCTTTGGTATATCAAAATAACTCAAAAAAAGTGTTATCTAAAGATAAGAAATGGACAATAAATTCATTTCAACACAGAAGTCTACATGACAATTTACTTTGGTTCTAGAATAGAAATAGTTCTGGAAAAGACTACAAAGTTACAAAGTGTAACAAACTAAGAACAGTATATCACAACATTTTAACAAAAATTGGGAGATTAAAATGAATGGAGAGAGAGGAAACTCAACAGACAGTAGTAGTATCTAAACTTACACTTTCATCTCTCATCATGTCAAGTAGGAGTCACTTGATACACTTTTTTTTTTTTTGGCTAGTTGATAATAAGCGAAGGCTTTAAAATTTTTTATTTGAAAGAATTTGTTAAATTCTACTATGGGTCTTGGAAATAACCCATAGTAGAATTTAAAACTAAGAGCATACTTTCCAAAATATGGTCTGAAGAAAACCTCTATCATATGGCAAATGAAGCAAACTGAAAAAGCATGAAAATAGAAATCACAGAATAAGAATGATTTGCACACACCAAGAGTTTGAGAAACATGCTCTAATGATGGAGGCTGGCTTAATAAGATTTGGGGTTTTCAATGCAATAGAATTCTTGTAGTATTGTGAAGAACAAATTCCACAAGAGAGATTAGAAGGGCACACGTGGCTAGAAGATACTGTTACAGAACAAATGAGAAGTCTGGAAGATTAAAACTTGAACATTAACAGTAGAAAGGAAGGAGGCATGATAAGCACAGAAAAGGTAAAGAACTACTGGAACTATTCTACTACAACACATACATTAGCTCATATGCAATCAGTAAATAAGGGAATTATGTCAGTACATTCAGAAATCACATTGGTTCATTTCCAATTTTTCCTAAAATGTTATTTAGTTTTTGCATTTGCAGGTAACAACAGTTAAATACAGCTAGCCCTGAGTAGTGCCACCACTTCTGGTCACCTTTACTGTTTTTAAAGGGAAAGTTCTAAATTTACCAAATTATTTGTTTAAAAATTTTAACTTATCTTTAAGCACACTACTATCTTTTTATTAGGTTTACATTAGTGCTTAAATTACAAAGATGCACAGATTTCAAATGGTCTGCTCCTAATCCTAGTTTTCCCATAAACCCTGTTCCTCTTAGTGCAGGAAGGCATACCTCAGATTACAGCACAAATGCCTTTGTCTGGCTGGCAAAATCTGAACTATGTTCTAATCATTTTTTTTTTCATTCATAACACGTAGTACTTTGAGAAAGAACATTGTTATTCTAGTATTCATTTTGGGATTCTACAGCAACTACACATTCCAATGTAAATACCCATAGGTAATGTGACTGGAGTTTTAAGCTGAACATAGGTGCCGTATGTCATTGCATTTCATCCCATTTCTTTCAAATACTTGCTGGGCACCACCTGTCCCAGGTACTATGCTAGATGCTAGGGAAACCAGTTCCTATTCTCAAGGAGCTCAGTCTATTTGCTTACTTGGATTTGATATCACTGAATTGGATTTGAAGGTCCACTAAACACTAAATACCACTTGCAATGCCTCTAATAAGTACTACTATTGGTTTCCTGACATCTTAATCTCTGAAGCTGACACAGCATTAGGCTTCAAAGTAAGCCATACTACTACTATTAAGTAGTATTATGTAGCTGAATAGATACTGATCTGATTCTGGGATATTTTGGGGATTATCATGAATTAACGAAAATGTAGTGATTCAGCAGGCTTAGAATATTTAAGTAATATTAGGCAGGCATTATATTTATGTCCCCACCCTCAGGGAAGTTACAGTCCAGCAAGTGGGCTAAGCACTACACTGGAAATAAAGCACACAATATAGTTTGCTAGGGCTGCCAAAACAAAGTACCAGAGATTATATTATGTTCACACAGAAACTTGTATACAAATGTTTATATCAGCATTATTCAAAACAGCCAAATGGTAGAAACAACCCAAATGCCCATCAACAAAAGACAAATTATGATCTCTATATATCTTATATATATGATATATATATTTAAAAATACATGTAATGAAATATTATTCAGCCATAAAAAAACCACAATGCTGATACATGTTACATCAAGAGTGAAGCGTGAAAGCATTATGCTGAGTAAAAGAAGCTAGACACAAAACGTCACACAGTGTATGATTCCTTTTACATAATATATCCGAAATAGGAAAAACCATGGAGACAGAAAGCAGGTTAGTGGTCAACAGGGTATGGGGGAAATGAAGAGGGATTACTTAATGCCTAGGGGTATTTTAGTAGGATGATGGAAAGTTTTGAAACTAAGGAGAGGTGGTAGTTGCACAACACTGTGACTACACTAAGTGCCACTGAATTGTACACAATATAATGGTTAATTGCATGTAATGTGAATTTTCAACTTCAAACACACATGTGCGCACACACCTACAAATACAGCCTACAAGAGAATACAGAGAATGACAAAAGTAGTTGGGGAGAATGGGGAAACTAGGGGTGGTTGTCCTCTACATTTTAAACTTCATCATGCTGCTACATTGCCCTAATAATTTTTTCTTTCTTTTTTTGAGACAGCGTCCCTTCTCTGTCATCCAGTCCAGGTTGGAGGGCAGTGGTGCCATCTCGGCTCACTGCAACTTTTACCTCCCAAGCTCAAGCTATCCTCCCACCTCAGTCTCTTGAGTAGCTAGAACTACAGGCACACACACTACACCTGGCTAATTTTTGTATTTTTTGTAGAGATAGGATTTCGCCATGTTGCCCAGGTTGGTCTCCAACTCCTGGGCTCAAGCGATCCATCCACCACAGCCTCCCAAAGTGCTGGAATTACATACAGGTGTGAGCCATGATGCCCAGCTAATAATTTTATTAGTCTTAAAATAGAATCAATTTTATATTTCTAGCTTGAAATAACACCAAAGATTTATTAATAGAAATGCATCACATGCATTAAAAAAACAAACAACAACAACAACAACAAAACAGGGTCAAATTATTTGGCAAAATCACTCATCTAATCCAGTCTCCAGATTTAGTTAAGCTCAAACATCATCCTAATGCCAAACTGGTTGTTAGTGTATATAATACTTGTATATAAAATCATAGTACAAGGCCAGAGAAATAAGTTGTAGTGACAAACTTCCCAATACAATACCTCCATTATAAAATACCAAAAATGTTCTAAATTTAAGCATGATAAACATTATATACTTAAAATACATAGTTAAGTGAAGCTAGTACCCTCCAAATGACACTATTAACATTTTCCAGGCTGGGCATGGTGGCTCACACTTGTAGTCTCAGCGCTTTGGGAGGGCAAGGTGGGCAGATCACCTGAGGTTGGGAGTTTGAGCCCAGCCTAGCCAACATGGTGAAACCTCTGTCTCTAATTTAAGAAAAAACAAAAACAAAAATTAGCCGGTTGTGGTGGCACACGCCTGTAATCCCAGCTACTTGGGAGGCTGAGGCATGAGAATTGCCTGAACCCCAGAAGCGGAGGTTGCAGTGAGTTATGATCACACCACTACACTACAGCCTCAGCAACAGAGTAAGACTGTCTCAAAAGAAAAAAAAAAAAATTTCCCAAAGCCTGAACTTTTTTTTTTTTTTTGAGACCGAGTCTTGGTCTGTTGCTTAGGCTGGAGTGCAGTGGCGCGATCTCGTCTCACCGCAACCTCTGCTTCCTGGGTTCAAGTAATTCTCCTGCCTCAGCCTCCTGAGTAACTGGAACTACAGGTGTGCACCACTACGCCCAGGCTAATGTTTGTATTTTTTTTTTTTTAAATTAGAGACTGGGTTTCACCATGTTGGCCAGGATGGTCTCGATCTCCTGACCTTATGATCTGCCCGCCTTGGACTCCCAAAGAGTTGGGATGACAGGTGTGAGCCACCACACCCGGCCTGAACTTTTTTTTGACATGAACTAAAAATTGTAAATTAGACTCTAATGTTAACTGAAAAGAAAAAGAAACGAGTCTGTTGAATACCAAAATTTGAGAGCAACAAATGAAACACTGAAATATCCAAAAGACGCTTACAAAGTTAAGAAACTAAAACCAGGTTCAAATGAAAACTTAGAATAAGATTTATGATGTAAAGTTAAAACTCTTCAGTCCTGTATCAGCTCCAAGACCTGGTCCCAGCATACTCAAACTTAAATTCTAACAAAGCTCATTATTCTCAGTTCACAGATCAGGTTTTCTGTCCTCTATTTTTCTCTCTCCCCCTATCCTAAATTTCAACTTGAAGATTCCAGGTATCGGTCAGGTTTTATAGAGAAACAGAATAAATCAGATGTGCATATACAAACACAGAAAGAGACTTAAGGAATTGGCCCAAGGGATTAAGGAGGCCTGGTAAATCCAAAATCTGCAGAGCAGGCTGGCAGAACTCCTTGCTCAGGGGTCAGTCTTTGTTCTATTAAAGGCCTTCCACTGACTGGATGAGGCCCACCCACAGATGGAGGCTACTCACAATCTACCAACTTAAATGTTAATCTCATACAAAAAATACTTAAACAGAAACATCGAAAATATTTGATCAAATATCTAGGCACTGTGGCCCAGTCAAGTTGGCACATAAAATTAGCCATCACCCAACTCCACCTGGGCTGAAATAATCTGTTCTTCCTTTGAAAACCACACAGCATTCTATCATTCTGTCTATACTACCCTTCTAGAATTTAAAGATCTGGAGAAAGATCTGTATCTAGATCATCTTTGCAACTCCCACAGAATCTAACACAGTGCTCTACATATAGCTGACATTTGAATATTTCTTGAATAAATCACACAGCAGAAAAAGCTATTAAGTAAGCTACTTCCAAAGTACTGAACAGTGTTTAATACCAAGGGAACTGAATTAAATTATAAAAGAAACTCACTTAGGATAAAATGAAAGAATGATTGTTTAGAGTAAATAACAACTGATGTTGATAGAATGGGAAAGTGGGAAAAACAAACCCAACCTCAGCATATTTAAGAACAGTCTACATGCAAAAGCAGCAAACCAGGAAACCAAAAAGTTACAGTTAGTATTTTTCTTCTCTTTCTGACATTTATATATATGTACAGCTCTTGTCCATTCGGTGCCATACACAAACTCTTGCTGAAACTATCTGAGATACAGAAACTATCTGAGATATGTTGGAATAAGGTATTATATATGGATTTAATACAACAAGGAAGGTTTAATTACTTAAATACTAAAAAGCACCACCTCTTCTACAACGCAGTACTCTTGCTCAGGCCCTGAAGGTAGCATGGTAGAAAGGTGACTCTGGGTTTTTTACTTAAGAGCAGAGCTTTACAAAAATAAGATTCGACAGTCCAGCTCTTGGAACCACATCACGGCCTGCTTCCACAAACTCTCACTTTTTGCACATCTGCACTCTCTTCTCTGGCCCCTTCTTCACCCTTACCCACACTACTTTCTTCCTGTTAGCAAATATTACTGCACTGAATGAAAACATCTGTCCCTCAGCCTCCACCATCTCTTCCTGAACCCACTACGAACTTAACACCCCTAACAGAGGCATTACTCCTGCCCTTGTGTCTGCAATATTCTCGATCACCTCACAGATCACATGCCAAGCACTGGCGACCCAATGACAAAAAACTACCTCCACTTCCAGAGGTCATAACCCAGATGACGTTCCTTGCACCTTCTGCAATATATTCTCAAAATCAACTTCTTCGCACTTAACTCTAGAGGTTACATCATCTTCGACTGAAAAAACCCCAAAGCCATCTTGTTAAGAGCCCATCTTGTCCTTATAAAACCAAAAAGGCAATTTGAAATTTTAGAGAGTGATGTAATAACAAAACAATACTGGCTCCTTAGAAGGTTTATTACAAAGCAAAACACATTTACAAAGGATCTCTCTTATGTAACTGAACATAACAGATAGCCTTAACATCTTCCTAGATAGCCTCTACATGTGGCTAATTCTAACTCATCTGTCAGGCCCCAGCTTAAATGTTGTGTCCTCAAGAACCTTGTCTCTGACGAAAAACAAAAACAAAAAACAAAAAAGCCCCCTCAGTTTTATCTAAGTCAACATTGCTAATAAAACTGCTCTTAAGGGATTCTAAAAATAGAAGCAATGTAATAATAACAATCTGTAACCTAAACCCCAAATTAGATAAAACCTGGAAAATGGGACAAAGGGAGAAAAGTGAAAAGATATGTTAAAACTTTTAACTTAGGCATAAGCAAAGGTAGCTTGTATTTATCTGGGTCTTGGAAAATTAAAGACATCTATGAACCCTCTCCCCAAATGTTTCTGTATGTAAATAAAAATTGCTTATAACTTCAGGGGATCAAGACTCCCTGAAATCTACCATGAACTCCATGTAATGAATCTATTATAGATAATGGCTAATTACTCCAATTGATAATTGATATAGAGAAATACAGTTGTTTGAAATTTAAGGTTTCTAAAAATGCAAGAATGTTTTAATATTAGGAAATCAATTTAATAATTTACATATTAAAAGCAAAGGAAAGGCTGGGCGCAGTGGCTCATGCCTATAATTCCAGCACTTTGGAAGGCCGAGGCAGGTGGATCACCTGAGGTCAGGAGTTCGAGACCAGCCTGGCCAACATGGTGAAACCCCGTCTCTTAAAAATACAAAAATTAGCTGGCATGGTGGTGCATGCCTGTCATCCCAGCTACTCAGGAGGCTGAGGTAGGAGAATCACTTGAACCCGGGAGGCAGAAGCTGCAGTGAGCCAAGATTGCGCCATTGCACTCCAGCCTGGGTGACAACTGTAAAACTCCGTCTCAAAAAAAAAAAAAAAAAGCAAAGGAAAGTCTAGAAAAGAAAGTAGATCAGAGGTTGCCTAGGACTGGGGGTCGTAGGCAGCTACTGACTAAACATCAACAAAGAAGCTTCTTGAGTTGATGGAATTGTTAGAAAACTGGACTGTGGTGATGGATACACAACTTTCACGGGACCGCACACTTACAGTGGGTGAATTTTATAGTATTGTAACTTATACCCAATAAAGTTAAAAGTTAATAAGTTAAACTTATAACCCAAAACTTACACCCTTCATCCCAATTACTTCAATCTTCTAGTTTCCATTGTGCCTGTTGATGTCAACTCCTGAGCCTTTTAGGAGTTTGGGGTGAAAGTCAAGTTACATCTTGGCTTTTCCCACTGACTACTTAGGTTGCGGCTCTCAACTTTGCTAAGTCATTTAAACTCATCTATTTGCTTTTCAGCCTTCCAAACTGTGTTGATGTTGTCTCCTTTCCAAATCTGTTTTGTCCTTTATGGGTTTATTTATTTATTTATTTTTTTTTTGAGACGAACTCGCTCTGTCACCCAGACTGGAGTGCAATAGCACGATCTCAGCTCACTGTAACCTCTGCCTCCTGGGTTCAAGCGATTCTCCTGCCCCAGCTTCCCAAGTAGCTGGGATTACAGGTGCACAACACCACGACTGGCTAATTTTTGTATTTTTAGTAGAGACGGGGTTTCACCATGTTGGTCAGGCTGATCTCGAACTCCTGACCTCGTAATCCGCCCGCCTCGGCCTCCCAAAGTGCTGGGATTACAGGCGTGAGCCACTGCGCCCGGCCGGGTTTATGTATTTTTTAAAAGTCCCTCTCACGTAGTTTTGATAGGATTTATCAACAGGAAGGAAAAGTAAAAGCATGTCCAGTTTGCTATCTTTACCCAATGGTTTAAATTTAATGTTGACTCTCTAAGCTGCTTTCAGTTGGGCATTCTTCCTTATGGCTGTTTTTATATTTTAATCTCCAAATGATAAAACCAAGAGACAGATATGAAAATATGATATAAGAGTGAAAAAGCAGGGTGGAGGATAAACGCATCCATGAGGAATTAAAAACAACAATAACAAGGCTGGGGAGCAGGAGGCAAGATAGAAATTATCTGAGATGGAGCTAGAAAGAGGAGGGGGAGAGGGGAGGGAGGGCGTGTCAGAGGTAGAGAGAATGAATGGATTTCTTAGATTTAAAGAGAGTTGACTCTTTTTTTTTTTTTTTGAGATGGAGTCTCACTGTCGCTTAGGCTGGAGTGCACTGGTATAATCTTGGCTCACTGCAAGCTCCGCCTCCCGGGTTCACACCATTCTCCTGCCTCAGCCTCCCTAAGAGCTGGGACTACAGGTGCCTGCCACCACACTTGGCTTTTTTTTTTTTTTTTGTATTTTTAGTAGAGACGGGGTTTCACCATGTTAGCCAGGATGGTCTCAATCTCCTGACCTTGTGATCTGCCCGCCTTGGCCTCCCAAAGTGTTAGGATTACAGGCATGAGCCACCGCGCCCGGCCGAGAGTTGACTCTTCAGATTCACAAGGTCCACAGAGAAACACTCAGAGGAAAAATCAAACCAAACCAAAAAACAAACAAACAACAACAAACCAGTGTGATCACATTTGTGAATTCCAGGAATAGAGAATTCTAAATAAAAGCTTCCAGAGAGAAAAGTGACTGAGAGTCAGACTGGCATCAGCAACCCCAGAATATTAGAAGAACAAAAAGCAGTAACTTCAAAGTTCCACAGAAAAAAGACTCTTAATTTGGAAATACATAGCCAACCAACCAGTCAAGCACAAGAAAACATAGGTTCACTAAGAAAATTTGTCACCTACATTTCCCATATATTTTATTTTTTAATTACAAAGATTCACTCAAGTAAAATTGGGAGGAGGAGAAAGAATCAACTGAGAGGTCAATATTGGAAACAAGAAACAGGAATCTGAGTATCTCTGAATAGACTAGTGAGAGATAATGGACCAGGGTAGTAGGGGTGGTCAGAGGTCAAATTCTGCATCTAGTTTGAAAGCAGAGCTGATAGGTTCGGATCACATGAGGTGAGACAGAGAGAGAGGAATTAAGGATGGCTCCAAGGTGTTTTGGTCTTACCAACTAGAATAGAGCTGTCATTTGATTAGATGGGGAAGGCTGATGGAGGAACAGGTTTGGAGCATGCTGAATTGAGATTCTAGCAGACTTCCCTACAAGTAGAGATGTTAAAGAGGCAATGGATATACAAGTCAGGAGTTCAGAGGAGAAATTCAGGCTAGAGATAGGAGTCAGTGATATACAGGTAGTATTTGAAACCAGGAACTAGATGGATGAGATCATCAAAAGAATGCAGATGATTAAATAAATGTTAACAGACAGAGAGAAAAGGGGAGATAACTGAGCCCTGGAGCTCTCCCAACATTTGGCGGCTTACAGGTTCAATCAGCCAAGGAGATTGAGAGGTAACCAGTGAGATATGAGGAAAAAAATGGCATACGATCAAGTTAAGAAAATGCTTCACAGAGAACAGACTAACTGTACCACGTAATGCTGACTGGTGAAGTAGAATGAGACTAAGAACTAACTACTGGATTTGGTAACATGGAAATCTTTGGTAATTTTGATAAGAAAACTTCATATGTAGGAATAAAAACCTTAGTAAACAGGGCTCAAAAATGAATGAACACCAGTGGTGTAGACAACTTCTTCAAGGGGTTTCGCTATAAAGGGAAGGATAGAAATGGGGTAATCATTAGAAAAGAGGAAATTCAGTTCAAGTACAGTGGGGTTTTTTGGTTGTTCTTAAGGTAGAAGAAATAACTGCCTATCTGTAAGCAGACAGAAAGATACGTTAGGGAAGGAAAAACTGAGGAGAGTAGAGAACTGCTGGAGCAATGTTCTTGAATCACCAAGAGGGGACAAATGCTGCACAAGTGGAAGGGTGGTCTTAGACAGAAATAAGAACAGTTTATCCATATTGATCAGAAAAAAACATAGAAGTCTGGGGAACAGATGCAGGTAACTGGGTATGTGAGGGGTAAGTTTATCAAAATTATCTTTCGTTTGCTGTTCTTTTCTCAGTTAACTGCTATAGAAAGCACGGTTAAGGGGCTGAAAGTGAATATGGGGGAGGTGTTGGAGGCTTGAGGAAAATGAATGGAATAGCCATGTAGAAAAGTGAAATGGATTATGGAAGTATAGTGTGACTGCTAGGAAGTGACCATGACTGCGGAGGCTAGCGAACATAAATTTAGAGTGAGGCTGGTCAGCACATCTGTGTTGATATAATCAGGGTTGTGATTTCTTGTATAAGACAGCAAGAGGGGAATGGGGTGGGGGCTGAGGGAATGTGTACTGACTGTCGTGGTTGCTCATGGAGTTGAAGCAGGATAAAGAAGGAAGTAAAGTTATGAGGGGAATGAGAGGACAGTGAAAGGCAGTAAGATGACAGTAGACTACAGTAGGTGTGAATGACTGACTGAGTTGGGCTACTAGAGAGACTGAGCACCTAGACAGAGAGGGAGATCGTGGTGGGAAATAACATGGGACAGCTATTCTCTATTAAGCACCAACATTAAACTAGTTACTTCTTTTATATCACCTCATTTAATTATCAGAATGACTCTGAAAGATGGGCATTATTATCCATCCCTATTGAAAAGATGAAGAAGTTAAAGCTAAGGTTAAATAACTTGTCCAAGACCAAAAAGCTGCTAAGTATTCCAACTGGCATTTTGGGTCGCATTTTCTTCCAGAAAAAAACAAACAAACAAAAAACCCTACAAAACTAGAATAAGGCCCTTGGGAATAAATTATTTTACAGACCAACTCACACTTTGTCCACTAAAAAACTTACTTCAAGCCAGACACTGTGGCTCACACCTGTAATCCCAGCACTTTGGGAGGCCAAGGCAGGCAGATCACTTGAGCCCAGGAGTTAGAGACCGACCTGGGCAGCATGGCAAAACCCTGTATCTACAAAAAACAGAAAATTAGCTGGGTGTGGTGGTGTGTGCCTGTGGTCCCAGCTACTTGGGAGGCTGAGGCAGGAGGATTACCTGAGCCCAGGGAGGTCAAGGCTGTGATCGTGCCACTGCACTCCAGCCTGGGCAACAGAGTGAGACTCTTGTCTCAAAACAACAACAACAAAATTTACTTCAATGGTATCTAGTTTTTAAAACAGCTAATTAATATATTATTTTATAGCATCATGAGAGAAAGACAAATTGTTTCTATAGCAAGCATCTTCTAGCACGGAATAATTAAATTCAAGTTAAACTATCTGTAGTTACTGCTATTATTACTGTGGCACTGAGTTAAATACAAAACTCCTGCTATGTATCATGCACAGATAAGATTTCTTTTTTCTTCCTACTTCCTTCCTTCTACTATTTTTTTTCTTCAGTTTTATGCTGTTTTCTTTACTTCCGACTTAGAAAATCATGGCTTACCTTACTTACCCCTACTAGAAAATGAACAGTTTCTGGCACCTGACTTCAGACTCCCAGAATTACCAAGTATTTCTGCGGACTATGTAACAATAATAAACTGTTTCCAAGGCTCCAAGTACTGGCAACATCACTAAATAGGGCAACAAAAAGAAACTGTGGCTTGAAGTTTCACTAGATCTTTGTCATTTTAGATAGTAATTTTGTGAATTGCTAGATTTAGATCCCCAAGTAATGCAAGAAATCAAATAAAGCACCCCGCAAGTATTTTATCCATCACACAAAGCTCTTCCACTCTCTCCAATAAGGTAATAGTTTATGACTATGTGACTAACATCAAGAAGTAGATAAATTATGCCAATGAGCCAGACTTAGCAGATGATTAAAGAAATCTGTTAACAATTTACTTGTTTTTCTATTCTTCCACCAATCTCTTGATTTTAAGAACAACTTATTTTAAAGGCAAGTGGCTTATATAATCGTTCTTCATAAAGTCTCTTTTCCCAGTGCAGTAGCAACCTGGTTTCCATTTGAATGATTATCCAGGTAAGCTAACTAAATGTAAGAATTTATTTTTTATAAGAATTTCATTCATTTTAGCCTATTTAGGCATCCTACTCACTTATAGACGTAGGTGCAAACACAACTGGAACTATTCCATAAAATATTCATACATGTCACCACTGTGTAATTTCTTCCTACACCCTGAATGGAGGCTTCCTTTAAACTTTAAATGAAAATTATAATTGAGCTTGAGTCACAAAGAGTTTACCTCCCCAATAATGTTAATTATGTCACTAGATTTCATCCTCTTGCATCCCTACTCACTGAAATTCTTCAAGATTTCTTAATGTGAGGCAGGATAATTTAATTTTATAGGGAAATGCAATTGTGAACATGGAAAAGCATTATTTGGAGGTATACCCAAGATACTTCTACAAGAACAATAAGCTAAAATGCTAAATCATTTCCATTTACTCACTAACTAAACAACCTTTCATACCAGGAGCTCAGAGTCTGGAGGTGAAGGGGAAGGTGAAGACAGACAATAAACACATATGCAAATAAGCAAAGAAGATTAAGTGTAAGTCATGATCAGTGCTGAGAAGAAAATAAATTCAGAGCTGTGACACAGACTACAAACTGCAACAAACTGCAGAAACAAACTGCAACACAGATCATCTATAAACATACATAGCAGATTGACATCAAAGCCTTTCTAGGTTGCCTTTATGACTTCTTGACATATGCTTAGGTTCCGAGGATCAAAGCCCCTCAAACTTACCTGTTTCACTTTCTAGAACTAAAGCTAGTCTGTGACATCTCTAGCAGAAAATAAGGCACATCGACCATTTCACAGCACCTCTGCAATTAGGCTTTTGATTATGTGGTGTGATAACTTATCCACACTGAAACATTTTCAAAAGAGAAAACAGATTATTATTATTATTTTGTGTTTTTTTTTTTTTTGAGACAGAGTCTCGCTCTGTTGCCCAGGCTAGAGTACAGTGGTGTGATCTTGGCTCACTCTAACCTCCGCCTTTCAGGTTCAAGCAATTCTCCTGCCTCAGCCTCTCAAGTAGCTGGGATTACAGACATGCACCAGCACGCCCAGATAATTTTTGTATTTTTAGTAGAGACGGGGTTTCGCCATGTTGGCCAGACTGGTCTCGAGCTTCTGACTTCAGGTGATTCGCCTGCCTCAGCTTCCTGAAGTGCTGGGATTACAGGCTATCATTGTTATTTTTTAAGACAAGGTCTTGTTCTATGTTTCAGGCTGGAGTGCAGTGGCATGATCACAGCTCCTCTTGGGCTCAAGCAATCCCCCTGCCTCAGCCTCCCAAGTGGCTGGGACGACAGACATGCATGCCACCATGCTTGGCTAATGCACTTTTTAAAATTTTTTGTAGAAATGGAGTCTCCCTGTATTGCCGAGGCTGGTTTTGAACTCCTGGGCTCAAGCAATACCCCGGCCTTGACCTTTTGGAAATGTTGGGATTACAGGCCTGAGTCACCCTGCCCAGCCGGGATGTTTTTAATAATTATGCCAGAGCAGGCACAAACAAGGACTTTCCACCAGGGCAAACTAGGCCATATGGTTACCCTAATTATATACCACATCAAATGTAAATAGCCAAAAATTTCAAGAGTAGTTTATAGTTCCAGATATATTTAAATTATAATATCCAAGCCCTAAATTATAATATGGACAATATAAACCAAGTGAATCCCTTACTAAATATAAAGCTCTGAATATCTCACATTGTACACAAAATCAATTTCAGATGCATTATAAACGTCAATGTGAAAAAGCAAAGCACAAAAAGGTTTAAAGATAATCAAAGTATCTCTATGATGTTTTAAAAAAAGAAACACTAGCCATAAAAAACTGATGAACATGTTTACATTAAAATGAAGAACTTCTGTTAATTTAAAGAAACTACTAAATGGAAAAAATGTTTGCAATATATACATCCAACAATGGAGATATATTCAGAATACAGAACTCTAGAAAAAGACGTGTTTCGATTTAAAAAAGGAAAAGATTTCAAAGGCATTTTATGAAAAATGAAATCCAAACACCCAGATATGAAAAGCTGGTCAGCCCCATTTAGTAATGAGGGAAATGATTAAAACTAAATACAACTACATACCCACCAGGATTGGCTAGAATTGAAATATATGATACCACGTACGGTTGTTGGTAAGGGATATGAAACAAGAACTCTTACATACTAATAAATGAAGTAAAAACCACTAAACAACTACTTTGAAAAACTACCTGGCATTACCTGATAAAGACCAACATTCCCCATGTTCTTGCAATTCAAATTCTAAGTATATAATCTCAAGAAAACGAAATAAACATGCACCAGTGCACTTAAACAGAAATGTTCATAAAAGCATTGTTTATAATAGCCCCAAACTGCAAACAATCTAAATGCAATATCCAAAACAATGGCAGAAGGAATAAACTTGTGTTATATTCATGATGGAATATTATGAAACAATAAAAGCTAAAAATAAAATATATACAACACAATCCTATTTACATAAAGTTAAAAATGGGCAAAATTAAACTCTATTATTTAGAGATGTAAACTTATATGGTAAAACTATAAATGTCAGAAGAACATTTATATCTAGCTTAAATTAAGATGGTGATAGTTGTGATGGGAAAATATAGGTGGTGGGAGGCTTCTGGGATGCTGGCAATGTCTGTCTTGCCCTGGGTGGTGGTTACAAAGATGTTTGTTTAAAAATATTTCATTTTTATCTTATGTATCTTTTCAGCCTGTGTAGTTAGGTTTCCCAATAACACTCTCCCTGAGAAATTAAAAAAAAAAAAGTTCAAAAGAGAATGCTAAGACTGTTACTCAAAGAGATTAACTCTTAATCCATAGTTTAAAAACAGTAACAGGGATCTCTACATCCAAATACACACTGTATTATAAATTCCATGAATAAACTTTTGGCTTCAGGCCGGGTGCAGTGCCTCACACCTGTAATCCCAGCACTTTGGGAGGCCAAGGTGGGTGGATCATCTGAGGTCAGGAGTTTGAGACCAGCCTGGCCAACATGGTGAAACCCCGTCTCTACTCAAAATACAAAAATTAGCCAGCTGTGTTGGGCGCCTGTAGTCCCAGCTACTCGGAAGGCTGTGGCAGAACTGCTTGAACCCGGGAGGTGGAGGCTGCAGCGAGCCAAGATCGCACCACTGCACTCCAGCCTGGGCAAGAGCAAGACTCTGTCTCAAAACAACAACAAAAAAAAACGAAAACAAAACAAAACAAACACTTTTGGCTTTAATCTTTTAGACTACCATTCTTCGTTCAAATTTTGAAATGGAAGGTGAAATTTTCTGATATCGAATTACTCAACAAGTCATGTAAATTTTAAAATTTTAAGATTGAACTCCTTGCTTCTAATCTTGAAATCTGAAATGTGTCCAGTATTGACTAGACAGTTATAATGTAGTTTTCGATTAGATAATATCATGTAGACTAATATATAAAGGTTTGATAATGTCAGTTTTTGCGAACATAATCAAATTCCCCAAACTGGTTACACATTTAACTCATGTTGCTTAAGAAAAAGCAGCCGGGTGCGGTGGCTCATGCCTGTAATCCCGGCATTCTGGGAGGCTGAGGCAGGTGGATCACTTGAGGTCAGGAGTTCAAGACCAGCCTGGCCAATATGGTGAAAGCCTGTCTCAACTAAAAAATACAAAAATTAGCCAAGCGTGGTGGCACGCGCCAGTAATCCCAGCTACTCAGGAGGCTGAGGCAGGAGAATTGCTTGAACTTGGAAGGCAGAGGTTACAGGGAGCCAGGATTGTGCCACTGCACTCCGGCCTGGGCAACAGAGTGAGACGCCATCTCAAAAAGAAAAAAAAAAAAGAAAAAGAAAAAGCATATAATGATGTGGGATGAAATATCAAAGCCATGAGTACAAACATAAATTCAATGATTAAAAAAATTTTTCACTGCTATATTCATATATTTATCAAGTCATGACACAAAGAACAAATTTATATTTTATGTCATTATGTCATATGAATTTAACTATTACAGACTAATGAAATACTGACTCTAAAAGCTGCTGAAAAGTTTTTTAAAATGTGGGTTGTTAAAATGTAGACTTTTGGGGTTCCTGCATAAAAGGATATGTTCGTAGTTTTTAAAAAAGAACAAAAATACTTTAAAATTTTCAAATGTATTTTTTTTCTTTGTGAGGAATAAAGGTAACACAGCCAACTTATTGAGTCACTAAGCTGGCAAGACACTTTTAAATTCAGATTAGGTAAAGCAATACTTTAAAACAAATTTATTAAACCACTTTAATGAGAAATTATTTTCAACCCATATCTGGCTCTCACCCAGCACTTTTCATAATTTCATAAAGAGAGGCTTTTTCATAATTTCAAAAAGCCAGAAAAACACTATACAGCTAAGTAACTATTGTATAAAAAATATAAAAATAAATTCAAAATAAGGCCAAGCAAAAACTAAGTTACTTAAGAAGCATCACTGGGAAAGTCTTTAATAAACACCAAATACCATCCATCATACATCCTATAGCCGATTTCTAACCGCCAAGTCTACAGGTGTTTTAATGAGGTAATGTGTCACTGCATAATGTTTCACAAGGTGAAGAGGGAAATGTGGGGGTACTCCCTGGTTTTTCATACTACTTTTAAAATTAGACTTGGTGATTTTAAAAAGTGTATAATTCAATGATCTTCAGCAAATTTGCAGAGTTGTGCAACTATCACCATCTCATACTACTCCTTTATGGTGTACAGTTCTGTAACATCAAAAGGTTCCCTACCCAGGTATAAGATTTGTCCCAACACCAGGGCTATTAAAAAGATTTACCAGAGGCTGGGCGCGGTGGCTCATGCCTGTAATCCCAGCACTTTGGGTGGCCGAGGCGGGTGGATCACCTGAGGTCAGGAGTTCGAGACCAGCCTGGCCAACATGGTGAAACCCCGTCTCTACTAAAAATACCAAATTAGCTAGGGGTGGTGGCAGGCGCCTATAATCCCAGCTACTTGGGAGGCTGAGGCAGGAGAATCACTTGAACCCGGGAGGCGGACGTTGCAGTGAGCCGAAATCATTGCCTTTGCACTCCAGCCTGAGCAAAAAGAGCTAAACTCCATCTTAGAAAAATAAATAAATAAATAAATAAATAAAGGATTTACCAGAGCATCCAAGAAATATTATTAAATACTTGATCCCGTGAAACCACTCCCCTATCTGTTAACGATTTTTAAAATTTTACAGATTTCGAAAATCTTCTTCTTTATCCTTGGACCTAACCTATCCACAGGGTCCCTAACCATGCTATGCAGTTCCCACCTCTACCAGAAGTGCTGGGAAAATCACCTAGGTTATCTAGCTTCCCTCAAAGTATTTTACACTGTTGTGAGATTTCCTTTAAGATTCAGGAGCTAAAGTTTATTTTCTTTCTGGTTTCCTGGCGGAGCAAAGGCCCTGCACGTGTGAACGGAAACAAAACCCACACAGACTCTAGGGATGCCAAATATTAACACTGTGGGTAGGGGCACCTTCCTTCTCGGCCGAATTCCCTTTCCCAGAGAGCCTCCAGAGGGATCAGTCAACGCCCACTGAGCCTGGATCAAAGGTCAAGCTTGCCTGGTCAAGAAGGATCCTGGATCAAGCTTGAACCCGTTTCCAGAAACAGGGGCGTCGGGGCAGCAGCAAGCATTTTTACCACGCGCCCTAATGAGGTGGTTGCACAACAGGCTTTGAGGATTCCGGTTTAACAGGTAAATACCAACAGAGGATGAGCCGAGGGAGATGGGATCTGCTCCACGGCATCGATGGCATTTCGAGAATGTCTGCGTCGCAGAGCAAACCCAAAGTTTTAGCACATTACTCAAGAGTTCACCAGAGGAAGATCGCCACGAATTGAAATGAACAAAGTGAGAAAATGGGTGCTGTGTAGTCAACGCATCCGCGATGAACTCAAGCTGGGCGGAAAAATTCTTTGAATACTCCGGCTTTGTTTTGTGCTAAGACGGCAGAAGCCCCGAATTTCGGAGTTGGAAGACGCGTTTCTCCGTGTTCTCCGGCCCGTTCTCGGACTTCAGGGCCGCCCGCCGCGCACTCAGTCCCGTAGTTCCCCGGGCTTCAGGCGCGGACATTCCGGGGGGCGGAAACCAGGGAGCCGCGGGGAGGCCGCGGTCCGGCCCGCGACGCCGGGGCCCGGAGAAGGGAGGCGAGAGGCCTCCCGGAGCTCGACGGAGGGAGGGGAGGGAACGAGGAGGCCGCGGGCCGGAGCGGGGAGCAGCCCCGAGCGGCGCCCGGCTCGGCCCCCACCCTGAGGCCCGGTCCCGCGTACCTTTGGCAAGGGCTACGGTGGAGTTTTCGGTGTCGATGGTGTAGAGGATGCCCTCGTAGCGGATCTCCGCCTTGGAGATGAGGCTGATCTTGCTGCCGATGTAAGGGGTGCCCCCGCTCATGGCGCCGCCGCCGCCGCTCCCAGCTGCTCGCAGAGAGGCAGATCCCACGCCACTGTCGCCCGCTCCGCACGCCCGCTCGCTCCGTCGGCGCCTACAGCAGCCGCTTCAGACCCAACATGGCGGCGGCGCCGGCTCCGCTACCCTCCCCCAGCCTCCCGCCCTCAAGCCGCGGCGCGGCGGCGGCGGCGGCGGCGGCAGCGGCGGCGGCGCGGGGCATGCTGGGAGGGCGAGGCCGCGCTCTCGCGAGACTTGGCCGGCTACTGGTGGCTCCCGGCTCATTCGTGGCCTCGGGAGTCCCGGCAGCGCTTGTTGGCCTGGACTACGGTGGTGGTCTTGGGGCCGCGTGAGAGGAACTTCGGGGACCGGCTGAGTGCCTCGTGGCACCCGCTTGCTGCGGGCTGGAGAGGAGGCGCGCGGCCTTCCTTTTGACTCAGGCCGTGGCCGCCTTGTCGTGGGTCCTGTGTCTTTGCCGACGCGGGGCCCTCGGCCTGGAGCGCTGCCCACCCGCCTCCGAGCTGTGGCGAGCCGCTGCTCATCCTTCTAAGACGCTGAACCTGCACCTCGTGGAGCTCCTACGGCTCCATTACCGCAGTCATCGCCCGGGGAGCTTCCCCCGAGGCTGCCCCTGGAGCTGGGGCTCTCACAAGGACTCAAGTGTTTCAGCCCCTTCCTGTCCCGCTCATTCAGCCGGTCTGAACCAGTTTCATGGCTTGCAACGCCATTGTAACTCACTAATCCCAATTATCAGTATGTAGCTTGGATCAATTCCGTGAACCAGGGTTTCTGTCGAATCTCAAACGTTAAGGGTCCAAAGCCATGCTCCCTGTTTCCCCTCTAACCTGCTCCTTCACCACCGTTCCCTATTTGATGTAAACGGTACCATTTTTACTCAGCTGCTCAGACTAAAAGCCGTGAGTCAGCCTTGCCCTGTCTTGCTTCCACATCTGTTCTGACTACACCTCTCCGTTATGTATACACAATATATCCTAAATCTGACTTCTCATCTCCATTCCTACACTTCTCCCACAAGCCACGATTACTCGGGCTGAATTATTGCAGTAGCCTTCTAAAAGTTGCCTCTGTGTCAACTCTTGCCCCCAGTACTTTATTCTCAATACAGCAGCCAGAGAGATCTTCTTAAAATCTAACTCAGGGCTGGGCGCAGTGGCTCACGCCTGTACTCCCAGTACTTTGGGGGCCCGAGGCGGGCGCATCACCGGTCAGGAGTTCGAGACCAGCCTGGCCAACATGGTGAAACCCCGTCTCTACTAAAAATATAAAAAAATTAGCCAGGCGTGGTGGCGCGCGCCTATAGTCTCAGCTACTTGGGAGGCTGAGGCAGGAGAATTGCTTGAACCCAGGAGGCGGAGGTTGTGGTGAGCCGAGATTGTGCCACTGCACTCCAGCCTGGGCGACAGAGCGAGACTCCGTCTCAAAAAAAAAAAAAAAAATCTAACTCAGATCATGTCCTTCCTCTACTCACTCTACTGATCCCATGTTACACAGAGAGAAAACCAGACTTTGGTGTCTAAGGATATACATGATTTAGCTTCTCGTTCTGTTCCAGTCGCGTCTAATTCAACCAGTACTTGAGCACTTTATTCCAGTCTCTGCTCAAGCATCACCTCCAGAGATGACGTCCCTGACAGCCTTGTTTAAAATAATACCACTCATCTCCTTAACTCAGCTTGTATTTTCTTTATAGCATGTATCTCTCTCAAGTATGTCTGTTTAATTATTTGTATGTATCTGTCTCCTTCACTAGAATGTAAACATTTTGAGATAGTGATGTTGTTTTGGTTGCTGCCGTATCATCAGGGGCCTAGTAACAGCACGTGGCTCAGGGCAGCTGCTCAGTTAATATTTGCTGCATGAATGAACAGCAGGATGAAGGCAGAGCACAGGCAGGACGGTGAGCTGAGTGAGCAAATGGCGAGAAGCCTGGCATCATAAGAGAGGGACACAGGAGAGAGACAGAGCTCTGATGGGGCTGGTGCACAGTGGCTACAAAGAAAGGTTTGGAAATCCCTGTTTCAGTACAAGGTCCATGCGAGGAAGTTGAATTATTTGTTTTTGTTTTTTTGAGACAGTCTCACTCTGTCACTCGGGATGGAGTGCAATGGTGCCATCTCGGCTCACTGCAACCTCTGTCTCCTCTGTTCAAGCGATTCTCCTGCCTCAGCCTCCCGAGTAGCTGGGATTACAGGCGCATGCCACCACGCCTGACTGATTTTTTGTATTTTTAGTAGAGATGGGTTTCACCATGTTGGCCAGGCTGGTCTTGAACTCCTGGCCTCAAGTGTTCACCTGCCTTGGCCTCCCAAAGTGCTGGGATTACAGGCGTGAGCCACCGTGCCCGGAAATTCTTTCAAGGCTAAATAATATCCCTTTGTATGGACATACCATATTTTGTTTATCCATTTATCAGTTGATGAACATTTGGGTTGTTTTCACTTCTGCTATTATAAATATCCATGAGTACCTCTATGAACAAGTTTTTGTGGGAACATGTGTTTTCAATCCTCCTAAGAATGAAGTAGTTGAGCCATATGGTAACTCAGAGTTTAACTTTTTGAGGAACTGTCAAACTGTTTTCCAAAGCAGCTACACTATTTTACATTTCCACTGGCAATTGTATGAGGGCTCCAATTTTCTCCACAGCCTCACCAACACCTATTATTGTCTATCTTTTTTTGTTTGTTTGTTTGAGACGGTGTTTCGCTCTTGTTGCTCAGGCTGGAGTGCAGTGGCGTGATCTTGGCTCACCGCAACCTCCGCCTCCCGGGTTCAAGAGATTCTCCAGCCTCAGCCTCCCTAGTAGCTGGGATTACAGGCATGCACCACCAAGCCCGGCTAATTTTGTATTTTTAGTAGAGTGGGGGTTTCTCCATGTTGGTCAGGCTGGTCTCAAACTCCCGACCTCAGGTGATCCGCCCTCCTTGGCCTCCCAAAGTGGTGGGATTACAGGCGTGAGCCACCGCACCCCGCCATTTGTGTATCTTTTTGAGACAGGGTGCCACTCTGTCATCCAGGCTGGAATGCAGTGGCCCTATCATGGCTCACTGCAACCTTCCTGGGCTCAAGCAATCCTCCACCTCAGCCTCCCAGGTAGCTGGGACCACAGGTGCAAACCACCATGCCCAGATAATTTTTGTATTTTTTTGTAGAGACAGGGCCTTGCCATGTTGCCCAGGTTGGTCTCAAATGCCTGGACTCAAGTGATCCTCTCGCCTTGGCTTCCCAGAGTGCTGGAATTACAGGCGTTGAGCCCCACACCCAGCTAAACACTTTTAAATTGGGCAATTTTTCTTTTTATTGTTGAGTGGCAAGAGTTCTTTTATATATTCTAGATACAAGTCCCTAATCAGATCTATAATTTGTAAATAGTCTCTCTTATTCAGCGGATTGGTTGTCTTTTCACTTTCTTGATAGTGTCCTTTGAAGCACAAAAGTTTTTAATTTTTATAAAGTCCAGTTTATTCATTTTTGTTGTTGTTGTTGTTTGCACTTTTGGTGTCATATGCAATAAAGCATTGCCTAATCCAGGATACAAATATTTACCCATAATGTTTGCTTCTAAGTTTTATGTGTTAGCTCTTACATTTAGGTCTTTGATTTATTTTGAGCCAATTTTTGTCTATGGTATGAGGGGGACTTCAAATCTTGCCTGAAATAGAGATGGGATTAAGAAGCTTTCAGATCAAACAGGAGATGGAGTGATTACAGGAGGAAGAGTGAGATGCATTCTGGAAAGTAAGCAATTCAGTGTGGCCACAGCCTAAAGAATGCAGAGTATATTAGGAGTTATAGTGGATAGCAGTGGCCACACCAAAGGTGGTGAGGGTTGAGGGCTTTGTTTCTCCCATATTGTCCAACAGCCATCCCCTAGCCTCATAAAGTAAAGACAAATATAAGGAAAAAACAGTGTACTAGCTGGGAATTGCTTTGGACAAGCCTCGCAAATCCTCCAGATCTTCTTTCTTACCCCATAGCTCCTCAAGTGTAGAAATTCTAGAGCTTCTACTGCTGAAAACATGAATGGGGAAGAATTTAGTTTTTCTGCAGGTTGCCGGGAGCTCTTAAGCAGGGAAGCAACAATGGATTTTGGATCTTTAGGAAGCCTGCGATGGTCATAAAATGTGTCACGGTTCTCAACCTTGTTTCTAGTACATGAAACGGAGATTAATGTGCATATTACACTAGGGGCTACCAACTGATCAGCTGCATTATACATAGTTCCTGCCGCCCTAGGGTGCAGGAAACCATGAGTTGCAAAACATAAAGTAGAATCTAACAGATTGGTGACTGATTGGGTGTAGCCAGATAAGGACTCCTAGTTCCAGGACTGAACACCTAGGTCAGTCCTAGGGCTAGTGATGAGCATAAGGAGAACGGATAAAAGGAAGTTTATTTGGGGGGAGGATGGAAATACTAATAGATGCAAATAATTTTGCACTTGTTGAGCTGGAAGTGCCTGTTGGGACACCAAGCAATTGCGTCTATTTCATAATTGGTATGACCCTAAAAGTCAGGAGATCTGAAATGGAGGTGTACATTTGGAAATTGTTACAGATGGAAAAAGGATAAGCTCACTGTCAGTGGCTCATGCCTGTAATTCCAGCTACTCGAGAGGCACTGCAGCCTGGGCGACAGAGCGAGACTCTGTCTCAAAAAAAAAAAAAAAAAAAAAAAAAAAAGAAACACCAAGAACAGGCAAATCCACAGAGGCAGAAAATATTAGTAGATTAGTGGCTGCAAGGGGCTGGGACATGGGGGTGAGGAGTAGGAATGGGAAGTCACTACCAAGGGGCGCAGGGTTTCTTTCTGGGGTGATAAAAATGTCTGGAAGTAGGATGGGCACAGGGGCTTGTGCCTGTAATCCCAGCACTTTCGGAGACCGAGGCTGGTGGATCGCCTTAGGTCAGGAGGTCAAGACTAGCCTGGCCAACATGGTGAAACCCCGTCTCTACTAAAAACACAAAAAAATTAGTCAGGCGTGGTGGCGCACGCCTGTAATCCCAGTTACTTGGGAGGCTGAGGCAGGAGAATAGCTTGAATCCGGGAGGCGGAGGCTGCTGTGAGCCAAGATAGTGCCATTACACTCCAGTCTGGACAACAAGAGTGAAACTCCATCTCAAAAAGGGAAAGAAAAAAGAAAATGTCTGGAAGTATATAATGATAATGGTTGCATGGCTTTGTGGATATACGAAAACCCACTAAATTGTATACTTTAAAAAGTGAACTTAGGGCCGGGCGCGGTGGCTCAAGCCTGTGATCCCAGCACTTTGGGAGGCTGAGGTGGGCAGATCACGAGGTCAGGAGTTCGAGACCAACGTGACCAACGTAGTACTAAAAATACAAAAAAAATTAGCTGGGCGTGGTGGCGGGCGTCTGTAATCCCAGCTCCTCAGGAGGCTGAGGCAGGAGAATTGCTTGAACTTGGGAGGCAGAGGTTGCAGTGAGCCGAGATCACGCCACTGCACTCCAGTCTGGGCGACAGAGCAAGACTCCATCGCAAAAAAAAAAAAAAAAAAAAAAAAAGAGTGAATTTTATGATATGTGAATTCTATCTCAAAAAGGCAAACTTTCCATGTAAAATGGCCCTATTAAAAACTAAGTTTATGTAGCAAAAACAGGCACTTGCTTTTGAAATAATATGTAAGTAAAAAAGCTGAATACAGAATTGTGTGAGTATAAAGACTTTCTTAAAAGGAAAAAAAACAAACAACATATGAAAATAAAGGAGGAAAGCAGTAATTTCCAAATGCTATGGTACCATGGTATTAGATAAAATTTTTTGTTTGTTTGTTTGTTTTTTGAGATGGAGTCTCGCTGTGTCGCCCAGGCTGGATGGAGTGCAGTGGCGCGATCTCGGCTCACTGCAAGCTCCACCTCCTGGGTTCACGCCATTCTCCTGCCTCAGCCTCCCAAGTAGCTGGGACTACAGGTGCTCGCCACCATGCCCAGCTAATTTTTTGTATTTTTAGTAGAGAAGGGATTTCACCGTGTTAACGAGGATGGTCTCAATCTCCTGACGTCGTGATCCGCCCGTCTCGGCCTCCCAAAGTGCTGGGATTACAGGCGTGAGCCACCATGCCCGGCCTAGATATAAACTTTTAAGGTAAGTTTTTGTCTCTGTATTAGTTAGGAGATGTGTTCTGTTTATAGGAACCACCCCCAAATTCAGTGACTTAAAACAATTATCACTTTATTATACCTCTCAATTTCATGGATCAGGCTTGACTAAGCAATTCAGTTCCGTGTAGCCTCAACTGGAATCATTGAGGGCAGCTTGCCTGGTCTAGAGGGTCCAAGATGGCTTTACTCACTTATCTGACTATTTCACAGGATCAGCTAGAAGTCCAGGAATTTTGTGACACTATTTGTGGCAGTGTTATTTTGAGTCTCTCCTGACCAGCAAACACATATCCTAAATGATGCAAAAGGCAAAGATATCTAACATCTACTGGTATTGTATACTTTGTAAAGTACACAAAGTCTACTTTGTGCTTGGTATTGGGTCAGTCATCTTACACACATTGGAGGAGACACATCTTACACAGGTTGAATTTTTTTCTTTTTGAGACAGGGTCTCACTCTATGGCCCAGGCTGGGGTGCAGTGGCATGATCTCGGCTCATTGCAACCTACACCTCCTGGGTTCAAGCGATTCTCGTGCTTCAGCCTCCCAAGTAGCTGGGATTACAGGCATGCACCACCACACCCACCTAATTTTTGTATTTTTAGTAGAGACGGGTTTTCACCATGTTGGCCAGGCTGGTCTGGAGCTCCTGACCTCAAGTGATCCACATGCCTCGGCCTCCCAAAGTGCTGGGATTACAGGCACTTTGGGAGGCCAGTCCACAGGTTGAGTTCTAAAGCCATGTGTGTCTGTTGGTTCTTCTCAGAATTAGATGCTGAGCCAGAGTTAAGAGGTTTATTGGAGGTAATGCCTGAGAAAGGTAAAACGGAGAAGAAGCAGGATTGAGCAGGGAGAGCCCCAGACCGTACTGCAGATCTGACAACGTCTTGGCCAACCCAACAGGAAGCCCTGGAGTGAAGATGGCTCTTTGGAACAGAAATGGTTAGGCCCTAGTACCCCTGTTGTGTTCTGTCGTTGGCTGGGGTTGTCTGGGAGGAGCGTGGCCTTGGATTGAAAGAGGAAGTAGATCCTGTTGGCTAACTTCACTTCTTGGAACAGCACGATTAGTTCTTTCTGGAAACCAGTAAAAATTAGATATAGTGACTGGGCGTGGTGGCCTATGCCTGCAATCCCAGCACTTTGGGAGGCCGAGGCAGGCAGATCACTTGAGGTCAGGAGTTCAAGACCAGCCTGGCCAACACAATGAGATACTGTAAAAATACAAAAAATTAGCAGGGCATGGTGGCACACACCTGTTATCCCAGTTACTCAGGAGGCTGAGGCCCGAGAATCACTTGAACCTGGGAAGCAGGGAGCTGCAGGGAGCCGAGATGGCGCCACTGCACTCCAGCCTGGGTGACAGAGCCAGACTCCGTTTCAAACAAACAAACAAACAAACAAACAAACAAAATGTATATATGGTAAACAATACTCCAAAGTCTTATCCTGAGATTGCATCTCACCTTAGTGTTAGTACACTTGATCCCCAGATTAATGGATTTCTCTCTTTTTTAATTTTTTGAGACAGGCTTTTGCTCTGTCACCCAGGATGGAGTATAGGGTGCGAGCGCAGCCCACTGTAGCCTCAACCTCCTGGGCTCAGGGGATCCTCCCACCTCAGCGCCCCCAAGTAGCTGGGACCACAGGTGCACACCACCACGTCCAGCTATCTTTTTAAAGAGAGTGTATTTTTCTGTTGAAAATCTGCATCTTGTTGGCTTGGCACAGTGGCTCATGCTTGTAATCCCAGCACTTTGGGAGGCCAAGACAGGTGGATCACCTGAAGTCAGGAGTTCAGGACCAGCCTGGCCAACACAGTGAAACCCCATCTCTACTAAAAATACCAAAATTAGCTGGGTGTGGTGGCAGGAACCTGTAATCCTAGCTACTGGGGAGACTGAGGCAGGAGAATTGCTTGAACCCGGGAGGTGGAGGTTGCAGTGAGCCGAGATCATGCCATTGCACTCCTGTCTGGGCGACAAGAGTGAAATTCTGTCTCCAAAAAAAAAAAAAAAATCTTCATCTTCTTATCATTTTGTCTATTTTATGCTCTAATTTCATTAACATATTTATAGTAATTATCATAAAGTCCTTATCTGTGAGTTCCAGCATCTCAATCATATAAGAATCTGCATGTATTGTTTTTTCTCTTGATTATGCATCACATTTTCCTGCTTCTTTGCATCTCATAATTTTTAATTTTATGCCAGATATTGTGTCTAGCTAGATACTGTATTCTAGACATTGTAAAGAACCAAAGTGACGGAAGTAAATATTTTTTTCCCTGGAGAGGGCAAGCCCTTTCCTCTTGCCAGTCAATTAGGATGAGGAGCTTGATCAGTCAGATCCAATCAACAGTGGAGCTGAATTGGGGTTGGATGAATTGCAGATTTAGTTAGTTTTTGTTCACCTGGATTTTAAATGTCTTAAGGGCAAGATGTGATCTGCGTGTCTTGTGGGCCCCTTCTTCTAGTGGAATTTTGGACCTGAGCATGAAGAATTAGTGGAGTTTTCTGTCTGTCTTTCAATGAGGAAGACAGAAGACCCAGCCTCCTGCACTGTAACCCACTTAGCAAAAATGGAAGACTAGCACTGTGTTTTGAGTTCTTAGATATTTCCATCTGTTGCTCCAGCCCGTAGAGATGTTTAAAGAATCAGTGGTTTCTTCTTAGCCAAGGAGAGCCCCATCCTCTGTGGCAGGGCCCATCCTCTGCCTGCCCATGCCCAGACTTGGCAAATGCCCCCAATGATCCCTAATTTTTCCTACCTATGAAGCCTTGTCCTCTTTCTCTAGAATTTAGTTCCTTTAGACTATTTTATAGACATCTGAAAAATCAGTATGATATTTTACTTTATCTGTTTTCCCCCATCTTTACAGCAAAACTGGTGGCTTATTTAGATATTTACAGCCTAATTGGAAGAGGAATTTGAAAGATTTTTTTGGCCATATTCATTTTTAATTTTTATTTTATTTATTTATTTTTTTGAGATGGAGTCTCACTCTTTTGCCCAGGCTGGAGTGCAGTGGCACAATCTCTGCTCACTGCAACCTCTGCCTCCCAGGTTCAAGCAATTCTCCTGCCTCAGCCTCCCGAGTAGCTGGGGTTACAGGCATGCACCACCATGCCTGGCTCATTTTTGCATTTTCAGTAGAGACAGGGTTTCGCCATGTTGGCCAGGCTGGTCTTGAACTTCTGACCTCAGGTGATCCACCGGCCTTGGCCTCCCAAAGTGCTGGGATTACAGGTGTGAGCCACCACACCCAGCCTTTGGCCATATTTAAATCCATTAGGAACATATCTGTTATATCCTTAGGGAGGACCTCCTAGCTAGTTTTTTTTCTCTAGAGATAGACTGCTGGTCCTTCATTTAAGCAATATATAATGCTCTTGGCTTGCATTTGGGGGCCATGTGTTTTGGAAAATATGTCCCTTCGAACAACAGACCCACTCTCACTGGGTGAACCTCTTATTCTGTGAGAGACACTCTGAAACTGAGACTAATAACCATTGCTAGGGAAGGTGTCGCCCATCCCATACGTGCTCTGGGGTGCATGCACATTGAGTGGAATTGTTACTAATTCCTATCTTTCTCTTACTCTCTCTTGCCAAGGCAGGATCGTTGAATTGGTATAGTTAAATACATAGATGGTAAAATTTCATAGTTTGCTGCTTCTTAATTTAGTTAGAGCAGCCCTCTGTTACATGTCTTTATGTCTAATTTTAAAATGAGAAAACTAGCTGGGCATGGTGGCTCATGACTGTAATCCCAGCACTTTGGGAGGCTGAAGCAGGAGGATTGCCTGAGTCCAGGAGTTCGAGACCAGCCTGGGCAACATAGTGAGACCCTGGCTCTTCAAAAATAAAACAAAATTAGTTGTACGTGGTAGCACATTCCAGTAGTCCCAGCTACTCAGGAGGCTGAGCTGGGAAGATCACTTGACCAAGAGGTCAAGGCTGCAGTGAGCTGTGATCGTGGTGCTGCACTCCAGCCTTGGCAACAGGGCGAGAATGTCTCAAAAAAAACCCCCAAAAACAAAAAACGAAAACCAGCCAGGCAAGGTGGCTCATGCCTGTAATCCCAGCACTTTGGGAGGCAGAGGCGGGTGGATCACTTGAAGTCAGGAGTTCGAGACCAGCTTGGCCAACATGGTTAAACCCTGTCTCTACTAAAATACAAAAATTAGCTGGGCGTGGCGATGCATGTCTGTAATCTCAGCTACTCAGGAGGCTGAGGCAGGGGAATTGCTTGAACCCAGGAGGC
This sequence comes from Homo sapiens, assembly GCF_000001405.40. NCBI lineage: Eukaryota > Metazoa > Chordata > Mammalia > Primates > Hominidae > Homo > Homo sapiens. The sequence continues at coordinate 34,162,238 of NC_000019.10, read as the reverse complement.
AGAGGTTGCAGTGAGCTGAGATCACGCCATTGCACTTCAGCCTGGGCAACAGAGTGAGATTCTGTCTCAAAAAAAAAATGAAACAAAAACCATACACATACACACACACACACACACCCTCCCAACTCAAAAGCAGAAGTCAAGTAACTTAGATCTAGTATTAAGGTGGAAGTCGTGGATTTCAATCAAGTTGTTATAATTCCACAATGTGGGTGCTTTAAACCATTTTAGGATGGCAAATATAATTTTTCATCAAGTGACAACTTAAGCAGATGACACTGCTTGCCTGGAAATTTGTGTTGAGAAGGATTCTGAGATTGTGTCTGAGACATCAGGAGCTTGTACCGTGATCAATTACCAGTGCCTTCCATGGACACAGGGCAGAAGAATGGTGGCACCAGGTGCAAATCTGTCTATACCATCTGCCTCCTAAGTAAATGCAGTAAAAGCATGACTAAGTGCTTTGTAAACTTAATAGCATTCTACAATTAGTTTTATTATCCTTACCGTTTCTCAAATATTTGTCCAACTACCCTAACAACGAACAATAGAAATTGATAAGATATGTATGATTGGAAAGTAATCAAAATAATGGAAACTAATCTATAATTAATTTTTCTGAGTAAAGAAAAATTCCTTTTTTTTTGAGACAGAGTCTCTCTCTGTTGCTCAGGCTGGAGTGCAGTGTTGCGATCTCGGCTCACTGCAACCTCTGCCTTCTGGGTTCAAGCAATTCTCTTGCCTCAGCCTCCAGAGTAGCTGGGACTACAGGTGTGTGCCACCACACTCGGCTAATTTTTGTATTTTTTAGTAGAGATGGGGCTTCGCCATGTTGGCCAGGCTGGTGTTGAACTCCTGACCTCAAGTGATCCTCTGGCCTTGGCCTGCTAAAGTGCTGGGATTACAGGCATGAGCCACTACGCCCAGCCTGAAAATAATATTTCTAAAGCAAATTTGATGATGCCAAACCTGTCCCTCAAGACTCCCTGCCCACCCCACATCTTAGTCCATTTGGGCTGCTGTAACAAAATATCACACACCGGTGGCTTATCAGCAAAAGAAATTTATTTCTCATAGTTCTGGAGGCTGGGATGTCCAAGATTAAGGCTGACAGATTCAGTTTCTGGTGAGGACTGTCTCCTGGTTCATAGATGGCTGTCTTTTTGCTAAAACCTCCCATGGAGAAAGGGGCAAGGGATCTCTCTGGGTCTCTCTCTCTTTTTTTTGAGACAGAGTTTCGTTCTGTCACCCAGGCTGGAGTGCAGTGGCTCCACCTCAGCTCACTGCAACCTCTACCTTTTGGGTTCAAGCAATTCTCCTGTCTCAGCCTCCTGAGTAGCTGGGACTATAGGCATGCACCACCAGGCCCAGCTAATTTTTGTATTTTTAGTAGAGACAGGGTTTCACCATGCTGGCCAGGCTGGTCTTGAACTCCTGACCTCAAGTGATCCTCCCACCTCAGCCTCCCAAAGTGCTGGGATTACAAGCATGAGCCACCGCGCCTGGCCGTCTCTCTCTCTTTTGAGATAGGGTCTTGCTGTGTCACCCAGGCTGAAGTACAGTGGTGTGATCATGGCTCACGACAGCCTCAAACTTCTGGGCTCAAACAATCCTCTTGTCTTAGCCTCGTGCATAGTCACTGGGACTACAGGCATTCACCACAACACCCTGCTATTAAAAAAAAAAAAAATGTAATAGAGACAGTGTTTCACCATATTGCCCAGGTTGGTCTCAAACTCCTTAGCTCAAGTGATTCTCCCAGTCTGGCCTCCCAAAGTGCAGGGATTACATTTGTGAGCCTCCATGCTTGGCCAGAATCTCTTTTATAAAGGCATTAAATTTTTTTTTTTTTGAAACGGAGTTTCACTCTTGTTGCCCAGGCTGGAGTGCAATGGTACGATCTTGACTCACCGCAACCTCCGCCTCCCGGGTTCAAGCGAGTCTCCTGCCTCAGCCTCTTCAATAGCTGGGATTACAGGCATGCGCCATCACACCTGGCTAATTTTGTATTTTTAGTAGAGATGGGGTTTGTCCATGTTGGTCAGGCTGGTCTTGAATGCCCGATCTCAGGTGATCCGCCTGCCTAGGCCTCCCAAAGTGCTGGGATTACAGTCATGAGCCACAGCGCCCGACCCTAAAGGCACTAATTTTATCCATGAGGGCTTGACCCTCATGACCTAGTCACCTTCTAAAGGCCCCACTTCCCAATACCATCCCCTTGAGGGCTAAGATTTCAATTTATGAATTTTAGGGGAACATAAACATTCAGTCTGTTGTACTTCCCCCCATCCCCAAAGCCTTCAATGGCTTTAATAGCTTCTCCTTGCTCTTTTCTCTTGGAATATCCTGGGTTATGTTGTTTACAAAATCCTGTGTGAGTTGGCACTTGCTTAAATCTCTGGTCTCGCCTTTTGTCTCTCCCGTTTACCTTCCCCGCTTCTGTCTCTCTACTCCCTCCAAGCCTTAACTTAATAATATTTGTTTATTTATTTTGAGATGGATTCTTGCTTTGTCACCCAGGCTGGAATGCAGTGGTGCAATCTCGGCTCACTGCAACCTCTGCCTCCCAGGTTCAAGCGATTCTCCTGCCCCAGCCTCTCAAGTAGCTGGGATTACAGATGTGCACCACCACACCCAGCTAATTTTTGTATTTTTAGTAGACACAGGGTTTCACCATGTTGGCCAGGCTGGTCTTGAACTCCCGACCTCAGGTGATCGGCTTGCCTCACCCTCTCAAAGTGCTGGGATTACAGGCTTGAGCCACCACTCCCGGCCTAAAAATATTTTTTATATTGTCGGTATTAGTCCATTCTCACAGTGCTAGAAACAAATGCCTGAGGCTGGGTAATTTATAAGGAAAAGAGGTTTAATTGGCTCATGGTTCTGCAGGCTATACAGGAAGCATGGCTGGGGAGGCCTCAGGGAACTTACAGCTGTGATGGAAGGGGAAGGGGAAGCAGGCGTGTCTTACGTGGATGGAGCAGAAATAATGGTGGGGGGAGGTGTCACACAATTTTTGTTTTGTTTTGAGATGGAGTTTCACTCTGTGGCCCAGGCTGGAGTGCAGTGGCGCAATCTCGGTTCACTGCAATCTTTGCCTCCTGGGCTCAAGCGATTCTCCTGCCTCAGCCTGCCAAGTAGCTGGGATTACAGGTGCCCACCACCACGCCCAGCTAATTTTGGTATTTTTAGTAGAGATGGGGTTTCATCTTGTTACCAAGGCTAGTCTCAAACTCCTGACCGCAAGTGATCCACCCACCAAAGTGCTGGGATTACAGGCAGGAACCACCGCTCACACACTTTTAAACAGCCATGGAGATCTCTTGAGAACTCTATCATGAGATCAGCACTAGGGGGATGGTGCAAACCCATTAGAAACCACCCCCATGATCTGATCACCTCCTACCAGGCCCCCCTTACAACATTGAGGATTTCAACTCGACATGAGATTTGAGTGGGAATACAGGTCCAAACCATTTCATTATCATATAATATGATTAAATATAAATAGAGAGGTGAGTCTCACTATGTTGGCCAGGTTGGTCTTGAACTTCTGGCCTCAGGCAATCTGCCTGCCTCCGCTTTCCCAAGTGCTAGGATTACAGGCATGAGCCACTGTGCCTCGCCCCTCCAAGCCTTTGTCCTGTATTCCAGAAACCACATGAAACTTCTCCCAGATTCTCCCCGTCAAGCCTTCTCACTGCAGCTCAGCCTAGATATTTTTCAGTTCGGGAGACTTCTCACTGCTGAGATCTGCTGTCTGAGATAGTTGCTGATCTCGAACTCCTGACGTCAGGTGATCCACCCACCTCAGCCTCCCAAAGTCCTGGTATTACAGACATGAGCTGCCGTGCCTGGTCTCACCATTGCATTCTTAGTGCCAACTTGACCTGGCTCAGAGTAGGAACACAATAAATCTTGGTTAGATGAATTAATAGGTTAAATTTTTTTTTTGTATTGTGCTCACAGTAGGAGGTGAATTTTTTAAAAAATGGAACGTATAGAAGAAATCACTTCTAGCTTTAAAGATTTTGTTTTAGGTCAGGCCTGGTGGTTCATGCCTGTAATCCCAGCACTTTGGGAGGCTAAGGCGGACAGATCTCTTGAGCCCGGGAGTTGGAGATCAGCCTGGGCAACATGGCAAAACCCCGTCTCTACAAAAATTAGCCAGGCATGGTGGTGCATGTGTGTAGTCCCAGCTACTTGGGGGGCTGAAGCAGGAGGATCATTTGAGCTTGGGAGGTCGAGGCTGCAGTGAGCTGTGATTGCACCACTGCACTCCTACCTGGGGGACAGAGTGAGACCTGTCCCCTCCCCTCACCCAAAAGAGTCAATTTTAACACAAGGGCTTAAAATAAGTTATGTAGGACATTAATTACTGCACTCATGTTCTATGCTTAGTTTTTAAAGTGAAATGTTTTGCCCTAAATCCAAGTATTTTTATTCCTTTCTCCTTGTGTACTAAGTTAACATGCAGATTTCAAACTACCAGCTGAGTAGGTTTGTGTACGGTTTTCTTGTTACTCTGTGGCAGATACCCATGGCTTTCTCATTCACCCCATCTGGGCCTCCAGTGTGGTCTAATTATCCCAAAAAGCCAAGATGTGTTAGAGCAGAGCTTGATTACTCTAATGGTACAATGTTTTTACAAACCTTCTGATTCCTGAATAATCATCATTATCATATTTATGTGTTTAGCCAAAAGCTTAATTGGAAGATTCCAGAATGAAACAGTGCTGTAGGAGAAAAAACCTTCTAGTCATTTTCTTTGGAACAATTTTTTTAAAAATCAAAGTATCACTAATACATGCATAAGGTTAAACAATCAAATTATGCAGGAGGGTTTATGATGCATGGAGATCATTCCGGCCTCTCTCTCCCCAGCCGTGGTCCTATGGAGGCAACCATATTTAGTTCCTTCAGCTGTTTCTCCTGGTGGTTATTGTTGCATGGAAATAATAGGGTTACATCACTAGTTATTTTATTTTATTTTTTTGAGATGGATCTCGCTGTCACCCATCTAGGCTCACTGCAACCTCTACCTCCTGGGTTCAAGTAATTCTTGTGCCTCAGCCTCCCGAGTAGCTGGGATTACAGGCATGCACCACCTTGCCTGGCTAATTTTTGTATTTTTAGTAGAGATAGGCTTTCACCATGTTGCTTAGGCTGGTCTTGAACTCCTGACCTTAAGTGATCCACCCACTTCTGTCTCCTATAGTGCTGGGATTACAGGCCTGAACCACTGCACCTGGTCCTATTTTAAATTTGTGTTAATTTTAGGGGTACAAGTGCAGTGTTGTTACATGGATCTATTGAATAATGGTGAAGTCAGGGCTTTTAGTGTACCCATCATCTGAATAAAGTACATTTTGCCTGTTATTTTTTGTTTTTATTATTTTTTTTGAGACAGGCTGTCACTCTGTGGCCCAGGCTAGAGTGCAGTGGCATGATCTCTGCTCACTGTAGCCTGGAATTCCTGGACTCAAGGAATCCTCCCACCTCAGCCTCCTAAGTAGCTGGGACTACAGGCATGCACCACCATACCCAGCTAATTTTTGTATTTTTTGTGGAAACAGGGTTTTGCCCTGTTGCCCAGGCTAGTCTTGAACTCCTGGGCTCAAGAGAGCCACCCAACTAGGCCTCTCAAAGTGCTGGGATTATAGGCATGAGCCACTGCCCCCAACCTGTACCTGTTCATTTCTCATCATCCACTCTCCTCCCAGCCTCCCACCTTTCCTAGTCTCCAGTGTCTATCAGTCCACACTTATGTCCATGTGTACACATTATTTGGCTCCCACTTGCAAGTGAGAACATGCAGCATTTTTCTTTCTGTTTCTGAGCTGTTTCATTTAAGATAATGGCCTCCAGTTCCATCCATGTTGCTGCAAAAGACATGATGTCTTTTTCTTTTTTTAGAGACAGAGGTCTCCCTCTCCTGTCCAGGCTGGTCTCAAACTCCTGGCCTCAAGCAATCCTCCCATCTTGGCCTCCCAAAGTGCTGGGGTTGCATGTGAAGTGACACAATTTCTTTTTTTTTAATGGCTGAGTAGTATCCCATTATCACCAGTTCTTGATTCATCCATTTTGGAGATTGTCTATTGATTTCCAGCTATGATAAATGCAGATTTAGCTCACAGGCCAAGTACATAGAGATATTTTAAAGTTCTTTTCTATTCCTGAGTTATCTTTGTTTGCTCCACGCAGGCCTGCTGTCCAGGCTGTGTGCATGGTAGGGTGGGCCCGTTATGCACATGTGCTACTGGTTCTGACTATGCGTGGGTTTGGCTGTGCTGACAGTTACATAGCATGAAGATGTCCCTGCCTCCTCGTCCTGCTTTTTGCTTGCATATCTTAGTGTGAGTCTTGCATGTTGGAGACTTTCATCAAAGTCACCATATTGGAATGTATGTGAGAACGATGTCATAAATCATTTGTTGAGGGCCTCTGTATTTTTAGTGGACTCATTCACTGGAGGACTTCACTTAGGGTGATCAGGAAGGAAGCCATTCTCTAGACATTGGTGAACCTCCAATGACAGATTGTGGGTGTTTTAAGACATTTGCTTTTTTTTTTTTTCAGACAGAGTGTTGCTGTGTTGCCCAGGCTGCAGTGTAGTGGTGCGATTATGGCTCACTGCAACATCCACCTCCCTGGTTCAAGCAGTTCTCCTGCCTCAGCCTCCTGAGTAGCTGGGATTACAGGTGTGCACCACCACGCCTGGCTAATTTTTGTATTTTTAGTAGAGACGGGGTTTCACCATGTTGGCCAGGCTGGTCTCAAACTCCTGACCTCAAGTGATCTGCCCACCTCGGCCTCCCAAAGTGCTGGGATTACAGGTGTGAGCCACCGCACCCAGCCTCTTTTTTTTTTTTTAACAGAAGAACCCCTGCAACTTTTCTGGGGCGGGTGCATGTCAAGCTACTACATGGCTGCTGTGTGAGATGGGTGAGGGTCAGGGTGTAGGAAGATTCCACTCCATGTCTTACTTCTACCCTTTGCTCTACTGGGAATTTATGGGGCATGAGCCACTTGGTGGTCCCAAAGTATGGGTTGCTCCCTGCTTGGCTGCTATTCCCCTCTCCACCTCCCCTCCATGGCCATTCCAGTCCCCGTCAGCCTCTGCTTCACTTCGTCCATTACTGCTACCCTTTATTTTTGTGTGCGTATGATAAAATACACATAACATAAACATCACCATTTTAACCACTTCTCTGTGTACAGTTCAGTGGCATTAAATACATTCACATTATTGTGCAACCATGACTACCATCTGTCTCCAGAACTTTTCTATCTCCCCAAACTAAAATTCTATCCCCAGTCAGGCACGGCCAGCACTTTGGGAGGCTGAGGCGGGTGGATCGCTTGAGCTCAGGAGTTCGAGATCAGTCTGGGCAACATGGTGAAATGCTGTCTCTACTAAAAATACAAAAATTAGCCTGGCACGATGGTGCACACCTGTAATCCCAGCTACTGGGGCAGCCAAGGCACAAGAATCACTTGAATCTGGGAGGCAGAGGTTGCAGTGAGCCAAGATGATGCCACCGCACTCCAGCCTGGGTGACAAAGACTCTATCTCAAAACAAAACAAAACAAAACAAAAACAAAGCAAAAACAAAAAACAAAGCCACAAACACACAAATAAAATTCAGTACCAATTTAAACAATAACTCTTCATTCCCCTTTCCCCCAGCCCCTGGAAACCACCATCTTGCCTACTGTGGCTGTGAATCTGACCCCTCTGGGAACCTCATATAAGTGGTATTGGTCCTACAGTATTTGTCCTTTGGGTCCACCCTCTACTTTACATCTTTTTTTTTTTTTTTTTAATTTAATGACAGGGTCTTGCTGTCTATCACCTGAGCTGGAGTACAGTAGTGCAGTCATAACTCACTGTGGCCTCAAATTCTGATCTCAAGTGATCCTCCTGCCTCAGCCTTCAGAGTAGCTGGGGCTACAAGTACACACCAACATGAGCCTGGCTAAATTTTTTTTTGTTGTTGTTAGAGACAGGGTCTTTCTGTGTTGGTCTTGAACTCCTGACCTCAAATAATCCTGCTGTCTCAGCCTTCCAAAGTGCTGGGATTACTGGCATGAATCGCTGCACCTGGCTATTTAACATCTTTAATAATTCTGTTGAAATTATTTATTTTATTTTATTTTTTTTGAGACGGAGACTCGCTCTGTTGCCCAGGCTGGAGTGCAGTGGCTGGATCTCTGCAAGACACAGCTAACTTCAGATGGTGTGGCTTCAGGGGAAGATCACCTTCTTCCCGCACCATCCCCTTTCCAATTCCCATCCCTCTGAGAGCCACTTCCATCACCCAGTAAGATACCCCACATATGCTACCCTTCAATCCGTTCATGCAACCTGATCCTTCCTGGATGCCGGACAAGAACCTGGGTGCGAAAAGGGCAGGGGCTTGGATGCTGCTGTGAGGCCCATACAGAGCCTGCTCCCGCCAGAACTTGGTTCTAGCGTTTGTTCCCTCTGGTTCCCACACTCGCTTGCTCACACGCTCCCTCTTGCAAGGAGTGGCCAGCGGCAGGCTGAGCGAAATGAGCCACTCCAGTTCTCGCCCATGAAGGGGGTGAAGGTCAAGGGAACAAATCCCATCTCACCACCACGCCACACTAATTTTTAAATTTTTTGTAGAGACAAGATCTCACTCTGTTGCCCAGACTGGTCTTGAACACCTGGCCTCAAGCAATCCTCCTGCCTTGGCCTCCCAAAATGCTGGGATTACAGATGTGAACCACTATGCCTGGCCTCTTGTCTTTTTGTTCTATTCAGGGTCTCAATAGATTGGATGATGCCCACCCACATGGGTGAGAGTAATCTTTACTCAGTCACCTGTTTCAAATGCTAATCTATTCCAGAAGCATCTGCACAGACACACCCAGAAATAATGTTGTACCAGTGATCTGCCCATCCCTTAGCCTAGCCAAGTTGTCATGAAAAACCAACCATCACAATCTGTCAAAGGAAAGCAATGCCATGACAGTATTGGGAATCATGATCCAATGAGAAGACTTTGCATGTCATGAGATAACAACTAGCACATTGATGTCACTGGTATTAATGCTCTCTTATAAGCATTTTATCACTTGATCGTCATACTACCTGTGTTGTACAGGAACCAGTATCACCAAGTTCCTCTCTCGATAGTGGGGGCACTAAGGGCTGGGGAAGGTGATAGTCTTGACTTGAGGTGGTTGACGGCTGGGTCAAGATTTGTACCACAAGTTTTAAAGTCCAAGCCTCAGCTCTCTTATTACAGCACCCAGTTACAAAAGAAATTAATGTACTCAATATCTGATTCGGCTCTACCTCTTTGTGTGCAAAATTCCTGCTTTGCCCAACTTCTTATCATGAATAATTATGTGTTCTGATGGTGGCCTGAGTCAATGAAGAGACAAATAAGTAAATTATGCTAAGGAATGGGCCTAACTATTGGCAAATAAAATGATAGAGTAATTAATCAATATATTATTGCAAAACACTTTCATAAAATTGCTTTTTCTCTAGAGACTGAAAGTATTAAAAGAAACAACTTTTGGAGTTTATGGAAAGCAATTTTAGGATAAAAGTAAAAACACTGAGCAAAATAATGAAAAGAACAGTTACTATATTATAATAATTATGTAAATTACGTAATTTACATTATGTAGCTCTTAAAATTATAGGATGCCTTGCTACAAGTACTATATTATTGAAAGTGATATTTAGAGCAATAGCTGTCACTTACTTTTTGAGATTGTGAAAAGTTAGAAATATTTCATGGGATCACATTTTAAAGAATTGCTCAATGGGTGCAGCACACCAACATGGCACATGTATACATGTGTAACTAACCTGTGTGTTGTGCACATGTACCCTAAAACTTAAAGTATATATAAAAAAAAAGAATTGCTCATCTTTCTGGATACACTTGAGTGCTTATGCGACCTGGGTACCATATTGGTGTTACTTTGTTAGCTGGAATTCCAAAGCATCTTGGACGTGAGCGTGCAGTAGTGTTGGTAGGATGGTAACTCCTACAACATTGTGTTGCTTCATAGTGCTCTGGGTACAGGGAATGTGCCTTCAGGCCCTGTGCTGATCAGATGGCAGAGATGGGGTAGTCATGGTAGTGGGGTGGTGGTGGTGGTGTGTGTGTTCAGTGAATGAGAGGAGAGCAGGAAACCTCCAAAGGTCTTAATGCTGCCGCAAGGGATGAATTTGTTGTTCATATATCAAGAGGTTAAAGGAAATTAGATCGACTATAAAGAAAAGACATTCCACAAAAAACAACAGATGTTGGCAAAGATGCAGAGAAAAGGGAATGTTTGTACTCTGTTAGTGGGAATGTAAATTAGTACAACCTTTATGGAAAACAGTATAGAGATTTCTCAAAGAACTAACAATAGAACTACCATTCCATCCAGCAAACCAACTGTGGGTAAATACCCAAAGGGAAATAAATCATATCAAAAAGACACCTGCACTCGTATGTTCCTTACAGCACTGTTCACAATAGCAAAGTCATGGATCAATCTAAGTGTCCATCAGCGGAGGACTGGATAAAGAAAACGTGGTATATGTACACCATGGAATACTACTCAGCCCTAGAAAAGGATGAAATCATGTATTTTGCAGCCACATGGGATGGAGCTGGAGGCCATTGTTATTTTTTTTGTTTTTTTTGGTTTTTTTTTTTTTTGAGATGGAGTCTTGCTCTGTCACCCAGGCTGGAGTGCAGTGGCACGATCTTGGCTCATTGCAACCTCCGTCTCCCAGATTCACATGGTTCTCCTGCCTCAGTCTCCCAAGTAGCTGGGATTACAGGTGTGGGCCACCATGTCTGGCTAATTTTTTTATTTTTAGTAGAGATAGGGTTTCACCATGTTGGCCAGGCTGGTCTTGAATTCCTGACCTCAGGTGATCCACCCGCCTCGGCCTCCCAAAGTGCAGGATTTCAGGCATGAGCCACCATGCCTGGCCTGGAGGCCATTGTTCTAACAGAAATAACTTAGAAGCAGAAAGTGAAATACTGTGTATTCTTATAAGTGGGAGCTAAACAATGGGTGCATATGGACATACAGAGTGGAATAATAGACATTGGAGACTCCAGAACGTGGGAGAGTGGGAGGGGGATGAGGGTTGAAGAATTACCTGTTGGGTACATTGTTCATTATTCGGGTGATGGGTACGCTACACGCCCAGACTTCACTATGACGAAATATATGTATTTAAGGAATCTGCACTTATACCCCTTAAATGTATATTAAAAAAAGGAAGAAGGAAAGAGAAAAGAGATTCCAGAAGTAGAGGGTGGGAAGACGGAGGAACTGGCCAGTTTGGGGTCTTCTCTGCTCTGTTGTTGAGAAGCTGAGCACCAAGGCTGGGGTCTGGTGCTGAGCTGAGTGGCTGCAGGCAAGGGGAGGCTGGGAGGCATGGCCCAGGAATTGCTCCGGACTCTCCCAGGGGAGATGTGGAGATAGAAGCCAGCCTGCAGACTCCCTTCCCTGGTGAACATCTGTGGGGACCAGGCCAGCCTGGCTAAGGCTGTTCTGAGAAGCGTTTGTGCTTTCACACAGGCTGCCCCTTGCATTATGGGCAGGGGCAAAGTGCAAATGGAGATGACATACCATGTGTCTAAATGTCTAAAAGTTAGAATTCTAGGCCAGGTGCGGTGGTTCATGCCTGTAATCCCAGTACTTTGGGAGGGCAAGGTGGGTGGATCACCTTAGGTTAGGAGTTTGTGACCAGCCTGGCCAACGTGGTGAAACCCTGTTTCTACTAAAAATACAAAAATTAGCCGGGCCTGGTGGTGCACACCTATAGTCCCAGCTACTTGGGAAACTGAGGTGGGAGAGTCGCTTGAACCCGGGAGGCGGAGGTTACAGTGAGCCAGGATCACACCATTGCACTCTAGCCTGGGTGACAGAGTGAGACTTCATCTCAAAAAAAAAAAAAAAGAAAAGAAAAGAAAAATTAGAATTGTAGCTGGGCTGGTGGCTTACACGTATAATCCCAGCACTTTGGGAGGCTGAGGTGGGAGGACCACTTAAGCCCAAGAGTTCCAGACCAGCCTGGGCAGTATGGCCAGACTCTGTCTCTACAAAAACTTAAAAAACATTTTTTTTGTCAAGACAGGGTCTTGCTCTGTCACCCAGAGTGGAGTGCAGTGATGCAATCACGGCTCACTGCAGCCTTGAACTCCTAGGCTCAAGCAATCCTCTTACCTCAGCCTCCCGAATAGCTGGGACTAAAAGCATGCATCACCACGTTGGCTAATTTTTTTTTATTTTTTCAAGATGGAGTCTCGCTCTGTCACCCAGGCTGTAGTCCAGTGGCACAATCTTTTCTCACTGCAACCTCTGCCTTCTGGGCTCAAGCAATTCTACTGCCTCAGACTCCCAAGTAGCTGGGATTACAGGTGTGTGCCACCATGCCTGGCTAATTTTTGTATTTTTAGTAGAGGCAGTGTTTCACTATGTTGGCCAGGCTGGTCTTGAACTCCTGACCTCAAGTGATCTGCCCATCTCGGCCTCCCAAAGTGCTGAGATAACAGCCGTGAGCCACCACACCTGGCCTGTGCCAGCTAGGAAAAGCAAATTTTTTTTTAGGGACAAAATTTTACCATGTTGCCCAGGCTGGTCTTGAACTCCTGGGCTCAAGCAATCTGCCTGCCTCAGTCTCCCAAAGTGATGAGATTATAGGTGTGAGCCACTGTGCCTGGCCAAAACAATTTATTTTTATTTTTATTTTTTATTTTATTTATTTATTTATTTTGAGATGGAGTTTCACGCTGTTGCCTAGGCTGGAGCGCAGTGGCGTGATCTTGGCTCCCTACAACCTCTGCCTCCTGGGTTCAAGTGATTTTCCTGCTTCAGTCTGCTGAGTATCTAGGACTACAGGTGTCCACCACCATGCTAGGCTATTTTTTTTTTTTTTGTATTTTTATTAGAGATGGGGTTTCACCATTTTGGCCAGGCTGGTCTTGAACGCCTGACTTCAAGCGATCTGCCTGCCTTGGCCTCCCAAAGAGCTGAGATTACAGGCGTGAGGCATTGCACCCGGCCTCTAAAAATTTTTTAAAAAATTAGCTAGGCATGGTGACGCATGCCTTTGGTCTTAGCTACTTGGGAGGCTGCGGTGGGAGGATTCCTTGAATCTTCACCTGCACTCTTGCAGACACTTCAGCTTGTGTATCCACATCTGCCCTCAAAACAGCCACCTTGGCCGGGTGCAGTGGCTGACAAGGCCATGAGAATCACTTGAACCTGGGAGGCGGCGGTTGCAGTGAGCTGAAATCGTGCCACTGCACTCCAGCCTGAGCGACAGCGCCAGACTCAATCTCAAACAAAGCAAAACAAAACCCAGCCACCTCTTAGTCTAGGGAAAACATACACCCACATGGCAATATGATGCCCCTCAGGATACAGCATGCAGGAAAGAGAGGCCTACCCTGGAAACAGACTGGAGGCTGTTTGGGCATGGAACTCTGGAGGTTTTGGGGGCTGGGACATGGGTTAGAGTCAGGGGCCAAATCTGGCCCTTCACTTGTTTTTTGTAAATAAAATTTTATTGGAATATAGTCATGCTAATTCATTTATGTGTTATCTGTAGCTGCTTTCAGGCTACGATGGCAAAGTCAAATTGTGACACAGACCACTTGGCCTGCAAATCCTAAAATATTTACTCTCTGGTCCTTCAGAGAAAAAATTTGCCAACCTGTGCTCCAGAAGGTGGCAGTGGGCAGACTCCAATGGGTTTGACCCCTTGGCTGTGAACTTGAGAGCAAGGCTTGGGGAGGGTATCAGAGTGGACTTCCCTAAAGTAGGGGAAGCCCCAACCCAGAATCTGACTATGAGGAAACATCAGACAAAGCGAAATTGAAGGACATTCTACTAAAACAATAGGCTTGTACTCTTCAAAATGTCCATGTCATGAAAGGAAAAATAAAAAAAGTTAAAGAAGCATTCCAAATTAAAGAAGACAAAAGAGGGCCCAGCGCAGTGGCTCATGCCTGTAATCCCAGTACTTTGGGAGGCTGAGGCCAGCAGATCACTTGAGGTCAGGAGTTCGAGACCAGCCTGGCCAACATTGCTAAACCCCATCTCTACTAAAAATACAAAAAATAGCTGAGTGTGGTGACAGGCACCTATAATGCCAGCTACTTGGGAGGCTGAGGCATGAGAATCACTTCAACCCGGGAGGTGGAGGTTGCAGTGAGCAGAGATTGGGCCACTGCACTCCAGCCTGTGAGACAGAGTGAGACTCTGTCTCAAAAGAAAAGAAAAGAAGAATCATTTTGGCTGATGTAACTTATGCAATCCCCACTAGTGGTCTTCTTGGGCTTATTCAAACTCACGAGATGACCAGGAGTCACATTCAGAGTATTTAGAAGGATGAAGCGCAGGGGCCCTAGCTGTTATCAAAGCGGCTTCCTTCAGGTAGTCATTCCTCTAATCTAGTGTCCTTGATGCAGTTCACTCAGTAGATACAAGGAGACAGGCGAGATCTACACTGGGCCTTTAGGAGAGCTGCCCTAAATGATGGCTTCATCAATTTTTTTGAGACAGGGTCTCACTCTGTCACCCAGGCTGGAGTGCAGTGACACAATCGTGGCTCATCACAGCTTCTAACTCCTGGGCTCAAGCGCTCCTCCTGCCTCAGCCTCCCCAGTAGCTGGGACCACAAGTGCATGCCTCCATACCTGGCTAATTAAATTTTTTTTTTTTGTACAGATGGAGTCTCACTATGTTCCCCATGTTAGTCTCGAACTCCTGGGCTCAAACAAGCCTCCTACCTCAACCTCCCAAAGTGCTGGGATTATAGGCATGAGCCACTGCTTCCAGCGTTCCTGATTTAAAAGCCCGATGCCTCACAGGAGACCATCCCATAACAATTCCATAAACATAGCTTCCAGGGTCTCTGCAAGGGACATGCCCAGTTACAAAAATTCCACACTCAGAAAGCAAAAACTGGTATAAATACCACATACGACTACCTGGTGATTCCAGGTACAAGGTACCAATGATCATTTTTACTCTAAGCAATGTTGCCTAGCAACGTAGTTGACACATGCTTTCAGGGAACTAACCCTAAGGTTAGATTCTCATGCAGAAGCATTTTGTTAAACTTTTGCCAGTGGTGTACCTCCAAGACTTTGGTTAACACCTTTAACAAAAAAGGACAAGTTCAGGCTGGGTGCGGTGGTTCATGCCTGTAATTCCAGCACTTTGGGAGGCTGAGGCAGGAGGATTGCCTGAGCCCAAGAGTTCAAAACCAGCCTGGGCAACATGATGAGACCCTGTCTCTACAAAAAAATTAGCCAGGTATGGTGGCATGCGCCTGTAGTCCCAGGTACTGGGGAGGCTGAGGCAGGAGAACTGCTTGAGCCCAGGAGTTTGAGGCTGCAATGAGCTATGATCACACCACTGCACTTCAGCCTGGGTGACATAGTGAGACTGTCTCAGAAAAACAAAAAACAAACAAACAAAAAAACAAGTTAGTACATTTGGTGATCATCAGGATTTGTATTTCTATTTCTATTCCCCAATGGGATGTCCCCCCATATGCTGGGCAACTGAAATAGTTTTTGCCATTAGTTTTTATAATGCATGCAATACTCCTTTTATTCCGTGAATTCTAAGCATTTTTTCTTTTCTTTTCTTTTCTTTTCTTTCTTTCCCTTTCTTTTTCTTTCTTTCCTCTCTCCTTCTCTCTTCTTTTCTCTCCTTCTCTCTTCTTCTCTTCCTTTCTGATGGAGTCTCACTCTGTCACCCAGGCTGGAGTGCAGAGGCGCGATCTCAGCTCACTGCAACCTCCCCCTCCTGGGTTCAAGTGATTCTCATGTCTCAGTCTCCCGAGTAGCTGGGATTACAAGCGTGTGCCACCACACCCCGCTATTTTTTTTTTTTTTTAAAGTAGAGACAGGGTTTCTCTATATTGGCCAGGCTGGTCTCAGACTCCTGGCCTCAAGTGATCCACCCGTCTCAGCCTCCCAAAGTGCTGGGATTACAGGCATGAGCCACTGTGCCCGGCCTAGATATATATACATTTTTTCCGGCCTAGATATTTTACATCAAATGATATCACATGATAGTTTTTAACCAAACCAACTTACTACAGTGAAAGTTGTTTAAGCATTTTATAAAAAGTGTATTTTCCCTCTGTCTGCCATATGTAAATGAAGGGTTTTATCCAGTCTTAAGGTATGGCTTAAACCTTTAAAATAAACAATAATTTATGACTGCTTAAAAAATCTGTCACTTTAGAAAATGTCCGCATTCCTGTGTATTTCCACTAGATGGCGGCAGAGGACACTGGTCCGACTCCAACACAGGGTTCAATTGACTTGTGCACCCTTAGCCCATAGCTTTTCAGACTCAGGGATGCTGTTTAGGTTACCCCTTCCCACACGCGGAGAGCTTTCTTGAACGTTTTAATGGGATTTCACCAAATCCTACTAAACTGTTGCCATTGTAGCCTTGCCTGTCTGCTTTGGCTCTACAGGGTCTTGGGGGTTCCCAAACGTTTCTCGCCCGTAAATTGGAGTTTGGAGGAGTTGGAGTGAGTCTGGCCGTTCCCCTGCTTTGTCAAGTGGTAGTCCCATCCCAAGCACGGGGTCTGCAGGGTCATTCCGTTGTCTTCGCCTTCCACCCCCAATACCCATCCCAGCCAGACATGAATCCGTCCCCACAGCCCGGCCGCAGGTGGGTTTCTACCCGGGTCCCCTTCATGAACACTGAGCAGTTTCTCCTCTTAGCATGAATTTGGTTTCATTTCAACCCACATCTGCTCCCCATCGTGGGCTGCAGAGCTTCTCATACCAGGGGCTGGGCAAATGGACCCTCCTACCGAGGCATTCAAAGCCTCGTCTACATTTCCTTCCTTATCCCTGTCATCTCATAGTTCATTGGCCAAATGGAGTGTAGGGACTGAAAGTTTAGTTTACTGTCGCCACCACTCTGCAATGCTCACCGGGGTCTTCTTATATTCAACTAAACATTGATTCACGGGCCGGGTGCGGTGGCTTATTCCTGTAATTCCAGAACTGTGGGAGGCCGAGGTGGGTGGATCACTTGAGGTCAGGAGTTTGAAACCAGCCTGGCCAACATGGTGAAATCCCATCTCTACCAAAAAAAAAAAAACAAAAATTAGCCAGGTGTGGTGGCATGCACCTGTAGTCCCAGCTACTTGGGAGGGTGAGGCAGGAGAATCGCTTGAATCCAGGAGGCGGAGGTTGCAGTTAGCCAAGATCTTGCCACTGCACTCCAGCCTGGGTGATGGAGTGAGACTCCATCTCAAAAACAAAAACAAACAAAAAACATTGATTCAAGTGGCCTGTTCAGAAGGACTCACGGCAGGAACCACACACACCAGCAAGGCAG
Organism: Homo sapiens; assembly: GCF_000001405.40. Lineage (NCBI taxonomy): Eukaryota > Metazoa > Chordata > Mammalia > Primates > Hominidae > Homo > Homo sapiens. Next base: position 34,144,856 of record NC_000019.10, on the reverse strand, counting down.
AATCAGGCATTCCACCAGCAGGAAGCTTTGTAGCAGTTAACTCAGCAGAGGGCTCAGGTACAAGAAGACAAGATCTGCATTGAGCAGGTGCATGAGCTGCGCCGACTTAAAAGCTTCATGCCCTCTAGCAAACGGTATCTTCAGTAACAATGCAATTGGAATTGCATTAAACCTGTATATCATTTTCGGGCTGATTGTCGTCTTTACTGTGTTGAGTCTTATAGTCCATGAACATGGCATGTCTCTTCATTTATTCAAGTCTTGGATTTCTTTCATAAGCATTTTGTATGTGTATGTGCTATACCGTACTCATTTTATTTTTTGAGATGGAATTTTGCTTTTGTCGCCCAGGCTGGAGTGCAGTGGCAAAATCTTGGCTCACTGCAACCTCTGCCTCCCTGGTTCAAGCGGTTCTCCTGCCTCAACTTCCCAAGTAGCTGGGATTACAGGTGCCTGCCACCATGCTCAGCTAATTTTTTGTATTTTCAGTGGAAACGGGGTTTCACCATGTAGGCCAGGCCAGTCTTGAACTCATGACTTCAGGTGATCTGCCCAACCTCGGCCTCCCCAAGGGCTGGGATTACAGGCTTGAGCCACTGTGCCAATTAAAACAATAGTTTTAATTGTTATTTTTGAATGTACTGTTTCTACTTATATAAAAAAGGTTAACTGGAAAGCAGCCTGAGGCAGGTCCTTCAGGAAGTATCCAGAAGGCATTATTATGATCACAGGAGGTGACAGCTCCATGAGTGTTATTGTCCCTGAAGACCTTCTAGTGGGCCGAGATGTTGAGGTGGAAGACAATGATATTGATGATCCTGATCCCGTGTAGACCCGGGCTTATGTGTGTGTTTATATTAAAAACTAAAAATAAAATAAAATAAAATAAAAATAGAAAAGATTCATGGAATAAGGATATAAAGAAAGAAATTTTTTTTGCAGCTGTACAATGTGTTAAGCTGTGTTACAAGACTACAAAAGTCAAACATTAAAAAAGCTTATAAAGTTACAGTAAGCTAAAATTAATTTATTATGGAACAAATAAAAACATTAAAAAATAAATTTAGTGTGGCCTAAGTGTACAGTGCTTATAAAGTTGAGAGTAGTGTACAGTAATGTCTTAGGCCTTCACGTTCACTCACCACTCATTCACTCACACACCCGGAGTAACTTTCAGTCCTGCAAGCTCCATCATCGTAAGTGTCATGCACAGATGTACCTTTTGAAAAATCTTTTATATTGTATTTTTACTATACATTTTCTATGTTTAGATATGTTTAGATACACAAACACTTAATTTTTTTTATTTTTTGTTTTTTTAGATGGAGTCTTGCTCTGTTGCCCAGGCTGGAGTGCAGTGGCACAGATCTCGGCTCACTGCAATCTCTGCCTCCTGGCTTCAGATTTTCCTGCCTCACCCTCCTGAGTAGCTGGGATTACAGGCACCCACCACCACACCCAACTAATTTTTGTATTTTTAGTAGAGACAGCGTTTCACCATGTTGGTCAGGCTGGTCTTGAACTCCTGACGTCAAGCAATCCACCTGCCTCATCCTCCCAAAGTGCTGGGATTACAGGCATGAGCCACTGCACCTGGCCAATACTTACTACTGTGTAACAGTTGCCCACAGTGTTCAGTACAGTAACATCCTGTGCAATTAATTTAGGGGCCTAGGAGTAATAGACGATACCATATAGCATAGGTAGGTAAAGGCCAGGCCATTTAGGTTTGTGTAAGTGCACTATGAGGTTTGCACAACGATGAAATCACCTAATGACACATTCCTCAGAACGTATATCCATCGTTAAGTGGCACACGACTGTATTCCATTGTATGGATACAATCTATTTATTCATTCTATTGTTGATGGACGTTTGAATTGTTTCCAGTTTTTGGCTATTATGAATAAAACTTCTATGAACATTATCATACATGTGTTTTGGTGGACATAGCACTCATGTTGGATATATACTAAGAATGGAGCTGCTAGGTCATAGAGTGAATATGTTCAGCTTTAGTAGATGCCGTGTGTTTTCCTAAGTGGTTGCACCATGGTGGGGTTGAGCAGGTTGGTTTGTAGTGGTATTGTGACAGGGAGCAGGACTCAACCCTGCAGGTGGAGCTTGGACACTGGACCAAATTGAGGACTAGCTAAAACAGTGTCTGAGCAGAAGCAGCTTTCCATAAGACACACCCAGTGGTGTGGCCTGTCACTTTACCATTGCCATGGCACCACCCAGAAGTTACCATCCCTTTCCATGGCGATGACCTGATGACCCAGAAGTTACCATGCTTTTTCTAAAAATCTCTGCATAATCTGTCCCTTAATTTGCATATAATTTAAAGTGTGTATAAGCGTGACTGCAGCACTGCCTCTGAGCTGCTCCTCTGGGCACACTGCCTGTGGGTGGCCCTGCTCTGCAGGAGCAGCCCCTCTGCTGCTGTTATTCACGGCTGCTTCAAGAAAAGTTGCTAACACCACCGGCTCACCCTTGAATTCTCTTCTGGGCAAAGCCAAGAACCCTCCTGGGTTAAGCCCCAATTTTGGGGTCCACATGCCCTGCAACAGTATCTCTGTCCTGGTTTTAATTTGCAAATGGACTAATGATGCTAAACACCTTTTCTTCTGCTTATTGGCCTGTGGCTATCCTCTTTGGTGAAGGTCAGGGCACGCCTCTGCCCCTCCCCTCCTCTAAAAAAATTGGGCGTGGCTAACGCCTGTAATCCCAACACTTTGGGAGGCTGAGGTGGATGGATCCCGAGGTCAGGAGGTTCAGGAGGTTGAGACCATCCTGGCTAACATGGTGAAACCCTATCTCTACAAAAAATACAAAAAATTAGCCGGGCGTGGTGGCACGAGCCTGTAGTCCCAGCTACTGGGGAGGCTGAGGCAGGAGAATCGCTTGAATCCAGGAGACAGAGGTTGCAGTGAGCCGAGATCGCGCCACCGCACTCCTGGGTGACAGAGCAAGACGCTGTCTCAAAAAAGAAAAAAAAAAAAAAAAAAAGAAAAAGAAAAATTGGTTGTCCAGTCTTTTTCTTATCAATTACTAGGGCTCTTTGACACATGTTTTGCAATGTGTTCTCCTGGCCCGTCACTTACCTTTTCACCTTCTTAATGGTGTTTTTTGAGGTACACACATTTTACTAATTAATTTACAACTGAAACTTATTCTATAAATTATTACTCTTTCATGGTTATTGGTATTTGCATCCTGTTTAAGGAATCTTTGCCTATGCTTACACATTAACCTGATCTGTTATATTTTCTTTAACAGTGTTCTTGGTTTGCCTTTCACATTGAGGTCGATGATGCTTCTCAAATTAAATTTTGTGTTTGGTGTTAGGTAGGGGTAAAGGTTGTGAAAGAAAAATAGAAACTTGGGACCCCAATTCACTATGCCATTCCATTCTGTGAGAGTACACAGAAAAAAATAATTCACAATGCCAAAAGGAGAAAAAATTAAGCTGAAAGCTGAATCAGGCAAGAAACGAACTTTCCTTTTGTTCCTAAGCAGAGAGCTGTGGATAAAAGGTTAAAGATCTCCACAGGTAGCTATGCTTTGTTCACCTTATCTTATGTAAAGTGCTGATTTACTGAGCAGGAGACTAATAACATGATTGACTATTCACTCCCTTATGTGCTCTTTTTCTCTTGCGACACGTGGATTTAGTAACGTGACCATTCCCTCCCTGTTTTCCCTCCAGCCTGCTTTTTCCCTTTAAATATTGAAGCCTTTAAAGTCATCTTTGGAGAAATGCACGGACCTTTCTCAAGTCCTTAACCTTGGAAAAATAAACTTCTAAATTGATTGAGACCTATCTCAGATACTATTTGGTTTATAAGATTCATTTTTTTATATTAGTATCTAATTGACCCAGACTCATTTAGTGAAAAGACCACCCATTCTCCCACTGAATTGTACTGTAGGTTCAAACCAGTGCAATAGGCAAGAAAAAGAAATAAAAGGCATCCAGACTGGAAAGGAAGAAGAGAATGGTCTTTATTCACAGTTGACATGATTGTCTACATGGAAAATCCTATCGAATGTATAAAAAGCTATTCTAATAAGCAAATTTTCAGGATACAAGATCAATAGACAAAAATCAATTATGTTTCTATATATTAGCAAAAAACTAAAAATTTAAAATACATTTTAATTAAATTAAAATTTTTAAATAAGTTTTAAATTAAAAAATTAAAAATAGTCTGGACACAGTGGCTCATGCCTGTAATCCCATCACTCTGGGAGGCTGAGGCAGGAGGATTGCTTGTGGCCAGGAGTTTGAGGTTTCAGTGAGCTATGATCCTGCCACTGCACTCCAGCCAGGTGACAGAGTGAGACCCTGTTTCTAAAATACAAACAAAAACAATTTAAAAGAGCACAAAAGTATGATACACTTAGGAATGAATCTGACCAAAGATGTGCAAGGCCTGCTCATGAAAAGCACAAAACATTTCTGAGAGAAATTACAGAATATCTAAGTAGATGGAAATATACACCATATCCATAGAGTTTGAAAGACCATATTTTTAAGGTGTTAATTTGCCCTATATTGATCTTCAGATTCCCTGGAATTTCAGTCAAATCCCAGTAGGCTTTTTTTGTTGATCTGGATAAGCTGATTCTAAGATTCATTTAGAAATGCAAAGGACATGGAGTAGACAAAACAACTTTGAGAAAAAAATAGTTGGAAGATTAAAACTATTTGATCTCGGCTGGGCGCAGTGGCTCATGCCTGTAATGCCAGCACTTTGGGAGGCCGAGGCGGGCAGATCACCTGAGGTCAGGAGTTCAAGACCAGCCTGGCCAACATGGTGAAACCCCGCCTCTACTAAAAATACAAAAAAATTAGCTGGGCGTGGTGGTGGGTGCCTGTAATCCCAGCTACTTGGAAGGCTGAGGCAGGAGAATCGCTTGAACCCGGGAGGCGGAGGTTGCAGTGAGCTGAGGTTGCGCCATTGCACTCCAGCCTGGGCAACAAGAGCAAAACTCCATCTCAAAAACAAACAAACAAACAAACAAACAAAACTTATCTGATTTCAAGACTTACTATAAAGCTATGATAATCAAGACCATGTGCTATCAGTGTCAAGACATATAAATAGGTCAATGAGCAGAATGGAGATTCCATAAAAAACTCAAATTTATGTGATCAATTAATTTTCAACAAAGTGGCAAAGGCAATTCAGAAAAAAAAAAAATATTTTTAACAAACGGCTGAAATAATTGGATATCTATATGCAAAAAGTTAACTTTGACCCTTATCTAACACTATATATAAAAATTAACATAGTAGATCATGGATGTAATTCTAAAACTTAGAACTAGAAAAGTTCAAGAGAAGGCCGGGAGCGGTGGCTCACGCCTGTAATCTCAGCACTTTGGGTGGCTGAGGCGGGTGGATCACGAGGTCAGGAGATCGAGACTATCCTGGCTAACACGGTGAAACCCCGTCTCCACTAAAAATAAAAAAAAAAAAAAATTAGCTGGGCGTGGTGGCGGGTGCCTGTAGTCCCAGCTACTCAGGAGGCTGAGGCAGGAGAATGGCGTGAACCTGGGAAGCGGAGCTTGCAGTGAGCCAAGATTGTGCCACTGCACTCCAGCCTGGGCGACAGAGCAAGATTCCATCTTAAAAAACAAACAAAAAAAAAAGTTCAAGAGAAAAATATAATACAGGAGAAAATCTTTGGGTTACGCAAATATTTGTTAGATAGGACACTAAAGACAAAAGCTACAAATCAAAATATTGACAGATCACTTTGGGAAGCCTTGGTGGGTGCATCACCTAAGGTCGGGAGTTCGAGACTAGCCTGGCCACCCCGTCTCTACTAAAAATACAAAAACTAGCTAGGCGCGGCAGTGTGTGCCTGTAATCCCTGCTACTTGGGAGGCTAAGGCAGGAGAATTGCTTGAACCCAGGTGGTGAAGGCTGCAGTGAGCCCAGACCACACCACTGCACTCCAGCCTGGGAGACAGAGCGAGACTCCATCTCAAAAAAAAAAAAAAAAAAATTGGCAAATTAAACTTTATTGAAATTAAGAATGCTTTTGAAATATGCTTTTAAGAGAATAAAAGGACATTATTTATGAAGGCCATATTTATGAGGAAGAAAATATTTATGAGGGAAGGAAATATTTATGAGGGCTGGGCACAGTGGTTCACACCTGTAATCTCAGCATTTTGGGAGGCTGAGGCAGGCAGATTGCTTGAGCCCAGGAGTTTGAGACCAGCTTGGGTAATGTGACGAAACCCTGTCTCTACAAAAAATACAAAAATTAGCCGGGTGTGATGGCTTGCACCTGTATTCCCAGTTACTCAGGAGGCTGAAGTGGGAGGATTGATTGAGCCTGGGAGGTTGAGACTGCAGCCAGCTGTGATTGCACCACTGCACTCCAGCCTGGGTGACAGAGCAAAACCCTGCCTCGAAAAAAAAAGATAATTAAACAAATATCTGAAAAAAAGATAATTAAACATAAAAATCTGAAACCCAGATTTTTATGAATAGTAATAAACTAATTTTAAAAATGGGCAAAATATTTGAATTCACACGTCACCAAAAATATATATATGAATGGAAAATAGGCTCATGAAAGGATGCTTAGTGTCTTTTTAAAATTTTATATATATATATTTTTTGAGACAGCGTCTCACTCTGTCGCCCAGACTGGAGTGCAGTTGCGCGATCTTGGCTTACCGCAACCTCCACCTCCTGGGCTCAAGTAATCCTTCCATTTCAGCCTCCCCAGTAGCTGGGACTATGGGCTCAGGCCACCATGCCCAGCTAAGTTTTGTATTTTTTTGTAGAGATGGGGTTTTGCCATGTTGCCCAGGCTGGTCTTGAACTCCTGAGCTCAAACCGTCTGCCCACTTTGGCATCCCAAAGTGCTGGGTATAAATTTTTTTATATTAAAAATTAAAAAAAATAGAGAAGGGGCTTTGCCATGTTGCCCAGGCTGGTCTTGAACTTCTGAACTCAAGCAATCCTCCTGCCTTGGCCTCCCAAAGTACTGGGATTACAAGCGTGTGCCACCATACCCAGCCAAGGATGCTTAATGTCATTAGATAAATAAAAATTAAACCTACAGCAAGATACCACTACATACTTTTAGAATGTCTAACAAGTGTTGGACATATGGATCTAGAACTCTCATTCACTTCTGGTGGGAATGTGAAATGGAATAACCACTTTGTGTTTTTCTCTTTTTTTTGAGATGAGTCTCACTCTGTCACCCAGGCTGGAGTGCAGTGGTGTACTCTCAGCTCACTGCAACCTCCTCCTCCTGGTTCTCCTGCCTCAGTCTCCCAAGTAGCTGGGATTACAGGCACCCGCCATCATGCCTGGCTAATTTTTGTACTTTTAGTAGAGACAGGGTTTTGCCCTGTTTGCCCGGCTGGTCTTGAACTCCTGACCTCAGGTGATCCGCCTACCTCAGCCTCCCAAGGTGCTGGGATTACAGGCATGAGCCACCATGCCTGGTCTGGAACAACCACTTTGAAAAATAGTTTGGGTCTATGGCCATATCACCCTAAACACACCTGATCTCATCTGAAAAAGTTTGGCAGTTTCTTAAAAAGTTGAACATACACCCACTGTTTGACACAACCATTTCACTGCTATTAATCCAAATAAAAGGGTACATTCATACAAAGACTTGCACACCCATGTTGATAGAAGTTTTGTTTGTTATAGCCAGAAACTGAAAAGTGAACAATGGAGGAATGGATTTAAAAAATTGCAGTATATCAATACAATGGAATTCTACTCAGCAATGACAAGAAATGAACTACTGATCTATTCAGCAACATGGGTGAATTTCAAAATAGTTAAGCTTGACTGTGTAACTTCCAGACCAGTTTTATCTGGCCATACTTTCTTGATAACAGGATGTCTAATTATTTTGCAAGCACAGAGCTAAGAAGTGAAATCGTACCCCAAAGGGTTAAACAGGTGACTAACAGGAATTCTTTTTTTTTGAGATAAAATTTTGCTCTGTCCCCCAGGCTGGAGTGCGGTGGTGTGATCTCAGCTCACTGCAACCTTGTCCCGGGTTCAAGCGATTCTCCTGCCTCAGCCTCCGGAGCAGCTGGGATTATAGGCGTCTGCCACTATGCCCAGCTAATTTTTGTGGTGTTAGTAGAGACGGGATTTCACCATGTTGGTCAGCTGGTCTCGAACTCCTGACCTCAGGTGATCCAGCCACCTCGGCCTCCCAAAGTGCTGGGATTACAGGCGTGAGCCACCACACCCCGCCAGGAATTCTTGAGCTTACATGATGGCAGATAAGACAAGAAACATTTTGCAGAAACTCCCTTTAATTATAAGAGAACGAAACTGGCTGAAATCAGTTGGAACCAACATGGCCAACTGGAGTCTGTGCAGAAAGAGGCTGCTGACATCACAGTCTGAACTTCCGCAGCATGTTCCATATTCACTCTCGCATCCTGGATTTGCACATGCAACCCATCAAGAGACAACTGTGCATGCCCAAGGACTTTCCAGACCTCCCCTTTCTTTCTACCTGTTGATCCCTAACTCATCCCCTAAACCTTCCTAATAAATGTACTGCCTTAAGGCCAGCATGGGGAGATAGACTTGATCTGGCCTCCTGTCTCCTTGCTGGTCAACTGGCAATAAAGCTTTCCTTTTCTCAAAATCTCATGCCATAGTATTGGCCTCTATGCTCATCATGAAGTGACCCCTTGGCCTCAGTAACTGTCCTCTACCCTGAGAAAAAGCAGATAGTATATGATTCCTTAACATATAATTCTACAGGACGCAAACTAATCCACGGTGACCAAAAGCAGATTCACTGTTATCTGAGGGACTGATACGGTAGGCTGTGACTGGGAGGAAGGATTATAAATGAGCAGAAGGAAACTTTTATGTTCATTCTCTTGATTGTGGTGGTGGTTTCAGGGATGTATACACACATATGTAAAAGGCAAACTGTATGCTTTAAATATGTACAGGCTTTACACCAGCACTTCAATAAGGCTGTTTAAAATTTTAAAAGGTGTGGGAAAGAACACAGGCCACACATGTGGTGGTGGAAATGGCCCAGGCTTTGCTATTAAAGTTGCGCTAGTGTCCTTTGTCAAGTCACTTAGAACTCTCAGCTGCAAAGATAACACCGCCCTGGCAGGGATTAAGAAATAGTGTACAGGCCAGGCGCAGTGGCTCACACCTGTAATCCCAGCACTTACGGAGGCCGAGGAGGGTGAATCACTTGAGGTCGGGAGTTCAAGCCCAGTCTGGCCATTATGGCAAAACTCTGTTTCTATTAAAAGTACAAAAATTAGCCAGGCGTGGTGGCAGGCACCTGTAATCCCAGCTGAGGCGATCACTCGAATCCGGGAGGCAGAGGTTGCAGTGTGCCGAGATTGCGCCACTGCATTACAGCTTGGGCGACAGAGTGAGACTCTGCCTCCGAAAAAAAAAAAAAAAGAAGAAAGTCAAGAAAAAAGAAATAGTGAACAGGCCGGATGCGGTGGCTCACGCCGGTAATCCCAGCACTTTTGGAGGCCGAGGTGGGAGATCTTTTGAGCCCAGGAGTTGGAGACCAGCCTGTGCAACATAGTGAGACCGCCCCCTCTACAAAAATGTCATAATTAGCCGGGTGTAGTGGCCTGCGCCTGTAGCCTCAGCTATTTGGGAGTCTGAGGCGGGAGAATCACTTGAGCCCCAGGAGTTCAAAGCTCCAGTGAGCTAGCTCTGGTCACGCCAATATACTCCAGCCTGGGCTACCAAGACCTTGTATCAAGAAAAAAAAAAAAAAAGAAAAGAAAATAAAAAGAAATAGTGAAAATTTAGGCGAATTTAGGTGAAGCACAGGGTATTCGTCCAGGTGTGACATGCAAGGTGGAATGGTGGCAGGCAGCCCGACTCAATTCCAGGCCCTAACTCATCTTGGATCTGTGACCTGAAGCACGTTCCTGAGCGTCTCCGTTTCAATGTCTCAATTGCAAAGCGGATTAAATGACTCAACACAAGTAAGACAGGAGGAGCGCAGGGGCTGGGGCGTTCTCGGTAAGCTGAGAACAAGCCGGGTGGACGATGACCTGACGGCGCCGGCGAGACCCCGGGCCGGTTGCTGGGGTCGCACACAGGCAGCCGGAGGGGCGCGCAGGAGGGTCCGGGGCAGGGGCCGGGAAGACTGGGCAGATAAGAGAGCCGGAACAGGCGAGGCGGCCAAAGAGGCATCCAGGAGCCGCGACAAACGTGCGGGCAGCGCAACAAGTGACCCGCAAAGCACCCAACCACCACCTTAACGCTACTTCCCAGCCTGCCCCGCGCCCTCGGGCGCAGGCGCAGTGAGGTGGGCGGGGGGCACGGCCCAGTTTCGGGGGGCACGACCCGGCCCCTAGCCCCACCCCAGCCGCGGCCACGCCCCTCGCCGCGCCTCTAGAGCGGGAGGCTCGGCTGCTGGTTTCAGTTTGCAGCTAGGGAAGGTGGGGACATTGCCAGTGTCGAGTGGGTTGATCCTCCCTGGGTCCCTCTGCAAATTTAGGACCGTGCCACGAGTCCAGTCAGGAGCGGGACGCCTACCCTGCGGCGTCGTGCGCGCTTCAGGGGCACTATTGCAAAATAGATGCAGCTCTCAGGCAGTTTGCTTGTTCCTGGGTGAGGAGTTTTTGGTTAAAAAACAGTTGTTCCTCCCCGAGTTTGTGAAAGATAATGTATTTAAAAAATAAAACAAAGAAATTCCCAAGTCCCATCTGGAAATAAAAGATAGTTTTAAAAGACACCTGCATTAGATTGCTACAATAAAGTTATGTTTTCGTATTTTTTTCTTGATACAAAACAAATTTAAAAAAATATATTTTTAGACAGAGTTTCACTCTTGTTGCCTAGGCTGGAGTGCAGTGGCGCGATCTCGGCTCAACCTCCGCCTCCCGTGTTCAAGCGATTCTCCTGCCTCAGCCTCCCAAGTAGCTGGGATTACAGGCGCACGCCACCACTCCCAGATAATTTTGTATTTTTAGCAGAGATGGGGTTTCATCATGTTGGCCAGGCTGGTCTCGAACTCCTGACCTCAGGTGATCCGCCCGCTTCAGCCTCCCAAAGTGCTGAGATTACAGGTGCGAGCCACCGTGCCCAGCCAATAAAATATATTCTTTTTTATTTATTTATTTATTTTTTATTTATTTATTTTTATTGATCATTCTTGGGTGTTTCTCGCAGAGGGGGATTTGGCAGGGTCATAGGACAATAGTGGAGGGAAGGTCAGCAGATAAACAAGTGAACAAAGGTCTCTGGTTTTCCTAGGCAGAGTGTGTGTGTCCCTGGGTACTTGAGATTAGGGAATGGTGATGACTCTTAACGAGCATGCTGCCTTCAAGCATCTGTTTAACAAAGTACATCTTGCACCGCCCTTAATCCATTTAACCCTGAGTGGACACAGCACATGTTTCAGAGAGCACAGGGTTGGGGGTAAGGTCATAGATCAACAGGATCCCAAGGCAGAAGAATTTTTCTTAGTACAGAACAAAATGAAAAGTCTCCCATGTCTACTTCTTTCTACACAGACACGGCAACCATCCGATTTCTCAATCTTTTCCTCACCTTTCCCCCTTTTCTATTCCACAAAACCGCCATTGTCATCATGGCCCGTTCTCAATGAGTTGTTGGGTACACCTCCCAGACGGGGTGGTGGCCGGGCAGAGGGGCTCCTCACTTCCCAGTAGGGGCAGCCGGGCAGAGGCGCCCCTCACCTCCCGGACGGGGCGGCTGGCCGGGCGGGGGGCTGACTCCCCCACCTCCCTCCCGGACGGGGCGGCTGGCCGGGTGGGGGGCTGACCCCCCCACCTCCCTCCCGGACGGGGCGGCTGGCCGGGCAGAGGGGCTCCTCACTTCCCAGTAGGGGCTGCCGGGCAGAGGCGCCCCTCACCTCCCAGACGGGGCGGCTGGCCGGGCAGGGGGCTGACCCCCCACCTCCCTCCCTGACGGGGCGTCTCGCCTGGCGGGGGCTGACCCCCCCACCTCCCTCCCGGACGTGGCGGCTGGCCGGGCGGGGGGCTGACCCCCCCACCTCCCTCCCGGACGGGGCGGCTGGCTGGGCAGAGGGGCTCCTCACTTCCCAGTAGGGGCGGCCGGGCAGAGGCGCCCCTCACCTCCCGGACGGGGTGGCTGGCCGGGCGGGGGGCTGACCCCCCCACCTCCCTTCCGGACGGGGTGGCTGCCGGGCGGAGACGCTCCTCACTTCCCAGACGGGGTGGCAGCCGGGCGGAGGGGCTCCTCACTTCTCAGATGGGGCGGTTGCCAGGCGGAGGGTCTCCTCACTTCTCAGACGGGGCGGCCGGGCAGAGACGCTCCTCACCTCCCAGACGGGGTGGCGGGGCAGAGGCGCTCCCCACATCTCAGACGATGGGCGGCCGGGCAGAGACGCCCCTCACTTCCTAGATGGGATGGTGGCCAGGAAGAGGCGCTCCTCACTTCCTAGGTGGGATGGCGGCCGGGCAGAGACGCTCTTCACTTTCCAGACTGGGCAGCCAGGCAGAGGGGCTCCTCACATCCCAGACGATGGGCGGCCAGGCAGAGACGCACCTCACTTCCCAGACGGGGTAGCCGCCGGGCAGAGGCTGCAATCTCGGCACTTTGGGGGGCCAAGGCAGGCGGCTGGGAGGTGGAGGTTGTAGCCGAGATCACGCCACTGCACTCCAGCCTGGGCACCATTGAGCACTGAGTTAACGAGACTCCGTCTGCAATCCCGGCACCTCGGGAGGCCGAGGCTGGCAGATCACTCGCGGTTAGGAGCTGGAGATCAGCCCGGCCAACACAGCGAAACCCCGTCTCCACCAAAAAAATACGAAAACCCGTCAGGCGTGGCGGCGCGCGCCTGCAATCGCAGGCACTCGGCAGGCTGAGGCAAGAGAATCAGGCAGGGAGGTTGCAGTGAGCCGAGATGGCAGCAGCACAGTCCAGAGGGAGACCGTGGAAAGAGGGAGAGGGAGAGGGAGCTAAAATATATTCTTATCAAATAATTGTACTACTACCAAGTTTAGTTTGTGTGAACCCCATAAAATGTAATATATGAGTGCATGAGGAAATCCCAAAGATTTCACACTCTTTTTACATTAAAAAAAAATTGTTTTTGAGACAGAGTCTTGCTCTGCTGCCCAGGCTAGAGTGCAGTGGTGTGATCATAGCTCAAAATGTAGCCTCCGGCTCCTGGGCTCAAGAGATCCTCCCACCCCAGCCTCCCAAAGTGCTAGAATTACAGGAATGCACCACTAGGCCCTGGCAGAAGTAAAATTTCTGGGTCGTAAGGTATGTATATGTTTAATTTTAGCAGCTACTGCTAGTCGGCTTTCCACAGTATTACTTTTATCGAAATAATCAGATTGGAGGCCAGTGCCATGCCTGTAATCCTAGCACTCTGGGAGGCTGAGGTGGGAGGATCACTTGAGCCTAGGAGTCTGAGACCACTCTGGGCAATATCTCTACATAAAATTAAAAAATTAGCCTGATGTGGTGGTTGGTGCCTGTCATTCCAGCTGCTTGGGAGGCTGAGCTGGAAGGATGACTTGGGCTGGGGAGGTTGGGAGGTTGAGGCTACAGTGAGCTATGATGACATCATTACATTCCAGCCTGGGTGACAGAGTGAGAGCCTGTCTCAAACAAAAACCAACCAACAAACAAAAATACCCAACTAAAAGGGTTGTTTTGGAGATTAAATAAACAATGTATGGAAACTGCTTAGAAGAAAGTCTGGCACACAAGATACCCCTTACAAATATTAGTTTCTTTCCTTCCAAAAGATTTTATTTGGGATATTAGGAGATATTGATAATATTTGATCAGGAAGACATAGCATGCCCTGTTACATTTTTTAGAGTGTTTAACAAAACGAAGAGAAGTCTGAGACTGAGTGTTAACCTCCTGGTTTTCTGCTGCTGGGTATACTTTATGCCAAGCACAGAATGAGAGCCTGTGTGAATTAAGCTTCTTTCCCAAGATGATGAAGTGTAGAACACTTTGGTGGAGAACAGAAGAGCCTGCACAGCCTCACCCCTGTGTTTATAGTGTTTTGAGGGGTAGAAATAAGCATTTCAGTAGTCTTTCTGTGGCATCTGCTCCAGGACAAAAAGCCCTAAAAGGTAAAGAGTACAGGCCAAGATGCCAATGCCAATAACTGGTGATATGGTTTGGCCCTGTGTCCCCACCCAAATCTCACACTGAATTGTAAAGGTCCCACCCACATGTCAAAGGCGGGACCAGGTGGAGGTAATTGGATCATGGGGATGGTTTCTCCCATACTGTTCTTGTGAAAATGAGTGAATCTCACAGGGTCTGATTTTTTTTTTTTTTTTGGAGACGGAGTCTTGCTCTGTCGCCAGGCTGGAGTGCAGTGGCACAATCTTGGCTCACTGCAACCTCCGCCTCCCGGGTCCAAGCAATTCTCCTGCCTCAGCCTCCCAAGTAGCTGGACCTACAGGCGCGTGCCACCATGCCCAACTAATTTTTGTATTTTTAGTAGAGACGGGGTTTCACCATGTTGGCCAGGATGGTCTTGATCTCTTGACCTCGTGATCTGCCCACCTCGGCCTCCCAAAGTGCTGGGATTACAGGCATGAGCCACCATGCCCAGCCGATCTGATGGTTTTATAAGCAACTGGCATTTCCCCTGCTTGCTCTCATTCTCTCTCCTGCAGCCCTATGAAGAAGCACCTTCCTCCATGATTGTAAGTTTCCTGAGGCTTCCTCAGCCATGCAGAACTGTGAGTCAATTAAACCTCGTTTCTTTATAAATTACCTAGTCTTGGGTATTTCTTCATAGCAGCGTGAGAACGGACTAATACAATTGGTTTTGTCCAATCTGCAGAGATGACCATTGCTATCACAGCCAAAGAGAGGCAAAGCAAAAGGGTAGGAAGCCCAAAAGTCCTAAGACCTAATAGCATGAACACCAATGGCAGGTACATGGAGAGGATGAGGACCAGCATTGGGATCTTTACATTATGCTCGCAGAGCTCATAAAAAATTTAACAAATTAGGCTGGATGCTGTGGCTCATGCCTGTAATCCCAGCACTCTGGGATTACAGAGACTGAGGTGGGAGGATTGCTTAAACCCAGGAGTTCGAGACCAGCCTGGGCAATATCTCTATTAGAAAATTAAAAAATTAGCAGGGCATGGTGGTACACTACTAGGGAGACAGCTACTCAGGAGGATGAGGCTGGAGGATTGCTTGCGCCCAGGAGGTAGAGGCTGGCAGTGAGCTAAGATCTCGCCACTGTACTCCAGTCTGGGCAACAGAGTCAGACCTTGTCTCTCTCTCTCTTAAAAAAAAAAAAAAAAGGGCCAGGCGCAGTGGCTCAAGCCTGTAATCCCAGCACTTTGGGAGGCCAAGGCAGGTGGATCACGAGGTCAGGAGATCGAGACCATCCTGGCTAACACAGTGAAACCCCATCTCTACTAAAAATACAAAAAATTAGCCGGGGGTGGTGGCGGGCGCCTGTAGTCCCAGCTACTCGGGAGGCTGAGGCAGGAGAATGGCGTGAACTCGGGAGGCAGAGCTTGCAGTGAGCCGAGATCGTGCCACTGCACTCCAGCCTGGGCAACAGAATGAGACTTCATCTCAAAAAAAAAAAATGGACTTGACTAGAACAAAATGAAGTGGACTAGGGATGCTGGCATTTTGTCTGGATGTAGGAAACGGGGAGCAGAGTGGAAGTTTCCTCCTGCTTGTTCAGTGGTTACCCTTGGGGAGCAGAGTGGAAGGTTCCTCCCCCTTGTCCTGTGGTTACCCTGGGTAAGCCCTGTCTTATTTAGTTTTATCACAAGGCAGGGCTTGAATGTGTCAGCCTATGATTTGGTCATCTGTGGTCTCTTCCAATTAAACAAGGAATGTGCAGCAGTGAATGTCATGGAGATGTTCATCCAGCAACTATTGTTGGAGGGTAACTCTGTTCCCAAAGCTCATGTTATTATTTTTTATTTTTAAAAAAGGCATCCTAGAGGGAGACTGAGGGGTTTAGTGACAGCCTCCCCACATCTGGGCTTATGCTATGCCAGTGTGGTCTTCCTAAAATACCACACTGATCATGTGAAAGACCTGCATTAAACGTTTAAGTGGCTCTCATTGCCCATAAAATAAATCTCAGACTTCTCATCCTGGCATTAATGGTCCTCCCTGAGTTGACCTCATTCTGTATTGAGGCTTCCTTCTAATTATTCACTAAACCATAGTCTCGTCAGCAAAACTAGTTTACTTGAGCTTTCGCGAACTTTCTCATTCTTTGTGCTTTTATGAATCCTATTCATTTTTCACGGCCTTATTCAAATTCATCTTCCGTCTTCCCTGAAGTCTTTCCTTTATAGCCCAACTTCAAGTGTTTTCCTTTTTGTGGTTAAAAAAAATTTTTTTTGGCCGGGTGCGGTGGCTCACACCTATAATCCCAGCGCTTTGGGAGGGTGAGGCAGGACAATAGTGAGGTCAGGAGTTTGAGACCAGCCTGGCCAACATAGTGAAACCCTGTCTTTACTAAAAATAGAAAAATTAGCCGGGCTTGGTGGCACCTGCCTATAGTCCTAGCTACTTGGGAGGCTGAGGCAGGAAAATTGCTTGAACCCGGGAGGCGGAGGATGCAGTGAGCTGAGATCCCACCAATGCACTCTAGTCTGGTGACAGAGTGAGACTCTGTCTCAAAAAGAAAAGAAAAGAAAAGAAAACAACAATCATCCACATTCCTATCACTGAGAATCAATCACTGCTAACTTTTTTTTTTTTTGAGACAGAGTCTCTCTCTGTCACCCAGGTTGGAGTGCAATGGCATGATCTCTCCTAACTGCAACCTCCGCCTCCCGGGTTTAAGCAATTCTCCTTTCTCAGGCTCTCAAGTAGCTGCGATTACAGGCACCCGCCACCACTCCTGGCTAATTTTTTGTATTTTTAGTAGAGACAGGCTTTTGCCGTTTTGACCAGGCTGGTCTCGAACTCCTGACCTCAGGTGATCCACCCCTTTGGCCACCCAAAGTGCTGGGATTACTGGCATGAGTCACCTCACCCAGCCAGCAGTGAACATTTTTGCATATTTAATTTAAATCTTTTTTTTTTTTTTTAAAGAAAAATCAGTGTTGGTTTGATGACAATGATATTACATTTTTCATTTCATTCATTTCATTTTCATTTTTATTTTTGGAAGAAAATCACTTTATTTTAATTAACTCACAGAGAATAAAATCACAGCTAGTTTAAGGAGGCTACACAAACATTTGCCCAGCCCCAAATTCTACACGACCTTAATGAAATTCTGCACAGTAAGAGCACCTTCTTTCATTTCAATTCTGAAGCAAGGAAGCTATGAATGACAAGGAGAGGTTTAACTGATGGTTACACTTTATACCTTCACTATCAATTATATTTTTATACTAAATTAACTTGGTTATGAGAGCTGATTTTTCATTACTCCAATTTGACCTTCTTGATTAGGCCAATCTGTTTGAAGGTCTGCACTGTTTCAGCACCTCACTGAAACCCTCACAGAGCTTTCTGTCACCCTGGTTCTGTGCATCCTCCAAAAACTGGTCTCATAGAAGCAAGGCCGCTGCTGCTGTGCCGACTGGATTCCCTGAGGCTACTGGTAAGTGATGTCAGGCCTTACAGGCTCAGCATTACTTCCTCCACTGAAGCCCCCGGTGACGGCGTGGCCCAGTGTGTGCCCCACAGCAGAGCCCACAGCCACGTCAGCTGCAGTGGTTGCCATCTGGGCCCTCAGACCTGGCTGCTGGGGAGCAGCAGCAGGAGAGCCAACTGCAGAGGTGGATGCCACTGTTGGCGGCTGAGCTGCAGGTGCTGGCCTGTATGCAGCTGTCATCTGAGATGCCCGGCTGGCCAGAGGGGCCATGTGGGAAGTGTGGCTTCAGCTTCCATGGGGCATCCTAGGTGTGTTGGCGGCTCGGCATTTGGATGTGTGAAAACAAGCCGTTTTGTTCATTTTAAAGAGCTCAAACAATGCAGAAAACTGCAGTGATAAAATTTAGAAAATATATAATCCTCCCTGAATTCCGCCACCGAGAAAGAAACACCATTAGCTGTATTTTTATTTTTATTGCCCAGGCTGGAGTGCAATGGCTCGATCTCAGCTCACTGCAACCTCTGCCTCCCGGATTCAAGTGATTATTCTGTCTCAGCCTCCCAAGTAGCTGGGATTACAGGTGTGCACCACCATGCCCAGATAATTTTTTTGTGTTTTTAGTAGAGATGAGTTTCACCATGTTGGTCAGGCTGGTCTCAAACTCCTGACCTCAGGTGATCTGCCCGCCTCGGCCTCCCAAAGTGCTGGGATTACAGGCATGAGCCACCACACCTGGCCTATCAATATTTGTTGAATGAATATCTTGTAGAATTTTTTAAGGCTTTGAAATTGCTTTGTATTTGGCAAATACTTTAAATCTAATGCCTCTCCCACTTGCTTTTTTGAAAAAATGAGTTATCCTTATCCTTATCCTTTTCCCAGGATAGCCCTCAGACTTTCCTGGGTGGGCCCTACATCTCAGCAGCCTCCCTGGAAAACATCCTCTGCTTCTCTGGACTCTCCAAGTGGGATAGATGCAGAGAATATCTGCCCTCTTGGCCCCCACAGGCTGAGCATACCCAGTAATTGGTCTTATTATTCTGTGTTGGAATTTTAGAAAGATAGTGTGATGTGGTTATTATTCTATGAATATCAACTTCTAAATTGATCCAATGCTCAATGAAAATGACATTTCTTTTTCTTTTTCTTTTCTTGAGATGGAGTTTCGCTTTTGTTGCTTAGGCTGGAGTGCACTGGTGCAACCTTGGCTCACCGCAACCTCTGCTTCCTGGGTTCAAGTGATTTTCGTGCCTCAGCCTCCTGAGTAGCTGGGATTACAGGAGCACACCACCACACCTGGCTAATTTTTGTATTTTTAGTAGAGACAGCATTTCGCCATATTGGCCAGGCTGGTCTTGAACTCTGACCTCAGGTGATCCACCAGCCTTAGCCTCCCAAAGTGCTGGGATTACAGGTGTGAGCCACTGTGCCTGGCCATTTTTCTTTCTTTCCTTTTTCTTTTTTTTTTTTTTTTTGAGACAGGGTTTTGCTCTGCTGCCCAGGTTGGAGAAAACCCACTGAGAAACATCATATATATGGAAGCTGTTCATACATAGTATATGAGTGGGCTGTAGAGACAGGGGTGCTGTGGAGGAAATGAACTTTGATTTTGTTGCTGAAAACTGCATTATTAGCTCCTGAATTTCCAGTCTGTTATATAATTGTTTATGTGAACATGATGCATTTTAAGGTGTAATATTTAAAATTTACTTGGCATTAAATCATAGTTCTGCTCTTAATATACTTTATAGAGAATTTGGGACATGGTTTTATTCATACAGATTATTAGGTTCATTTCTTTAAAAGAGACTAGCTCCTTTAGTGGATTTGATGTGTAGAAGGATAATTTTAGCGCAAATAACTGCTAAACTGTGCATTCGAGAGCAGAGGTAGTGGGGAATATGGTGTAATTACTTGAGATAAGGTATGTTTATCATTTGTGTTTTCTCATGGTGAAGATTAAATATATAGCTTAAATATAATACATATGCTCATAAGAACCCTTTTCATTAGATGTATATGTACTGAGTAGCAGGTTCTTAAAATGGCTGTTTCCCTGGATTGATTGTTGAGGGAAGAAAGTGTAATTGCACCAGATCAATCTGGCTCAACTTTTATGTAACAAAGTTGTGAGTTGTTTTTCAGTTGCCATGGACCCCCAGGTCAAAGGTCATGTAACTTGAGCATGCCCAGATGAACAGTCAGGGTAGGGGGATCCTAAGTGCTTGGACTGAGGAGAGGGGACTGAATTAAAAAGCAGACACCACGTGGTGGCATCCAGGATCCAATCAGATCAAGCTCTGATGTTACCTCTTGGCAGGATCCAGTTAGATCATGCCTCCTGGCAATCACCTCACTGCAAGATCCAATCAGATCATACTTCATTATCCTATGCTTATAAAACCTGATCCAAATCCCAGCTCAGGGAGACAGATTTGAGTGTTTCCTCCTGTCTCCTTGCCAGTCAATTCACAAAAAAATATTTCTTTTTTCAAAAGCCAGTGCCATGCTATTAGCCTCTATGTGCATTGGGCAGCCAGCCCATTGATTACTTAGTAACAAAAGCAATAGATTATTTTAGATGACTCCTTAACAACTTATTTTTCCTGAAACTTCAAATATCTTCTCTCTTACTCTCACTTTCAACAATGAAAGAGAACTTGCATATGTTCCATCACATCTGCACGATGTTCTATGTGTCTCTCCATATATACTTTGCCTTCTCTTCTGTTATTCCGGGTATACTTCTAAGGCAAACCTTTTGTTTTGTGCATTACATCCTATCTTCTTGTGCCTTCTTAAGAACACTCTCCAGCAGATTTTCCCTTTTCTGTCTCATCACATTTTCCCCATCCACTGGAACATTCCCGTCGGATGTACGTTTGCTATGTCACCCATCTTAAGATTCAAAGAACTTCATTATTCTATAACCTTCTCTAGGGATGACTTTATTTCTCTCCTCCACTTTATAGCAAAACTCCTTGAAAAAGTGATCATATTCTTTCTTGAATGCATGTGGTCAGGTTTTCAACCCTGCCTTGTCCTCTACTGAAGTAACTTATGTCAAGGTCACCAATGACTCTGATTTGCTAAATTCGGTGGTCATTTCTCAGACCTTTTCTTTCTTTCTCTCTCTCTCTTTTTCTCTCTCTTTTTTTTTTGAGATGGAGTTTCATTCTTGTTGCCCAGGCTGCAGTGCAATGGCACGATCTCGGCTCACTGCAATCTCCACCTCCCGGGTTCAAGCGATTCTCCTGCTTCAGCCTCCTGAGTAGCTGAGATTGCAGGCATGCCCCACCACACCCAGCTAATTTTGTATTTTTAGTAGAGACAGGGTTTCTCCATGTTGGTCAGGCTGGTTTCCAACTCCCGACCTCAGGTAATCCACCTACCTTGGCCTCCCAAAGTGCTCGGATTACAGGGTGAGCCACTGCACCCCATCTCTCTTTCTCGCTCTTTCTTTTCTTTTCTTTCTCTTTCTTTCCCTTTCTTTCTTTCTTTCTTTCTTTCTTTCTTTCTTTCTTTCTTTCTTTCTTTCTTTCTTTCTTTTCTTTCTTTCTTTCTTTCTTTCTTTCTTTTCTTTCCTTCTTTCCTTCTTTATTTCTCTCTCTTTCTCTTTCTTTCTTTCTCTTTCTTTCTTTCTTTCTTTCTTTCTTTCTTTCTTTCTTTCTTTCTTTCTTTCTTTCATCTCTCTCTCTCCTTCCCTCACTCACTCCCTCCCTTCCTTCCTTCCTTTTCTCTCTCTCTCTCTTTCTTCCTTTCTTTCTTTTCTTTCTCTTTCGAGACAGGGTCTCACTCTGTTGTGCAGACTAAAGTGCAGTGGTGTGATCTTGGCTCACTGCAGCCACAACCTCCCAGGCTCAAGTGATACTCCCACCACAGCCCTGCCGAGCAGCTGAGACTACAGGTGAGTGCCACCACGCTTGGCTAATTTTTAAATTTTTTGTAGAGACAGGGTTTCATCATGTTACCCAGGCTGGTATCGAACTCCTGGGCTCAAGCCATCTGCCCGCCTTGGCCTCCCAAAGTGCTGGGATTACAGCCATGAGCCACCATGCCTAGCCTAAACCTTCTCTTTCTTGACCCGTCTACAGCATTTGACATAGTCACTCCTTTCTTCAAACTCTTTGCAAACCCTTGGCTTTGGGATAACACACTGTCATGGCTCACCACCTTCATCACTGCTCATGCTTTCTTAGTCTCCTTTGCTGGTTATTCCTCATCTTCCTGGCCTCTACGTGCTAGCTACCCCAGGCCTCTGTATTTGAGCCTTTTCTCTATATTCCCGTTCCTTATGTTAATACTTCCTAAACTTTTTCATATCATGGCCCATGCAGAAAATGACCACTTGTTTTGGCACACTGGGGTCAGTAAGGCCACCCAGGGCTTGAGGTGACCAGTCTAGAGGCTCTCGCAGCCTTCAGCTGTCACATCTTGACTCACCCATAACCCATTTATATGCTGAGAAATGTCAAGTGGAAAACTCTTTACCAGGTAATCACATCTCTCTCTTCCAGACTTTACTTATTTATTTATTTTTTTGAGACAGGGTCTCACTCTGTCACCCAGGCGGGAGTGCAGTGGCACGATCTCGACTCACTGCAACCTGAACTCCCCAGGTTCAAGTGATTCTCCTGCCTTGGCCTCCTGAGTAGCTGGGACTACAGGCATGCGCCACCATGCCCAGCTAGCTTTTGTATTTTTAGTAGAGATGGGGTTTCACCATGTTGCCCAGGCTGGTCTTGAACTCCTGGCCTCAGGTGATCCGCCCTCCTCGGTCTCCCAAAGTGCTGGGATTACAGGCGTGAGCCATAGCGCCTGGCTTGTCAATGCTTTTTACTTTAGCCATTCGAATGGGGGAGTAGTGGTATTTCACAGTGGTTTTGTGTTGCGTTTCCTTAAATTTGAGCAACTTTTAATGTGCTTGTTGGCTATCCATACAGCTTCTTACAGTGTCTTTTGCTCATTTTTTTTTCAGTTGGATTGTTTATTATTATTGATTTGTAAGAGTTCTTTTATTTTCACTTCCCGATATAAGTTCTTTGTTCTAAATACAAGACATGTGTGTTGAATATTTTCTTCTGGTCTATGGCTTGCTTTTTCTTTCTTTTAATGGTATCTTTTTAAGAGCCCAAGTTATTAGTTTTAATGATACCCGGTTTGTCATAAGCTTTTAAAATTTAGTGTTTTCAATTTCCTTTAAAATAATCTTTGCCTATCCCAAGTTTTCCAAGACATTCTGTGTTTCTTCTAGAAACTTGATAGTTATAGCTTTTCCTTTTGTTCTATCATCAACCTATATTATTTGAAAATGCCCTTATTTTGAGTTCATGTTTTAAGGATATTTACTCTGTATACTGAACTATTGGTTGGTCGTTTCTTTTTTCTTTTAGCATTTCAAAGATGTTATTTCCCTGTCTTCTGCCTTCATACTTTCTGATGAGAAGTGGCTGGTAATTTTAATTATTGCTCTACGTTTTCTCTATTTTCAAGATTTTCTCATTATTCTTGGTTTCACTAGTGCCATGATATACATAGGGGTATTTTTCTTTGTGTTTATTCTACTGTGCTTCACTGAGTTTCTTGAATCTGTGAGTTTATCTCTGGAAGGATTTCTTGAGGTCAAGAGTTTGAGACCAGCCCGGGCAATACAGTGAGACCTTGTCTCTACAAAAAATTCTAAAAATTAGCCAAATTGGAAAAGTTTTAGCCATTATTTCTTCTAATACTTATTTTGACTCCTTCTCTTTCTTCTTTCCTCTGGTACCCCAGTCACACAGACGCTAGTCATTTCTTTTATTGTTCCGCAGGCCCAGAGGCTCCACACATGTGCTCAGAGAGGGTCTCTCAACAGTTCTCCTGTTCTGTCTCCAGTTTTTTTCACATACATTTGGTAAAGATCCATGGAGTAGAGTTGGCTATGAGCACAGAGTCTGTGTGTATGGGGCTGTTAGGGATTCTAAACCATCACTCAAACCTTCATTTCATCTCTAGAAATTCATTAAAAGTTCACCCTTCTTACCCATCTGCAGCGAGATCCTCTGCCCCCTGCTGCACGACCAAGGGAAGGCAACCATGCTTGTCAGTTTTTGGGTTCTTTTCATTAGGTTTTATGCATTCTCAGCTCTCTGATGTACTTGGAAAGACCGTGATTAGCGGTTAACCATCTTTTTCTTGTTGTTAGAGTGGGGAAACATTGTCTTGTAACCTCCTACATTCTAAATGGGAGTAGAATTATCCTGCTAGTTTTGGTATGTTATGTTTAATGTTTTCCTTTATAAGCACTTTTTAATTTCCCTGATATTTTTTTCTCTGACCTCGGTGTATTTCTGAAATGTTTTTAAATTTCCAAACATACAGATTTGAAAAAAATATATTTTTATGATTGAATCCTAACTTAATTACATGTTGATAGAGATTAAGGCCTGTACGCTTTGGAATGTTTAACATTTGTTTTTAACTTTTTAAAAAACATTTGCCTTAACCTTTTGAATGGCCAGTTTTTGTAAATGCTCCATGTGACTGAAAAGAGTATATAGTCTGTTTTTTAGTTATTGGTTCATTAAATCAAGTTTATTGTTCAAATTTTCTTTCTTTCTTTCTTGCTTTCTTTCTTATTTCGACAAAATCTTGCTCTGTTGCTCAGGCTGGAGTGCAGTGGTGCAATATTGGCTCACTGCAACCTCCGCCTCCTGGGTTCAAGCGATTCTCCTGCCTCAGCCTCCCTAGTAGCTGGTATTACAGGCTTCCCGCCACCACGCTGGGCTAATTTTGTGTTTTTAGTAGAGACAGTGTTTCGGCATGTTGGCCAGGCTGGTCTCAAACTTGTGGCCTCAAGTGATCCGCTCACCTGGGCCTCCCAAAGTGCTGGAATTACAAACGTGAACCGCCGTGCCCAGCCTTGTTTTGTTTTATGAGACAGGGTCTCGCTCTGTCACCCAGGTTGGAGCTCAGTAGCACAATAATAGCTCACTGCAGTCTTGACCTCGTGGGCTCAAGCAATCCTCCCAACTCGGCTTCCTGAGTAGCTGGGACTATAGGTGCGTACCACCAAGCCTGGATAATTTTTAAATGTTTTGTAGAGACAGGCTGTTATGATTTTTTAATATTTTATTTTTATTGGTATGTAATATGTATACATACTTTTGGCGTAGAGGTGATTATTTATTTATGTACCCATCTATTTTTGAGACAAGGTCTTGCTCTGTCACTCAGGCTGGAGTGCAGTGGTGCAATCATAGCTCAGATCAAATCAGTGCAATTGATATATCTACCACCTTAAATATTTGCCTTTTCTTTACGCTAGAAACATTGAAATTATTCTCGTCTAGCTATTTTGAAATAAATATGCAATAGATTACTGTAAACTATAATCATTCTTCTGATCTATCAACACTATGTTATGATTTTTTATGTAAGAAAAGTCTTGCCTGTCTGAGAACAGTGAAGTCTTTAGTCTTATTTCATAGCTATTCTGATATTGGGGACTTGTTTTCAATTTGATTGTCATCAGCCAAGCATAGGAAATTTTTCCCATTTGAAATAGTAGGATCTATTATTGACTCTGACTCTATGAACTTCTGGAGCGAGTCTTGGATAGTCATCTAATTTCCCTGTTGGCAGTATCTTTGGCGAGTGTTATGGGAGATTCACTAAGATCACTAATACGCTAGGATCATAGTGCCACAGTTTATCAGAGCTGGAAGGAACCCCAGGAATCTCCAACCCTCTTCCTGTACAATGACATCACTGAACTCTAGAGAGGGAAAGGGACCTGCTTAAAGTGTCACGTAAACTGATGGCAGAGCTGGGACAAAGACCCTCATCTCTTGACCCTCTCAATCCAGGGCCTTCTTCCTCTGCACTCGCCTCAAAGGCAGAATACTAAATCATGCCTGAAGTTTTAATACTGTTTTGTCAGAGTTGATTTAGAATTGACAGTGACAGGAGTGTCTGGAAATTAAAGTGCAGGAAGTGCTGTGGTCCCTTGATGTGTAATTGTAGACAGGAGTAAAAGACTTGAGCAGGGGCGGGAGGATTTGTACACAGAGCTTTTTGGCTGTGCAGGAAATTATAAATGCTGCTGTAACGTTTGTGTTGTCTCATCCTGTTTGGAGTAAGGAAAATGTTACTCCACATTTTCTGTTTTTAATGTTACAAGTTTCCCTTTTCACTTCTTCCTTCAGTTCGTTTTCTGCCTCTTTTCTTCTTTCACTGCTTTGTTAGATACCATTAACTCTTCTTTTTCTGTAATCTTTGTTTCTTTCCCTACTAACCTCTGACATAAAGTATTAATTTTTGGTAATTTTTTTTTCTTTCTTTGAAGTGCTCCTTCTGGCTACAAAAACTTCCAATTAAGTTTTTTAAATAAAAGATAGAAGTTAAAAGCAACTGCTGCCTGGGGTTAGCAGGATGGAAACTTGTAGTTGCTTGAAGCTGTACTTCAAAAAGAGAAAAACTCAATTTTAAAAGTGTAGAGGCTTATTCATAAGATACATTGTGTTCAAAAAAATGACTCTGTGGGTACTCTAGGCTGTGGAGAAGTCAAACTGTAGGTCACTTGTTCTATTGTATTTATATACAGAATATTCTTTTTCTATGTAATATTTTTATTCTAAATAAAAGGAAAGGGAACATTTCCAGCATCTGGATTCTTGTTTATTCTGTTCTTGGTAATAATGTTAATTAATTTAATAATGAGATTCTCATCTTTATTCACTAAAGAACTTTGATGAAGTTCTTATGTATATTTCCTTTTCTGTGCTACTTTATACACCAAAAGAATATAGGAAGGTATCTCAAATTTCCCATTTTAGCAAATTCTCTTGTTCCTAAATTCCACTTACAAAGACACCCCAGAGAGTGTGCATGTATTCGGCAAGGAGTCACACAGACAGTAATGAGTAAGTGGCTGGGGGCTCAGTTGTACACAGGCTGCCTCCTTTAACTGCAGGTATCCAGAGGGCTGTGAGCTTCTTCTGTCTTCTTTCTTCTCCTTCTCCTTCTCCTCCTTCTCTTTCTCCTTCTGCTTATCCTTCTCCTCCTCCTCCTTCTCCTCTTTCTCCTCCTATTCCTCCTCCTCCTCTTCCTCCTCCTCCCCCTTGTCCTTCTCCTCTTCCTCCTCCTCTCCCCTCCCCCTCCCCCTTCTTCTTTTTTTTTTGAGACAGGGTCTCACTTCATTGCCCAGGCCAGAGTGCAGTGGTGCAATCATAGCTCACTGCAGCCTCGACTTCCTGGGCTCAATTGATTGTCCTGCCTCAGTCTTCCAAGTACTGGGACTGCAGGCATGTGCCATCACACCTCATTGTTGTATTTTTTTATAGAGATGCGGTTTCCCTATATTGCCCAGCTGTTCTCGAACTCCTGGGCTCAAGCAATCCTCCTGCCCTGGCCTTCCAAAGTGCTGGGATTATAGGTGTGAGCCACCATGCCTGGCTGTGAGTACTTCTTACGGCCAGGAGAAAACACTTGCTTCAGGGACTCTCTTTTTCCTTTGGCTTAGGCCTATTGTGTCTAGAAGTTCTCGGATTCCTTTAGTTCACTATTATTGAAAACCAGCAATGCAAAGTGTGGGCTTCCTAGAAAAACCAGAGGGAACATGGAGAAAAGAGAGGTAACTCATGAAAAAAAAAATCACTTTTTTTCCCCCATTTTCATCATAAATCCAAGGACATATTTAAGGAGCAGAAACATAAGCAATCATGGTGAAATGCAGGGTTTTCCAAACTGCAGGATGTCGCCTGTTAGTGGATCATGAAGTTAATTTAAAGGCTCATGACTAGCAACTATTTGAAAATAAAATTTAAAAAAAGGATGGTGGTGCGCCTGTAGCTCCAGGTTAGGAGGATGAGGCAGGAGGACTGCTTGAGCCCGGGAATTCCAGGCTGTAGTGCACAATGACAACACCTGGGAATAGCCACTGCACTCTAGCCTGGGCAACATAGTGAGACCCCCATCTCTTAAAAATAAAAAAGAAACACATAGAAAATGCAAATAAAAATACATGGCAAAGTGAAGGCAAGTATGGTTTCATGGATGTATATGTATGTGTGTGACACATACATGCATACATACATTGGGACATGATACAAAGTGTATCTCTCTTTCTTTTTCTTTTTTTTTGAGACAGGATCTTACTCTGTCACCCAGACTGCAGGCTGGAGTACAGTGGTGTGATCTTGGCTCACTGCAGCCTCAACCTCCAGGGCTCAAGTGATCCTCCCACTCAGCCCCCTGAGTAGCTGGGACTACAGGCGTGCACCACCATGCTAGACTAATTTTTGTATTTTTTTTTTGTGTAGACGAGGTCTCCCTATGTTGCCCAGGCTGGTCTTGAACTCCTGGGCTCAAGTGATCCTCCGGCCTTGGCTTCCCAAAGTGCTGGGATTACAAGCACGAACCACCATGCCTGGTCCAGTCCTCTCCTGTCTGGCTGCTTTCATCTTTCATTGGGGTGATTGCCCACTGTAGAGGATTTGGGGGAAATGAGACTTGAGCAAGGGAAAAGAGAGAACCATAAAGTAGAAGTAGCACAACAAGCTTAATGTGTGATGCTTGGACATTGCCATGGGGAGCAAGCACGTCTCAGCAAGAAACTCTCTGGAGGCTAGAGCTTGGGGGTCTCTACTTAGAAGGGGAGAAGAGCAAGGGCACTCCCAGGAGAGAGGGGGACTGATGAGGGGGGTTGACATGTCTAGGTGGTGCCCTCCAGCAGCACTGAGGGGAGTCTCTAGGTCAGAGAGCAGCTTGAAGTCTCAGAACCACAGACTCCATCTGATCCGTGCCAGCAGATGCTGGGTGGAGTTTCACAAGCAATGGCTGAAAATCTGCTTGTGTGGGCTTTATTTATTTATTTATTGAGATGGAGTTTTGCTCTTGTTGCCCAGGCTGGAGTGCAATGGTGCCATCTTGGCGCACTGCAGCCTCCCCCTCCCGGGTTCAAGTGATTCTCCTGCTTCAGCCTCCCGAGTAGCTGGGATTATAGGTGCCCGCCACCACGCCTGGCTAATTTTTGTATTTTTAGTAGAGACAGAGTTTCACCATGTTGGTCAGGCTGGTCTCGAACTCCTGACCTCAGGTGATCCACCCGCCTTGGTCTCCTGAAGTGCTGGGATTACAGGCGTGAGCCACCGCGCCCGGTTGTGTGGGCTATTTTTAGAACAACTGGATGTATAAAAATTTGAGTCGGCCTTTGAACGAATAGGTCTCAGTCTGCGGTGAAGAAATAAACAAAGATGGCCAATCTACAGAGGCCATCTTTGACCACTTTATATAACAACACCCCCCTCAATCCATCCTCCACGCAGAAACCTGAGCCATCTCCTTAAAGTGCAAATTGAGTCTTGTCACTCCGCTGTTCTCTTATGGTCTCCATTTGACTGTTAAATGCCTTTGCCCATC